>NC_000005.10:68859807-69484807 GCF_000001405.40 Homo sapiens | reverse complement strand
GAATGAGACATGGTAGGAGAAGCTCTACCATAATCGCATGATGTTTTAAAACGCTTTTTCTGTATTTTCTAAAATTTCTCAATGAATAGGCATCTATTATTTCCAACAATTAGGAAAAAAAACATTTTATTTTATTTTATTTATTTATTTTTGAGACAAGGTCTCACTCTGTTGCCCAGACTGGAGTGCAGTGGCACAATCTCGGCTCACTGCAACCTCCACCTCCCAGGTTCAAGCGATTCTCCTGCCTCAGCCTCCCTAGTAGCTGGGATTACAAATGCCAGCCACCACACCTGGCTAATTTTTTGTATTTTTAGTAGAGATGGGGTTTCACCATGTTGGCCAGGCTGGTCTCAAACTCCTGACCTCAAATGACCTACCTGCCTCAGCCTCCCAAAGTGCTGGGATTACAGGCATGAGCCATCATGCCTGGCCATATTTTAATTTTTTCCCTAACTTATACTGTGTTGAAAATTTCAAACCCATAGAAATGTTGACTGGGCATGGTGGCTCACACCTGTAATCCCAACACTTTGGGAGGCCGAGACGGGAAGATTGCTTGAGCCAAGAAATTTGAGATCAGCCTGGGCAATATAGGGAGACCCCGTCTCTACAAGAAGTTTAAAAATTAGCTGGGCCTGGTGTCACATCCCTATAGTCCCAGCTACTCAAAAACTGAGGTGGGAGGATCGCTTGATCGCCCGAGACAGAGGCAGCAGTGAGCTGCAATTGTGCCACTGCACTCCTGCCTGGGCAACAGAGCAAGACAATGTCTCAAAAAGAAACAAACAAACAAACAAAAGTTGAGAAATAGTACAATGAATTATATCCTTCACCTAAATTCACCAATCGTTAACACTGCCCACATTTGTTTTTTCTCTCACACATATACATAAAAAGTATACATAGTATGTTTTATTTTTTACATTTTTATTATTTATTTTGAGACCGGGTTATGATATTGGCTAATTTTTGTATTTTTGGTAGAGACAGGGTTTTGCCATGTTGCCCAAGCTGGTCTTGAACTCCTGGGCTCAAGCAATCTACCCACCTCGGCCTCACAAAGTGCTGGGATTACAGGCGTGAGCCACCGCTCCTGGCCCATGGTATACTTTTTTTGCCCAACCATTTATACTCTAACATTTATACTTTTTTGTTCAGCTTTCTAAAATTAACTTTTAGGTATAATAATACCTTACCCTAAATACTTCAGCATGTATCTCCTAAGAATCAAGACATACTTCTGTACAACTACCATATCATGAACACATCTCCAAGCAAACATTAATATAGATTATATTTACATTGTTCTAATTGTTCCAAAAATATCTTCTATATCTTCTATACATATATATATGTGTTCTTTTTTAAAATCCAGGAACCAATCAAGGATCATCCTCACATCTCACCATCATGCCTTTGTTTTTTCTTTTTTTGAGACTGGGTCTTGCTCTGTCGCCCAGGCTGGGATGCAGTGGCACAATCTCAGCTCACTGCAACCTCTGTCTCCCCGGTTCAAGCAATTCTTGCACCTCAGCCCCCTGAGGAGCTGGGACTACAGGCACCTGCCACCAGGTCCGGCTAATTTTTGTATTTTTAGTAGAGACAGGGTTTTACCATGTTGGCCTGACCTCATGGCTAGTCCCAAACTCCTGACGTCAAGTGATCTGCCCACCTCAACCTCCCAAAATGTAAGTCTCCTTAAATCTTGAACAGTTCCATTGCCATTTTTGTCTTTCATGACACTGCCATTTTTAAAGAATCTGGTCCAGTTGTCCTGTTGCATGTCTCACAACCAGGATTTGTATTTTCCTTCCTCATTATTAGATTTAAAGGAAACATTTTGGCAAAAATACTACACAGGTGATGTTGTGGACCTCATAGAGCATTACATCAGGAGGCTATCACTATCAAATTGTCCCAGGATGGGTGATGATAAGTTTGAATGCTTGGTTCAGGGTGTACTCTCCAGATCTCTCTTTTCTCTTTGTAATTTGTAAGTATTCCATGGAGCCGTGCTTTGATTCTGTGTGACTCTCTTATTCCCCAACAACCTTTCATCCAATGAAAGCTTTCAGTGTCCATTGCTGATCCATCATTGCATTGGTTGTTGCATTATGGTTATTTTCCAATACTATCAACTATTAACATCAATACTATTTAATACTATCAGGGGAATTTTTAAAAATTTTTAAGTGTAGGCCGGGCATGGTGGCTCACGCCTGTAATCCCAGCACTTTGGGAGGCCGAGGCAGGTGGATCACGAGGTCAGGAGATTGAGACCATCCTGGCTAACATGGTGAAACCCCGTCTCTACTAAAAATACAAAAATTAGCCAGGCGTGGTGGCGCGTGCCTGTAGTCCCAGCTACTCAGGAGGCTGAGGCAGGAGAATCGCTTGAGCCCAGGAGGCGGAGGCTGCAGTGAGCCGAGATCGCACCCCTGCACTCCAGCCTGGGCAACAGAGTGAGACTGTCTCAAAAAAAAAATTGTAAGTGTGAGTAAAAGAAGTTGGAACAGACTCTAAATCATTAAAATATTGACTTTTCATGACATAATTTTCCTTCTTGTGATATATGTTCTTTCTATTTTGCCTTTAATGAGTCAACCAATGCCCTCCCCTCCATAATAGATGTGTTACTTTTTTATTTACTAAGGACAGTAGATGATACAGGAAGAAATCAAAGCATACTTTTTGTTTTTTTGTTTTTTAAGACAGAGTCTTGCTCAGTTGCCCAGGCTGGAGCGCAGTGCCGCAATCATAGCTCACTGCAACCTTGAAATCCTAAGCTCAAGCAATCCTCCCATCTCACCATGTCCAGCTAAGTTTTAAAATGTTTTGTAGAGATGAGGTCTCCCTAAGTTGCCCAGGCTGGTCTCAAACTCCTGGGCTCAAGCAGTCCTCTCTCCTCAGTCTCCCAAAGCACTGGGATTACAGGTGTGAGCCATCACAACGGGCTTAAAGCATATGTTTTTGTACAGCACTCTTCCTTCACATAGTCTAGGACAGGGGTCCCCAACTCCCAGGCCACGGACCATGGCCTCTTAGGAATCGAGCCTCTCACCTCCTGCCATGGACTGGCACAGTGGAAATAGCTAATTCAGGAACCGGGCTATACAGCAGGATGTAAGTGGCTGGCGAGTGTGTTAGAGATCAGCAGCAGCATTAGATTCTCATAGAATCATGAACCCTATGGTGAACTGGGGATGCAAAGGATCTAGGTTGCAGCTTCTTCTGATAATCTAATGCCTGATGATATGTCACTTTCTCCCATCACCCCCATTTGGGACCATCTAGTTGTAGGAAAATAAGCTCAGGGCTCTCACTGATTCTATATTATCGTGAATTAAATAATTATTTCACTAAATATAAAAATGTAATAATAATACGAATAAAGTGCACAATAAATGTAATGCACTGGAATCATCCTGAAACCATCCCCCTCTGCCCTGATCCATGGAAGAATTATCTTCCACGAAACCGATTCCTAGGCCAAAAAGGTTGGGGACCACTCGTCTAGAAGATGAGGCATACACTCATAAAAATTAAAAATAAAATGAAAAGGCCGGGTGTGGTGGCTCACGCCTGGTAATCTCAGCACTTTGGGATGCCAAGGCGGAGAGATCTCGAGGTCATGAGATCAAGACCATCCTGGCTAACACGGTGAAACCCCGTCTCTACTAAAAATACAAAAAAATTAGCCGGGCATGGTGGCAAGCGCCTGTAGTCCCAGCTCCTCGGGACGCTGAGGCAGGAGAATGGTGTGAACCTGGGAGGTGGAGCTTGCAGTGAGCCGAGATCATGCCACTGCCCTCCAGCCTGGGTGACAGAGCGAAACTCCATCTAAAAAAAATAAATAAATAAAATAAAAGGACACATAAGTGGCAGATGAGTGGCAGAGATAAGGCCACTCTCTCTTCTTTTTTTTTTTTTTTTTTTTTTTGAGATGGAGTCGCTCTGTCACCCAGGCGCGATCTCGGCTCACTGCAACCTCCGCCTCCCGGGTTCAAACAATTCTCCTGCCTCAGCCTCTGGAGTAACTGGAATTACAGGCGCCCACCACTACGCCCAGCTAATTTTTGTACTTTTAGTAGAGACGGGATTTCACCATGTTGGCCAGGCTGGTCCCGAACTCCTGACCTCAGGTGCTCCGCCCGCCTCGGCCTCCCAAAGTGCTGGGATTACAGGCGTGAGCCACCGCACCCGGCACACTCTCTGTTCTAAGTGGAACTGCTCACCTGGCTGCCCATCTGTCCCTCCCACTCTAGTCTCTGTGACTTGCCTTTTGAGCACACTAATTCCTCTACCTGGAACATTCTCTTCCCAACTTTGCATCTGGAGGTTCATATTCTAAAATATTGCCAGTGCTTCAAGACTGAGCTGAGATACTATCTCTTTCATTTATTATTATTTTTTAAAAGCTCCTTAAGGCCGGGCGCGGTGGTTCACACCTGTAATCCCAGCATTTTGGGAGGCCGAGGCAGGCAGATCACCTGAGGTCAGGAGTTTGAGACCAGCCTGGCCAACACAGTAAAACCCCGTCTCTACTAAAAATACAAAAACTAGTCTGGTGTGGTGGCACACGTCTGTTATCCCAGCTACTCAGGAGGCTGTGAGGCAGGAGAATGGCTCAGACCCAGGAGGCGGATGTTGCAGTGAACCCGATATCACGCCATTGCACTCCAGCCTGGGCAACAGAGCAAGACTCCATCTCAAAAACAAACAAACAAACAAAAAAACTGGGCCAGGCCTGGTGGCTTATGCCTGTAATCCCAGCACTTTGGGAGACCGAGGTGGGCAGATCAGGAGGTCAGGAGATCGAGACCATCCTGGCTAACATGGTGAAACCCCATCTCTACTAAAAATACAAAAAATTAGCTGGGCGTGGTGGCATGCACCTATAGTCCCAGCTACTAGGGAGGCTGAGGCAGGAGAATCACTTGAACCCAGGAGGCAGAGGTCACAGTGAGCCGAGATCACGCCACTGCACTCCAGCCTGGGTGACAGAGCAAGACTCCTTCTCAAAACAACAACAACAACAACAAAACACATAAAAAAACAAAAAAAAACTCCTTTAATTTCTCTTTGGGAGGCCAAAGTGGGCAGACTGCTTGAGTCCAGGAGTTGGAGACCAACCCGGGCAATGTGGCAAAACCCGGTCTCTACAAAAAAATTAGCCAGGCATGGTGGTGGGTGCCTGTGGTCCCAGCTACTCAAGAGGGCTGCTGAGGTGGGAGGATAACCTGAGCCTGGGGAGGTCAAGGCTGTGGTAAGCCATGATGGTGCCACTGCACTCCAGAGCCTGGGCAACAGAGTGAGACCCTGCCTCAAAAAAAAAAAAAAAAAAAAAAAAGCATCACAGCACAGAGTGAGCACCTTCACCTTCTTCCCTTCATCAGTATAGTGGGTAAGGGAGCCAGGGTATCAAAAGATTCTACTTTGATTCCCAAATTCAGTATTTACCAGCTCTATGACACTTTAAATAAATAACTTAAACTTCTGAGGCTTAATTTCCTTATTTATAAAGTGGAGGTGATGCCAGGCCCAGTGGTGCCTATGTGGGGGTACCGGTAGTCCCATCTACTAGGAAGGCTGAGTGAGGCAGGAGGATCGCTTGAGCCTAGGCTGATTGGGTGTCCTCACTAAGTTCTGCATCAATATGGTGATGTTCTGGGAGTGGGGACCACTAGGTTGCCTAAGGAGGGGTGAACTGGCCCAGGTTGGAAACGGACCAGCTGAAAACTCCCATGCTAATCAGTAGTGGTATATCCTGTGCCAGTCATCAGTAGTGGTATGTCCTGTGCCAATCATCAGTAGTGGTATAGTGCCTGTGAATAGCCACTGCACTCCAGCCTGAGCAATATAATGAGACCCCCAATAAAAAAGTTTTTAAATGAAAATTAAATGGAAGTGATGGTAATACCCACCTTGCAAGGGTTGTATGTAAAATGGCCTTATTCCTGGCACAAAATAAATATTATTCGATGGATATTTAGTAGCTGCCTATGCTTCCTATATCAGGATGATTTCAGCTCAATGCTACAAAAAACAAGTTTAAAGTAGTTTAAATAATAAGGCAATGTATTGTCTCACATAAATGGAAGTACAGAGTGAATACAAACATAAAATTTGGTGAGGTAAGATTTAGTGAGGTAGCTGGGCAAGGTGGCTTACGTCTGTAATCCCAGCACTTTGGGAGGCCAAGGCGGGTGGATCACGAGGTCAGGAGTTCAAGACCAGCCTGGCCAAGATGGTGAAGCCTCATCTCTACTAAAACTACAAAATTAGCCAGGCGTGGTGGCAGGCGCCTGTAATCTCAGTTATTTGGAAGGCTGAGGCAGAAGAACTGCTTGAACCCAGGTAGCAGAGGTTGTAGTGAGCCAAGATTGCACCACTGCACTTCAGCCTGGGCGATAAGAGTGAGACTCTGTCTCAAAAAAAAAAAAAGGATTTAGTGAGGTAAGATGAAAGGGGTAAGGGAAGCTGGAAGGTATTCAATAGTATTCGATACTCATGCACCAAGCACTAGGGTAAGTGATGTGGACATAAGGACCTCACAGTTCGGCATAGGAGGCAGGTACCTAAATAAATAAGTCTATGATGGCATGGGTGTGGGGGTCAGAAAGACATGGGTTTTTGAATCCTGATTTTTTGCTAGCTGTATACTTTGGGGCACTTTATTTTTTTTTTCCCAGTTTGAGATGGAGTCTTGCTCTGTCGCCCAGGCTGGAGTGCACTGGCGCAGTCTCGGCTTACTGCAACCGCCGCCTCCCAGGTTCAAGTGATTGTCCTGCCTCAGCCTCCTGAGTAGCTGGCATTACAGGCATGTGCCCCTACGCCTGTCTAATTTTTGTATTTTTAGTGGAGACAGGGTTTCACCATGTTGGCCAGGCTGGTCTCGAACTCCTGACCTCATGATCTGCCTGCCTCAGCCTCCCAAAGTGCTGGGATTAAGACATGAGCCACTGCACCGGGCCTGGGGCACGTTTTAAACATCTATGAAACTTAGTTTCCCTGTCTATGAAATGAAGATAATATTTAAGATATTGCAGTGACAACTGTATAAAACATCTGTGTTTGTGACACATAGACGGTACTTAATAAGTGGCATCTTCTATTTATTTTTTTACAGTGTACAATGTCTATGTAAGCACAACAAGAAAGCAACTTAACTGCCTGCAGCATCAGACCAAGTTCCTGGATCATAAGTTTGAAAGCAGCTTCTAGATGACGCTTGTGGATATTTGGAATAATATCTACTAATTTCTGTTAAGCAGCTATGTTTCAACTCCACTTCAATAAAAACAGCCAAATTTCTCTCCTGGAAATTCTTAAAACTCAAAGAAACTCTGATTCTTTCAAGTGTTAGTATGATGACCTAATTTTGTGCCTAACTCCTCTTATATAGAAAGGAACAAATATTTGATATTCATCTTCATTGTTTTCTGTGGGTTGGTTTCCTGTTATTTTTTCCCTTTGTCTAGGGGAAAGGAGTAAAGAAAACTTCCTTGTTAAACTGCTACTATAAGGAACACGTTTGAAGAAATAAACACAGAAAGCAAGTGAGTTTCTCATTAATATCATTAGCAGCATAATTCAACTCTTAAGTACTTAGGGATAGTACTGAAGCATTGAATACTATTCATTTACTTAGCTAAAGTAACAGAAGTGCAAAGTCCCAGAAGGAGGGGCAGAGGAATCAGATGGAGGGGCACCCTCAGAGAGAATAAAACCTAGGTGGAGGGACCCACACACGATTGAAGTAATACAAGTTAGAAAGTGATTTAACTTCAGGGGGTCAAAATATTTAAATTGTTATTATTATTATTATTATTTTTAAAGACAGAAGTCCCGCTCTGTGGCCCAGGCTGGAGTAGAGTGGCGCAATCTTGGTTCATTGCAACCTCCGCCTCCCGGGTTCAAGCAATTCTTCTGCCTCAGCCTCCCGAGTAGCTGGGATTACAGGCCATGCCCGGCTAATTTTTTTGTACTTTTAGTAGAGACGGGGTTTTGCCATGTTGGCCAGGCTGGTCTTGAACTCCTGACCTCAGGTGAACTGCCAGCCTCAGCCTCCTAAAGTGCTGGGACTACAGGCATGAGCCACCACACCTGGCTGATTTAAATTGTTTTTGAAGTATATACAGCATAGGGGGAAGCCACTTCTTAGAGAAGAAGAGAAATTAAAGGAGTTTTTTTTTTTTTTTTTTTTGAGATGGAGTCTTGCTCTGTCACCCAGGCTGGAGTGCAGTGGCGTGATCTCGGCTCACTGTGACCTCTGCCTCCTGGGTTCAAGTGAGTCTCCTGCCTCAGCCTCCCTAGTAGCTGGGACTACAGGCACATGCCACCACGCCCAGCTAATTTTTTGTATTTTTAGTAGAGATGGGTTTCACCATGTTAGCCAGGATGGTCTCGATCTCCTGACCTCGTGATCCACCCACCTCGGCCTCCCAAAGTGCTGGGATTACAGGCGTGAGCCACCGCGCCCAGCCTAGTTTTTTTTTTTTTTTTTGAGATGGAGTCTTGCTCTGTTGCCCAGGCTGGAGTGCAATGGCGTGATATCGGGTTCACTGCAACATCCGCCTCCTGGGTCTGAGCCATTCTCCTGCCTCAGCCTCCTGAGTAGCTGGGATAACAGACGTGTGCCACCACACCAGACTAGTTTTTGTATTTTTAGTAGAGACGGGGTTTTACTGTGTTGGCCAGGCTGGTCTCAAACTCCTGACCTCAGGTGATCTGCCTGCCTCGGCCTCCCAAAATGCTGGGATTACAGGTGTGAGCCACCGCGCCCGGCCTTAAGGAGCTTTTAAAAAATAATAATAAATGAAAGAGATAGTATCTCAGCTCAGTCTTGAAGCACTGGCAATATTTTAGAATATGAACCTCCAGATGCAAAGTTGGGAAGAGAATGTTCCAGGTAGAGGAATTAGTGTGCTCAAAAGGCAAGTCACAGAGACTAGAGTGGGAGGGACAGATGGGCAGCCAGGTGAGCAGTTCCACTTAGAACAGAGAGTGTGCCGGGTGCGGTGGCTCACGCCTGTAATCCCAGCACTTTGGGAGGCCGAGGCGGGCGGAGCACCTGAGGTCAGGAGTTCGGGACCAGCCTGGCCAACATGGTGAAATCCCGTCTCTACTAAAAGTACAAAAATTAGCTGGGCGTAGTGGTGGGCGCCTGTAATTCCAGTTACTCCAGAGGCTGAGGCAGGAGAATTGTTTGAACCCGGGAGGCGGAGGTTGCAGTGAGCCGAGATCACGCCTGGGTGACAGAGCGAGACTCCATCTCAAAAAAAAAAAAAAAGAAGAGAGAGTGGCCTTATCTCTGCCACTCATCTGCCACTTATGTGTCCTTTTATTTTATTTTATTTTTGAGACGGAGTCTTGCTCTGTCGCCCAGGCTGGAGGGCAGTGGCATGATCTCGGCTCACTGCAAGCTCCACCTCCCCGGTTCCCAAAGTGCTGGGATTACAGGTGTAAGCTACTACACCTGACCTATGACATTCTTTTGCTTAAGGAAAAACACGCAGGAAGTCATAAGACTATTACTTGCCAAGATTATCTTCTTATGTCTCTTTTACTAAACAGACATTTCCATATACCTTCACTGACATAGACCAAAACATCCATGTCCAAAATGGCCAAGCTAATCACAGTGGTTTCATTAGGATAGGCTAGGTTATGCTGAGGGAACAAATCTTGATGTCTTAGAACAACAAATCTTGACGTCTTAGAACAACAAATCTTGATGTCTTAGAACAACAAAACTTTCTTTCTTTCTCATGGCCATGTCCAGAGAGAGTTGGCTAGGGTATCTGCTTCATAATTTTTGTCACTCTTGGACCCAGGTTGTTAGAGAAAACATTTCAAATATTACCAGGCATACACACACACACACACACACACACACACACACACATCTAATATACATATATACATAAACATATATACACATATATACATATACATATATACACATATATACACACACACACACATATATATATACACACACACACATATATCTATATCTGAAAGGAGAAGAAAGCTCTGGAGGGTCTCACACTGGAAACTCAGTGCTTTGACTCAGATGTGATGCAAATCACTTCCATTCACAAAAAATTGCCAGAACTAGACAGATGGCCCACCCAGCCACAGTCTTCCATGTGAAGGGAAGGGAAGGAAAACCGGCTATCTCATCTGTGAACAGCAGTAAAAACCACATAATTGGTCATACATAGTAGAATATGCCTGAATTAATACTCATTCTTGAAATAAATCATAGTGACTGAGCATGATAGCTCACGCCTGTAATGCCAGAATTTTGAGAGGCATAGGCCAGAGGATCTCTTGAGCCCAAAAGTTTGAGACCAGCCTAGGCAACATAGCAAGAACCAGTCTCTATGAAAAATAAAAATAAAAAATTTAGCCAAGTGTAGTGGTGCATGCCTGTAGTCCTAGCTACTCAAAAGGCTGAGGTAGGAGGATCCCCTGAGCCCAGGAGTTTGGGGTTACAGGTAGCTATGATCATGACACTGCACTACAGCCTGGGTGACAGAGTGAGACCCTGTCTTAAAATGAAAAAAAAAAAAATCTCATAGTTATTTAAAACTTATAGTTTGCAAATTTCATGGAGCCCTTCGAAACACTTTACAAATGTATTTTTACAAACATTATGAAGGAAACCAAGATGTTTCACCCCAAAACATATTTATTTCCTTGACATAGTTCAACATGTCTATTCAAAAGGGCTAGAAATAGAATAGCTGAAAGGTTGTTTGTTGTGGAGGAGATTTACATCTATAAAAATAAAGTCTACATCAGTACAGTTAGGTTTTCTCTGACGGCCTTCCCTTCTCTGACCTAAAACAAGTTAACTGAGAGTCCGACAGTTTTAAAGATCTGAAAAAAACCTTCACCATCTATTCTCCGTGAAGGTTGCTACCTGTGAGGTTTCGCCAGGCCTCCTCTTCTCCCTCTCCCATAACCTGTTTTGCCACTATCCAAACCCCATTCTTTACGGAACCTCAAGATGATACATAAACTTCCACACCCTATTGGGAGCTTGGAAGTAATCAATCTATGTGCACATTAATACATGTATATGCCTTTTCTCCAATTAATCTCCTTTTATGAGTTTTCTTTTTTTCCTTTTCTTTCTGTCACCTAGGCAGAGGCGCCATCTCAGCTCACTGCAACCTCCACCTCCTGGGTTCAATAAATCCTCCCGCTTCAGCCTCCCAAGTGGCTGGGACTACAGGTGTGTGCCACCACACTTGGCTAATTTTTGTAGGAGTTTAACTATGTTGGCCAGGCTGGTCTCAAACTCCTGACCTCAGGTGATCCTCCCACCTTGGCCTCCCAAAGTGCTGGGATTACAAGTGTGAGCCACCACGCCTGGCTATGAGTTATTGTTCAACAAATCTTCAGAGGGCCAACGGAAAGCTTTCCCTACAATTACCTCATTTTATATTCACCACAATCCTGTGAAGTATGTATAGTAGCTAGATGGTGATATCACCCTTTTTTTAATAGGACACAGAGGCTCATGGAGCTTACCTGACTTACCCAAGGATACAAGTAATTGACCTGAGATTCAAACACAGTTTGACTGTATATCTTACATTATGTCCAATATACCACACTGCCTTTAAGAAACTATCTTCAGGCCGGGCATGGTGGCTTACACCTGTAATCTCAGCACTTTGGGAGTCTGAGGTGGGCAGATCACCTGAGGTCGGGAGTTCAAGATCAGCCCGACCAACATGGAGAAACCCCGTCTCTACTAAAAATACAAAATTAGCTGGGCGTGGTGGCGCATGTCTGTAATTTCAGCTACTCGGGAGGCTGAGGCAGGAGAATGGCTTGGACCCGGGAGGCGGAGGTTGCGGTGAGCCGAGATCGCACCATTGCACTCCAGCCTGGGCAACAAAAGCAAAACTCTGTCTCAAAAAAAAAAAAAAAAAAAAACTATTTTCACTGCAGAGTCTTAGCACATCAATGTATTGTCAAACATAAGGGAAAATATTAGCCTTAGAAACAAAAACATAGGTGCGGTTTCCTTCAGCAAACTCCACAACTCAATAAATCAATCGGACAAATAGACTGGGTACAATGGCTCATGCCTGTAATCTCCACACTGGGGGAGGCCGAGGTGGGAGGATCACTGGAACCCAGGAATCCAGGATCAAGCTGGGCAGCACAAGACCTTATCTCCACGAAAAAAGTTTTAAAATTAGCCGGGTGTGGTGGCAAGCACCTGTAGTCCCAACTACTTGGTAGGCTGAGGTGGGAAGATTGCTTGAGCTCAAGAGGTTGAGGCTGCAGTGAGCCATGATCACACCACAGCACCCCAGCCTGGGTGACAAAGTGAGAACCTATTAAAAAAAAAAAGTTTGGGTGTGGTGGCTCACACCTGTAATCCCAGCACTTTGGGAAGCCAAGGCGGGAGGATCACTTGAGCCATGGAGTTCGAGACCAGCCTGGGCAACATAGTGAGAACCTGTCTCTATTTTTTAAAATAGTCCAAATAACCACCCATTATCTGTACCTATAATTAGCCTGAAAGTTAGAGACAACATATCATTATCATGGCCTTCTAGGGACAACATATCAAACTATCAAAGAAGTAGTGAAATTGAATATTTCTCTTGTATTCCTTCCCTTTGATATCAGTTCTGGCAACACAAGAGAAGAAAAGAGGGAAACATCCAAAGGAAATCCAGTTATGAACTCAGCTCTGTCAGAAATCAGCTGCGTAGTTTTTTTAAATTATACTTTAAGTTCTGGGATACATGTGCAGAGCATGCAGGTTTGTTACATAGGTATACATGTGCCATGGTGGTTTGCTGCACCCATCAACCCGTCATCTAGGTTTTAAGACCCGCATGCATTAGGTATTTGTCCTAATGTTCTCCCTCCCCTTCTCCCCCACCCCCCTACAGGCCCTGGTATGTGACGTTCCCCTCCCTGTGTCCATGTATTCTCATTGTTCAACTCCCACTTATGAGCGAGAATATGCAGTGTTTGGTTTTCTGTTCCCGTGTTAGTTTGCTGAGAACGTTGGTTTCCAGCTTCATCCATGTCCCTGCAAACAACGTGAATCATTCTTTTTTATGGCTGCATAGTATTCCATGGTGTATATGTGCCACATTTTCTTTATCCAGTCTATCATTGATGGGAATTCGGGTTGGTTCTAAGTCTTTGCTATAGTGAATAGTGCTGCAATAAACATGCATGTGCATGTGTCTTTATAGAATGATTTATAATCCTTTGGGTGTATACCCAGTAACAGGATTGCTGGGTCAAATGGTATTTCTGGTTCTAGATCCTTAAGGAATCGCCACACTATCTTCCACAATGGTTGAACTAGTTTACACTCATACCAACAGGGTGAAAGCATTCCTATTTCTCTCCACATCCTCTCCAGCATCTGTTGTTTCCTGACTTTTTAATGATTACCATTCTAACGGGTATACATGTGCCATGAGATGGTATCTTATTGTGGTTTTGATTTGCATTTCTCTAATGACCAGTGATGATGAGCTTTTTTTCATATGTTTGTTGACTGCATAAATGTCTTCTTTTGAGAGGTGTCTGTGCATATCCTTTGCCCACTTTTTGATGGGGTTCTTTGTTTTTTTCTTGTAAATTTGTTTAAGTTCCTTGTAGATTCTGGATATTAGACCTTGTCAGATGGATAGATTGCAAACATTTTCTCCCATTCTGTAGATTGCCTGTTCACTCTGATGATAGTTTCTTTTGCTGTGCAGAAGCGCTTTAGTTTGATTAGATCCCATTTCTCAATTTTGGCTTTTGTTGCAATTGTTTTTGGTGTTTTAGTCATGAACTCTTTGCCCATGCCTATGTCCTGAATGGTATTGCCTAGGTTTTCTTCTAGGGTTTTTACGGTTTTAGGTCTTATGTTTCAGTCTTTAATCCATCTTGACTTAGTTTTTGTATAAGCTATAAGGAAGGGGTATAGTTTCAGTTTTCTCCATATGGCTAGCCAGTTTTCCCAGCACCATTTATTAAATAGGGAATCCTTTTCTCATTGCTTGTTTTTGTCAGGTTTGTCAAAGATCAGATGGTTGTAGATGTGTGGTGTTATTTCTGAGACCTCTGTTCTGTTCCATTGGTCTATGTATCTGTTTTGGTACCAGTACCATGCTGTTTTGGTTACTGTAGTCTCATAGTATAATTTGAAGTCAAGTAGCAGCTGTGTAATTCTAAGCAAGACATTTAATCTGCCTTTACCACTCACAATAATGTCTCTGTGTTAGTCCATTTGCATTGCTATAAAGAAATATCAGAGACTGGGTAATTTATTTATTTTTTATCCAAAATGTGTTTATTGAGGCCAGGCACAGTGGCTCATGCCTGTAACCTCAGCACTTTAGAATGTCGAGGTGAGCAGATCACCTGAGGTCAGGAGTTCAAGATCAGCCTGGCCAACATGATGAAACCCCAAAATAAGCCGGGCATAGTGGCGCATGCCTGTAATCCCAGATACTCAGGAGGCTGAGGCAGGAGAATTGCTTGAACCTGGTAGGCGGAGGTCGCAGTGAGCCAAGCTCACACCACTGCACTGCAGCCTGGGCGACAAGAGTGAAACTCAGTCTCAAAAAAAAAAAAGTGTTTATTGAGATGATTTCCCACTCATCTTGATTCGGAGTGCTTTTTAATGCTGCTTCCTCCTGAAGGAACATCCTTCTGTAAGCCTTGCTTTTCTTTCTGTAGGCTGGCAGAGGACAGTGGAGCAGCCAACACACAAAATTTCTGTTAGTGCATGGCTAAAGACTGTGATGATTTTGTACCATCCTGGGCATTTACACCCATGAAGTAGGAATTGGGGCTCTGCATCAGGCACTGCTTCTTGTGTTTCCTCTTCCCCTATTCTGGAGAGGGATGAAGGAGATCCTTTGTGAGAGGCATGTTCTCCTGGGTAGGTCGTCACCGCTGGAAAAAGACTGGGTAATTCGCAAAGAAAAGAGGTGGCCGGCCACAGTGGCTCACGCCTGTAATCCCAGCACTTTGGGAGGCCGAGGTGGGCGGATCACCTGAGGTCAGGAGTTCAAGACCAGCCTGGCCAAAATGGTGAAACCCCATTTCTACTACAAATACAAAAATTAGCTGGGCGTGATGGCGGGCACCTGTAATCCCAGCTACTTGGGAGGCTGAGGCGGGTGAATCGCTTGAACCTGGGAGGCGGAGGTTGCAGTGAGCTGAGATTGCACCATTGCACTCCAGCCTGGGCGACAAGAGTGAAACTCCGTCTCAAAAAAAAAGGAGAGAGGAAAAAGAAGAGGTTTAATTGGCTCACCGTTCTGCAGGCTGTATAGGAAACATGGCACCAGCATCTGCTTGGCTTCTAGTGAGGCCTTAGGGAGCTTTTACTCATAGCAGAAGGCAAAACAGGAGCAGACATGTCACATGGTGAGAGTGAGTGGTGGAGGTGGAGGAGGTGCCACACTTTTTTAAACAACCAGAGCTCTCAAGAGCTCTCAGAGCGAGAACTCCCTTATTATTGTGAGGACAGCACTAACCCATTTATGAGGAATCTGCCCCCATGACCCAAACACCTCACACTAGCCCACCTCCAACAGTGGGGATCACATTTCATCATAAGATTTGGAAGAGACAAAACATCCAAACCTTATCAGTCTGTGAAAATGTTTGGAAGAATAAAGTGCTACTAGCAGTTGAGCCATTCAATATTTAAGGGCAAGCTGCTTCCATGGGCTTGGTCTTAGGAGGGAATTAAAGAATAGCTAAGGTGAAACCAACTCAATAGTCCCATAGACAGTTCTGGTCTTAAGCTTGAACCTTACATTTGTATTATCTGAGTTCCTTCCTCAGGAAAGGACCCTCAAAAGCCTCTCAAAAAGTACCTGAAGAAAAAGAACTGAAACTCACCAGATCGTTGCATCCAGACAATGAGACACCAGGCCCTTCATTCATCATGATTGCTTCCTTACCCCTCTCAAGTTGAGTTCCTGTTTTCCCATGCATAGTTACATTTCTTCCCTGCTAGATTAACCCCTAATTATAGTCAGTCAGGAGATGAATTTGAGACTAGTTCCCATGTCTTCAGCTGCAGCACCCAATTAAAGCTTTCTTCCTTGGCAATACTCATTGTCTCAGTGATTGGTTTTCTGTGCTATGAGGAGCAGGACTTAGACTGAATACCTGCTATTATGGTAACAAAAGCATGGTCTATGCTGGAGGCATCTGTGGTTTTTGCATGTCTAGCTTCTATTAGAGCACACATGCAGCTTTTCATTTATAACTCACCCTTCTTCAGCCCAGCGCAGTGGCTCATGCCTGTAATCCCAGCACTTTGGGAGGTCAAGTGGGTGCATCACGAGGTCAGGAGATCAAGACCATCCTGGCTAACACGGTGAAACCTCGTCTCTACTAAAAATACAAAAAAATTAGCCAGGCGTGGTGCCAGGCGCCTGTAGTCCCAGCTACTCTGGAGGCTGAGGCAGGAGAATGGCGTGAACCCGGGAGGCAGAGATTGCAGTGAGCCAAGATCGCACCACTGCACTCCAGCCTAGGCAACAGAGTGAGACTCCATCTCAAAAAAAAAAAAAGAAAAAGAAAAAGAAAAAAAAACCTTATCTTTCTTCCATTCCATGAGGTCCTGACGGGATTGTGTTCTGCCCACACATTAGCGGATATGAGATCCAGGCTGCCTCATCTGATGTGGTGATAGGTTCAAAGATGGACACATAACCCAAACCAAGACCTATCAGACGCTTCCAGAGACATGATAGAAAGCTGCTGGAAGAGAGCCACTTCCCTGTAACCCACTACGTGCTTATGTACTGGAGCTGACACCAGGCATCTTCCGCAGTTACACAGAGAAAGTCTAAACATGACAGCATGAGACTAAATATGCTGTGAGAAGCAGTGAAGATGAGAGAAACAGACTGAAAGGGAACCCTGAAGCCAAGTCAGCTCCTAAACTTCTCAGTTCTCTAATTCAAAAGAGTCCCTTGTATGCATAAGCTGATTTGAGTTTCTGTTATTAGAAACCAAAGCCGTTCTGACTAATACAGTTTCAGTCCTCAAATTCATATCTTATGAAATTTGATAGTTATTTACTTAATAAGAGACCATTTAAAAAATATCAGCTAATTCTGAAACATACAAGCTCAGTTTAAGCATCTTATGATGACCTCAGCACCCTAGAAGGCCTGTTTCTAGAGAACACTACTTCTGCTCTCAATAGTGGAGATGGGTGGTTAGCAATAGTTGTGTTGTACCTAAACCTGTTATTCCCACTTGTACTTGCTACTACATGTGTGTACGTATGTGTATGATTTAATTAAATATTATTTAAATGATAAAATATGATGCGGGCCAGCTGCTGTGGCTCAGGCCTATAATCCCAGTACTTGGATAGGCCAAAGTGGGTGGATCACCTGAGGTCAGCAGTTCAAAACCAGCCTGGCCAACATGGTGAAACCCCGTCTCTACCAAAAACACAAAAATTAGTCAGGCATGATCGTATGCACCTGTAAACCCAGCTACTCAGGAGGCTGAGGCAGGAGAATCACTTGAACCTGGGAAGTGGAGGTTGCAGTGAGCTGAGATCATGCTGTGTCCGGAATTGGTTCCTTACGGTGGATTCTTGGTCTCGCTAACTTCAAGAATGAAGCTGCAGACCCTCGTGGTGAGTGTTACAGTTCTTACACGTAGTGTGTCCGGAGTTTGTTCCTTCAGATGTTCAGATATGTCCAGAGTTTCTTCCTTCCGGTGGGCTCGTGGTCTAGCTTGACTTCAGGAGTGAAGCTGCAGACCTTCGCAGTGAGTGTTACAGCTCTTAAATGTGGCGCATCCAGCGTTGTTTGTTCCTCCCGGTGGGTTCGTGGTCTCACTGATTTCAGGAGCAAAGCTGCAGACCTTCGCAGTGAGTGTTACAACTCATAAAGGTAGTGCGGACCCAGAGGGAGCAGCAGCAAGATTTATTGTGAAGAGCAAAAGAACAAACCTTCCACAGCCTGGAAGGGGACCCGAACTGGTTGCTGCTGCTGGCTCCGGTGGCCAGCTTTTATTCCCTTATTTGGCCCTGCCAACGTCCTGCTGATTGGTCCATTTTACAGAGTGCTAATTGGTCCATTTTACAGAGTGCTGATTGGTCCATTTTTACAGAGTGCTGATTGGTGTGTTTACAAACCTTTAGCTAGTCACAGAGCACTGATTGGTGCATTTTTACAGAGTGTTGATTGGTGCATTTACAAACCTTTAGCTAGACACAGAGCGCTGATTGGTGCATATTTAGAGTACTGATTGGTGTGTTTACAAACCTTTAGCTAGACACAGAGTGCTGATTGGTGTGTTTACAATCCTCTAGCTAGACAGAAAAGTTCTCCAAGTTCCCACCCAACCCAGAAGCCCAGCTGGCTTCAATTCTCAATGCCACTGCATTCCAGCCTGGGCTACAGAGTGAGACCCTGCCATAAAAACAAACAAACAAAAACCACACAAATAACATAAAATAAAATATGATGACCCCAACAGAAAGGTGTTTCTAGGCTGGGCACGGTGGCTCATGTCTGTAATCCCAGCACTTTGGGAGGTGGAGGTGGGTGCATCACGAGGTCAGGAGTTTGAGACAAGCCAGGCCAACATGATGAAATCCTGTCTCTACTAAAAATACAAAAATTAGTCAGGTGTGGTGGCATGCACCTGTAATTCCAGCTACTCAGGAAGCTGAAGCAGGAGAATCTTTTGAACCTGGGAGGGAGAGGTTACAGTGAGCTATGATCGCACCATTGCACTCCAGCCTGGGCGACGTAGTGAGACTCTGTCCCAAACAAACAAACAAACAAACAAAAAGGTATTTCTATAAAAATCAAGTTAATTGTTAAAAGACTCATAATGATGTTGCTTTAGAAAAAAAAAATGTTGGCTAGGTAGGGTGGCTCACGCCTGTAATCCCAACACTTTCGGAGGCTGAGGCTGGAGGATCCTGTGAGCCCAGGAGTTTGAGACCAGCCTGGGCAGCATGGCAAGACCCCCTCTCTATGAAAAAATTAAAAATTAGCCAGGCGTGGTGGCACACACCTGTGGTCCTAGCTACTCAGGATCCTGAGGTGGGAGGATCACTTAATCCCACAAGGTCAAGGCTGCAGTGAGCCGTGTTCACACCACTGCACTCCAACCTGGGTAACAGAGCGAGACTCTGTCTCTAAAAAAAATTAATTAATGAAAAATGAAAAATGAAAAAAAATTAAGACAAACTATGGCACCCATATGTCACTTTTTGATGTTTAGCTTTAATCTACTTTTTTGAATTGACATTCTAATTACTGATCCCAGCTGTGTCAGGTAAGAGAGCAACAATCTGTTGACTTCAAAATTATCTTACCTGAACAATAGGAGATATGAACTTACTTAGGGGTTGGAAGATTTATTTTAATTATGACCCCACAGAAAAGATTCAAGACAACAAAACTTTAAGATAAGACTTTCTAATATATTAGGTAACAGAGTAAACTTAAATGAGATATTTGTTTACCTTTATTTTTATTTATTATTATTTATTATTATTTTTTGATGGGGTCTTGCTCTGTCACCCAGGCTGGAGTGCAGCGGCAAGATCTCGGATCACTGCAGCCTCCACCTCCTGGGTTCAAGCAATTCTCCCACCTAAGCTACCTGAGTAGCTGGGATTACAGGGGCACGCCACCACACCTGGCTAATTTTTGTATTTTTAGTAGAGACAGGGTTTCACCATGTTGGGAAGGCTGGTCTTGAACTCTTGACCTCACGTGATCCACCCACCTTGGCCTCCCAAAGTGCTGAGATTACAGGCGTGAGCCACTGCACCCCGGCCTATTTTTATTTTTTAATATTTATTTATTTTTGAGACAGAGTTATGCTCTTGTTGCCCAAGCTGGAGTGCAATGGCGTGATCTCGGCTCACCGCAACCTCTGCCTCCCGGGTTCAAGCAATTCTCCTGCCTCAGCCTCCCGAGTAGCTGGGATTACAGGCATGCGTCACCACACCCAGCTAATTTTGTATTTTTAGTAGAGACAGGGTTTCTCCATGTTGGTCAGGCTGGTCTTGAACTCCCGACCTCAGATGATCCGCCCGCCTTGGCCTTATTTTTATTTTTTTAGAGACGGAGTCTGACTCTGTCACCCAGGCTAGAGGGCCGTGGTGTGATCATAGCTCACCACAGCCTTGAACTCCTGGGTTACAGTGATCCTCCCGCCTTGTTCTCCCAAAATGCTGGTATTACAGGCATGAACCACCATGCCTGGTTGCAGTCTTACCTGTTTTTTTTCAAAAATGTTCTGACTATTCCATCCTATTGTAGCCTCTTCAGAATTCTCTCTCTCCAGGATTTAAGGCGCTATCAAGGTCTGTCAATCCTGAGATGAGTTATGTGAAAGTATTTAAGAAAGGATAGGGCCGGGAGCGGTGGCTCACGCCTGTAATCCCAGCACTTTGGGAGGCCAAGCCGGGTGGACCACGAGGTCAAGAGATCGAGACCATCCTGACCAACATGGTGAAACCTCGTCTCTACTAAAAATACAAAAACTTAGCCAGGCATGGTGGTGGGCAACTGTAGTCCCAGCTACTCGGGAGGCTGAGGCAGGAGAATCACTTGAAACTGGGAGGTGGAGGTTGCAGTGAGCCGAGATTGTGCCACTGCACTCCAGCCTGGGTGACAGAGCAAGACTCCATCTTAAAAAAAAAAAAATGATAAGGACTAAGGACTATATACATGTAAAAGTATAGTACTTCCTTCTCTTTCTCATTCTGTCTCTCTCTCTCTTTCTCTCTTTCTTTCACAGGATCTTGCTCTGTTGCCCAGGCTGGAGGGCAGTGGTGAGATCATGGCTCACTGCAACCTGGAACTCCTGGGCTCAAGTGATCCTTCTGCCTCCTGCCTCAGCCTCCAGAGTAGCTGGGACTACAGGCTTGCTCCACCACATCTGGCTAATATATACATCTAATATATTATATGTATTATATACATCTAATATATTATATGTATTATATACATCTAATATATTAGATGTATTATATACATCTAATATATGTATTATATACATCTAATATATGTATTATATACATCTAATATATGTATTATATACATCTAATATATGTATTATATACATCTAATATATGTATTATATACATATAATATATGTATTATATACATATAATATATGTATTATATACATATAATATATTATATGAATATATATATAATATATTATATGAATATATAATACATATACTATAGTATATGTATTATATACATATACTATAGTATATGTATTATATATTCATATACTATAGTATATGTATTATATATTCATATACTATAGTATATGTATTATATATTCATATAATATAGTATATGTATTATATATTCATATAATATAGTATATGTATTATATATTCATATAATATAGTATATGTATTATATATTCATATAATATAGTATATGTATTATATATTCATATAATATAGTATATGTATTATATATTCATATAATATAGTATATGTATTATATATTCATATAATATAGTATATGTATTATATATTCATATAATATAGTATATGTATTATATATTCATATAGTATATGTATTATATATTCATATAATACAGTATATGTATTATATATTCATATAATACAGTATATGTATTATATATTCATATAATACAGTATATGTATTATATATTCATATAATACAGTATATGTATTATATATTCATATAATATAGTATATGTATTATATATTTCATATAATATAGTATATGTATTATATATTCATATAATATATATATTATATATTTCATATAATATATATATTATATATTCATATAATATATTATATATATTATATATTTCATATATATATATATTTTTGAGATGGAGTCTTGCTTTGTTGCCCAGGCTGGAGTGCAGTGGTGCCATCTCGGCTCACTGCAACCTCCGCCTCCCGGGTTCAAGCGATTTTTCTGTCTCAGCTTCCCAAGTAGCTGGGATTACAGGTGCACGCCACCACGCCCAGCTAATTTTTGTATTTTTAGTAGAGATGGGGTTCCACCATGTTGGTCAGGCTGGTCTTGAACTCCTGACCTTGTGATCTACCCGCCTCAGCCTCCCAAAGTGCTGGGATTACAGGCGTGAGCCACTGCGCCCGGCCTCTGGCTAATATTTTTAAAACATTTTTTGTAGAGCCAGGTCTTGCTCTGTTGTCCACACTGGTCTCAAGCTCTTGGCTCAAGCGAAACTCCTGCCTTGGCCTCCCATAAATGCAGGAATTACAGATGTGAGCCACTGTGCCCTGCCTTAGTATTTCTTGAGTTGTTATTTAAATGTAAATATTCCCTTGTCTTTAATGCAGCAGAAAATTCCTCAAGAGCCAAAAATACTTTTTAAATTTTTAAAATTTAAAAGTTTTTAAATTGTTTAATTTTAAATTTTAATAAATAAATAAATAAAAATTTAAAAAAATTAAAAATTTTAAAGGGCACTTCATAAATCTCAAACTGCCCTGGTCCTCACAGTCTTTCTAACTTGGCTGAAGATAGCTCTGCTTTTGCTGAGAAAATGTAGATCACTTTCCTCTCTCTCAAAGGATCTGTGGAGTCATCCCTCTCCTCTTACAACCTCTGCTCCCTCTCCTCACATTGTACACTCAGATTTCAAAATCTTGGAGGACGCACCTCCCTCATCCTTCTCGGGGTTAGCTTTATGTTCTCCGAGTGCACCTCCCAAGGGGCAGCCCACTGATTCCAAATTGGAAGTGCTTTCCTTGGTTCTTATGAACCAATGCAGCAGTTTTTTCTTTTCTGTAAGTAAATTTTTATATTGCACTAAGGACTCCTAGTAACTTTCTTCAGGAGTTACTAAGGATAACATGTCTTTGCTATCCAACACCTAGGGTATTAGGCCGGCTGTGGTGGCTCATGCCTGCAATCCCAGCACTTTGGGAGGCCAAGCTGGGAAGATCACTTGAGCCCAGGAGTTCAAGACCAGCCTGGACAACATAGTAAGACCCCGTTTCTAAGACAAAAACAAAAACTAAAACCCTGGGGTATTAGCACTTAAGTTGACAGAGGAATTGATTTGGCATTGTACTGAAAAGTTGAGCTGGCCGGGTGTGGTGGCTCATGCCTGAAATCCTAGCACTTTGGGAGGCCGAGGTGGGCAGATCACTTGAGGTCAGAAGTTCAAGACCAGCCTGACCAACATGGTGAAACCCTGTCTCTACTAAAAATACAAAAATTAGCCGGGTGTGGTGGCGGGCGCCTGGAATCCCAGCTACTCGGGAGGCTGAGGCAGGAGAATTGCTTGAACCTAGGAGGTGGAGGTTACAGTGAGCTGAGATCATGCCACTGCACTCCAGTCTGGGCAACAGAGTGAGACACCGTCTCAAAAAAAGGAAAGAAAAGTTGAAAAGTTGAATTGCTGGTAACTATGTGAAGCTCCCACTATGCAAATACCTACATCCTTGGGATTCCTCAATTTTCTAGTTAGATAGGTATGTTATCAGTACTTTATGTGTTGACTCAGACAGCTCGTTAGGTATTAGCTTGGCTTAGTCTTTCCTTTAAAATGTCAATTATTAGTTTAGCTTCATTATTATCAATTTGGTGTTTCCTTTAGCCAACTGTATAATTTTTGTGATGCTCATTTGCATGAGCATTTTTTTTTTGACACGGAGTCTCGCTCTGTTGCCCAGTCTGGAGTACAATAGCATGATCTCGGCTCACTGCAACCTCCGCCTCCCAGGTTTAAGCGATTCTCCCGCCTCAGCCTCCTGAGTAGCTGGGATTACAGGTGCGTGCCACCACGCCCAGTTAATTTTTGTATTTTTATAGAGATGGGGTTTCTCCATGTTGGTCAGGCTGGTCTCAAACTCCTGACCTCAGGTGATCCACCTGCCTCGGCTTCCAAAGTGCTGGGATTATAGGCGTGAGCATCAGGCCCAGCCAAGTAGGCTTTCTAGGCCATAATTTTCAAGGAATTCGACTTCAAGATGTGTTAGTTTGTTATTCTTTTTTTTTTTTTTTTTGAGACGGACTCTTGCTCTGTCTCCCAGACTGGAGTTCAGTGATGTGATCTCAGCTCACTGCAACCTCTGCCTCCTGGGTTCAAGAGATTCTCCTTCCTCAGCCTCCTGAGTAGCTAGAATGACAGGCGCCCACCACCAGGCTGGTCTCGAACTCCTGACCTCAGGTGGTCGGCCCGCCTCGGCCTCCCAAAATGTTGGGATTACGGGTGTAAGCCACCACGCCCAGCCGGTTTGATATTCTAATAGGATTCTTCTATATCCATATTGCTAAATCAGAGGTTTGTATAATTTCCTAAAAATATGCTTGCACTATGACACTTCATTGGTTATGTGCTTCTCATGAATTTGTGCTATTTATATAACATGGAAGCCAGGTAGGTGTAATGAAATGACTGCGTTCTTTTTTATTTATTTATTTATTTTTCGAGAGGGAGTCTCGCTCTGTCACCCAGGCTGGATTCAGTGGCGCGATCTTGGTTCACTGCAGCCTCTGCCTCCTGGGTTCAAGTGATTCTCCTGCCTCAGCCTCCCAAGTAGCTGGCATTACAGGCATGTGCCACCATGCCTGTCTAATTTTTGTATTTTTAGTGGAGACGGGGTTTCACCATGTTGGCCAGGCTGGTCTTGAACTCCTGACCTCAAGTGATCCATCTGCCTTAGCCGCCCAAAGTGCTGGGATTACAGGCGTGAGCCACTGCACCCGTCCGATGACTGGGTTATTTTTAAATGTATAAGGCACTTTGTACAATATAAAACCATGTGGACAAGCTCATATTCTTTTTATCAAGTAAATACCAAGTGATTGTATATTTTGTATCCAGCAACATATCCACCCCAATTTGTTTATGGGTAAAAGCCTATCAATTGTATCCCTAGTGTACATCATGGTATCATATTGTGATATGACATTGAGAACATGTTTATTGTTTTGCTAGAAATATATAGCTATTTTCAACAAGGGTACCATTCAATGGAGAAAGGACAGTTTTTTTTCAACAAATGATGTTGGGAATATTGGATATCCACATGCAAGAAAATAAAATTGGACCCTTACCTTACTTACACCATATGGTGGTTAATTTTATGTGTTAAACTTGACTGGACATAGGGATGCCCAGATAGCTGGCATCATGTCTGGATGCATCTGTGAGGGTGTTTCTAGAAGAGATTAGCATTTGAATCAAACTGAGTAGAGATCACCCTCACCTGTGTGAATGAGCATCTTCCCGTCGTTGAGGACCTGGATAGAACACAAAGGCAGAGGAAGGGCAAACTTGCTCTCTTTTCTGGAACTGGAATATCCATCTTCTCCTGCCTTTGGACATTAAAGCTCCAGGTTCTCAGGCCTTCAGACTCAGATTGAATTATACCACTGGCTTTCCTGGTTCTCCAGCTCCAGCCCACAGACACCACACTCTGGGACTTCATGACCTCTATATTTGCATGAGCCAACTGCCATAATAGATCCCCTCTTATTTGTCTATGAATATCCTATTGCTTCTGTTTCTCTGGAGAACCCTAACACACGCCATATACAAAAATTAACTCAAAATAGATCAAACACCTAAATGTAAGAGCTAGAAGTATACAATTCTTAGAAGGAAACAGAGAAAGGCTTCGTGACGTTGGGTTTGGCAATGATTTCATGGATATGATACCAAAGGACAGCCAACAAAGGGAAAAATAGGTAATTCGGACCATATCAAAATTAAAAATTTTGTGCATCAGAGGGCACTATCAACAGTGAAAAAGCAACCCACAGAATGGGAGAAAATATTTGTGAATTGTATATCTAATAAGCAGTGCTTATCCACAATACATAAAGAACTCCTGCAACTCAACAAAAAAGCAAACAACCCAATTCAAAAATAGACAAAGGACTTGAGTAGACATTTCTCCAAAGAAGATATACAATGGCCAGTAAGTGGATGAAAAGATGCTCAACATTATTAATCACTGGAGAATGCAGATCAAAACCACAATGAGATACAATTTCACACCTATTAGGATAGCTGCTATTAAATAAACAAATAAACAAAAACAGAAAATAAGTATTGGTGAGGATGTGGAAAAATTGGAACCCTCCTGCATTGCCGATAGGAATATACAGTGATGTAGCCACTGTGGAAAAAAGTATATTGACTCCTCAAAAAATTAAACATAGAATTACCATATATCAGCAATTCCACTTCTGGGTTTGTACCCAAAAGAAGTGAAAGCAGGCTATGGGCGCGGTGGCTCACACCTGTAATCCCAGCACTTTGGGAGTCTGAGGCGGGCGGATCACCTGAGGTCAGGAGTTCGAGACCAGCCTGACCAACATGGTGAAACCCCATCTCTACTAAAAATACAAAATTAGTTGGGTGTGGTGGCAGGTGCCTGTAATCCAAGCTACTTGGGAGGCTGAGGCAGGAGAATTGCTTGAACCCAGGACACGGAGGTTGCAGTGAGCCGAGATGGTGTCATTGCACTCCACACTGAGCGACAGGAGCGAAACTCCGTCTCAAAAAAAAAAAAAAAAAAATTCCACAGTATATACAACATCATCATTAGTTTTTATTTTCATTAAGGTTAAATGTGAGCATGCTTTATTTTTCTTTTTTTTCACGTCAGAGTCTTGCTTTGGCTCAAAGGCTGGAGTGCAGAGGTGCTATCACGGCTCACTACAGCCTTAAACTCCGGGGCTCAAGTGATCCTCCTGCCTCAGCCTCCTAAGTAGCTGGGACTACAGACATGAATCCCCATGCCTGGCTAATTTTTTATTGAGGCAGGGTCTCGCTATATTGCCCAGGCTGGTCTCAAACGCCTGGGCTCAAGCAATCCTCCCATCTTGGCTTCCCAAATTGTTAGGATTACAGGCACGAGCCACCATGCCCAGCCAGAAGCACTTTCAAAACTTTTGTTTGATAGTCACATATTCTAATAAGTGCTACTTCGTGGTTCTTCACAGTTATTGGCTATGAACCTCCAACTATGAAAGAAGAGAATTTAATTATCTTTCAATCATCTTGAACCCAGTAATGCATAAATATGTAACTAATGTCATTCTCAATTCTTTCTACATGTTAAGTCTTCCTTTTGAATAGAACGATAATCAATGTTTAGTTTACTATGCCTATAAAAATATTCTCAGCTAAGCCATAAGTTTTCCCCTATTTAAAACATTTTTTTTTTTCCTGGAAATACTGTGTTGCTATTCCCAAGGTTAGTTTCCTATATAATTGACACTAATTCAGGCCCAGTCTTCTCCAGAATAGTCTAACTGTCCTCTCGATATGTTCAAATACATCAGGAGTTCTGCAGTTTTCATCCCCTTGGTGATCTCTCTCCTGGAGCATCCTGACTGTCTCCAAACTGGACGGTTCCCCATATGTGACACACAGGTATCATTCTGGAATTTCTCCTTACCATCATCCTAGGCCGTTCTTCAGCCTGTTTTGAATTAGATACATATTACTAGATCCCATGTCATTCTCCTTCTCAGTTCCTTTGAATCACCTACCTCTTCCAGACCTTCCCCAGAAAAATCTCTTTTTGAGACCTTACAAGTCTGAAAATGTCTTTATTCTACCTACACTTAACTGATAGTTTGGCTGGGTATCTAAGTTGGTAACAATTTTCACTACAAACTTTGAAGGTGACTGCTCCCTCTCTGCATCCGGTGTTGCTAATGAGAAGCCAAACAATTTTAATTCCAGATCCTTTGTGTGTGACCTAGTTTTTCCTCTCTGGAAATGTTTAGGGTTAATGGTTTATTGTGTATTCTGAAATTTCACAATTATGGGGTCTGCCTTCCTTCAATACGTTAGGCACTTGGCAGTCCCTTTCTTTTATCTTCGTTGCAGAGATGAGGTCTTGCTGTGTGACCCAGGCTGGCCTGGAACTCCTGGCCTCAAGTGATCCCCCAGTCTCAGCCTCCCAAAGTGCAAGGATTAGAGCTACGAGCCACCCTTCCCAGCCAACAGGCCCTTTCAATCTAGATAGTTCTGTCCTTCAATAGAAAATTTCTTTGAACTATGTCTTTGATGATTTTTTTATCCTATGTTTTCTTTTTTTCTCATATCATTCTCATATTAGACCTTCTGGATAAATCCACCAGTATTCTTATCTTTACTCTCCTATTTGAACCTCTTTATTTTACTCCTTTTATTGTACTTTCTGGAATATTTCTTCAACTCTATCTTCTATAGTACTGGGTTTTTCATTTCTACTATATTTAACCTCAACCACAAGCAAATAAATACCAAGCTAAAACAATGAGACTTTTTTCTTTTTCTTTTGCCTGTGAGTTTTGGCCAATATAAAAAAGTTTCGTAATACCTAATGTTGGCTAAATGTGGGAAAACAATAAATGAAAGTTCTTTGAAGAACAACTTTACAATATCTATCAAAATTCACAAAACATGTAAAACTCTTGACTCAGTAATTTTACCTCTAGGAATTTACCATGCATTTATACTTGTACAAGTGTTCAAAAATATAGATATAAGCATTATTTGTTAATAGCAAAAAAAATCTTAAATATCCAACAGGAAGCAATTGGTTATATAAACCATAATTATCCCTGAAATATCCAACAATTTCAAAAACAACATTGATCTAGATATGGTGATATTGAATGACTTCCAAACGACTTAAGCGAGCCGAGATTGCGCCATTGCACTCCAGCCTGGGCAACAAGAATGAAATTCCGTCTCAAAAAAAATATATATGAAAACAGGGACTCCAAAAGATATTTGTACACCCATGTTCATAGCAGCATTACTCACAATAGCTAAAGTGGAAGTAACCCAAGTGTCCATCGGTGGATGAAAGGATGAAGAATATGTGCTCTCTATATACAATGTAGCCAGAAAGAAAACGTGGTCATTATATATAATATAGACATGATGGCTCATGGCTGTAATCCTAGCACTTTGGGAGGGCAAAGCCGGAGGATCACTTGAGCCCAAGGAGGTCAAGGCTGCAGCGAGCTGTGATTGCACCACTGCACTCCAGTCTGGGCGACAGAGCAAGACTTTGTTTTTTTTTTTTTTTTTTGAGACAGGGTCTCGCTCTGTTGCCCAGGCTGGAGTGCAGTGGTGTAATCACAGCTAGCTGCAGCCTTGACCTCCTTGGGCTCAAGCGATCCTCCCACCTCAGCCTCCTGAATAGTTGGGACTACAGGCACATGCCACCATGCCTGGCTAATTTAAAAATTTTTTTCAATTTTTGTAGAGATAAGGTCTTGCTTTGTTGCCCAGGCTGCTCTCTAACTCCTGGCCTCAAGCAATCCTCCCACTTCAGCCTTTCAAAGTGCTGGGATTATAGGCATGAGCCACTGTCCCTGGCCTTGGTATAATTTTAACTTGCATTTTACTTTATATGAGTGAGGCTGAGCACATTTTCTTATGTTTAAAAGCCATTTGAGGCCAGGCACGGTGGCTCACGCTTGTAATCCTAGCACTTCGGGAGGCTGAGGCAGGTGGATCACTTGAGCCCAGGAGTTCAAGACCAGCCTGGACAACACAGTGAGACCCTGTCTCAAAAAAAAAAAAGCCATTGGGGCCGGCAGCATGTGCCTGTGGTCCCAGCAACCAGGGAGGCTGACGTGGGAGGATCACTTGAGCCCAGGAAGTCAAGGGTGCAGTGAGCTGTGATTTTGCCACTGCACTCTAGCCTGGGTGACAGAGCAAGATCTTGTCTCAAAAAAAAAAAAACAACAAATGCTGAGAGTTAACAGCGAGCAGTGAGGAGTGCTGTGCGGGTTGGCCCAGCTGGTTTGGTTTGGTTTGATTGGGGAGGGGTTAGCCAGATGATAAACTCCCCTGGCTTTTTCACTAGGTTTGGCTTGCTGCTGTGTTCCCAATAGCTAGCACAGTGCCTGACATATAGCAGATGGGCAACAAATTTGTTGAAAAAAAATGAATGGAAGGCATCCTGGAGGTAAGTGTTTGAGAGCTGTTTAGGAAGAAAGAACCTGGTCATGAATTGGATGCTGGGGAGAGTGAAGTACATGCATAGGTTTCTGACTGCGAAGAAACCAAGAGTCTATGTTTCTGCACGAATGTTTTATTCATGTGGGTGGGGCTCTGCTGAGCTGGCTTTTACAACTTAAAACCTTTTCACTGGGAGGACAATTCCAAAGTCTAGCAGAAGCAAGCTTCAGGAAGAACAATAGCTCCAACCCCACCCCAGTTTTTCAATTTAAGCGAAAAATTAGCTTCTCTGAGACCTCTCCACCCTCCTCTTTGAATATTTGGATGGGATTAAGACAGTCATTCCGGGAAAAGGGGCATCTCAGAGCCTGGAAGAGAGGAGGCAGAGTCAGCTGCCACAAGCCAGTTGAAAATAAAACAGATTTCACGACAGAAGGAAGAGCATGGTGGCTGAATTTGTTAGGTTATGTCCTTGGAAATTCAGAGATGAAAATCAGAGCCACGGACTCTTCCCTCTTCCTTCTTCCGGGATTAAAAATAATAATAGACTGACCATCCTGGCTAACACGGTGAAAGCCCATCTCTACTTAAAATGCAAAAAATTAGCCGGGCGTAGTGGCGGGCGCCTGTAGTCCCACCTACTCAAGAGGCTGAGGCAGGAGAATGGCGTGAACCCAGGAGGCGGAGCTTGCAGTGAGCCGAGGTCGCGCCACTGCACCCCAGCCTGGGCGACAGAGTGAGACTCCGTCTCAAAAATAAATAAATAAATAAATAAATAAATAAATAAATAAATAAACAAACAAATAAATAAAAATTATAGACCGAATCTAGCACTTCCAACTTCTCTGGTCATGCCTCAAAGTTATATTAAGAGATTAAAGCCACATCTTCCTTTTATTATTGGGCACTGGTCTTAGCTTTCCACAGCTTTTAAAAATTGTTAAAAAAAAAAAAAAAAAAGGAAGGGGCTAGGCACAGTGACTCACACCTATAATCCCAACACTTTGGAAGGCAGAGGCAGGGGGTTACTTGAGCCCAGGAGTTCAAGACCAGTCTGGCTGACATAGGGAGACGGTGTCTTTACAAAAAATTTTTAAAAATTAGCCAGGCATGGTGAGGTGCACCTGTGGTCCCAGCTACTTGGGAGGCTAAGGTGAGAGGATCACTTGAGCCCAGGAGGTTGAGGCTGCAGTGAGCCGTGATTGCACCACTGCACTCCAGCCTGGGTGACAGAACGAGACTTTGTCTCAAAAAAGAAAAAAAGAAAAGAAAAGGAAGTAACATCCCTCCTGGTCTTTTGAACTTGTGGGCCACTCCTCCAATGCACACCACCCTAGCCCCTCAGAAAAGAAAGGTAAGCAACATAACAAAGTTTGGTTTCTTTCTGGTTTTTTTTTTTTTTGAGACAGGGTCTCCCTCTGTCACCCAGGGTGGAGTACAGTGGCATGAACACGGCTCACTGCACCCTGGACCTCCTGGGCTCAAGTGGTCCTCCTGCCTCAGTCTCCCCAGTAGCTGGGCTCACAGGCGTGCGCCACCACACCCAGCTTATTTTTAATGATTTTTTTTTTTTTTTTAGAGGAAGTCTTGCTCTGTCGCCCAGGCTGGAGTGCAGTGGTGCAATGTTGGCTCACTGCAAGCTCCACTTCCCGGGTTCACACCATTCTGCCACCTCAGCCTCTCAAGGAGCTGGGACTACAGGCGCCCGCCACCACGTCTGGCTAATTTTGTTTTTGTTTTTTTTAGTAGAGATGGGGTTTCACCGTGTTAGCCAGGATGGTCTCGATCTCCTGACCTCGTGATCCACCCGCCTCAGCCTCCCAAAGTGCTGGGATTACAGGTGTGAGCCACCAGGCCCGGCCTTAATGATTTTTTTTTTTTTAGAGATGGGTCTTGCCATGTTGCCCAGGCTAGTCTCAAACTTCTAGGCTCAAGTGATCCTCCCACCTCAGCCTCCGAAAGTGTTTATTATTTTATTTAAAGGGCTTATCTGGAGTTGAAATAGCCACAAACAAAAACAAACAAACAAAAACAAGGAAAGAAAGAAAAAGAAAAAAAGCTAAAAGGCTTATTAACTGATTTATTTTGGTAAAATTTTAAGTAGTTTTCCTTCCTCTTATTCGGAATATATGTTGAATTATTATAATGAGATAACTAGATAAAAATAATTTTCTATAACATTAGATATAACCAATCTTTGTGTTGCTGTTTTGAAAAGGTCAGGTTTTGTTAGCATGGTGCTTCAGTTATTTGCGATATTTATGAAACTATCTCAAAATTCAAATGCTTGTATCTTATCTTCTAAAAGCTCAGGGAAACTAGACTGCAAACAGGGCAAAGGTTGCAGCATGAAAGTAAATATTTAGATTGCCTCTTAACTCTGCCAGGTGTAATATTCCTGTAAAATAGTGATACCGAAACCAGCTCTGGAGATGGAAAGTATAATCAGGAGGTTTGTTTTATAATAATTTTAATACCGTTGTCCCAAGTATTTGTTTCTGATAACTACTTTCCTATTTTCTTACTCAATATTTATACCTGAATCCCCATTCTCCCAGTTCTCTGAATGAGCTCTCCCATCATATATTCCTAATTTCATTCACATGTCCCACAACAGTTTCACCAAGTATGTGTTCTATTTTCTTCAGAATCTTTTGACCTAGAGGATCTGTGAATGATTAACTGAAGCACTCCCTACCCACTGCTACAAACCAAAAACACGTGTGAAACCTGTCTCTTCCATTTTCTTTCTTCCTTCCTTCCTTCTTTCCCTTACCTTCCCCTTCCTTCCTTCCTTCCTTCCTTCCTTCCTTCCTTCCTTCCTTCCTTTCTTTTTTTCTCTCTCTCTCTTTCTTTTTTTTTCTTGAGATGGAGTCTCACTCTGTCTCTCAGGCTGGAGTGCAGTGGCATGATCTTGGCTCACTGCAACCTCTGCCTCCCAGGTTCAAGCGATTCTCCTATTTCAGCCTCCCGAGTAGGTGGGATTACAGGCATCTGCCACCACACCCAGCGAATTTTTGTATTTTTAGTTGAGACCAGCGTGACCAACATGGTGAAACCCATGTTGGTCACGCTGGTCTCTAACTCCTGACTTCAGGTGATCCATCCACCTCGGCCTCCCAAAGTGCTGGGATTACAGGCATGAGCCACTGCGCCCAGCTGTTTCTGCCATTTTCTACCCAATTTATGGACACCCAGGTTTGGAGTACAGAGGACAAGTACCAAGCACAAGGCTTGGGTACTGGGTACCCAGAAAACACAGCTGCAGGTCTCAAAGGAGTCTTGGCCTTGTTGCTTGACTTCTATACTTTTAATTTTTTTGTGACCTACTATACTTATCTGGCCAGCCCAACCAGCAGTCCAACAGTAACATCTGTTGACCTAAACTCCACCATCATTAAGCCCCCTATCAGATTATATTATTTTTGTATCCAAAGATAATTTAGCTGAGATTATTTTCTGGCATATATTTTTACAACTCTTCTGATGAACAAACAGATGGATTTAGCCAAGTTCAAAACTAAATCAAATTCAAAATATATAAAGAACTCCTACAACTGAACAACAAAACGACCACAACCCAATTTAAAAATGGGCAATGACCAGCCGGGCATGGTGGCTCACGCCTATAAATCACAGCACTTTGGGAGGCCGAGGCGGGTGGATCACGAGGTCAGGAGATCGAGACCATCCTGGCTAACACGGTGAAACCCCATCTCTACCAAAAATACAAAAAAATTAGCCGGGCATCGTGGCACACACCTGTAGGCCCAGCTACTCAGGAGGCTGAGGCAGGAAAATCATTTGAACCCGGGAGGCGGAGGTTGCAGTGAGCCGAGATCGTGCCACTGCACTCCAGCCTGGGTGACAGAGTGAGGCTCCACCTCAAAAAAAAAAAAAAGGGCAATGGATTTGAATGGCCATTTTTCAAGGAAGATGTACACATGGCCAGTAAGTACGTGAAAAAAATGCTGAACATCACTAATCATTAAGGAAATTCAAACCATAATGAGATACCACTTCACATCTATTAGGATGGCTATTTATTTATTTATTTATTGAGACAGTCTTGCTCTGTCGCCCAGGCTGAAGTGCTGTGGCGCAATCTAGGCTCACTGCAACCTTTGCCTCCCAGGTTCAAGTGATTCTCCTGCCTCAGCCTCCTGAGTAGCTGGGATTACAGGCATGCACCACCATGCCCAGCTAATTTAGTATTTTTAGTAGAGACGAGGTTTCACCGTGTTGGCCAGGCTGGTGTCAAACTCCTGACCTCAAGTGATCCGCGTACCTCGGCCTCCCAAAGTGTTGGGATTACAGGTGTGAGCCACTGTGCCTGGCAGTATGGCTATTTATTAAAAGAGAGAAAGAGAAAATAACAAGTGTTGGCAAGGATGTGGAGAAATTGAAACCCGCATGCATTGCTGGTGGGAATGTCACAAAGAGGAAGAGGAATTTCTACAGTACAGTCATTCAGTACCAATTTCTCCTCTTGAGAATAGGCAGAAATCAAGGAACTGTAGGGAAACAGTGACTCTCTGAAATTGACTCATGAGTTACTCATGGACATTTGGCACATTGACATCAAACACCTACCATAATGTTGTTCTTACAGTATGTAATCTCTCATATTCTCTAATTTCAAACCCTTAGCCCTGAGGGTTTCTTTCTTTTTTTTTTTTTTTTTTCTGAGATGGAGTTTTGCTCTGTCACCCAGGCTGGAGTGCAGTGGCGCGATCTCGGCTCACTGCAAGTTCCACCTCCTGGGTTCACGCCATTCTACTGCCTCAGCCTCCTGAGTAGCTGGGACTACAGGCGCCTGCCACCACGCCTGGCTAATTTTTATTTTTTTTTTTGTATTTTCAGTAGAGACGGGGTTTCACTGTGTTAGCCAGGATGGTCTCGATCTGCTGACCTTGTGATCTGCCCACCTCGGCCTCCCAAAGTGCTCGGATTGCAGGCGTGAGCTACCGCGCCCGGCCAACCCTGAGGGTTTCTAAGAAAATCCTGGATATCACTATAAACTCTAAGAACAGTGGCCGACTGTTTTCACCACATTGCTGCATCTGGGCAGCTATATCACATGGCAGGCACCTTCCAAATACTTGGGAAGCTAGTTCTGAGTAACTTTGTCTTTTAACTTGGCTTTGCCCTTCAGCAATAGCAATCCGCAGAGTACCCTTGAATATTAACACTGGCAGGCTTACTGGTCACAAACAAGATTTAAATTGGGAAGGGCTACTATTGTTCACACATTAACTAACAGCATTTTCCCCACGTGTCATACATCCTTCAGCCTCCTGCCCTATACACAAAGGGAATTCATAGGCATGAATGCAATTATGTTGAATAAAAGCATTTAAACAGGTATAAATCAGGCCCATTCACTTGCAGACTTTTTGTTTTAGAACCACTCATAGGGGAAAAGGGGACGAAATGGTTATATCTACCATCTTAGATGTGGGGTTTGGCTTCAAGTCATACACACACACACACACACACACACACACACACACACACAGGCTTGGGTTTCAAATATGGCTCATGAAGCCAATAGTTGTAAGATTTTTGTTTCTCCAGAACTTTGTAAATGTTTTCCAAAGATCACTAGAACACTACAGGCAGTTCCCAATTTATGAAAGCATTGTATTCTTAAATTTACATTTTTTTGGCCAGGCGCGGTGGCTCACGCCTGTAATCCCAGCACTTTGGGAGGCTGAGGTGAGTGGATGACCTGAGGTCAGGAGTTCGACAACAGCCTGGCCAACATGGTGAAACCTCATCTCTACTAAAAATACAAAAATTATCCAGGTGTGGTGGCTCACACCTGTAATCTCAGCTACTCAGGAGGCTGAGGCAGGAGAATCACTTGAACGCAGGAGGCAGAGGTTGCAGTGGGCCGAGATCACACTACTGCACTCCAGCCCAGGCGAGGGAGTGAGACAGTGTCTCAAAACAACAACAACAACAACAACAACATTACTTAAAAAAAAACTGTGAACATACTTTTGTTCAAACATGTATACAGTATAATTGTTAGAAATTGAGGGCCAAGCACGGTGGCTCACGCCTGTAATCCCAGCACTTGGGAGGCCAAGGCGGGCAGATCTGGAGGTCAGGACTTCGAGACCAGCCTGGCCAACATAGTGAAACCCCGTCTCTACTAAAAATACAAAAAATTAGCCGGGCATGGTGGCAGGCGCCTGTAATCCCAGCTACTCGGGAGGCTGAGGCAGGAGAATCGCTTGAACCTGGGAGGCAGAGGTTGTAGTGAACTGAGATCGTACCATTGCACTCCAGCCCTGGCAACAGTGCAAAACTCCGTCTCAAAAAAAAAAAAAAAATTTGAGATATACCAGCCTGGGCAACATGGAAACCCCATCTCTTAAAAAAAAAAATTAGCTGGGCGTGGTAGCTTGCTCCTGTGGTCCCAGCTGCCCAGCTGCTCCGGAGTCTGAGGCTGGAGGGCTGCTTGAGCCTGGAAAGCAGAGGTTGCAGTGAGTTGAGATCACATCACTGCACTCCAGCTTGGGAGACAGAGCAAGACCCTGTCCAGGCGCAGTGGTTCACACTTGTAATCCCAGCACTTTGGGAGGCCGAGGTGGGTGGATCACTTGAGGCTAGGAATTCGAGATCAGCCTGACCAACATGGTGAAACCCCGTCACTACTAAAAATACAAAAATTAGCTGGGCGTGGTGGCTCACACCTGTGATCCCACCTACTCGGGAGGCTGAGGCAGGAGAGTCACTTGAACTCTGGAGGTGGAGGTTGCAGTGAGGCGAGATTGCGCCACTGCACTCCAGCCTGGGCAACAGAGAGAGACTCCGTCTTAAAAAAGAAAAAAAATTGAGGTAAAATACATGTATAATATATGTACAGTAAAAGGCACCAATTTTAAATGCTTAGCTTGATGGATTTTTAAATATGTATATATCCTGGTAAGCAACGAACCAGATGAAGGTATAGTACCCAGAAAGCTCCCTCATGCTCCTTCCCAGCCAATAAACCTCTCTCACAGGTAACCCCTATTCTGAATTCTATCATCAGAGGTTGGAGTTTCAAAATAACTTTCTTTTTTTTTTTTTTTTTCCGAGACTGAGTCTTGCTCTGTTGCCCAGGTTGAAGTGTGGTGGCGCGATCTCGGCTCACTACAAGCTCCGCCTCCCGGGTTCACGCCATTCTCCTGCCTCAGCCTCCCGAGTAGCTGGGACTACAAGTGCCCGCAACCAAGCCCAGCTAAATTTTTTGTATTTTTAGTGGAGACGCGGTTTCACCATGTTAGCCAGAACAGTCTCGATCTCCTGACCTCTTGATCCGCCTGCCTCAGCCTCCCAAAGTACTGGGATTACAGGCGTGAGTCACCGCACCTGGCCTCTCTTCTTTCTTTCCTTCCTTCCTTCCTTTCTCTCTCTCTCTCTTCCCTTCCTTCCTTCTTTTCTTCTTTTTCTTTCTTCTTTCTTTTCTTCTTTCTCTTTCTTTTCTCTTTCCCTCCCTCCCTCCCTTCCTCTCTCTTTCTCTCCTTCCTTCTTTCTCTTTCTTCTTTCTCTTTCCCCCTCCCCTCCCCTCCCCTCCCCTCCCCTCCCTTCCCTTCCCTTCCTTCTGCAGAGTCTTACTCTGTCACCCAGGCTGCAGTGCAGTGGCATGGTCTCAGCTAACTGCAACCTCCACCTCCTGGGGTCAAGCAATTCTCATGCCTCAACCTCTCGAGTAGCTGAGATTACAGGCGTGCACCACCACACCAGGCTAATTTTTGTACTTTTTTTTTTTTTTTTCTGAGACAGAGTCTTGCTCTGTCGCCCAGGCTGGGGTGCAGTGGCACGATCTCAGCTCACTGCAACCTCCACCTCTGAGGTTCAAGCGGTTCTCGTGCCTCAGCCTCCCGGGACTACCTCCAGGGACTACAGTGTGCGACAACACGCCCAGCTAATTTTTGTATTTTCAGCAGAGAAGGGTTTTTGCCATGTTGGCCAGGCTGTTCTCAAACTCCTGGCTTCAAGTGATCCACCCACATCAGCCTCCTAAAGGGCTGGGGTTACTGGCATGAGCCACCACCCCTGACCTAATCAATTTTCTATAATAAATATATTACCTATATACTTTTTAAAAAAGCTTTTTATAACTTTTATTATTCAAAAGAAGTCATTTTGATAGTCTATAGCCACCTTATTATTTAACACAATGAAAAGTATATTTTGAGTATCTAGCCACCAGTTATTGAGCAAGTATCTTCGTGGTGTTTTACATTATTTAATTTTCACAACAATTTCGTCAGGTGGTATTATCGCCACATCACAGTTAAGGAGGCTGATGGTTGGAGATGTTAATTTGTCAAGGCCACATAGTAAGAAATGGAGTCTTGGTTGTGATGAGCTCAGAAGTTCACCTTCTTCGCCTTCTGCGGGGCTAAACCATCCCTCCTGCCTTCTGCCTATCCCCAGTTTGTCTATTATAGGACAAGTAGTCTATTACATGCTCGAGCAGGTCTGTCATACTCTCCTTTAAAAACCCATTGAAAGCAGCCGGGCATGGTGGCTCATGCCTGTAATCCCAGCACTTTGGGAGGCCAAGGCAGGTAGATCACTTGAGGTCAGGGGTTCAAGACCAGCCTGGCCAGCATGGTGAAACCCTGTCTCTACTAAAAATACAAAAATTAGCTGGGCATGGTGGTGTGCGCCTGTAATCCCAGCTACTCAGGAGGCGGAGGCAGGAGAATTGCTTGAACCCAGGAGGTGGTGGTTGTGGTGAGCGGAGGTAGCACCACTACACTCCAGCCTGGGCAACAGAGCAAGACTCCATATCAAAACAACAACAACAATCCCAAAAAAGAAACCCATTGAAAGCATTAAAGTAGACAATTTTAAAGTGATTTTACAGCCAGGTGTGGTGGCTCATGCCTGTAATCCCAGCACTTTGGGAGGCCAAGGTGGGCAGATCACTTGAGGTCAGGAGTTCAAGATCAGCCTGGCCAACACAGCAAAATCACATCTCTATTAAAAATACATAAATTAGCTGGGCGTGGTGGTATGCGTCTGTAGTCCTCATTGCTCAGGAGGCTGAGGTGGGAGGGTCACTTGAACCCAGGAGGGGGAGGTTGCAGTGAGCCAAGATCATGCCACTGCACTCCAGCCTGGGCGACAGAGCAATACTTCATCTCAAAAATAAAATGTCTAAAGCCATTTTTGTAAAAATAAATAAATAAATAAATAAATAAAGGTGATTATACACACCACAAAGGTCTGGGAGGGTATACTGCAAACAGTATATACTGCCAGGGAATAGAATTGGTACTGGTAGGACTTTTGTTTTCTAAGCTTTTATACTCATTATTTTTAAAAATTATAATAGTTAAAAAAAGATGGTCAGAAAAAATTGTAGACTTTTCCTGTGTTGTATCTTTCAAATGTCGGTGCATCTCAATATCAGAAACAATTTCTAGAAATATGTACTTCATTACCACCCCCAAAGTCTCTACCTGTTTCACTGATTTCAGTATCTTTAATGCTAACATATCTGGGACAATAAAAGCATTTGACATATAACTGGCATATACTTTTTTCAAGTTTTAGATATACTGACATATCCTCATATTAATTTTCAAATTAGAATACATGTTGAAATAATATGGAAGGGCTGGGTGCAGTGGTTCACACCTGTAATCCCAGCACTTTGGAAGGCTGAGGCAGGGGAATTGCTTTGGGAGGCCGAGGCGGGCAGATCACTTGAGGTCAGGAGTTCGAGAACAGCCTGGCCAACATAAGATGAAACCCTGTCTCTACTAAAAATATAGAATTTAGCTGGGTGTGGTGGTGAGTGCCTGTAATCCCAGCTACTTGGGAGGCTGAGGCAGGAGACTAGCTTGAACCCAGGAGGCAGAGGTTGCAGTGAGCCAATCACACTACTGCACTCCAGCCTGGGCGACAGAGTGAGTCTCCATCACAAAAAATAAAAGAAAAAATAATATGGAAGAAAGAAAATGTACAGGGAAGTACTTTTCCTTCTGAATCTTGTAACTTGCCAAATGTAGCTATTACAGGCTAAACTGTGGCCTCTCAAAAAGATAACACTGAAGTTCCTAACCTCCAGTACCTCAGAACGTGACTTTACTTGGAAATAGCGTCCTAGCAAATGTAATGAGTTCACAGGAGGTCATGCTGGAGAAGGTGGGCCTCTCATCCAATATGACTGGTATGGCCAGACAGGGAGAAGGCCATGCGAGAATGGAGGATTGGAGAGATGCATCTACAAGCCAAGGAACATCAAACATGGCCAGCAAACCACCAGAAACTAGAAGAGGACTCCCCTACAGGTTTTTGAGGGAGCATGTCCCAGCTGACACCCTGCTTCCAGACTTCTAGGCTGCAGGTCTGTGAGACAACACACTTCAGTTGTTTTGAGCCACTCAGTTTGTAGTACATTGTCATGGCAGTCCTAGGAAACTAATATAGTGGCCTGGACTTTGAATTATTGCGAATAATGGGGGAAGGAGAAACAGTGAGTCACCTGAGCATCGTGACCTACGGGTTTTCAATGACTTTCCAGTTTATTTTCTGACAAGTGAAAATATTTTCAAGAACATGCACAGTGAACACAGGAATGCTAGGAAGGCAAACATAAAAGGGCACACACACACACGGCAGGTGACTGAAACTTTAATGCACCTAGGGATTGACCACAACATTTACAAATCAGTGTTACTGCATTGGTTTTTCAAAGATTAGCTACATTTATAAACTTTATTTTAAAAGTTTCACAAAGTTAAATTTCCTTAACACTTCAACAGGAATCTAACTCTTTACAGTCTATCAAAATGGTAATATTTTACCTTTTTTTTTTTTTAAAGCACTGGTGCTCTTCTTAAGTGAAATGTTAACACAGGGCTCAATACATAAAAGAGAAAGTGAAGTTGTTCCATTTGGGGGGTCCCATAAGGGGCCTCATGTTTCCCTAGGTGTTACCCCTTCAGACACAGCACAGCCTACAAAGCCATGGAATTAAAATATTAACAATGAATGCATAAAGATTTCACTGACAAATAAAAACCAGGGAGTGCATTCAGTGACCACAACTTTCTAAGCTTCTGCTTTTCCACATGCTTTTCTTTGGTTTTATCACTTTAGAAAACTCTTTGAACATTAATTGTCTGAATGGCAGCTATATTAGTCAGAAGCTGTAATGCTACACCTGGGAATTTATCTACATGATAGATGCTGCTGAATAAAATCCAACAAGAACGATTTTGTTTAAAAAAAAACTTTGTTAAGGCAGTCTATTGTTCATACTAACAGAAATAAAACATTTATGAATAAAGTCCAAAGCCAAGATAATTCTTAGAAAGATGAAGCATCCCTGCTGGGCACAGTGGCTCACACCTGAATCCCAGCACTTCAGAAGGCCGAGGCTGGTAGATCATCTGAGGTCAGGAGCTTGAGACCAACCTGGCCAACATAGTGAAATCCTGTCTCTACTAAAAATACAAAAAATTAGCTGGGCATGGTGGTGGGTGCCTGTAATCCCAGCTACTTGGGAGGCAGAGGCAGGAGAATCGCTTGAACCCAGGAGGCAGAGGCTGCAGTGAGCCAAGATCATACCACTGTACTCCAGCCTGGGCAACAAGAGCGAAACTCCATCTCAAAAAAAAAAAAAAAGGGAGTTTCCAAGGAAATGCTACATTGTGGGACTGTAGCATGTATGTCCAAAGGGAATAGAAAAGCAATACCAGCTGGGCGCGGTGACTCACGCCTGTAATCCCAACACTTTGGGAGGCTGAGGCGGGTGGATCATGAGGTCAGGAGATCGAGATCATCCTGGCTAACACGGTGAAACCCCATCTCTACTAAAAATACAAAAAAATTAGCTGGGCGTGGTGGCAGGTGCCTGTAGTCCCAGCTACTCGGGAGGCTGAGGCAGGAAAATGACGTGAACTTGGGAGGCGGAGCTTGCAGTGAGCCGAGATCGCACCACTGCACTCCAGTCTGGGCAACAGAGTAAGACTCTGTCTCACAAAAAAAAAAAAAAAAAAGCAATACCATTCATACAATTCAATGTGTCCAGGGCAGGCTGGACTATGGGGAGATGGAGAGATGTACAGTCACACTGATGAAAGACAGGGAGGCCATGTGGAACCCCAGGGGCCACAGAGCCACAGTGAAGCACCAGGCTAAGGCCATGAGTTAACACCACAAACCAGAAAGGCACCAGACACTTGGGCTTTTGGTTAAGTAGGTTGGGCTTGCTCATTAAGGACCTTTTCTTGAGACTCATTCTTTATAATTTATTCATTTCACAAACACTTCAGTAGACTTCACAAACACTAATATAGTTCCTACCATATTAGTAACTCCTTTAATCCTAACAACTCTATGAGGAAGGAACTATTATTAGCCCCATTTTACAGAAGAGGAAACAGGCACAGAGAGATTAAGCAATTTGCCCAAGATCAGGATGTCTGAAAATGTTGATCTGGGATTCAAACACCTTTCAAGGGAATAAATGACACCTTTGAAAGATGTCACCCTTTTTCCCTTAGAAAAATCCTTTAGAAATCCCCTAGGAATTTCTCTAGGAAGAGAAATTTGTCCCAGAAAAATCCTAGGAACCTGCCTGAGTAAAAAAGGAAAAAGTAGCACCAGAATTGATGGTCCACTTGCCCATCACACTGCCAGGATACGATCTCTAAAATGATGACACATTTAAATGAGATAGATGAATATGAAATTGGTCACAGATGAAAGATGAACACAGGATTTTTTCCATTCTTAGTAAAGGCCCTTAGAACATTTGAATTCGTTTAAAAATGTCTGAGTAAAATCTTTAATGTTGCATACTGGTTAAACCAATTGGAAGCTGATTTGGGAAGCGCTTGCTTCTCTACCACAGAGGCTAGCATTAAAAAGGCAGTAAATAAATAGTAAACTTGCTATTTTTTAAAAAAAGTAGTTTCCCAGCCTGACCAACATGGTGAAACCTCGTCTCTACTAAAAATACAAAAATTAGCGGGGTGTGGCAGCGCACGCCTGTAATCCCAGCTACTGGGGAGGCTAATTGCTTGAACAGGAGAATTGCTTGAACCCGGGAGGTGGAGGTTGCAGTGAGCCGAGATTGTGCCACTGCATTCCAGCCTGGGTAACAGAGCGAGACTTCATCTCAAAAAAATAAAATAAAATAAAAAAATAAAGTGGTTTCAAATAAGCGTTAAGAATAACCTTGTACATCCCAATTCATTACTTTATCATATTCTTGAATTCTTTGCTTTATGTGAGAAAGTTTATTCTTTAGGTAATCACAGCGTTCTTTTTTTTCCAGAAATGTAGGATCCTGTAAAAGAAATATAAGTATTATTTTGGCTCCTGGCTTCCTCAGTGAAAAACACAGAAACATACATTGTCACCCAGGAAATGATCATACATAGCAAAAGTCTCTACAGCAGATTCTGAACTCAGGGTAACAGTTAAGCTCTCTACATATTTTTTAAATGTACTTTTTTTTTTAGAGCAGTTTTAGGTTCACAGCAAAATCAAGCAGAAGTACAAAGTGCTAAGACACCTTTCATTTTAATATCTGATAAAGCCAGGTACAGTGGCATGTGCCTGTAGTCCCAGCAACTCAGGAGGCTGAGGTGGAAGGATTGCTTGAGCCCAGGTATTTGAGGCCAGCTTAGGCAACATGCCAAGACCCCATCTCTTTAAAAAAAAAGAAAAAGTAATAAGTATAGAAAATACTAATAAACGGTCTCTCCAGCCTTTACTGATTTTTTTTTTCTTTTTGAGACAGGGTTTCACTTTGTTGCCCAGGCTAGAGTGCAGTGGCGTACTGTCTCCCAGTGCAACCTCTGCCTCCCAGGCACAAGTGATCCTCCCACTTCAGCCTCCCAAGTAGCTGGGGCTACAGGCGTGTGCCACCACTACCGGCTAATGCTTGTATTTTTTTGTAGAGACAAGGTTTCGCCATGTTGCCCAGGCTGGTCTCAAACTCCTGGGCTCAAGCGTTCCACTCGCCTTGGCTTCCCAAAGTGCTGGGATTACAGGCCTGAGCCAGTGTCCAGCCACCTCTACTGATTTTGAGATTAAGTTAGAGTTGGAAAGATGTAAAATCAGTTCATCTTTTTGAAGGAACAGGTGGAGAATTCCTGATCAATGCTCATTTCTCTAGGTTGCTAAATCAGGACACAGCAAAATGTATTCAGAGCAGACATGAGAAGAAATGGCATCCAGCAGCCATTTTCTCTTAAAAGGAGCATCCCATGAAATACAAAAAGGAACTATTTTAGCTAACAGAATCTAGAGTCTGTAAATTATCACATATGTACTTGGATAAGAATACAGTTTGAAGAAAACTGTTTTACTCACATTCTTTTTTTTCTTAAACTCTTCATGGATTCTTGAAATTCTCTCATGTTCCTAAAAATAATACATTGTATACTTAAGTTAAAACATTTGCATTTACTCAAATCATATCTCAAAGCACACTGAGAATTAGAACAAAAAATAATTTTTACCTAAGAAAATAATGAAAACATTCACACACAAAAATTCAATTCACAGGCAAATATTTGAAGGCTTACTGTCTGCTAGGCCCAGGCGATAAAAGAGAGAAAGGGCCCTGACCACATGCAACCAGACCCAAGCCCCAGGCCCTTAGGGAGGATACATAGCTTGCCCAGGGTCATACAGCTGGCAAGTTCAGTTTCCTTACTGGTAAAATGGAAATAAAACCATAATGATCTCAAAGGGTTGTAAGAAGGTTCACTTATTTGAAATGATCCTTATAAAGTGCTTGCCACATAATAACCACATTAGCTATGATTATGTTCATCCTTTTTGGAAAGTTCTTTTTTGAGTTATTAGGTGTTGGGATTAAGAAGTTTGAGAGTATGCAACTTTTGAAAATAGCTAATATAAGGCTCCTTGTAACTTTTTTCTAAGTTTTATAATAAATACGAACTTTGTTAAGGAGTTGAACGGCCTATCCAAAGGGAACACATTACTATAGCAATGCCCTCGTTCATCCATGCAAACCTATGCATAGAGATTGTCAGACAATGCAAACCTAATAAATAAATAAATATAATAATTTACAGCGTTTTTTTTTTCATTTTAAGACAGTCTCCCTCTGTCGCCCAGGCTGGAGTACAGTGGCGTGATCTCAGCTCACTGCAACTCCCACCTCTCTGGCTCAAGCTGTTATTGAGCCTCAGCCTCCCAAGTAGCTGGAATTATAGGTGTGCATCACCATGCCCAGCTAATTTTTGTATTTTTAGTAGAGATGGAGTTTTGCCATGTTTCCCAGGCTGGTCTCGAACTCCTGGCCTCAAGTGATCCACCCACCTTGGCCTCCCAAAGTACTGGGATTACACGCATGAGCCACTGTGCCCAGCCAGTAATTTATAGTTCTAAAAGCTTGCCCTACACCTGTAATCCCAGCATTTTGGGAGGCTGAGGCGGGTGGATCACCTGAGATCAGGAGTTCAAGACCAGCCTGGCCAACATGGCGAAACCCCATCTCTACTAAAAATACAAAAATTAGCCAGGCATGGTGGCGGGCACCTGTAATCTCAGCTACTTAGGAGTTTGAGACAGTAGAATCACTTGAACCCAGGAGGCGGAGGTTGCAGTGAGCCAAGATCACGCCACTGCACTCCAGCCTGGGCAACAGAGACTCTGTCTCAAAAATAAATAAATAAATAAAAAACTAATAAAATAAAAGCTTGGCCTGAGAACTTTTTCTATCACTGACCCATATCCTTTTCCCAGTATATTTTCTTCTTCTTTTTTTTTTTTTTTTTTTGAGACAGGGTCTTGCTCTGTTGCCCAAGCTGGAAGGCAGTGGTGTAATAGCTCACTGTAACCAAAACTTCTTGGGCTCAAGTGATCCTCCTGTCTCAGCCTCCCAAGTAGCTGGGATTATACGGCACATCACCAGGCCTGGCTAATTTTTATTTATATTTATTTTTTTTTATTTTTGAGATGGAGTCTCAATTCTGTCACCCAGGCTGGAGTGCAGTGGTGCGATCTCGGCTCACTGCAACCTTCGCCTCCTAGGTTCAAGTGATTCTCCTGCCTCAGCCTCCCGAGTAGCTGGGATTACAGGCACCTGCCACTACGCCCAGCTAATTTTTTGTATTTTCAGTAGAGATGGGGTTTCACCATGTTGGCCTGGCTGGTCTCGAACTCCTGACCTTGTGATTCACCCACCTCGGCCTCCCAAAGTGCTGGGGTTACAGGTGTGAGCCACCATGACCGGCCGCTAACTTTTACTTTTTTGTGTGTAGATGCAGTCTTGCTATGTTGCCCAAGCTCATCTTGAACTCCTGGCTTTGAGCACTCTTCCTGCCTTGTCTCTCAAAGTGTGGGGATTACAGCCATGAGCCCCCTTGCCTGAACTATTTTAATTCTTCAATCTCTTTTACATACTGAGATCATGAGTATGTTTGTGTTTTGAATGCTTGCCAGCAGTGAAGATAAACCTGGTGATTTAATTGTAATCTGTAATAACAGATCCTGGACAAGGAATAAACTTGCTATTGGGGTTAGCACTGCTGTGCTGGAGATGCAGGCAGAGATGAGCTGTAACATCCATCTAGAGTCTGTCACTGAATTTAAGGAGTGGTGAGGACCAGAGGGATTGTTTGGGGCAATATTTCTACTTTATGGGCTCAGAAAAGTCATGTGACTATTTTTCAGTGGTGCACAACCATGTCTGTGGGAGAACCTGCCTCCAAACAGGCCCACTGGGCTTTGAAATGCCTCACATGCTTCCATGGGGACATGGTGGGAAAACGAATGAGCCTGTGGACTCCTGCCCAGGACAAAGCTCAGCCTGTGGCCAAGGAGAAGCTAACTTTTGTAATATGGTTAATATTTCTACTTTAGATAAGGACTGGAGGATACACTGATAATAATAACCGTGGGCCTGCCATTGGGTTACTTACAAGCCCTGTCTTGTTAAAAATCACAGGTAATGGCTGTTGTTGATATTGTGTGGAAACATCATGGGAAGACTTGGTCTCTCAACCTGTACTGTCATCAGGACCCTCTTGATTTCCCAACTGCAGACCATGTGCTGCAGCCCTTGTCCATTCATACAAAGCACACAAACCAGATACCACTGGGTGTTGGCTCAAAGATTACAGGTCAAGGTCAAGATTTTCTTTGTTTTTTTTTTTTGAGACAGAGTCTCACTCTGTCACCCAGGCTGGAGTGCAATGGCACAATCTCGTCTCACTGCAACCTCCGCCTCCCAGGTTCAAGCCATTCTCCTGCCTCAGCCTCCCGAGTAGCAAGGATTACAGGCGCCCACCACCATGCTCGGCTAATTTTTTGTATTTTTAGTAGGGACGGGGTTTCACTATGCTGGCCAGGCTGGTCTCGATCTCCTGACCTCATGATCCGCCTGCCTCGGCCTCCCAAAGTGCTGGGATTACAGGTGTGAGCCACCGCACCCAGCTTTTTTTTTTTTTTTTTTTTTTAAGACAGAGTTTCGCTCTTGTTGCCCAGGCTGGAGTGCAATGGCGCGATCTTGGCACACCAGAGCCTCCGCCTCCTGGGTCAAGCGATTCTCCTGCCTCAGACTTCCCGAGTAGCTGGGATTACACACATGCACCACCACGTGCGGCTAATTTTGTATTTTTAGTTGGGATGGTTTCTTTTTTTTTTTTTTTTGAGATGAAGTCTTGCTCTGTCGCCCAGGCTGGAGTGTAGTGGCACGATCTCAGCTCACTGCAACCTCCGACTCCCGGGTTCAAGCAATTCTCTTGTCTCTGCCTCCTGAGTAGCTGGAATTACAGGCACACACCACCATGCCTGGCTAATTTTTGTATTTTTAGTAGAGACGCGGTTTCACCTTGGCCTCCCAAAGTGCTGGGATTACAGGCATGAGCCACTGTGCCTGGCCGAGATGGGGTTTCTCCATGTTGGTCAGGCTGGTCTGGAACTCCCAACCTCAGGTGATCTGCCCGCCTCAGCCTCCCAAACTGCTAGGATTACAGGTGTGAGCCACCACACCCGGCCTTACAGGTCAGGATTTTCTTCATTATTTCTCCCAACAAGCCTGCATTTCCCAGCCTGTGCTGATCCAGATTCCTGGGGCCTCATGCCTTCCTGCACTCCTTTGACGGCCTCTGAGAGACTAGGTCACCCTTCTTAGACCTGTGGGCCTTGCTTATTTTCCAAATGGTACTGACATTCAACCTCAATATTTGCTGAATTTCTCTTGCTTCCTGGTACTGGCGTCTCTTAGCCAACACCATTCCATTGCTCCAGGATTAGGAAAATGTTACTGTAATACACATTTGGCTTAGTTAACTCATAACGATAAGTGATTTAAATGCACACTTAACAAAGAGTCTGTGATTGAAACAAAGACACCTAACTTCTCAGGTAAAAAATTTATATATATGTGTGTGTGTGTGTGTGTGTGTGTGTGTGTGTGTGTGTGTGTGTGTGTGTTCCCATACATAAATTTGACATTTAGTTTTTTTTGTTTGTTTTTTGGTTTTTTTTGGCTCTGTCGCCCAGGCTGGAGTGCAGTGGCATGATCTTGGCTCACTGCAACCTCCGCCTCCCGGGTTCACACGACTTGCCTGCCTCAGCCTCCCAAGTAGCTGGGACTGCAGGCATGTGCCACCACAGCCAGACCGACATTTAGTTTTTACAAAGCTGTGTTTTTAAAATTTAATCATACATGTAATAGATTAATACAGCCTCTTTTAAAAAGACAGAATATTACACAAATATTTATACCAGCATTATTCGTAACAGCCAATGAGTGGAAATGACTATATAGACATTTGGAAATGACCAAATGTCTATCTCTTGATAAATGGATAAACAAAATGTGGTATATCCATATAGCAGAATATTATTCCACCACAAAAAGGAATATGTATTGACTTATGCTAAAATATGGATGAACCTTGAAAACATTATGCAAAATGAAGAAGCCAGACACAAAAGATTGATATGAAATGTTCAAACTAGGCAAATCCATTCGGACAGAAAGTAGATTAGTGGTTGTCAATGGTTGGACAGAGCTGAGAATGGGAAATAACTGCTAATTCGTAAAGGGTTTCATTTTTTTTTTTTTTTTTTTTTTTTTTGAGACAGGGTCTCACTCTGTTGCCCAGGCTGGAGTGCAGTGGCGCAATCTTGGCCCACTGCAACCTCCACCTCCTGGGTTCAAGTGATTCTCCTGCCTCAGCCTCCCAAGTAGCTGAGATTACTCAGCCTGCCAACATGCCCAACTAATTTTTGTACTTTTAGTAGAGACAGCATTTCACCATGTTGGCCAGGCTGGTCTCGAATTCCTGACCTCAAGTGATCTGCCTGCCTCAGCATCCCAAACTGCTGAGATTACAGGCATGAGCCACCACACCCAGCCAATATAGGGTTTCTTTTTGGGGTGATAAAACTGTTGTGGAATTTGAGTGGTGCTGATTGCAAAACTCTGTAACTATACTAAAATTCACTGAATTGTACACTTTAAAAGGGTGGGTTTATTATATGTGAATGAGATCTCAATTAAAAAGAGTACATCTGGGCCGGATGCAGTGGCTCATGCCTGTAATACCAGCACTTTGGGAGGCTGAGGTAGGTGGATCACCTGAGGTCAGGAGTTCGAGACCAGCCTGGCCTAAATGGGGAAACCCTGCCTCTACTAAAAATACAAAAATTAGCCGGGTGTGCACCTATAGTCCCATCTACTCAGGAAGCTGAGGCAGGAGAATCGCGTAACCTGGGAGGCAAAGGTTGCAGTGAGCCGAGATTGCACCACTGCACTCCCGTCTGGGTGACAGAGCAAGACTCCATCTCAAAAAAAAAAAAAAAAAAGAGTACATCTGATTAAAAAATGGCACAGGTGGCCAGGCACGGTGGCTCACGCCTGTAATCCCAGCACTTTGGGAGGCTAAGGCGGGTGGATCATAAGGTCAGGAGTTTGAGACCAGCCTAACCACCATGGTGAAACCCCGTCTCTACTAAAAATACAAAATTAGCTGGGCATGGTGGCGCATGCCTGAATCCCAGCTACTTGGGAGGCCGAGGTGGGAGAATCGCTTCAACCCGGGAGGCAGAGGTTGCAGTGAGCCGAGATCGCGCCATGGCACTCCAGCCTGGGCAACAAGAGCAAAACTCCATCTCAAAAAAATAAAATAAAATAAAAATTAAAAAATGGCACAGGTTATAAGGCATTCCTATTTCAATATTCCTATTTCAAAATGTGAAAAATGTGGGGGGTGCGGAAGAGCACTACGAAAAAGCTTAAGCCTCTGTAACTACCATATCTACTCCTGGTTTTCCTCTTTGTCATAATCACAGCTACCTGTCTGATGTGTGTGTCCAGCAGCTCACATTTGTAGCATATCTCATATCTGCTTGCTTTTTTTTTTTTTTTTGGAGACATGGTCTCACTCTGTCCTTCAGGCTGGAGTGTAGTGACAAAATCACAGCTCACTGCAAACTCCACCTCCTGGGTTCAGGCAATCCTTGCACCTCAGCCTCCTGCTGGGTCTACAGGTGCATGCCACCATGCCCGGCTAATTTTTATATTTTTTGTAGAGACAGGGTTTCACCATGTTGTCCAGGCTGGTCTTGCATGCCTGGGCTCAAGCGATCTGCCCACCTTGGCCTCTTAAAGTGTTGGGATTACAGGCATAAGCCACTGCGCCTGGCCATTTCTGCTCTCTACTCTTACTCAGTGGGCGCTCTGCCTTTGGGCCTGGGGTGCTAACTGCTGGGCTCTGGCTTAGCAGGGGAATGCAATGCCCCTGGTGGCTTCCCTACATTCCCTTTCTGAATAAACCTTTGTGAATTATCCTAGTTTGAATGTGCTATCTGTCTCCTTTGGGACCCTGACTGACTCAGTATCTATCTTAGGCAAATTCGTATTTTACTTAAGTAAGAAAATAAAATATGGGTAAGCACAGAGTGAAAAAAAAAAAAGAAGAAATACTGTTTAATAATTGAAGACAAAAGATATTAAGTTACATAATTTGAATTGTCATCTTGACTAGACACCTTGAGGATCTCAAATGCTTTCCTAGACACAGAAAGCAGATGTAAATGGTTATAAATTTTTTTAAAAGCCAGATTTTGGGGGCCAGGCGTGGTGGCTCCCACCTGAATCCCAGCACTTTGGGAGGCCGAGGCAGGTGGATCCCGAGGTCAGGAGATCAAGATCATCCTGGCTAACACGGTGAAACCCCATCTCTACTAAAAATACAAAAAAATTAGCTGGGCGTGGTGGCAGGCGCCTTAGTCCCAGCTACTCGGGAGGCTGAGGCAGGAGAATGGCATGAACTCGGGAGGTGGAGCTTGCAGTGAGCCAAGATCACGCCACTGCACTCCAGCCTGGGTGACAGAGTGAGATTCTAGCCTTAAAAAAAAAAAAAAGCCAGATTTTATGCCAAATGCGGTGGCTCATGACTGTAATCCCAGCACTCTGGGAGGCCAAGGCAGGTGGATCACTTGAGGCCACTCTTGGCCAACATGGCAAAACCGCGTCTCCACTAAAAATAGAAAAAAATTAGCTACGTGTGGTGGCATGTGCCTGTAATCCCAGCTACTCGGGAGGCTGAGGCAGGAGAATTGCTTGAACCCAGGAGGTGGAGGTTGCAGCAAGCCAAGATTGTGCCACTGCACTCCAGCCTGGCAACAGAACAAGACTCTGTCTCACAGAAAAAAAAAAAAAAAAAAAAAAAAGCCAGATTTTATTCATCCTCTAGATTTCAGTGCTCCTCCTAGGCAGCTGCACATACTAACCTGTCGGCTTTCCGAATGATGTGGCAATCTGCTCATCACTGCATCCAGCTCATCAAACTTCCTCAGGACAGCCTGAACTTCTGCAGACAGCTCTTTGTACTCTGAAAACTGGTCTTGGAACACAGCTTTATAGCGTTCTCGCTCATCATCTGTCTGAATCACAGGGTATTTTCTAGGGGAAAAACATAAGCCAAAGATATAATTGTTTCACTAAAAGAAGCTGAATGGGAAATCAGCTTATCTTATTCCTTACTGATCATATTGTACCTTCAATTCAATACATTACCTCTCAGATAACAACTATTTACATACACGATTTTAAGCACAGAGTATTAACTTGGAGACAAACTGGAAAATGAAAGGACCAAATGGGGCCCCTCAACTTCTACCTTGAGGAAGAATTCAGACTGACACTCACGCCACATAGTCGGGCATCACGATAGGTTTAGGAATGTGGCCTGGGGGGATGTGTCCACTCAGTAGTTCAGGTTTCATTTTTGCTGTTCTCAGTTCCTTGAAATTAACTTCTGAGTCTCTTTGTCTGTCACCACTGGTGGCCATTTCACACTGCAGTTAGGGAGAAAAAGAGGATTTGTTAATAAACATAAGTAGAAAAAAACCCTCTGAATTCATTCTTAGAAAATGAGGAAGAAGATCAGGTGGGGTGGCTCAAACCTGTAATCCTAGCACTTTGGGAGGACAAAGCCGGAGGATCACATGAGGCCAGGAGTTCAAGACCAGCCTGGCCAACATGGCAAGACCCTGTCTCTATAAAAAGTTTAAGGCCAGGCACAGTGGCTCACGCCTGTAATCCCAGCACTTTGGGAAACCGAGGTGGGCTGACCACTTGAGATCAGGAGTTTGAAACCAGCCTGGCCAACATGGTAAAACCCCATCTCTATTAAAAATACAAAAATTAGCTGGGAGTGGTGGCGGGTGCCTATAATCCCAGCTCCTCGGGAGGCTGAGGCAGGAGAATCACTTGGGCCCAGGAGGTGGAGGTTGCAGTGAACCAAGATTGTACCACTGCACTCCAGCTTGGGAGACAGACTGAGACTCTGTTTAAAAAAAAAAAAATCTGGCAGATGCAGCGGTGTGTGTCTGTAGTCCGCTAGTAGCTACTTGGGAGGCTTGGAGGCTGAGGTGGGAGGATTGCTTGAGTCCAGGAGGTAGAGGTTACAGTGAGCTGTGATTGCATTACTGCACTCCAGCCTGGGCGATAGAGTGAGACTCTGGCTCAAAAAAAAAAAAAAAAAAAAAAAAGAAGAAGAAGAAGAAAATGGGGAGGAAGACAGGAGGAAGAAAAGTGGAAATAAGAGTTAACATTTCACATCACAATTATATGTTTTATAGTCACAAAGTTGTTCTGAACGTTTCTGTAATAGCTAAGGGAATCACATTTGGGATATGGTAATACACAGTAGGTAAAACACACTCCAGCCCCAATCGTGTACATGTCAAAGGTGGATGATGCAATGCCAAACACGCAGTCTTAAGAACTTACCTATTTAGAATTTACACCCCAACTAAACGTAAAAGAATAAAAAATGTAATTCAAAATAAATTCAAGGATAAAAATGGAACAAGCCTACTTAAATGGAAAGAGAAAGTAATGATAATGGCAATTTGGGATGATTTAATTGTAAGTAACCACTGAGTGGATTAGAAAAGGAAATGAGTTGGCCGGGCACGGTGGCTCATGCCTGTAATCTCAGCACCTTGGGAGGCCGAGGTCGGTGGATCACGAGGTCAGGTGTTCGAGACCAGCCTGGCCAGCATGGTGAAACCCTGTCTCTACTAAAAATATAAAAATTAGCCGGGCATAGTGGCGGGCGCCTGTAATCCCATCTACTTGGGAGGCTGAGGCAGGACAATGGTGTGAACCCAGGAGGCGGAGCTTGCAGTGAGCCAAGATCACGCCACTGCACTCCAGCCTGGGCAACAGAGTGAGACTCTGTCTCAAAAAAAAAAAAAAAGAAAAGAAAAGAAGTGAGGTTGAGGCCAGGTGCAGGGGCTTACACGTGTAAGCCTAACACTTTGGGAGGCTGAGGTGGGAGGTGGGAGGATCACTTGAGGCCAGGAGTTCGAGGCTGCAGGGAGCTGTGAATGGTCCACTGCACTCCAGCCTGGGCATCAGAGCAAGACCCTGTCTCTTAAAAAAAAAAAATTAAAAACAGAAGTGAGGTTCAGAGAGGTCAAGTCAATTCTCCAAGGTCACATAACTATTAAGTAGAAAAGCCACAATTAAAACCCAGAACTGGGCCAGGCAAGGTGGCTCACGCCTGTAATCTCAGCACTTTGGGAGGCCGAGGGGGGTGGATCATTTAATGTCAGGAGTTCAAGACCAGCCTGGCCAACATGGTGAAACCCTGTCTCTACTAAAAATACAAAAATTAGCCGGATGTGGTGGTGTGCGCCTGTAATCCCAGCTACTCAGGAGGCTGAGGCAGGAGAATGGCTTGAGCCCGGGAGGCGGAGGTGGCAAGGAGCTGAGATTGTGCCACTGCACTCTAGCCTGGGTGACAGAGCGAGACGCCGTCTCAAAAATAAATAAATAAATAAATAAAACCCAGAACTAGGCCACGTGCAGTAGCTCATTCCTGTAATCCTAGCACTTTGGGAGGCCAAAGCAGGAGGACTGCTTGAGCCCAGATGTTTGAGACCAGCCTGGGCAACATAGGGAGATGCTGTCTCTACAAAAAAAATTAAAAAAATATATTTTTTCTTGAGACAGAGTCTCGTTCTGTGGCCCAGGCTGGAGTGCAGTGGCACGATCTCGACTCACTGCAACCTCTGCCTCCAGGTTTAAGCAATTCTCCTGCCTCAGCCTCCTGAATAGCTGGGACTACAGGTGCACACCACCATGACTGGCTAATTTTTTGTATTTTAGTAGAGATGGGGTTTCACCATATTTCCTAGTCTGGTCTCAAACTTCTGAGCTCAGGCAATCCACCCACCTCAGCCTCCCAAAGTGCTAGGATTACAGGCATGAGCCACAGTGCCTGGCCAAAAAATAAAAAATTAACTGGGTGTGGTGGCATGCACCTGTGGTCCAGGCTACTTGGGAGTCTGAGGTGGGAGGATTACTTAAACCCAGGAGGTCAAGGCTGTAGTGAATCGTGATCATGCCACTCTACTCAGCCTGGGTGACAGAGTGAAACCCTGTCTCAAAAAACAAACAAACAAATAAATAAATAAATAACCCAGAACTATTTGGTTTATTGATACTTTTTTTTTTTTTTTTTTTTGATACAGAGTCTCACTGTGCCACCCAGGCTGGAGTGCAGTGGCGAGATCATATAGCTCACTGCAGCCTCGAACTCCTGGGCTCAACCTATCCTCCCTCCTTGGCCTCCCAAAGTGCTAGGGTTACAGGTGTGAGCCACGGTGCCTGACCTGGTTCATTGATACTTTAAATGAATAACATAAAGAAACCTGTTAGCTTAAATGTATATTGTTCATATCCTAAAGTTGCATGAAGTTCTAGTAGCACACTAGAAGTGAGCTTGTGATGGACAGGGCAAGCAATGCCATACTGCTACTGGAAAGTAAGATCGTGCTTGGGAACATGATTCCTCTTTGGAGCAGTAACCTCCCTCCCCTCTACTGACCCCTTAAGCCTTCGAGAAATGCTTGCTGAACTAAACTGAGAGTGGCTTGGGAGGGCCCCTACTTCACTGCAAATAAAAAACCAAACAGGATTTTAAAACCTTAATCTTCATCTTGCCAGGAAGCTTTAAAAATCCTTTGTTTCCTGATTTCCTTACCCTGAAACTGGCTTTGGTTTAATATTAGCTCATTCTAAAAACCACTAGCACTTTAACTCACCAAATAGCACACCCTTTAGATTGGATTAGGTGTGGAGGCTGCTAACCAGCCCTAGGGGAAGGTTATGAAAAGGAAAAGCTCTCCAACCATGGCTCTAGGTGGGACAGAAGCCAGATCACCTAGATGTAGAAAGCATGCCTCGCCACTTGGTCTCCCAATCTGCAAAAACATGAGTGGCGAGCAGAGTACCCCGAGGAAATGAAATTAAGCCAGGATATTTTTAGGCAACACATTTTGAAGTTAGTATTTATTCTGCTGTATTTCTTGCTGATTAGGATGCCATTTCTTCATCCTAATGAATTCCTATATACTTAGTCTTGAAAACGAATAATGGTATTAAACATTAGGGGGAGCATTTTTGGCTTTAATAAATGAATTTCTATTTCTCTTTAACTTCTGTTTTATTTTTTTTGACCCCCATATGGACACATGGTTTAACTCCTAAATGTTTAACAATCCAGATCTCATGGTGCTGAGGAAGCTGCTATGAGCTTGTTGATCCTCTGGATCTCAGCAGCAGTCCCAGCATCAATCTCAGATCTCCTGGTCAAAGCTGCTTTGGGCAGAAGGTCCATCATTAATTTGTTTTCTACATAAAATTTTTTTAAGGAAGAACTAATCATTTTTCTTACTTGCCCATCCCTAATTGTAAGACTTACCTTTTAATATAGAAAGGGAGCCTGAAGAAATCAGAATATTTCCATGTAGACATTTCATCTGCTTTAAATTTATTTTAATTACTTAATTTATTTATTTTTGAGACAGTCTCGCACTATTGCCCAGGCTGGAGTGCAGTGGTAACAATCTGGATCTCAGCTCACTGCAACCTCCACCTTCCAGGTTCAAGTCATTCTCCCGCCTCAGTCTCCCAAGTAGCTGGGATTACAGGCTTGCGCCACCACACCCGGCTAATTTTTTGTATTTTTAGTAGAGATGGGATTTTGCCATGTTGCCCAGGCTGGTCTCAAACTCCTGACCTCTGGTGATCCACCCACCTTGGCTTCCAAAAATGCTGGGATTACAGGTGTGAGCCACCATGCCCGGCCTAAATTTTTTTTTATTTTTATGGTCTTAACTTTTTTTCTGCTCTTTTTGGATGAACCTTCCCGATCATCAGTTTGGAAAACTCTATTGGGAAAAAACTTTTTTTTTTTTGAGACATAGTCTCGCTCTGTCACCCAGGCTGGAGTGCAGTGGCACGATCTTTGCTCACTGCCACCTCTGCCTCCCAGTTCAAGCCACTCTCCTGCCTCAGCCTCCCGAGTAGCTGGGATTACAGGCATGCACCACCATGCCTGGCTAATTTTTGTATTTTTAGTAGAAATGGGGTTTCACCATGTTGGCCAAGCTGGTCCCAAACTCCTGGCCTCAAGAGATCCACCTGCTTTGGCTTCCCAAAGTGCTCGGATTACAGGCGTGAGCCACTGCACCTGTTCTCTATTGGGAAGAAATCTAAAACCACATATGAGACAAAGAATTAAATCTTCGTCAGGCTTTTGTGGGAAGACTGCATTAAGCTCCAGCACGGGAAAGGCCACTCTTAGACAGTACTCTTGATGACAGACATGTCAAAGGAAAGGGGAAAATGTCCCAGTGCCCCAGAGTAACATGACCGTTCTTTGCTTCCAGCAAAAACTAGTCTAAGTAATGTTATGAATATAATTATTAAACTTTTCAACTTAAAAATGGGCTGAATGAATATCTGTCAGGTTAGAAATAGAGAGAACTAAGGGAGGCTGAGGCAGGACAATTGCTTGAACCAGGAAGTCGGAGGTTGCGGTGAGCCGAGATCGTGCCACAGCACTCCAGCCTGGTGACAGAGTGAGACTCTGTCTCAAAAAAACAAACCAAAAAAAAAAAAGGAAAAGATATAGGGAGAACTAGCTATGTGTTTCAGTATGCATTTATTTCTCCAATTCTTGATTCTCTCTCCCTTTGAGTGTATAATATAATAATGCACAGGCCCCTGACCTCAAACCCATACCATCACGTTCCATGCCCACATTAGATTCCGGCTTTTCTAGCTTATAATATAAACCTGCACAGCACTTAAAGCACAGACTTCAGAATTTGTTGCTGTCTCTATGTGATCTTATATCTATTATTTCTTTTAAAAGTAGTCTTATTTGCTTTTAAAAATTATATTAATTAAAACACAAAATAAGAAGGCACCCCCTAGTATTAAACCAAACAACAGACAGGAAACTGAAGTTCAGAGAAAGTAAGCAATTTCCCCAGGATCGCAGAGCTAGTAAGTAGCTGACCTAGTACTCAAATTTAGATTGCCTGATTCTGAAGTTCACTTGCTGGCTGGGTGAGGTGGCTCACACCTGTAATCCCAGTGCTTTGGGAGGCTGAGGCAGGAGGATCACTTAAGACCAGCCCAGGCAACATAGTGAGACCTCTTCTCTACTAAAAATTATTTAAAAATTAACTGGCATGGTGGTGCATGCCTGTAGTCCCAGCTACTTGGGAGGTTAAGGTGGGAGGATTGTTTGAGCCCAGGAGTTTGCGGCTGCCCTCAGCCTGGGTGACAGACCCTTTTGAATTTTCAACCAAGTAAATATGCTCTCTTTTCAGAGAAACAAATCCAAAGACTGAATTCTCAACTCCTTGCTAAGAAATAATGTCCAGGCCGGGCGCGGTGACTCACGCCTGTAATCCCAGCACTTTGGGAGGCTAAGGCGGGTGGATCACGAGGTCAGGGGTTCGAGACCAGCCTGACCAACATGGTGAAACCCTGTCTCTACTAAAAATACAAAAATTGGCTGGGTGTGGTGGCGGGCGCCTGTAATCCCAGCTATTCAGGAGGCTGAGGCAGGAGAATTGCTTGAACCTGGGAGGCGAAGGTTGCAGTGAGCTGAGATCGCACCACTGCACTCCAGCCTGGGCGACAGAGCAAGACTCTGTCTAAAAATAATAATAATAATAATAATAATAATAATGTCCAGTATCTCAAAAAATGAGGGTAAAATTTTCAATGAGGGTAAAATTATGATTATTAAAATAAATTATTACATATATGTAAATAATGATAACAGCATCTCACTGAGTCCTCTCAGCAAACTTGCGAGGTATGAATTATTATTATTGCAATCTCACAGATGAAGAAATGCAGGCATAGAAAGGTTAAATAATTTGTCTGCTGCCACACAGTTGGTAAATTGTGGAATAGAAATTCCCTGACACTACAAAATTTGGCATCTTTAAAAAAAAGTATTATTGGCCGGGCATGCTGGCTCACACCCATAATCCCAGCACTTTGGGAGGCCGAGGCGGGCGGATCACGAGGTCAGGAGATCGAGAACATCCTGACCTCGTGAAACTAGCTAACATGGTGAAACCCCGTCTCCACTAAAAATACAAAAAATTAGCCGGCCGCGGTGGTGGGCACCTGTAGTCCCAGCTACTCGGGAGGCTGAGGCAGGAGAATGGTGTGAACCTGGGAGGCGGAGCTTGCAGTGAGCCGAGATAGCGCCACTGCACTCCAGCCTGGGCGACAGAGACTCCATCTCAAAAAAAAAAAAAAAGTATTATTATTATTAATTTCTTTTTTAACTGTCCTGTGAGTGTAGTAAAAAATTTGGCATCTGAAAGCAAGGTGAGAAGGATACAAAGAACAGCACAGAACTTTAAATACAAGTGAAGAAAGTTTCAGAGAATCACTTTCATTTAAAAAATAATTAAATTTCAAACATATGTTGGTTTGTTTACTTGCATAAATTTTCATCTAACAAAATTAAAAGCAGCTATAGATATGATTGTTTAATTTGGTCCTTTTAGTATCTGGAAAAAAGCTCAAAGTCCTAATATGAACTCGATGTAACAGCTACAATTTCTTTTTTTTTTTTTAATATATATATATTTTTTTATTATACTTTAAGTTTTAGGGAACATGTGCACATTGTGCAGGTTAGTCACATATGTATACATGTGCCATGCTGGTGCGCTGCACCCACTAACTCGTCATCTAGCATTAGGTATATCTCCCAATGCTATCCCTCCCCGCTCCCCCGACCCCACCACAGTCCCCAGAGTGTGATAATCCCCTTCCTGTGTCCATGTGATCTCATTGTTCAATTCCCACCTATGAGTGAGAATATGTGGTGTTTGGTTTTTTGTTCTTGCGATAGTTTACTGAGAATGATGATTTCCAATTTCATCCATGTCCCTACAAAGGACATGAATTCATCATTTTTTATGGCTGCATGTAATAGCTACACTTTCTTTTCTTTTCTTTTTTTAAACAGTCTCACTCTGTCACCCAGGCTGGAGTGCAGTGACGTGATCTTGGCTCACTGAAACCTTCACCTCCCAGATTCAAGTGGTTCTCGTGCCTCAGCCTCCAGAGTAGCTGGGATTACAGGCGTGTGCCACCACGTGCAGGTAATTTTTGTATTTTTGGTAGAGACAGGGTTTCACCATTTTGGCCAGGCTGGTCTTGAAATTCTGGTCTCAAGTGCTCCGCCCTCCTCAGCCTCCCAAAGTGCTGGGATTACAGGTGTGAGCCACCACACCTGGCCAATAGCTACATTTCACAGATGTACGATACTACTATGTAGATAAACAGACCTAAGAGAAAAGTATTAACAAATCTAAAGCATAATATGAAGTAAACTTTATTCTTACCATTTTCCTTTTCGATGACAATGATGGCTCATTTATCTGGAACAAAAAGAGTTCAAATAGTTTTTCAAAGGCATGTGAAGCTACTTTGCAAATATTTTCATCCATTTGCATTTATAGCCCAACCTCAATTTTAAGAGGTTGATCCTCTACTTGACGGGTGTTTCTCATCCTTTTTTTGCCTAGGTTTTGAAGGGCCAGTGGAGAACTGAGAAGAGGGATAACTGTAATTCCCTGTCAATCAGGGCATAGAGAGGAGTAGGGAATACGGAGATGGTGGAAACTGTTAGATAAACCACTCTGAATTACCCTCAAATTTTATTTATTCTTGCCTCCCATTACTTTGCATGATTAAAGAGTTAGGACAATTACTCTATAAAATTAATAGAAAAAAGCCCTAGGCCATTACATCTTCTAACCTTTAGGAAGTTATAGCAACGTACAGACAGGCACAACTTTCAACATCAGGTGACTGAAGTCTAATTAGGCATTATGAAAAGTCTCATAGACATAAGTTTTTGTTGAGAAAGGAAAAAGAAATAAAAGTATTATGTTGATCATTCTATTCATATAGAATTTTTAAATATTAAGATTTAATAACTTATGCAACTAGCATAAATTTATGAGGAAGTATGTGTTTCACTATCTGGATTTCATACTGATTAGAATTAACATTTTTTACTTTGTACACAGAGATGTACATTTAAGAAATAAATTGTAACTTTAAGAAACAAAAATTTAATACATGTGAAGGTTACATAAAAAAACAAAAATGTAAGAAATATGCTTAAAATGCTAAGACACATTTTTAGAAATAACTTGAATCTATGTAGAGTTCTAGCAAGATAAATTATTTTGTGACAATCAAGCTAGGCATGGTGGCTTATGCCTGTAATCCCAGCACTTTGGGAGGCTGAGGGGAGAGGATTGCTTGAGGCCAGGAGTTTGAGACCAGCCTGAGCAACATAGCAAGACCCCGTCTCTACAAAAAATTTAAAATATATAGAGAGAGAGATCACATGGACACATGTCAAAGTCCTTTGTATAACATGTAGGTACTTGTTATAAAACTATTTTTTTCCATCAAGCACAGTGGCTTATACTTATAATCCCAACACTTTGGGAGGCTGAGGCAGGAGGATTGCTTGAGCCCAGAAGTTCGAGACCAGCCTGGGTAACATAGTGATACCCTGTCTCTACAAAAAATATTGAAAAATAGCCAGGTGTGGTGGTGTATGCCTGCAGTCCCAGCTACCTGGGAGGCTGAGGTGGGAAGATTGCTTGAGCCTGGGAGGTCAAAGCTGGAGTGAGCCATGATTGTGCCACCGTATTGCAGGCTGGGTGACAGAGTTAGACCCTTCCTCAAAACAAACCATCAACAACAACAACAACGACAACAAAACGATTTGTTTCCCATTCCACTAGGTGTAAAAAGAAAATCTAAGGCTGGGTGTGGTGGCTCACGCCTGTAATCCTATCACTCTGGGAGGCCAAGGCAGATGGATCACCAGAGGTCAGGAGCTCAAGATCAGCCTGGCCAACATGGCAAAACCCTGTCTCTACTAAATACAAAAATTAGCTGGGCATGGTGGCATGTGCCTGTAATCCCAGCTACTAGGGGGGCTGAGGCAGAAGGATCACTTGAACCTGGGAAGCGGAGGTTATAGTGAGCAGAGATTGTGCCACTGCACTCCAGCCTGGTGCCAGATATTGGGGGAAATTCATCCCCGATATTTCACATAGGTTCTTTTCTATATTCCCTAAGTGTCGGCCAGTCTGAGAAATAAAGGGAAAGAGTACAAAAGAGAGAAATTTTAAAGCTGGGTGTGCAGGGGAGACATCACATGTCGGCAGGTTCCGTGATGCCCCCGAGCCGTAAAACCAGCAAGTTTTTATTAGTGATTTTCAAAAGGGGAGGGAGTGTATGAATAGGGTGTGGGTCACAGAGATCACATGCTTTACAAGGTAATAAAATATCACAAGGCAAATGGAGGCAGGGCGAGATCACAGGCCACAGGACGGGGCAAAATTAAAATTGCTAATGAAGTTTCAGGCATGCATTGTCACTGATAACATCTTATCAGGAGACAGGGTTTGAGAGCAGACAACTGGTCTGACCAAAATTTATTAGGCGGGAATTTCCTCGTCCTAATAAGCCTGGGAGCACTACAGGAGACCAGGGCTTATTTCATCCCTTATCTATGATTGTAAAAGACAGCCATCCCCAAAGCGGCCATTTCAGAGGCCTACCCTCAGGGATGCATTCTCTTTCTCAGGGATGCTCCTTGCTGAGAAAAAGAATTCAGCGATATTTCTCCTATTTGCTTTTGAAAGAAGAGAAATATGGCTCTGTTCCGCCCAGCTCACAGGCAGCCAGAGTTTAAGGTTATCTCCCTTGTTCCCTGAACATTGCTGTTATCCTGTTCTTTTTTCAAGGTGCCCAGATTTCATATTGTTCAAACACACATGCTCTACAAACAATTTGTGCAGTTAACTCAATCATCACACGGTCCTGAGGCAACATACATCCTCCTCAGTTTATGAAGATGACGGGATTAAGAGATTAAAGACAGGCATAGGAAATCACAAGGGTATTGATTGGGGAAGTGATAAGTGTCCATGAAATCTTCACAATTTATGTTCAGAGACTGCAGTAAAGACAGGCATAAGAAATTATAAAAGTATTAATTTGGGGAATTAATAAATGTCCATGAAATCTTCACAATTTATGTTCTTCTGCCATGGCTTCAGCTGGTCCCTCTGTTTGGGGTCCCTGACTTCCCGCAACAGTGCCACTGCACTCTGGCAACAGAGTGAGACTCTGTCTCAAAAAAAAAAAAAAAAAGAAAGAAAAGAAAATTAAAAAAACCAAAAAACGGGCCAGGCATGGTGGCTCACACCTGTAATCCCAGCACTTTGGGATGCCAAGGCAGGTGGATTGCTTGAGTCCAGGAGTTTGAGACCAGCCTGGACAACATGGCAAATACTCATCTCTAAAGAAAAAAAAAATTAAAAAAATTTTAAAACCAAAGCGCTATTTGTTGCTATGCATCAGATTCAAGCAAAAGATTAAAAACAAAATACATATGTCAGTGTGTGCTGTTATAAGGACAGGATTTAATTTTTATTTATAGTTTTGCCCAATATATACCATGTGCAATTGTATAGTATCTAAGAAGTCTTAGGAAAAGTGGAAAAGCAAAAATTCATAATATAGTTAACTTAAAATTACAAAAAATTTTAAGGTAAATACTGAAAATTTCAGTGGCATAGGAGAGTCTACTATACACATATCCTTGGAAGAAGGCAAAATATCAACTTACTTCAGAGAATAATGTAGCCAGTGGAACATACTCTAACATTTGCTACTGTTCAACCAAAATAATTTTAGGTAGGGCTTTTATCTCATCCTTCAGTTATTATTATTTTATTCTTCTTATTGTTCTCATTATTATTTATTCTCATTATTATCCTATTAAGTTCTAGAAATATAAAAACAATGTAGGACTTCCATTCTCATTTTGGACCATACGTCTTCCTCAAATAAAGACAAATTATCAAAACCACTGGGCAAGTTTTCAGAGTATGTTCATTACAATTCAATCTCTCAATACTTAAAAAAAATCAAACATGGTTTACCACATTCTTATTTGGCTTTATTCAACTCACTGGGAGAAAGTAAATTGTAACATTTAAATGAAAAATTAGGAGCTTTTATTAAAGAATTAAGATTGTTCTCAAACTTAATGATGAGACACTTATTTTACTGAGTACACTCTTCTTCTTTGCAAAAATTCGGTAGCTGTATCTTTCCCTTAAGCTTCAGACAGACATAATAATGCAGCCAACAAACTATATATTACACATCTGGTGTCTACTTGCAATGTTATGTAACAGCCAAACACCAGAGTGGGTTATCCCAGTCAAAGCATGTCAGATATTGCACTAGGACTTTTGAATCTCAGACCATTGAAAAAAAAAAAAAGGAAGAAAGAAAAGATTTCTATGAAAGCTTTCTGTTTTGAGCGCTATACATTTTTTAACAAGGGAGCAAATAACAGAAAAAACAAACATACACACACAAATGAGGGATTATGAAATCACTTACCTCCTGTTGTTCCATATATTCTCTATGTCTCCGAGCTGCCTCATGCCTCCATAACTTTAGGCAAACCAAAGCACTAATGAGATAAACTATCATGGTGACAAACAGGAAGATCATTGCAGCTATCTGTCCTCCTTCTACCCGGCAGAACACTGCATTCACTGGTGTATTAAATAACGGATAGTAGCAGAGGCCACCTCGGTTGGTATCATTCACATAGACTATGGCTGCGGCCATATACAAAATAAACAAGGCAACGTTAATTCCAAATTCAGTTAGGGGCCACCAATTAGAGTCCAGAAGAATGGTCCGGTAATACATGGACATGCCAAGAACCAGAATAATAATGGTGGTGATCCAAGCTAATCCAGCAACCACGAGTACAAAAGGGGTCTTAGGGCCAGTGTAGTAATAGCCCCCATACATACTGCCCAATCCACCAACGCCTCCCATGCCATACGGTTGTGAATATCCAAACAAGTTGTACCACTCACTGTCCTTGTGAATGTAAGCTGTGACACAAGCAAAGACACCGGCCCCCAAAAGCAGCTCCACCACACCCAGTATTCTCAGCAGGCCTGCCCACGACTTCATGTAGGAGTATCTCAGGTTATACTCCTCCACCTTCTCACTGTATGTTCGAACTGTTTGTGTGTGTCGGTCTAGAGATCCATAGGGATCCCGGGGAAACACTGCGTCAGCCTCTTTCCGGGAACTAAAGGTTCCTTCTGACCCTCCGTAGGGATCTTTGCAGGAGTTGAGGGGCGAACGGTGGTTTGGTCTTGCTGGAGAGGCTGGTGGTGAACACTCCACTCCATCGGAGATGTACCTGATATCAGACACCGGCTTATCCCATTCGGGGTCCTTTTTCTTCCCTCTGAAAAAGTTCTTCCAGGAGTCAGGGACAAAGCGCCTTACTGGTTTGAGATCTGGCGCTATAGCTGGTTCTTCTGTGTCACTTGAGTAGAAGTCTGGGCCGAATGGTGGCTGTAATGGGAGAGGGGGTGGTGGCAAGGGATCAGCGCTCACTGCCCGCTCACTGTCATGAAGAGTTGGGTGGGTTCTTATGGTGGTATCTTGATAGGGCAGGTCGCTTGGGACCTCATCGTAGCGCCTGTCCCGATTCCTGGATCTTCCATCATTTGACATTTGTGATTTTCACACCTGTGGCCAAATTTAAAGTTATCACTTATGATTAGTTACTTATCCTCTCAATGATGCTGATTTTATTCATGTAGTAGCAAAAAGTATTTAGGAGACCAACAGGATCATGTCTAATTATTATGATATACAAAAATGATAAATATGATACCGGGCACGGTGGCTCATGCCTGTAATCCCAGCACTTTGGGAGGCCAAGACAGACGGATCATTTCAGGTCAGGAGTTTGAGACCAGCCTGACCAACATGGTGAAACACTATCTCTACTAAAAATACAAAAACTAGCCAGGCGTTGTGGCATGCGCCTGTGATCCCAGCTACTCAGGTGGCTGAGGTATAGACCGCTTGAACCCGGGAGGCAGAGGTTGCAGTGAGTCGAGATTGCGCCACTGCACTCCAGCCTGGCTGACACAGTGAGTCTCTGTCTCTAAAAAAAAGAAAAAAAAAAAGAAATGAAAAATGATTTATAAATCTAATTTATCTGTGAGCCCTATTAAACAATAAAATAAAAAACAAAAGTGACAAAACTTTAACACAACAGAACGCGAACACACTCCCAAGTAGAGTCATTTCCTCAAACATCTAAATCAAAATACTAAGAGTTTGAGTGTAGCGAAATTTGATGGGTCAGCAAATATTCTTCATTTTCACTTGGAATAGCCTAGGAGAGGCAGTCTGTTAAAACACAGGGTATGCACAGCCCTTCCCCTTCCTAAATCAACAAAGTCATTTTAGAGGACTTGCTTCTTCCAGTCTAAAATATTAACAATTGAAACTAGATGTAAAAAAGTTGAATCTCAGAGACAACATCACCAAAGGCTAAGGCTCCCCCAAGGCACAATAGAGAATGGCAGCAATGACCATTACTATTACTCTTTCGAGGGCAATTCAGGTGATTTACTGTTCCCAAGGAGAGACTCAAGTATCTCAGAAGGTATTCAATCCACCTCAAAAATAAAGCATAGAAAATGCACTTTTACTAAGCCTGTTGATTCATGAAATCAATGCTCTGCACCCATATACAGAAAGAAGGAAACCATTTGTGAATTAACTACTAGTTTTAAGGTATGCTGAATTTCTCTCTCGAATTGTTTATAAGTATTTTGTTTGAAGACTTAAAAAAATTTTTTCATTCACACCCTGCCAAGACTCATTATTGAAGACTTAAACTGGGCACATGGTATTGTACTTGATACTATGAAGGTCTCAAAATTAAAATGGATAACCCCATCTTTTTTGTTATTGTTTTATTTATTTAATATTTTTAAGACAGGGTCTCACTCTGTTTCCCAGGCCAGAGCATAGGAGCACAATCATAGCTCACTGCAGCCTCAATCTCCCTGGCTCAAGCACTCCAGCTGCCTCAGCCTCCTGAGTAGCTGGGACTACAGGTGCATGCCACCATACCCAGCTAATTCTTTTTTTTTTTTTTTTTGAGACAGAGTCTCAATCTGTTGCCCAGGCTGGAGTGCAGTGGTGCCATCTCGGCTCACTGCAAGCTCCGCCTCCCAGGTTCATGCCATTCTCCTGCCTCAGCCTCCCAAGTAGCTGGGACTACAGGTGCTCGCCACCACGCCCGGCTAATTTTTTGTATTTTTAGTAGAGATGGGGACCATGTTAGCCGGGATGATCTTGATCTCCTGACCTCATAATCCACCCGCCTCGGCCTCCCAAAGTGCTGGGATTACAGGTGTGAGCCACCACGCTCGGCCGCTAATTCTTTAAAATTTTTAGTAGACATTAAGTATCACTATGTTGCCTAGGCTGGTCTTGAACTCCTGGGCTCAAGCGATCCTCCTGCCTTGGCCACCCAAAGTGCTGGGATTACAAGCGTTAGCCACTGCACCTGGTCTGATAACCCCATCTTTATACTGTTGAACAATTTGGAAATTCCTAAGGCTTTATTTTATTTTACTTTGGAAAACGAAGACCCTTCATTTAACCTGCCTTGCACCAGGCATGCTGAAAGTATACTGGTGGACAAACCAGACTGAAATCCTTGCCTTCATGATGCTTTAACCGGGGGAGTGCCGGGCAGATTGACAGATGATAGATAAATGAAATATACAGTATGCTAAAGAACAAAGTTGAGAAAGGGGGTAAAGACTGCAATGGGGACAGGATGTTACCATCTTAAACCGAGTGGGCAGGGAAATCTTCACAGAGAAAGGGATATCTGAGTATAGAACTGAAGGTGAAGGAGGAAGCCAGGCCATTATCAGGGACAAGTGTTCAGGCAGATGGAATAGCTAGCGCAAATGCCCTGAAGCAGGAGTGCCTGGTATGTTCAAGAAATATTTAGGCATGGAAGCTACTGTGGCAGCAGCAAAGTGGGTAAGAAGGTGAATAGTAGAACTGAGGCCATCTGAATCATGTAGGGCCTTGAAAACCACTGGAAAGAAAGGACTTTGTCTTTTGCTAGGAGTGAGATGAGAAGCCACTGGAGGATTCTGAATAGAGGAGTGACATGACTTGACTTGTTTTAACAGTATCACTATGGATGCTGTGTTGAGAGTACACTCCAGAAGGCAAGAGGTAAAACAGGAAGACTGGCTAGGCCATTGAAATAATCCAATGGATCACTGAGATCTTGAGAAGAGGTCAAATGCTAGACAGGTATTTAAAATTTTTATTATAGAATTTTTCAAACATAATAAAAAGTAGAAAGAATAGCATTATGAACCCTTGTGTACCCACATCCAGCTTCTACACTTATCGATTTATGGCCAAACTTGTTTCATTTATACTCCCCATACTATTTCCTCTGCCAATAGAGTCCTCTGAAGTAAACCCCAGACATCTGATCATTTTATCTATCTATACCTCATTCTCCACCCCTCCAGCTTAGCCTTGGGGAGCAGCAGACTGAAGAGTGTTTCAGATGCGTTAAAAATCCAGGTAGAGACGTTAAGAGGGCAAGCAAGGCACACAGGGTATGTACAGACTGGAGACAAGGGAATGCGGTGGAAACCCAGGGTCTTCTAATAGGGCACTCCGACCTTAGAGGATTAACTGTGATGGCCCCAGCAGGGTGCCCAATGCAAAGCGGCTCTGTATATTATAACAATCAGTTATTTTTGTACCTTTCTCTTTCTTTCTCTAAAAAAGTGTAAGTTCTAGAAATGCTATTACGACTCTAGTTTTTGAAACACATTCCTAAGAAATGTAGAAGCAAAAGCACAACAAATGATTTTAGCAAGTTTTACACAGCATTTACAGGATACGCTATGCTTAATTCAACTCACTGGTAAAAATACGATTCACTGTAATGGATTTAACTCTTCACCTGTGAAGTGGCTTATTTGAATCAAACCACCCTATCCATTTTTAAAGAAAAAACAAGCAATTATTAAAGAGTTGTGGAAAAGCAAGATAATGTGATTTTTAGAAGGGAATGGTTAGCTGTATTTCATTACATCTTAAATATCTGGATACCCCTAATGTCTTTCAAGATGTCACTGAGAGTTCGTTCTGGTCCCGCAGGTCGCGGCAGCGTGTGTCTTTGTCCTGCTCAGGCCCCGGACCCTTACTCCACTCTTGGACACTCATCTTGGAAAGCCGCGGCAATGGCAGGAGAAATGGCTGCCCCAGCAAAGTGTCACAGGAATCATGCCTGGTCACCTTTACACAAACAGAACCACCGGTTTACCTGGCTTAAAAGTTTTGCTGGACCCAAGAAACGGGTAGATTTCGGATACTTCTGCGCTTCCGAGGGGTCGGGAAAGGCTCTGCGGTTCTAACTAACCCACGACTGCCCGGGGGTACCGAGCATTTTAGCTGTGGGGTCTCCCCCGCGCCAGCCTCTGGGCGCCCGGTCCCACAAATCTCATTGTGTCCTCGGTTCTGCCCGCGCCGGCTAGGCGTTCGTCTTCGCGTTTCTGGCTGAAACCCACTGTCTTTGGAGATTCCGACCCAACGAGGCCGAAACTAAGCCGGGAGACCTCCCAGGTAAGGAGCACCGAGATCGCCCCGAGGTGCGCGCCCCGCCCCGCGCCCGGAAGGACGGCGGCTCGGCCGCACCTGCGTCCGCAGAGCGAAACCTGGCGGGACGCGGGCCTCCCCGGATCCCTGGCTCCGGCCTCCCCCGCGGGCTATGGCAGGCTGAGCGCCGAGCGCGGGCAGCCGTCCGTCGCAGCACACCTGGGCCGGGGGCCGCCGGGCCCTCCTCTCCCGGTCACGTGGCCCCACCCCGGTCCCACTTACCTGCGCAGCCGCCAGGAAGAGCGCGCACGCTGCCCAGGACTCTGAAACCGGTATCGGGCTCCCGGGGTGGGGGCGGGGCCGGGACGGGACGAGCCCAGCTTTCCCCGCCCGGCTTTGCCCCGCCCGGATCTGTCGGCCCGACAACCGCTCTGGGCCCAGGCTGCTCGGTGCCACCAGCCGGCACGTCGCGGCAATGACCACACACTGGGCTCTTTTGGAAAGAGTTTACAGTTCTCATCGCAACGTTGCCATCCTCTTCCCTATCTTTTGAAAAGTTTGACACTGGGGGAGGGAGATTGGTGCACTGTGCTTAAGGACCCATGGCAGCGAGTGCGTGCTAGATAATGTTAAAAGACAGGAGAAACAAAATTAAATTCAACATTTTAATTGTGATATAACTTATGTAAATACTTTCCAAAAAGTATCTAAGATATTCCACTGTACAACACATCAAAACTATCTGAGAAGCGGGAGACAATAAAGTGTAAATAAGGCACACAGTTTACACTCGTAATTGCATCCTAAACTGTTGAATAGTTGATATTTACAACCCCCCAATAACGTTTTTGCATCCTGAATTAGTCCTTCACATCTTGATATTTGGCATAATGTTCAAACACACTTTATACACACTGACCGCTCCTTAAACCACTCACAGATTTAATAAATACCGAAAAAATTAAGAGATTTGAAGGCTTGATCTTCTATTTACTTCAAGATGACAGAAGAGTAGGTTTCTTGTGATGAAATACTACAAGAATGAAGAATTAACAAACTGTTGTGTAATTCATCAGAAAAGCATATTAACTCTGCTGAAGTACCACTGAATGAAACAAAAATGAAGCTGTGAAGTAGCAATCTGATTAGCAGGCTGGCTTCTATGTCCCATCACTCTCGTAGTCTTCTATTATTATGTTTTCTTCCATGTCTCCTTGGGCTGAAAAGGGCTGGGGCTGGCTAGCAGGCAGTTCACTGGCACTATTCTGACTCAAAGGAAGAGACCAGGTTTCCGGCACAGTGGCTTGAGTGGGTTCACCCAGAGATTCCTCTGCAGAATGTCCTCCATTAAGCTGGGCTTCATCTCCGCTGTCAGGGTCTATCATTCCATGTTCCCTGTCAGTCAGGGCTTCCATTTTCAATCTGTCAGATTCACAGTGCAGGCATTAATAAGAACCAAAGGAGAAGATTTTTAAATTACACCATGAGTGTGATGATTATGAAGCCATCTTTCATTTACCTACATTGTGCTGTTTAGCTAGTCCCTTTAACTATAAAAACAAAACTACAAGGTAAATGACAAACTGAATAAGTTCCTACAACTTAAAATACAAAAAGGAGCTGAACACGATGGCTCATGCCTGTACTATCTGCACTGTGGGAGGCCAAGGCAGGCAGATCACTTGAGGCCAGGAGTTCAAGACCAGCCTGGCCAACATGGCAAAAACCCATCTCTATTGAAAATAGAAAAATTAGCCAGGCGTGGTGGCACGCATCTGTAATCCCAGCTACTCAGGAGGCTGAGGCAGGAGAATTGTTTGAACCCAGGAGGCAGAAGCTGCAGTGAGCCAAGCTCGTGCCACTGAACTCCAGCCTGTACGACAGAGCAAGACTCTGTCTCCAAACAAAAAACAAACAAACAAAAAAACCAAACCAAACCACAACAACAAAAACACCTAAAAATAAAAAGAAATAATGTCTTCAGTAAAGAATTTTTCTTTTTTCTTTTTTTTCATTGAGACTGTCTTTCTCTATCGCCCAGGCAGGAGTGCAGTGGTGCAATCTCAGTTTACTGCAACCTCTGCCTCCCAGGTTCAAGCGATTCTCCTGCCTCAGCCTCCCAAGTAGCTGGGATTACAGGCACATGCCATCATGCCCAACTAATTTGTATTTTTAGTAGAGATGGGGTTTCACCATGTTGGCCAGGGTAATCTTGAACTCCCGAACTCAGGTGATCCATCTGCCTCCGCCTCCCAAAGTGCGGGGATTACAAGTGTGAGCCACCACACCCAGCCTTCAGTAAAGAATTTTTACAAATTAAAAAGGAAAAAATGAAATAGAAAAATGGGCACAAACATGGACAACTTATAAAACAAATACAAATGGTTCCTAAATTGTTAAATCTAATTTGTAATTTTAAAAATGAAAATTAACATAATGAGCTACTACTGTCATCTTTTTTTTTTTTTGAGACAGTCTTGCTCTGTCACCCAGGCTACAGGGCAGTAGCACGATCTTGGCTCACTGCAACCTCCACTTCAGGTTCAAGCGATTCTCCTGTCTCAGCCTCTGGAGTAGCAGGGATTACACGCGGGCACCACCACACCCAGCTAGTTTTTGTATTTTTAGCAGAGATAGGGTTTCACCATGTTGGCCAGGCTGGTCTCGAACTCCTGACCTTAGATGATCCACCCACCTCAGCCTCCCAAAGTGCTGGGATTACAAGCATGAGCCACTGCGCCTGGCCTATTACTGTCATCTTCTAAACTGGCAAAGATACTTTTAAAACCCAGTGGTGGCAAGGGTTAGGAGAAAAGAACATACTGATACACTGTAAGTGGATACAAAACTGGCAAAATATTCTTGCCAACAATTTGGCAATAAAGAGGAAAAGCCCCAAAAGGTATATACCTATTGATCCAGCAATTTCATTTGTAGGAATTCACCCTAAGTAAATAGTATTTGAAGTGCATGATGACTTATCTATAAGGCTGGGATAGTAAAAGCTGAAAAAAAGCTAAATGGGCAAAAATAACGTGTAGGTTGAATTACAGGAAATTAAACACCTATTAAATATTAAGTATTAATATTTAATACTAAATACTAAACATATGAACAATGGTTTTAAATATGGTCAACATAAATAAAAGATAGTACCAGTCATTGTAATATATAGCACTGAAAATACTGCCTCTCGTGGCCAGGCGTGGTGGCTCACGCCTGTAATCCCAGCACTTTGGGAGGCCGAAGTGGGCGGATCACGAGGTCAGGAGATCAAGACCATCCTGGCTAACACAGTGAAACCCTGTCTCTACTAAAAATACAAAAAATTAGCTGGGCGTGGTGGCGGGCGCCTGTAGTCCCAGCTACTCGGCAGGCTGAGGCAGGAGAATGGTGTGAGCCCAGAAGGTGGAGCTTGCAGTGAGCCGAGATCGTGCTACTGCACTCCAGCCTGGGCGATAAAGCTAGACTCCGTCTACAAAAAAAAAAGAAAAGAAAATACTGCCTCTCAAGTCACATCAAGTAGGTAGTTGAACCAATAATAAAATAGTGAAGATTCTCATTCAATTTAGCCTTGTGTAAATTGCAGCAACTCAATACATCTCAGGAGCAAAAATACAATAGAACATACTTGTCTTTATTTTGATGCCATAATCTTAGGGGGTTGGGGAGAGAAGCCATCAAAGAGACTTGGTCCTGCTTTCATTCAGAGGGATGTGAGAAGAAAAGCAGTGTTTATGAAATGTGTAAGCCCTGATCACATCCCAGTGGGACGATGCTTCAAGATCCATCCATCATGGTCTTTCTGCGATAGGAAAGATGGGCCCCACATAGCTAAGCCAGTATACAGAAAAAAACATTAACACTACAAAGGCCTTAATGAATCTTGGAGGGTAAAGAGGGGGAAAAAGCTCACATCACAGGAGTTTTCCATTTGGGACCAGAAATAGGAGAAAAGGTAGGAGGAGTCAGAGGTGCCATTTCTATCACTTACTTTTGTCCATGCATTCAGTAAGCAAGATTTTTTTAAATCTTTTTTTTGAGATGGAGTTTTGCTTTTGTTGCCCAGGCTGGGGTGCAATGGTGTGATCTTGGCTCACTGCAACCTCCACCTCCTGGGTTGAAGCGATTCTCCTGCCTCAGCCTCCTGAGTAGCTGGGATTACAGGCATGTGCCACCACACCCAGCTAAATTTTGTATTTTTAGTAGAGACACGGTTTCACCATGTTGTCCAGGCTGGTCTTGAACTCCTTATCTCAGGTGATCCACCTGCCTCGGGCTCCCAAAGTGCTGGGATTACAAGCATAAGCCACCACGCCCGGCCATTTTTAAAATCTTTAAACAATTCCTAAGTGCTTAATTCGATCTTACAAATAAGCTAAGTCAAACTGAAATATAAGTTTTGTGTTAATCACTGATAATGGCACAGAAGCTACTTTCCAATAAAATGAACAGTATATATATATATATATATATATATATATATAGACAGACATCTATTTTTTGCTTGTTTAAATTTTCTAAAATAAGAAAATATGAAGGACTCTTCTACTTTCTGAGGCAGTTCCTAGTCACTGCAGGTCTTCAAGCATAGGCTAAGAACATCTCTCAACAGGAAAGCTGGCAAGGGGTTTCTAGATTTGTTGAGTTGGAGGATTTTAAAGATTCCTCTGCCTTTGTGATTCCATGCTTCCATTTAATCTGGTATAGTCCATTGGGAGTGGGTGAAGATATGCTGTTATATTTAAGAAAAGGAAGGGTCTACAATACAATTATGTTTATAAATTACTAGGTACAGTATGTCTTTCTTGGATGTTACAGGTAACAGTTATTGATTCATACTGAACATATTCAGTAGACATTTCATTATCAGCTTTTTGGAAATTGAGATGATCAGCTTACCTTCCAAAGTGTCGCTTCAGAGGGAGCCTTCCAATATCTTGGATAAAAGAAATCTGAGCTGAAACAGATTTTTTAAAAGTTGTAAACAATTTTCCAAAGAAAATATACAAATGGCCAATAAGCACCTGAAAAGATGCTGAACATCACTAATCTTTAGAGAAATGCAAATCCAAGCCATAGTGAGATACCAATTCACATCTATTAGGATGACTGTTACAAAAAACCAGAAAACAAGAAGTGTGGGTAAGGATGTGGAGAAGCTGGAACCCTTGTGCATTGCTCATGGGAATGTAAAATGGTGTAGCTGCTGTGGAAAACAGTATAGTGCATCCTCAAAAAATTAAAAATGGAATTATTGTATGATCTAACAATTCCACTTCTGGGTATATACCCAAAATAATTAAAAACAGAGTCTCAAAAAGATATTTGTATGCCCATGTTCATATCAGCATCAACAATAATCAATGGGTGGAAGCAACCCAAGTGTCCATCAACAGATGAATGGATAACCAAATATGGTATATACATCTCATGGAATATTACTCAGCTTTAAAAAGGACACATGCTCCAACACAAATGAACTGCGATGACATCATTCTAAGTGCAACTAGTCACAAAAGAACAAATATTGTATGATTCCACCTATATGAAGTATTTAGAGTCATAAATTCATAGAGACAGAAAGTAGAATGGTGGCTGCCAGGGGGAAGGGAAAATGGGGAATTAATGCTAATAGTTATAGAATTTCAGTTTTGCAAGAAGCAAAAGTTTCGGAAACTGGTTGCAGAACAAGGTGGATATACTTAACACTACTGCACTGTAGAATTCAAAATGGTTAAGATGATAAACTTTATGCTTTGTATACTTTATCACAATTAAAAATGCAAAAAGAAAAAGAATGACATAGTAAACTTTCAGGATGACAGCATAAGCTCTTGTGTACCCACTCCCAAAGATAAGCAAAATCGGTGAAAACTTTTAAAAATCAATCATTTGAAGTCTCTGGAAATTGTCCTAATAGCATACAGCAAATGAGAAAAGATCTATTCAAGAAAACCAAACAGGAAGAATCTGAGGCATCTGAGCCACTATCTCCTCCCTCCCATTCCCAACCCTGAGCTGAGAGGGCTCAGCTTGATGAACATTTCATTCCAGGTGGGTACAGCCAAGAACAAAGGACTCCTTCCTACTGGAGTGCAGCAGGGTGTTTGGGGCTTCCTTTCCCCACCTGGCCCTACTCATAGGATAAGAGGTTCTAACCCAAAGGCACTGTCCCCTGTCCCAGCTGCAGTCTCCCTTACCCCAGCTTGTTACATAGCAGAGGGTCCACACTGGGAGAGGCAAGCCAAAATAATCAGAGGCTACCTCTGCAGCTGGGCACCCACCCAGAATAAGTGGCTTAGAGATTTTGCCCAGAGGAGAGGCAGTCCGTAGGAAAAAGCTCCGAAGCCTTCCCCAAAGGAACTCACTTTATTTGAAACATAGTGTGGGGAAGTTCAAGCCTAAAGGGCACCCTGGAAACCAGCTCCTCTTAAATAAGAACAAGCTAAACATAAGCCAACTAGTTCATAAGAAACCAGGGAAAGAGACAACTAAGAAGGGCCCTCCTGGTTTCAGAACAACCCTCAGAAACTGGCTTGAAAGCCTACACCTGCCCAAATTAAACTGGATCAGCCTGTGGAGAAATTTTTGTCCTAGAGCACTGCTGAAAACAGAGCAATTAGATAGTAATTAGGGAGTAGTCAGGCACAGTGGCTCACGTCTGTAATCCCAGCACTTTGGGAGGCCAAGGTGGGTGGATCACTTGAGGTCAGGAGTTCAAGACCAACCTGGCTAACATGGTGAAACGCCATCTCTACTAAAAATAGAAAAATTAGCTGGGGATGGTGGCACATGCCTGTAGTCCCAGCTACTCAGGAGGCTGAAGCATAAGAATTGCTTGAGCCCAGGAGGCGGAGGTTGCAGTCAGCCATCGTACCACTGCACTCCAGTCTGGGTGACAGAGCGAGACTCTTTCCTCAAAAAAAAAAAAAAAAAAAAAAAAGTAATTAGGGTAGCCAACAGTGTGATAACAAAGGAAGCAAAGAGCTATACAGACATATCAGGGAAAGAGACAAAGTGAGCTCTGCTAAAACCACCATCATCCCAAGTAAACTGTGGGCACAGCCAAGGATGAGCTCTCTGAAGAGGGAGGAAGGCTTCATGTTGCAAAAGACAGACTTCATTACATGAGTTTAGCCAAGTCACTAAACAAATAAACAAGCACACAACAATAAAAACAAGCCCCAGAGGAGGAGAATCAATATTCTCCAAAATTGCTACAATATATTCCCTAAAACATCTAGTTTTCAACAAAAAATTATGACTGTAAAGAAACAGGAAAGTGTGACCTACACACAAGAAAAAGGTGGGTAAAAGAAACTGCCTTTGCGAGGGCTCACACATTAAATTTAACAGAAAAAGACTTCAGATAAACCATTATAAATATTTTCAAAGTAGAAAAGGAAATCATGCTCAAAGTAGTAAACAAAGCTGTAATGACAATGTCTCATGAAAAAGAGCATCAACAAAAAGACAAAAATTATAAAAAGAACCAAATGAAAATTCTGCAGTCAAAAGGTACAATAACTAAAATGAAAAATTCACTAAAGGGGCTCAACAGTAGATTTGAACCAGAAGTATCATCAAACTTGGACATAGGCCAGGCGTGGTAGCTCATGCTTGTAATCCCAGCACTTTGGGAGGCCGAGGCAGGCAGATCACCTGAGGTCAGGAGTTCAAGGCCAGCCTGGCCAACATGGCGAAACCCCGCCGGGCATAGCGGCACATGCCTGTATTCCCAGCTACTCAGGGGGTTGAGGCAGGAGAATTGCTTGAACTCAGGAGGTGGAGATTGCAGTGAGCTGAGATGGTGCTACCGCACTCCAGCCTGGACAACAGAGGGCGACTCTGTCTCCAAAAAAAAAAAAAAAAAAAAAAAAAAAAAAACTTGGACATAGATTGACATATAGAAGACAGAAGAAATATAAACAAAATCTCAGAAAAATGTGGAACACTTTCAAGTGAACATACCCTAATGAAAGACTAGAAGGACAGAAAGCAGCAGAAAAATATTTAAAGAAATAATGGCTGAAAATGACATAGTAAATAAAAGCGGAAGAAACAGTATAAAAATTGATAAGAAAAACCAAAACATCTTACTTTTACTAATTTTTATGAACCTTTTAAAGTTTGCACATCTAACACTATGAGGACCTTTGGATACTTAACCTGTTAAAAATTCTACTACACAGGCCGAAGCAGGCGGATCACCTGAGGTTAGGAGTTTGAGACCAGACTGGCCAACATAGTAAAACCCCATCTTTACTAAAAATACAAAAATTAGCTGGGTGTGGTGGTATGCGCCTGTAATTCAAGCTACTCAGGAGGCTGAGGTAGGAGAATCGCTTGAACCTGGGAATTGGAGGTTGCAGTGAGCCAAGATGGTGCCACTGCACTGCAGCCTGGGAGATACAGCAAGACTCCATCTCAAAAAAAAAAAAAAAAAAAAATCTACTACAAACAGAGTTATTTTAATTAACAAACAAAATTGTATATATTTACTGTGGGCAACATATTGTTTTAATATATATATAGTAGAATGACTATAGCTAATTAACATATATATTACCTCACAGAGTTATTATTTTTGTGGCAAAGACACTTTACATTCACTCTCAGCATTTTTCAAGAATACAATATATTGGTTCGGTGTGGTAGCTCACACCTGTAGTCCCAGCACTTTGGGAGGCTGAGGTGGGAGGATTGCTTGAACCCAGGAGTTCAAGACCAGCCTGTGCAACATGGCAAAACCCCATCCTTACAAAAAAAAAATACAAAAATTAGCCAAGTGTGGTGGTGCGCACCTGTGGTTACCAGCTACTCAGTAGGCTGAGGTAGGAGGATCACTTGGGCCAAGGAGGTTTAGGCTGCAGTGAGCCGTGATCATACCACCACAATCCAGCTTGGGTGACAAGAGTGATACTCTGACTCAAAAAAAGAAACAAAACCACACACACACACAAAATACTATTAATTATAGTCACCATGTTGTAAAATAGAATTCTTGAATTTATTCCTCCTACATAACAAAATTTTGTATTCTTTGATCAACAACTCCCCTACCACCCAAGCCCATGGTAATCCCATTCTGTGCTCTACTATTATGAGATCAACTTTTTTAGCTCCTATATAAGTGAGAATATGCAATATTTGTCTTTCTGTGCCTGGCTTATTTCATTTCAAATAAGGTCTTCCAGGTTCATCCATGTTACTGCAAATGACAAGATTTTGTTCTTTTTTATGGCTGAATAGTATTCCACTGTGTATATATACCATGTTTTCCTCATCCAATGGACAATTAGACTGACGCTATATCTTGGTTATTGTGAATAATGCTGCAATAAAACTGGGAGGGAGGGCAGATATCTCTTCAACATACTGACTTCATATTCTTTTTTTTTTTTTTTTGAGATGGAGTCTGGCTCTGTCACCTAGGCTGGAGTGCAGCAACACAATCTCAGCTCACAGTAACCTCTACCTCCTGGATTCAAGCAATTCTCCTGCCTCAGACTCCACGGTAGCTGGGATTACAGGAGTACACCACCACATCTGGCTAATTTTTTATATTTTTGGTAGAGACGGGGTTTCACCATGTTTGCCAGGCTGGTCTCAAACTCCTGGCCTCAAGTGATCCGCCTGCCTCGCCTCCCAAAGTGCTGGGATTACAGGCATGAGCCACTGCACCTGGCCTTGACTTCATATTCTTTGGATATATGTCCAGTAGTGGGACTGCTGGATCATATGGTAGTTCTATTTTTAGAGTTTTTTTTTTGTTTGTTTTTTGAGACAGAGTTTTGCTCTTGTTGCCAGGCTGGGGTGCAATGGCGTGATCGTGGCTCACTGCAACCTCTGCCTCCCAAGTTCAAGCAATTCTCCTGCCTCGGCCTCCCAAGTAGCTGGGATTACAGGCATGTGCCACCACGCCCAGCTAATTTTTGTATTTTTAGTAGAGGCAGAGTTTCATCATGTTGGTCAGGCTAGTCTCGAACTCCCGACCTCAGGTGATCCACCCACCTCGGCCTCCCAAAGTGCTGGGATTACAAGCGTGAGCCACCACGCCTGGCCTATTTTTAGTTTTTTTGGTGTTTTTTTTTTTTGTGTGTGTGTTTTTAGTAGAGATGGGTTTTCACTATGTTGCCAGGCTGCTCTCAAACTCATGACCTCGTGATCCGCCCGCCTCAGCCTCCCAGAGTGCTGGGATTACAGGCGTGAGCCACTGCGCCCGGCCTATTTTCAGTTTTTTAAGGAACCTCCATACTGTTCCTCAAAACAGCTGTACTAATTTACATTCTTACTAACTCTGTGATTCCCTTTTCTCCACACCCTAGCCAACGTTTGTTATCATTTATCTTTTGGTAACGGCCATTCTAACTGGTGTAATATGATATCTCATTGTGGTTTTAAGTGTGTTTCCCTGATCATTAGTGTTAAGCCTTAATGTTAAGCAGTTTTTCATATACCTTTTGGCCAGTCTTCTTTTAAGAAATGTCTATCTGGTCCTTTGCCTTTTGAGACAGCATCTCACTCTGTCCCCCAGGCTAGAATGTAGCAGCGTGATCTCGGCTCACTGCAACCTTCCCTTCCCAGGCTCAAACCATCCTCCCACTCAGCCTCCAAGTAGCTGGGACTACAGGTGTGTGCCACTACACCCGGCTAATTTTATCTATTTTTTTTTTTTTTGAAACAGAATTTTGCTCTTGTTGCCCAGGCTGGAGTGCAATGGTGCAAACTCGGCTCATGGCAACCTCCGCCTCCCGGGTTCAAGCAATTCTCCTGCCTTAGCCTCCCGAGTAGCTGGGATTACAGGCGCCCACCACTGCACCCAGCTAATTTTTTGTATTTTCAGTACAGGTGGGGTTTTGCCATGTTGGCCAGGCTGGTCTCGATCTCCTGACCTCAGGCGATCCACCCACCTCGGCCAACCAAAGTGCTGGGGTTACAGGCGTGAGCCACCGTGCCCGGCCAATTTTATCTATTTTTTGTAGAGACAGGGTTTCACCATGTTGCCCAGGCTGGAATTGCCTGTTTTTTAATTGGGTTGTTTTCTTACTATTGCATTCTTTGAGTTCCTTATATATTTTGATTATTAACCCCTTATCAGATGTATAATTTACAAATATTTTCTCCCATTATGTAGGTTGGCTCTTCATTCTGTTGTTTCCTTTGCTGTGCAGAGGCTTTTCAGTTTTGATGTAATCCTATTTGTTTATTTTTGCTTTTGTTGCCTATAATCAGGATCTTTAAAAAATAGCTCTTTGATATGAACAGCTTAGAGATGTGATCCCAGAATCTGAACTTTTAATTAGTGGAGAAATGATAAAAGTTAACTTCACCAGCAATTTTACCATCAGTTTCTCTTTTGTAATGTGTATTTTAAGGGCCATATTTCATTAATGATCACCTGTCTGTGGTGCTAATCTTCAAAACAGAAAACAGAATTTGTGTCATATTAAAAATGTTAGTAATCTACCATATAACTTATCAAAACATCTCAGAAATTTTATTTTATTTTTTTGGAGAGGGTCTCATCCTCACCCTGTCACCCAAGCTAGACAGGCTAGAGTGCAGTGGGGTGATCACAGCTCACTACACCCTTCACTTCCCGGGCTCAAGTGATCCCCTTACTTCAGCCTCCCGAGTAGCTGGGACTACAGGTGCAAGCCACAACACCCAGCTAATTTTTAAATTTTTTTGTAGAGACAAGGTATCACCGTGTTGCCTAGGCTGGTCTCAAACTCCTGGGCTCAAGCGATCTTCCCACCTTGGCCGCCCAAAGTTCTGGGATTATAGGCATGAGCCGCCATGCCTGGCCCAGAAATTTTAAAGATAGAGTTGACCTTATCAGTGATCAGAAGAAAGGATTAAAGACTAAATATCTACTTTGATACAATGAAGTGTTTTATCTTACAGCTTTTGTAAGTACTGATACTTAAAGTGTTTAAAATGTTGTGTATTCATAGGCAAAAATAACGTTTATGCAGTGGACATGATGAATCTGTTGGTCAGAATCCAGATATCTTTCCTCTCCTTGCCAATTTTTTTTAAGATCACTTCTGTGGTATTTCTGCCAAAAAAATACATATCCTGAATCCAATAATGAGGAATCACCAGACAAACCCAAATTGAGGGATCGTACAGTAACTGTCCTATATCCCTCTAAAATGTCATGGACAAAGAAAGACTACAAAACTGTTCCAGATCAAGGGAGACTAAAAACACACGGAAACTAAATCACTAAATGCATCAGGTTATCTTTCATTGGATTCTGGACAAGAAATGGGGAGTTATCATTTTACAAAGGAGATTATTAGGGCTGGGTGCAGTGGCCTGTGCCTATAATCCTAGCCCTTTGGGAGGCTGAGGCAAGAGGATTGCTTGAGGCCAGCAGTTCAAGACCAACCTGGCCAACAAAGCGAGATCCCATCTCTATTAATTAAAAATAATTAAAAAAGGATATTATTAGGACAATTGGAAAAATTTGAATGGGGACTATAAAATAAACGGTATTAAGTTAATTTCCTGATTTGATTGCACACTGTGGTTATGCAGGAAAATGTCCTTGTTTTTGGCAAGTGCAGACTTAAGTTTTTAAGAATAATGGGATATCATGCCTGCAATTTACTCAAGACTAGTTTAGCAAAATAATACATATATGTGCATGCTTATAAAGAGAGAGAATATAATCAGGCAAATATGGTAAAAAATGTAATAATCAGGAAACTTAGTGAAGGATATACAAGAATTTTTTGTACTATTCTTGCATCCTTACATTTAAAATAATTTTTTTTTTTTTTTGAGACAGAGTCTCACTCTGTCTCCCAGGCTGGAGTGCAGTGGCGTGATCTCAGCTCACTGCAAGCTCCGCCTCCCGGGTTCATACCATTCTCCTGCCTCAGCCCACTGAGTAGCTGGGACTACAGGCACCTGCCACCGTGCCCGGCTGATTTTTTATATTTTTAGTAGAGACGGGGTTAGCCAGGATGGTCTTGATCTCCTGACCTCGTGATCCGCCCGCCTCGGCCTCCCAAAGTGTTGGGATTACAGGCGTGAACCACTGCGCCCAGCCTGAAATAATTTCAAAATAAAGTTTAAAAACCAGTGGCCGGGCGCGGTGGCTCACGCCTGTAATTCCGCACTTTGGGAGTCCGAGGTGGGCAGATCACTTAAGGCCAGGAGTTCGAGATCAGCCTGGCCAACATGGTGACACCCCACCTCTACTAAAAATACAAAAAAAATTAGCCGGGTGTTGTGGCACATGCCTGTAATCCCAGCTACTTTGGAGGCTGAGGCAGGAGAATCGCTTGAACCTGGGAGGCAGAGGTTGCAGTAAGTCGAGATCATGCCATTGCACTCCAGCCTCAGCAACAAGAGTGAAACTCCATCTCAAAAAAAAAAACAAAAAGTTTAAAAACTAGTGTAATCTTTTTTTTTTTTTTTTTTTTTTTTGAGACAGAGTCTTGCTCTGTTGCCCAGGCTGGAGGGCAGTGGTGCAATCTCGGCTCACTGCAAGCTCCGCCTCCCAGGTTCATGCCATTCTCCCGCCTCAGCCTCCCAAGTAGCTGGGACTACAGGCACCCACCACCAGGCCTGGTTTTTTTGTTTTTTGTGGGTTTTTTTTGTATTTTTAGTAGAGATGGGGTTTCACCATGTTAGCCAGGATGGTCTCGATCTCCTGACCTTGTGATCCGCCCGTCTTGGCCTCCCAAAGTGCTGGGATTACAGGCATGAGCCACTGCACCCGGCCAAAAACTAGTGTACTCTTAAAGCAATTGGCAAGGAGAAGGGCAATCTCTGGATTCTGATCAACAGATTAATCATGACCACTGCCCAAAAGTTATCCCATTTTTGCCTATGAATGCATAACATTTTCAAAACTTGTGCAGATGTATACTGCCACAGGCATAGTAATGTTTGTAGCATTATAATTTCGTAACAGAAATATAATGAAAAATACTATTAATAGGCATTTTTGTAATACTGAAATCCACCAAAATATCCATCATAAGGTTAAATAAAATGTTTACAAATTGGAAAAAAATGAGATTGCTGCTCTGACATTAACTTATAAGATATGAAAGGCTATCCACAGTAAGTGACATAAGCAAATTAAAGCTTGCCTCATTCTGCATGTTTCTACATCCACAGAAGAGTATCTGGAAGAATTTACATTAATCTGTCAAAGCAACCTGTGGTTGTAGGGGAAGTACTTTCAATTTTTACTTTAGAAACTTTTTTCTTTTTTCTGAGACAGTCTTGCTCTGTCGCCCAGGCTGGAGTGCAATGGCCTGATCTTGGCTCACTGCAACCTCCGCCTCCGGGGTTGAAGGTTCTCCTGCCTCAGCCTCCCGAGTGGCTGGGATTACAGACGCGTGCCACCACGCCTGGCTAATTTTTTGTATTTTTAGTAGAAATGGGGTTTCCCAGCCTTGGCCTCCCAAAGTGCTGGGATTACAGGCATAAGCCACCACGTTCGGCTCTTTATATATTTCTGTATCATCTGATGCTTTTTGTTTTTTTGAGACAGACCTCACTTTGTCACCCAGCCTGGAGTGCAGGTGTGCGATCTTGGCTCACTGCAGCCTCCACCTCCTGGGTTCAAGTGATTCTCCTGCCTCAGCCTCCCGAGTAGCTGGGATTACAAGCGCATGCCACCACACCTGGCTAATTTTTTTATTTTTAGTAGAGACAGGGTTTCACCATGTTGGCCAGGCTGGTCTCGAACTCCTAACCTCCAGTGATCTCCCTGTCTTGACCTTCCAAAGTGCTGAGATTACAGGCATGAGCCACTGCACCTGGCCTGTTTGATGCGTTTTAAAAAAAAAACATAAAGGATCCAGAATTATCTGGATCAAAAAATAAAAGGAAAAAAAGTATCTCACTGCATATAGCAATAAATTGGCCCACAAAAAGATATTGCTATAAAACCCTACTTCTGGCCGTGTGCGGTGGCTCACACCTGTAATCCCAGCACTCTGGGGGGCCGAGGCAGGCAGATCACAAGGTCAGGAGATCGAGACCATCCTGGCTAATACAGTGAAACCCCATCTCTACTAAAAATACAAAAATTAGCCAGGTGTGGGGGCGCGTGCCTGTGGTCCCAGCTACTCAGAAGGCTGAGGGAACAGAATTGCTTGAACCCAGGAGGCAGAGGTTGCAGTGAGCCGAGATCGTGCCACCGCAATCCAGCCTGGACAGTAGAGACTCCCCCTAAAAAAATAAAATAAATAAATAAATAAATAAACCCTACTTCTTAAAAGAAAAGAAAAACCTATGTTATTACCTTGATTTCTCATTGGAATGGTTAGTAGAGCAAGGTATGGCAATAGCTGAGTTTGGAGGCATAAAGCTGGTAGGCAGAAGTCAGGAAAAAGTGCTTTTGCTGCCAGGCAATTTTCCCGATACTGTATAGAAAAGAAAAAAAAAAGATGAAAGGAAAAATGAAATTAAAAATATGTATTCCTAGACAAACTAAGTTTATTATATAAACTTACACAATAAGTTTATATTAACTTGTGGGTTTATATATCACAAATATACTTTTAATAGCTTATTTAAGTAGTCCTTTATAGTTTTTTTAGCATCGTTTAATAAAGTATTTTACCTACACAACTATTCCACATTTAATAAACAACAATTTTTAAAAGACATTGAATGTATAAGAAAACCAAATTTAAAACTCAAAGGAATTGTTTATGAGCACACACACATCATAAATTACACGAAAATAGTTTTCAATGAAATAATTTGTTTTCTTTAGTCAACACGTTATGCTGAGCAAGAGAAAAGCACAATCCCTGCCTTCAAGAAGCTAACAGTCTTAGATAATTTATATGCAGCAACAATGCAAAATTAATATATATGCTATAAAAGACAAAGCAAGTCAATGAGATATAAATTGCTTAAAAGTCATTAAATTCTCCAAGAAATCTGTTGGAAAAAATGTCCTAGGTAATAAATTATAGGGTAATTTTCAGCTGTATGATTTTAGAACTGGAAGACATCTCAGAGACGACCCAGTCCAGGGGTCACGAATTCAGATATTACAGAAGTCAAGCAGGCAATATAAGTGAATGAACCAGCTGGGGACAGTGGTGCCTACTACTCTCATCTCAAAGGGGCAGATGCTACATGGCGAGGTGATTGTTGCTACGCAGAAATATGAGCCAGTGTTATACTTCACTTTCATTTTTTTGAGAGATGGGGGTCTCACTCTGTTGCCCAGGCTGGAGTGCAGTGGCACAATCATTGTTCACTGCAAACTCTGCCTCCCAGGCTTATGCAATCCTCCCAATTCAGCCTCCCAAGTAGCTGGGACTAGGTAGGAAAAACAAAAAAAATTTTTCCTTTTTCCTGTAGATATGGGATCTCACTATATTGCTGGTCTCAAATTCCTGGTGTTTGCCACCACACCCAGCTAATTTTTTTATTATTTTTTTTTTTATACAGATGGGGTTTCACCATATTGCCCAGGCAGGTCTCAAACTCCTGGGCTCTAGTGATCCTTCCACCTCAGCTTTCCAAAGTGCTCGGATTACAGGTGTGAGCCACTGCACCTGGCCTCTTTTTTTTTTTTTTTTTTTTAACCAGGAGATTCCAGAAATTCTGAAGCTAGAAATTCATATCTAACTTTTTTTTTTTCTTTCTGAGACAGAGTCTTTTTCTGTCGCCTAGGCTGGAGTGCAGTGGCATGATCTCGGCTCACTGCAACTTCTGCCTCCCGGGTTCACGCGATTCTCCTGCTTCGGCCTCCTGAGTAGCTGGGATTACAGGAGCGCACCACCACACCTGGCAAACTTTTGTATTTTTAGTAGCGATGGGGTTTCACCATGTTAGTCAGGCTGGTCTCGAACTCCTGACCTTGTGTTCTGCCCGCCTCAGCCTCCCAAAAGTGCTGGGATTACAGGTGTGAGTCACAGCGCCCAGCCGAAATTCATATCTGACTTTTAATCATTAGTCTGATTTTTAAAGATTGGCAATTCATTTTGAAAACTGTTGTGTATTTTGTTTTCAACTTGTGTGCCTCCCATTTTTTACCTCTAAATAATTCAATCATCTACATTTTTAGCTGTGGAGAGTAAGAACACATTAGGTGAATACCTTGTCCATATAGAGGCAAGGCCAAGATTTCTTCTCCTTTCTTTGATTAATTTAAATTGACAAATAAGCTCTGTATGTATTTATAGGTATACAACATGATGTTCTGAAATATGTATATATGGTAGAATGGCTAAATTGAGCCAATTAACATATGCATTACCTTACATACATATATTTTTTGTGTGTGGTGAGAACACTTAAAATCTACCGTTTTAGTGATTTTCTTTTTTTTTTTTTAGATGGAGTCTCGCTCTGTCTCTCAGGCTGGAGTGCAGTGGCGCCATGTCAGCTCACTGCAAGCTCCGCCTCCTGGGTTCACGCCATTCTCCTGCCTCAGCCTCCAGAGTAGTTGGGACTACAGGCGCACGCCGCCACACCCGGCTAAGTTTTTTTATTTTTAGTACAGACAGGGTTTCATCGTGTTAGCCAGGATGGTCTCCATCTCCTGACCTCGTGATCTGCCCGCCTCAGCCTCCCAAAGTGCTGGGATTACAGGCGTGAGCCACCATGCCCGGCCATGATTTTCAAATACATGACACATTGTTGTTAATAGTCACCATGTTATACAACATATCTCTTGAACTTAAAACTTATTCCTCCTGGCCAGCGAGGCTCCGTCTCAAAAACCAAAAACAAAAAAAACTTATTCCTCCTGCCTAACTGAAATTTTATATACTAGGGATTTCTATTTTCCAATCAGCATTCTCAGGTTGAACTAGGGTTTATTTATTTACAATTTTTTTCTTTTTCTTGTAGATATGGGATCTCACTATGTTGACCAGGCTGGTCTCAAACTCCTGGGCTCAAGTGATCCTCTTGTTTTGGCCTTCCACAGTGCTGGGATTACAGGTGTGAGCCACCATGCCTGGCCCTAAAGTTTGTTTTTAATTGAAACTGAAATATAACTATGCAGCTGGGCACAGTGGCTCATGCCTGTAATCCCAGCACTTTGAGAGGCCAAGGCGGGCAGATCACTTAAGGTCAGGAGTTCAAGAACAGCCTGGCCAACATGGCAAAACCCCATCTCTACTAAAAATACAAAAATTAGCTGGGCATGGAGGTAGATGCCTGTAATCCCAGCTACTCAGGAGGCTGAGGTGGGAGAATTGCTTGAACCTAGGAGGTAGAGGTTGCAGTGAGCAGAGATGGCACCACTGCACTCCAGCCTAGGCAAGAGAACGACTCTGTCTGAATAAAAATAAAAAATAAAAAATAAAATATGGCCGAGCATGGTGTCTCACATTTGTAATCCCAGCACTTTGAGAGGCCAAGGCAAGAGGATCATGAGGTCCAAAGATCGAGACCAACCTGGCCAACATGGTGAAACCCTGTCTCTACTAAAAATACAAAAAATTAGCCAGGCGTGGTGGCTGGCGCCTGTAATCCCAGCTACCTGGGAGGCTGAGGCAGGAGAACTGCTTGAACCCGGGAGGCGGAGGTTGCAGTGAGCCGAGATCATGCCATTGCATTCCAGCCTGGGCAAAAAGAGCGAAACTCCGTCTCAAAAAATAAAAAAATAAAAAATAAAATAAAATGTAACTACGCTTTGATTCCAATAAAACTGAACTAATATTTTCAAATTGTGATGGTCTTTTTTCCCTTAAAAAATTGTACAAGCATTTAAGAGTCACCTTTTTATGTTTTATAAAAACTCAGAATCTAATTGTGGACCTTAGCAACTATTTTATTAAAAATGAAATATTTTTTCCTTTGTTATGTTTTAAAGAAAATAACTGCTTTGAGTTATAATTCACGTACCATAAAGTTCACATATTGAAAGTACAGAATTTTTTTTTTTTTTTTTACCTTTTTATTTATTAGAAACCACTGAGGTTTGTGCAAGGGTCGAAAACTTGATCCTCCTCCTTGGCAATGAGCATATCCTCGGGCTTTGTTGGAATGCATCACACCTCTCGTAGCTATAGATGTGCTATATTCCCTGAGTAAAGAGCGTGTCTAACAAATGAGACAAGATGTGAAAGAAAATAGATTTATAAAAGAGCATTACTGGTATTCCTGATATATACAAAAATACTAACCGTATTTAGTTTCTATGTGTTCACTTTCTTCAACATCACTACAGCCCTATAAATAACAGCACTATAAACTTATCTAAAGCAAATTCCACTGGGACATAGCCATCAAATTAAATGTGTAAACCCTGACTGGATCTTGGACAGGGGTGGAGGAAACAACTTTGAATACATTTTTGAGGCAAATGAGGAAATCTGAATAGGGACAATATATTGCTAGATTAGTGTGAAGTTTCTCTGGAAAGTTAACTTAATTATATAACTAATTAGTTAATGTAACTAATTAGTTAATATAACTAAAATATAATTGAAACTAAAATATGACTATGCAGCTGGGCGCAGTGGCTCACGCCTGTAATCCCAGCACTTTGAGAGGCCAGTTATATCAACTAGTTATATTTTAGTTTCAATGGGGTATGATAATGCTATGGTAGTTGTAATAGAACAATGTCCTTATGCTGCTTAAGTGTCACGATGTTCGCAATTACTAATACTTTCCAATTATTCAGCCAGAAACAAATACGTAAATATATAGAGAGATTAAGAAAAAGTGGCAAAATATGCAAACTGCTAAACAAAAGTTAAGGATATGCAGCTATTCATTGTACTATCATTTTTTTTTAATTTTTAATTTGTGTGGGTACTTAGTAGCTGTATATATTTATGAGGTACAGGGGTCATTTTGATACCAGCATACAATGTGTAATAATTACCTCAAGTTAAATGGGGTATCCATTACCTCAAGCATTTATCCTTGGTGTCACAAACAAGTCAATTATACTCTTTTCGTTATTTTGTATTATTATTTAAAATAGGGTCTCAGTCTGTTGCCCAGCCTGGAATGTGGTGGCACGATCACAGCTCACTACCACCTCAAACTCCTGGGCTCAAGTGATTCTCCCACCACAGCCTCCCAAGTAGCTACGACTACAGGTGCATGCCACCATACCCAGCTAATTTTTAAAATCTCTTCTAGAGATGGGGTCTCGCTGTGTTTCCCAGGCTGTTCTCAAACTTCTGGCCTCAAGTGATCTTCCTGCCTTGGACTCCCAAAGTGCAGAATTACTGGCAGGAACCACCACTCCTGGCTCATTGTACTATCCTTTTAATTTATTTATAGGATGGAAAATTTCAAAATAAGAAAGAAACAATTATTTTAAAAGTTAAGCAAATTCAACTGCTGAGTAATGAAGCTCTATAACATAAATGGTTTTTCTGTGTCTTTCCTAATTTTACTTATTACTGCTATTTCAATTTTTTAATTTTTTGAGACAAGGTCCAGCTCTATTGCCCAGGCTGGAGTGCAGTGGTGTGATCTCAGCTCACTGCAACCTCTGCCTCCCAGGCTCAAGCCATCCTCCCACCTCAGCCTCCTGAGTAGCTGGGACCACTACACCCAAACAATTTTCTTGGTATTTTTTTGTAGAGATGGGGTTTCATCACATTGCCCCAGCTGGTCTCATACTCATGAGCTCAAGTGATCCACCTGCCTCGGCCTCCTTAAGTGCTGGGTTTACAGGTGTGACCCACTGAGCCCGGCCTTATTTTAATATTTATAGCACACAGAAATATTAACGTATCAAAATAGTGTCGTCCAACAGAACGCCCTGCAATGATGGAAATGTTTTGTATCTGGGCTGTTCAATAAAGTAGCCATCAGCCACATGCAGTTATCAAGTACTGGAGATGTGGCTAGTATGACTGAGGAACTGAATTTTTAAATTTAAATGTAAATAGCTACATGTGGTTGGTGGCTGTTGTACTGGTAAGGGCAGTGTTAAGATGTTAAGAACAAAATACAAATTTTATGGTAAATAGTTTCAAATATGTAAAAGAAATAAATTTTAAAAACTAGCAGAAAGTGTAGCAACATGTACAGTTCTTTCTCTTGTATCTACTTCTTAATGGTTGTCATATTTTGAGTATGTATTAATTTTAAAATCAGAAAATAAGCTGGGGCTGGGCATGGTGGCTCACTCCTGTAATCCCAGCACTTTTGAGAGGCCAGGGCAGGCAGATCGCTTGAGCTCAGGAGTTGGAGACCAGCATGGGTAACATGGTGAACCCTGTCTCTAAAACAAAGAAAAAAAAATTAGCTAAGGATAGTGGTGCTTGCCTGTAGTCCCAGCTACTAGATGGGGAGTGCCTGAGGTTGGAGGATCGCTTGAGCCCAGAAGGTCAAGGTTGCAGTGAACCATGTTTGTACCACTGGACTCCAGCGTGGGCAAAAAAGTAAGACGCTGTCTCGAAAAAAAAAAAAAAATAAGCTGGGCATGGTGGTGTGTGCCTGTATTTCTAGCTACTTCGAAGGCAGAGAGGACAGGATTCCCTAAACCCAGTAGTTCAAGACCAGACTGGGTAACATAGCTGTAGATAGAGCCTCTTCTCAAAAAAAAAAAAAAAAAAAAAAACCACCATAACACAAAACACAAAATCAGAAAATTTAGAGACAGGAGTGTGGTGGCTCACGCTTGTAATCCCAGCACTTTCGGAGGCTCAGGTGAGAGGACTGTCTGAGCCCAGGAGTTTGAGACCAGCCTGAGCAACACAGTAAGACCCTGTCTCTACACACACACACAGAAAAAAAAGAAAAAAAGAAAATAACTTTAGAAACAATTGGTGCTATATTATCAGCAGAAAAATCAGATTTGCTACTGAAGCTTCATTATAAACACTGAGTTGGTTACATTAACTTTAGCATAGTTATGAAGAAAAGTCACATAAAATAATGTCAGGCAATTAGGGATAAAAGTAAACTTTCTTTTCTTAATTCTAAGGAAATACTATAAACATAAACATTTTAAGTCAAATGGTCTTACATTCCAGTCACCACTGAGGATATCTGCAAAACTCAGAAATTCACTGGCTCTCACAATATCATCAATTTCCATGAAGAAATCTATGTAGTTTTGGTGAAGATATAAATTAAATAAGTCTCCAGGCATGTGTGACATTTCTACTACCTCCTATAAAAAGAAGCATATATACATAAATTTGGTAAAAATGCAATGGTCAAATATATATGCACACGAATAATATATCCTTTGTAACCTATACTAAGTGTCATCAAAGAACTTACCTCAGGTTCAACAAGTAATGTATCCCGTTCATATTCTGATAAATGAGAGGGCAACCGAGGTGAGTCTAATTCTGTTAAAGATGCTCCTATAAAAAATTTCTGGAATTATTAAAGATAATACCTTCTTTATAATTATATAGCACCTCTCATTTGAAGAGTTTGAAAATTTTAGACATACAATACCAACATAGTAACAAACTGTTAAAAAATAATAAATAAATAAAAAACAACTGGAAGCAAGCACCTATTTTTTCCACATTAGCAAGAACTAAATTAACAATTCTGATGCTTAGATTATGGCTTCTCTAGACTTAAAATATTCCATTTCCTAATGCACTCCCATTTCACCTTTTTCAGCTTTGGGTTGCTTTCTTCCCTTGATTTCTCATCTCAATACAGTGGTCTTTACTCTTTTATTTACTATGTAGGAAGATGTTGCTCTCTACATGAAAGAATACGAATTCCATTCACTAATGCAAGAGACGATAAACGTATGTTGGGGAGGAAAAGAAAGGAGAGAAAGAAAAGAATCAGGTGGGAATAGTCACTCAGGTTCAAAGTAAGAGGATCCAGTGACAGAGGAGTGTCCTCACTGCCACCTAAGTGATGCCCATTTTCCTCAGATGGTATGAAGGTTTCCATTTAGAAATCCTAATTTCTTTCCTTTAGGGTCATCAGACTGAAAACAGGCATTTGCTATCAAAAGGAGGGATTATTTGGGACACTAAAATGGGCAATAGGGAGTGAAAGAACTGAGGGGGAGCAGTCATCAAAAAAGACAGAAAAGGCGATAAACATCTCTGGTTGGGGAGACAGAACGCTTGTAAATTAGAGAAATACAAGACGATTGAAAGAAACCTTAAACTACCTGGTAATTTGTATAAGGCTCTGTTGGCTGGAGCCCAGTGTTAAGAGGGCTTTAGGCTACCAACACTTGCCACTACAAGTCTAGATGATCTGCTCTCTTACCTTCAGCAAACTATAATTTTAAAGATTTACACACATGGATATGGCCTGCAATTGCATGTTTTTACTTTTAATCCTGCTTACGGTCAGAAAATATTCTGATTTCCTACTATGTCTTAGGCCTAGGCAAACAGTATCTGACCTAGCTCTAACTCTTAGAGCAGAACCAAAATACATGACATTTTTTTAAAAGTGACATTTTATTTCCATTTTAAGACTATGTGATATCCAACAGATTTTAAAAGTGTAAAAATTTCTTACTTTTACAATATAGAATTTTCCCCAAAGCTCTGAAGAGAAACAGAGAAACATCTTTGCCACCAATAGCTTGGACCTCTTGATTTTCAAAAACCCTATCAGGTTTTTTTCTTCGTTTTGATTTTGACAGCACAGCATCTGATTTTAAAGACATTCCTTTTTTCCTTGGCCGTAAGTTGTTTTCTCCTGAATAATATACATCCAAGTGACAATATTTAAATTAAAATATGAAAATTAAAACTAAGAACACTTCAGATATAGTTACACTAAATATTCTAATTACAATTTGTTTTCCTAATAAACAAAAATTATAAATGACATTAACTGAGTTGGAATCCTCTTTGGGTTACTAACATTAAAATGGAATAAAGTATTATCTGAAAGTTATTTCATAATGCAGATTTCAAACTTTCACATGCACAATAGCACAATCTCTAATATAGGCTGACATTCCTGATCCAAAAAATTCAAACTCCAAAATACTCCAAAATATGAAACTTGCAGTGCCAACATGATGCTCAAAGGAAATGCTCATTGGAGCACTTTGTATTTCAGATTTTCAGACAAGGGATTTTCAATTCGTATAATGCAAATATTCCAAAATCTTAAAAAAATCTGCAATCCTTCTATTCCCAAAAATTGCAAATAAAGGATATTCAACCTGTACAGTCACATCGCCTTGGTTTCTCATCGTGTTATGTGCAAGATACTGTTCTTGGCATGTAATACATAGGAATTTAATCTTCATAACAACCCTGTGAAGGGAGAATTTTTTTTTTTTTTTTTTGAGATGGAGTCTCGCTCTGTTGCCCAGGCTGGAGTGCAGTGGTGTGATCTCGGCTCACCACAACCTCTGCCTCCTGGGTTCAAGCGATTCTCCTGCCTCAGCCTCCCGAGCAGCTAGAATTACAGGTGTATGCCCGGCTAAATTTTTGTATTTTTAGCAGAGATGAGGTTTCACCATGTTGGCCAGGCTGGTCACAACCTCCCAACCACACAAATTGGCCTCCCCAAGTGCTGGGATTACAGGCATGAGCCACCATGCCCGGCCTTTTTTTTTTTTTGACACAGGGTCTGGCTCTATCACCCAGGCTGGAGTACAGTGGCACAATCATAGCTCACTGAAGCCTCAACCTCCAGGCTCAAGTGATCCTCCCACCTCAGCCTCTCAAGTAGCCGGGACTACATGCACCACCATGCTGGCTATATATATATATATTTTTAATTAGAGACGAGGCCTCGCTATGTTGCCCAGGCTGGTATCAGACTCTTGAGGTTGAAGCTTTCTTCCACCTCAGTCTCCTATAGTGTTGGGATAACAGGCGAGAGCCACTGCACCTGACCAATTATTATTAGACAGTTAATGAAATGAGATACAAAGAGGTAAAGTCATTGGCTCAAGGTCATCAGTGAGTGAATGACTGGAATCCAGGCAGCCTGGTTCTGCAATCTATGTTTAACAACCTCTCTATTGATGTTGAGAGTATCCAATTTATGAATATGCATGTGATCACATTTCTTGGGTTTTTATTTTTTTTCCTTAATTTTTTTGTAGAGACAAGGTCTTGCTATGTTGCCCAGGCTGGTTTCAAACTCCTAGGCTCAAGTGATCCACCCACCTTGGCTTCAGGCATGAGTCACCATGCCTGACCCAAGTTTCATTTTTAAGTCTAATATTTAGAACTCAAGAGTGCATGGCTTAAAAGCTACCTTGAACAGCAGAAAGAGCACAGGATCTGGATTTGAATCAAAATACTGTCTATCTCATCAGGTTGATATGAGAATTAAATGAAAAAAACATAATTGCTAACACAGTTCCTGGCCCACTCTTTGATGTCAATTATCAACGTTAAGCATTAAGTAGTCTGCTAAATGCCTTCTGAAGGAGGACTATGCAGTAAACGATGACCATTACAGTAAAAATGTAACTCACTGCCATTAGTGAAACTATCTTTTTACTACATCTTTCTACATATTAACAGGAAATTTATTAAACATATCTCATAAATTTATACTTTTTAACATTAACAGGAAATAAATTTATTAAACATATCTCATAAATTATTATAAAAATAATTTCAGGCCAGATGAGGTGGCTCACACCTATAATCCCAGCACTTTGGGAGGCCGAGGCGGGCGGATCACGAGGTCAGGAGATCGCAACCATCCTGGCTAAGACAGTGAAACCCCATCTCTATTAAAAATACAATTAGCTGGGCGTGGTGGCAGCTGCCTGTAGTCCCAGCTACTCAGAAGGCTGAGGCAGGAGAATGCTGTGAACCTGGGAGGCGGAGCTTGCAGTGAGCCAAGATCATGCCACTGCACTCCAGCCCGGGCGGCAGAGCGAGACTCCGTCTCAAAATAAATAATAATAATTCCAAAAGTAAACCTACCTCGGCACAGTATTATTAAACTGATTAATGGCTGGCCATTTATGAACACTTAATATGAATCAAGTACTGTAAGAAGCACTCTATAATAGTGTCACCTCACATATTCTTCATAGAACCCTAAGAGGTAAGTGCTCACATAAAAGGTGAGAAAACAGAGGCACAGAAAGATAAGAGTCACCTGCATAGGCCTATATAACTGGTAAGTGGCAGAGGCAGAATTTTTATCCAGGAAATCTGGTTCTAAGTTAACTTTGAAAGGTAAACTATCTCAAACAGAAACAAGGATATATACTACGACATATTCATAGAAGGGTATGTATGCATGTGTATATATTTAATTTTAAGCCACTGTCTCAGTAATAAAGAAGGATAAATAGGTATAGACCAAATGTAAGTTAAAATGTTTGATTTCATTGAATGAATTAAGAGAAAGTCAGTCACCTATATAATGCCACATGACTGTATCTTCCATAGTTACCTTTTGAAGAAGAAAACTGGAGGCTGTTTATTGCACTTCTGATATCACCAGAACATCCCTGACAGAGCAACTCTAGAGAAGTTTTGTCAGGGACAGTAATTTTTCCTCCATTCTAAAATAAGAAAATTAAATTTAAAAAAAAGTATTTTCTTAAAAATAACAACAACAAAAAACCCCAACCTATTTTCTAAACTTAATTAACGTAAATTAGATTCTTTTAAACTTAAATACTAAAAAGGGCTGGGCACGGTGGCACATTCCTATAATCTCAGCAATTTGGGAGACTGAGGCAGGAGGATCACTTGAGCTCAGGAGTCTGAGACCAGCCTAGGCAAGGTAGTAAGACCTTATCTCTACAAAAAATCAAAACAATTAGCTGGGCATGGTGGCATGCGCCTGTAGTCCCTGCTACTTGGGAGGCTGAAATGGGAGGATCACTTGAGACCTGGAGATGAAGGCTGCAGTGAGCTATGATCTTGCCACTGCACTCCAGCCTGGGCAATAGAGCCAGAAAAAAAAAATTATCTTAAAATAGTAATAAAAAACTAAAAAGCCTTCATGCTAAACACTGGTCTATGAATGATACAAGCTTCAATGACTTATTACAGTTTAAGGTATACTTTCAGGAAATATTAAATACTGTATTATTTTACTTTTTCACTTTGACCAGGTTGTATTTTGAAGTTTTTACTCTTTCTCACTACATACACACAGATATATAACAACATATATGTGTACACACAAAAAAACCCTCAAAATGCAACAGACTGTGATAAAATTAAATATACACAAAATAATCTAACTAATTTATGAAATTTACATGAAAATTCCTTTACTGGGGTTATACATTATACAGTCTGGTGAGGATGAAAAAGCCATAATTACACCAATTATTTCTTCTTCTTCTTTTTTAAACCAGAGCCACTTGAACTAATCAATTCACTAAAAAAAAAATTTTTGTTTTGACACAAGGTCTTACTATATCACACCTGGGCTGGTCTTGAGCTCCCAGGCTCAACAAATCCTCCCACCACTGTCAGCCTTTGTAGCTGGGACTACAGGCATGCACCATGGCTCAATTTGCAGTTCTCATGCTTATAGTAGAGAATGTAGATGTTTTTTTAGAGACAGGGTTTAGCTCTGTCCATGACAGACTACAGTCATTTCATCTAGATCACTGCAGCCTCAAACTCCTAGGCTCCAGCGATCATCCTGTCTCAGGCTTCTGAGTAGCTGGGAATACAGGAGCACACCACCATGCCCAGGTAATTTTTTTTCTTTTTTTTGGGATACAGAGTTTTGCTCTTGCTGCCCAGGCTGGAGTGAAGTAGCGCAATCTCGGCTCACTGCAACCTCCACCCCCTGGGTTCAAGCTATTCTCCTGCCTCAGCTTCCTGAGTAGCTGGGATTATAGGTACCCGCCACCACATCCGGCTAATTTTTGTATTTTTATTAGAGATGGGGTTTCACCTGTTGGCCAGGCTGGTCATGAACTCCTGACCTCAGGTGATACACCCACCTCGGCCTCCCAAAGTGTTAAGATTACAGGCGTGAGCCACCGCACCTGACCCATTAAATATTTTCAAAACACTAATAGCATAATAATTCATCACAGTAATTGCTTCCTGTATTATTGGACTCAGTTTGTTTCTCATTTTTCACTATTAATATCTGTTATTTATTCAGTTAGGTGCTCTACACTAACGTATTTAATCCTCAAAACAACCTCTCCCTTGGATATTTCCCTCAGTTCCTGTGGTCCTAGCAGTGCAACAAAAATTATGTTTCATGCAAGATTTGGTTGATTTATACCAATAGGATTCCCTAAAACCATGACGCTGGGAGCAGAAGGTCCATCAATTTTTTTTTAACATCATCTTGATTTGAAATACAGAAAAAATGACGTACTAAAAGTGAAAAGAAGCCGGGCACAGAGGCTCATGCCTGAAATCTCAGCACTTTCAGAGGCCGAGGAGGGAGGATCACTTGAGCCAGGAATTCGAGACCAGCCTGGGCAACACAGAGAGACCCTGTCTCTAAAAAAAATTAAAAAATTAGCCAGGCGTGGTGGTACCAGCCTGTAGTCCCAGCTGCTTGGGAGGCTGAGGTGGGAGGAACACTTGAGCCCAAGAGGTCGAGGCTGCAGTGAGCCATGATTATGCCACTGCAGTCCAGCCTGAGCAACAGAGTGAGACCCTGTCTCCAAAAAAAAAAAAAAAGTGACAACAGCTGTATATGAATGTAAATAGACTTTACAATACTGAAGTGTATCTTTGAAAATGGTTAAGATGATAAATTTTATGATACATGTTTTTCACCATAATTAAAAAAAATGTGAAAATAAAAAAGTGACAACAGGACAATAGGAAGAGTTGAATTGTTGATAACTACCATACCTACATGCCAGAAAACATTTTCTTGATGACAGACACAATTTAGAACAGTAAACCAAGCAAAGGAAAAATTTACCTCAATGTGAAAGTGAAAGTTTAATAGTAGAAAAATGTTAAAGATTTTTAAAATCAGTATTTCCTACATTTGCTAAAATGACATGCCTTATGAGTATAATAAAATGTTTTAATTCTAAAAAATTAAAATAACACTCCTTCAGTTTACATAATACTATTTAAGCTAGGCTTTCTATAGTTATCGAGTAAGGTTTAATTAATCAGAGACTTACCTTGTTAGCTTCTATAGTCACTATTCGATTAAGAAATTTCATCATAATTGTTGGTGCCACAGGGTTGAAACTAAGTTTTATAAAGAAAGATAGCAGTTAAATGATTAATTTAAAAATATAATATGTATGTGACCTTTATAAGCAGAAATTTCTTTCTTACCTAATATTTGAGATAGAACACTCTTCCTGAATTTCTTTGGGAAACAATAACCTTTGATTATTATCTCCACTGAGACTGTCCGAGATTATAAATATAAGAGGACATCGACCAATCCTCACATACTTCCTAAAATAACAAAATACAGCAATGTTGAAATTTAAGCCACTTCTCATTTAATTTGGAGTTTTAGAATACTTCACTGAAACCTACCTTAGAACTTCATGTAAAGTATGAGAATCCCGATAAAACTGGTTAGGTAAATCCTATTGAAAATAAAAAATAAATAATAGTATAGTTTTATTCCATTGCAAATTTATTTTTCAAATTTATATTTATTGAGGTAGGCAAAAATATATTTATTCAATGTATTTTAAACAGAACTTTCACAGGAAACATGAAATAGATGATATCCGAAACAGTAATATACATCAATGGGGATCCCAATTTTTAGATCAAATTTCTTTGGGTTGCTTTCCAGTTACAGTATTTTCACTAGGAAGTAATTTTCCAAACTTTTCTTTTGTTTTTCTATACTTAAACCATTAAAATTTATAACATTCCTTATCCTACAGCTATTCCATTCAAGTTTACTAGAAGAGACTTTAGGTTTCTACTATTACAAAGCCTTTGTGTTGTATTTTACCAATATCACTACTATAGAGACAAGTTAACATTATCATGTAAGATATATCTCACAATTGTTTAGTCAATAGCTACAGCAAAATTTTAAAAGTTGGCTGGGTGTGGTGGCTCACATGTGTAATCCCAGCACTCGGGAGGCCAAGGCGGGAGGATTACCTTGAGGTCAGGAGTTTGAGACCAGCCTGGCCAACGTGGCAAAACTCCATCTCTACTAAATATACAAAAATTAGGCCGGCATGGTGGCAGGTTCCTGTAATCCCCACTACTCGGGGGAGGCTGAGGCATGAGAATTGTTTCAACCCAGGAGGCGGAGGTGGCAGTGAGCCAAGACTGCACCACTGCACTCCAGCCTAGGGGTTAAAGAGAGACTCTGTCTCAAAAAAAAAAAAAAAAAAAAGATTTTAGGCCAGGCATGGTGGCTCACGCCTGTAATCCCAGCACTTTGGGAGGCCACGGTGGGCATATCATGAGGTCAGGAGATCGAGACCATCCTGGCTAACACAGTGAAACCCCGTCTCTACTAAAAAATACAAAAAATTAGCCGGGCGTGGTGGCGGGCGCCTGTAGTCCCAGCTACTCCGGAGGCTGAGGCAGGAGAATGGCGTGAACCTGGGAGGCAGAGCTTGCAATGAGCTGAGATCGCGCCACTGCACTCCAGCCTGGGTGACAGTGACACAGCAAGACTCCATTTCAAAAAAAAAAAAAAAAAGATTTTAAAAGTTGTCCTTACTTCAACCAGAATTATCTTCTTATCAGTTCTCAGATCATCTCCAAGCATTTGTAACTTGTTATACTTTGTCGCTCTTAGTAGAAACTCTTTGAAAACTGCTATCTGAGACTGATAGGGAAACATATGGAAGCTTGATTCTGAAAGGAAACACATAACCACTTTTATTTTCAACAAATGATATACATTAATATTATACATCTGTATGTACACACACACATACTTGATGCATCTCACAATACTGTAGACTATTTCCCAATTAGGAAAAATCATTTAAATTTAAAATAGGATATTCCTTTCAAAGGACAAGAGTCAACATGTAGCCAGGCACAGTGGCTCACGCCTGTAATCCCAGCACTTTGGGAGGCCGAGGCAGGTGGATCGCTTGACCTCAGGAATTCAAGAGCAACCTGGGCAACATGGTGAAACCCGGTCTCTACAAAAAAATACACAAATTAGCCAGGTGTGGAGGCTTGTGCCTGTAGTTCTGGCTACTTGCAGGGCTGAGGCAGAGGGTGGGGGTAATAGCTTGAGCCCAGGAGGTGGAGGTTGCAGTGAGCCAAGATTGTGTCACTGCACTCCAGCCTGGGTGACAGAGTGAGACCCTGTGTAATATGGAGTTAACTGACCTAAGAACACAGCTGTCGGTATAACATTCATATAATTGGTAAAAATATCTATGACTGTGGCCTACCCAATGAAGAATCTCTAAATGAGTTCAAGCCTATAAATGAATTACCTTCAGTGATAAGGGTTTGGTTTGTTTGTTTTGAGACGGAATCTTGCTCTGTCGCCCAGGCTGGAGTGCAGTGGCGCAATCTTGGCTCACTGCAACCTCCACCTCCCAGGTTCAAGCAATTCTCCTGCCTCAGCCTCCTGAGTAGCTGGGATTACAGGAACACACCACCACGCCTGGCTAATTATTGAATTTTTAGTAGAGACGGGGTTTCTCCATGTTGGTCAGGCTGGAGTGATAAAGGTTTAACAACAAAAACAGAATAACTGATTAGTGAACTTGAGAATGAGGGAAGCTCTCTGAAGGCATGTTTCATATTGAAGACTGTTTAAGTTAAAGCTTATCAGACTGTCAAAAGTAATGCTACTATTTAGAAAGCAGTAAAAGCCAGATGCAGGAACACACGTCTGTAGTCCCAGCTACCCCAGAGGTTGGGTCGTGAGAATCCCTTAAATGCTTAAGAAGTTCATTCTAGACAATATAGTGAGACTTTCTCTCTTAAAAAAATGATAATAATAATGGGCCGGGCGTGGTGGCTCACGCCTGTAATCCCAGCACTTTTGGAGGCCGAGGTGGTTGGATCACCTGAGGTCAGGGGTTCGAAAACAACCTGACCAACGTGGTGAAACCCCATCTCTACTAAAAAATACAAAAATAAGCCGGGCATGGTGGTGGACGCCTGTAATCCCAGCTACTTGGGAGGCTGAGTCAGGAGAATTGCTTGAACCCAGGAGGCGGAGCTTGCAGTGAGACAAACCACTGCACTCCAGCCTGGGTGACAGAGCAAGACTCCATCTCAAAAAAAAAATAATAATAATAGTAATAATAATAATAAAGAAAAGAAAACAGTAAAAGCCCCAGCAGGATGGGATACTAGTAGCACAAGGGAGTACATTAAAGAAGAGTCCAGAGAAGGGATTTTGAGGAACACTCCACATTAAAATTATCCTTCTACAGAACCCTTTTCCCTTCAAAATGGCCTAGGAGATTTGGCTATCCCTAGTTTCACCACCTGGAGTTGCAATATGAAAAACTATGAAAGATAAAAATGATAGTGCTAAGGTACATAAGCATATGCATGAACTTATAACGTATTACATCTTTAAATTGGTACTATTGCCACGCATGGTAGCTCACGCCTATAATCCCAGCACTTTGGGAGGCAGAGGCAGGTGGATCACTTGAGGCCAGGAGTTCGAGACCAGACTGGCTAACATGGCAAAACCCCATCTCTACTAAAAATACAAAAACTAGCTGGGTGTGGTGGCACATGCCTCTAATCCCAGCTACTCAGGAGGCTGAGGCATGAGAATAGCTTGAGTCTGGGAGGCAGAGGTTGTACTCCAGCCTGGGCGACAGAGTGAGACTCTGTCTCAAAAAAAATAAAAATAAATAAAATTGTTACTATTATCAATTTTTAAATCGTTATCTTAAGGCCTCCTTCCAAATTCCAAAGACATCTTTGTCTTTTGCTTTCATTTGATATTGTTCTAACAGGTACTTACTGATCTAAGCTATCTTGTTGGGGGGCAAGTTCTTTTTAACACATCTTAAGGCTTGATTTAACAAATAAAATATCTTAGTTAATACTGTCTAACCTCCTAGCCAGATCTTAGAAAAAAGCAGATAAATAATGCAAACAGAAGAATATGTTAACAAAACAGTTAAGACTTAATCTTCAAAAAATTCCATTGTCTTCCATTGGAGACATGCTTTCTTTCCTTCTCCTGAAATAACTTTTATTTATTTATTTTTTGAGACAATGTCTCATTCTGTTGCCCAGGCTGGAGCACGATGGTAACACTATAGCTCACTGCAACCTTGAACTCATGGGCTCAAGTGATCCTCACACCTCAGCCCTTGAGTAGTTAGAACTACAGGTACACAACACTATACCTAGCTGATTTTTTTATTTTTGTAGACAGGTTCTTTGTATGTTGCCCAGCCTGGTCTTTAACTCCTGGCCTGAAGCAATCCTCCTGCCTCAGCCTCCCATGTGACAGCCATCGCACCTGGCCTGTGAAATTCCATCCCTCTGAAAGCAAGAAGTATGGGAAAAAATGCACTCATAGAACTTTATCTGAAAGCTCCCTTAAGCACAGGTTTGCCCCACTACTTCTACTACCTTCACAGCAAATCTTACCAGTATTAAACATCCCCTTGAAATCATCTTTTTGGAAGTCTGGTAAAACTGGATTAATCCACTCTTGTACTTGAATACCATGCTCCTTTGATAGTATTTTTAAGGTCGTTGTCTTTCCACATCCAGGAGGACCTGTTATTAATAAAATAGATCCACCCTAAAATCAAATACAAATATGAATTAAAAACCAAAATCACTGGAATGCTAGAATATTATTTCTGACTTTTCATTCTAAATATATTTACTTCTATAAATATTTGCTGAATGTCTCATATAAGCACATTAAATTTCATAATAATGCTTGCTGGAATAAACCAGCTTTATTTTTTTCTTTTTTAAAAATTGCCTTTTTCCCCCCTTTTCCATACAAAAACATCTGCAAATATGGAAATAAGAGAATCTTAATTCTTCAACTCTCAATTCCGCTTCTGATAATTTCTCAATTTTTGCATTATGTCCCTCTCAAGGACTATTTAGTAGCCAAATACTAAACTTTGGCTAAATTAGGGAGGTGATGTCTGAAACAAAGATTTTTAGAGGTTACCTGAACTCATAAAATTTATTCTTTTTTTTTTTTTGAGACGAGTCTTGCTCTTTCACCCAGGCTGGAGTGCAGTGGCATAATCTCGGCTCACTGCAAGCTCCGCCTCCCGGGTTCACGCCATTCTCCTGCCTCAGCCACCCGAGTAGCTGGGACTACAGGCGCCCGCCACCACGCCCGGCTAATTTTTTTGTATTTTTAGTAGAGACAGGGTTTCACCGTGTTAGCCAGGATGGTCTCAATCTCCTGACCTCGTGATTTGCCCGCCATGGTCTCCCAAAGTGCTGGGATTACAGATGTGAGCCACCGCTCCCAGCAAAATTTATTCTTAATATAGACATCTCATTGGATGATATAAGTTACTGTTATACAAATACAATATTCTTATGGAAAGACCTCAGTTTGGTTATTAGATTCTTTAAGAAATGCATATTAAGACACATATTTGGGAAGAGCACGGCGGCTCACACCTGTAATCCCAGCATTTTGGGAGGCTGAGGCAGACGGATTCCTTGAGCCCAGGAGTCTGAGACCAGCCTAGTCAACATGGCAAAACCCTGTCTCTACAAAAAAAATACAAAAAATTAGCTGGGCATGGTGGTGTGCGCCTATAGTCCCAGCTGGTCAGGAGGCTGAGGTGGAAGAATCACTTGAGCCTGGGAGGTGGAGGCTGCAATGAGCCAAGATTGCCGCTGCACTCCATCCTGCACATTAGAGTAAGATCCTGTCTCAGAAAAAAAAAAAAGGAAAAAAAAGAAACATATTTACCAGAGATAGGACTCTAACGAGAGACTAGAGGTTGTGGATCCCAGTAACATTCCCTCATACCGTAAATTTGATTAAAAAAAAAAAAGTTGAAGCTACAGAAATATCAAAAGATTTCCTACATACAATGGTAGGCTATAATTCTTGTTTATTTTCCTTTAATAAGAACCTATGTACTTGGACAAAGAGAGCCTGCTCCACTTTTGAAAGGGGCAGTGCATGAGTTATAGCGCTGTTCACCATGAGTTCAAACTATATGGATCAACAATATACAGTCATGTGCCAGATAATCAACTTTCAGTCAATGATGAACCACATATAAACAGTAGTCTCATAAAATTATAATGGAGCTGAAAAATTCCTAGTAACAATAATGCAAAACATCACTCATGTTTGTGGTAATGCTGGTGTACACACACCTACTGTGCTGTATAAAAGTGTAACACGTATATCTCATTATGTGTAACACATAATGCTTGATAATTATAATAAACAACTATCTTACTGGTTTATGTATTTACAGTGCCCATCTTTATTATTAGAATCTACTTGTTTTTTAAAAAAAAAAGTTGGCCGGGCACAGTGGCTCACGCCTATAATCCCAGCACTTTGGGAGGCCGAAGCAGGCAGATCATCTGAGGTCAGGAGTTCAAGACCAGCCTGGCCAACATGGAGAAACCCCATCTCTACTAAAAATACAAGAACTACCCGGGCGTGGTGGTGCACTCCTGTAATCCCAGCTACTCAGGAGGCTGAGGCAAGAAAATCGCTTGAACCCGGGAGGCAGAGGTTGCAGTGAGCCAAAATTGCACCACTGCACTCCAGCCTGGGCAACAAGAGTGAAACTCTGTCAAAAAAAAAAAAAAGAAGTTAACTATAAAACAGCCTCAGGCAAGTCCTTCAGGAGGTACTGCAGAAGAAGGCACTGTTGTCATAAGAGATGACAGCTCCTTACGTGTTGTTGCCTCTGAAGACCTTCCAGTGGACAAGACATAGAGGTGGAAGACAGTGCTATTAATGATCCTAATCCTGTGTAGACCTAGGCTAATTGGTGTGTTTGTGTCTTCATTTCTAATTTTAAAAGAAGCTTAAAAATTTTTTTTTAAATACAAAAAAAATTTATAGAATAAAGATATAAAGACAAAATATTTTTGTACAGCCGTACCATTTATTTGTGTTTTAAGCTAAGTGTTATTATCAAAGAATCTAAAAGTTTATAAAGTAAAAAAGCTACATAAAGTCCTTCACATGGCCTTTACAAAAAGTTCCAGTAAGTGAAGGTTAATTTATTAAATAAAAAACTGTTTAAGTTTAGTGTAGCCTAAGTGTACAATGTTTATAAAAGTCTACAATAGTGCACAGTAATGTCCTTAGACTGTCACTAACCACTCACAGTCACTGACTTAACCATTTTCCAGTCCAAGCTCCATTCATGGTAAGTTCCCTATATAAATGTATACTAGCATTTTTTTTATCTTTTATAACCATGTTTTTACCAAAAAATATTTTTTTTTTGAGACAAAGTCTCTGTTCTGTTGCCCAGGCTGGGGCACAGTGGCACTATCTCAGCTCACTGCAACTTCCGCCACCCGCTTTCAAGTGATTCTTGTGCCTCCCATATAGCTGGGACTACAGGCACACACCACCATGCCTGGCTAATTTTTGCATTTTTAGTAGAGATGGGGTTTCACCATGTTGGCCAGGCTGGTCTCGAATTCCTGACATCAGGTAATCCACCCACCTCGACCTCCCAAAGTGCTGGGATTATAGGCCTGAGCCACCAAGCCCGGCCTTTTTACTGTACTTTTTAATGGTATGCTTTAGGTATGTTTATTTACACATATAGTTCCCACTGTGTTATAATTGCCTACAGTATTCAATACAGTAACAAGCTATACAGGTTTGTAGCATAGGAGCAAGAGGCTATACCATATAGCCTAGGTGGAGGTTTGTGTAAGTACACTCTATGATATTCTCACAACAATGAAGTCACCTAATGACACATTTCCCAGAATGTATCCCCATCATTAATTGAAGCATGACTGAACATTAAATAACTTTAAATAAAAACACATATACAACAAGGCTATATATTGATGGGTTGACAAAAATGTTGTTACCAGAGGTTTGCAAAAACCTAATTTAGTGTTTTTCTTAGAATAATGGTTCAGTATTTGCTAATTCAGCAACTTTACAGAACATAACTACCTTGAATAATGAGAACTACAATACCAGACAGATCACTTCTTTACAAAGAAAAAGAAGCCTATGCACAGGCATTATACATTTTTCTCATGTAATAATATACTTAAGTGCCTGTTTTCTGACAGAGTGGGTACAGCCACATAGCAAGTTTCCCTTCCAGTAAGAGAACTAGGAGGTAGTTTCTTATCAGGACATTATAATGTGAAGAATCTTGTTAATCCCATTTGTCTACACTGTAACAGAGTTTTACTGAATTTTGAAGGAAAGAAGCTGTCCTGAAAAATTAAACTCTGCAAATATTTGGTATATCGTATTTAAAATAAATTTTGAAAAGTAAATTTCGTTTGCCCATTGATAAATCTAGATCTTACCAATTTTTTTGAATAAAAACATTTTCTAATTACTGACATCCCTGAAACTTCTGTAAAATAAATGGTAAGTGATTTGGGCCAGGCATGGTGTGGCTCATGCCTATTGATTCTGACACTGTGGGATGCCAATGTGGGAGGTCTACTTGAGGCCAGGAATTCAAGACCAGCGTGGGCAACACCATAAGACCCCATCTCTACAAAAAAATTTTTTTTTAATTAGCCAGATGCGGTGGCACACACTTGCAGTCCCCAGCTACTCAGGAAGCTGAGGTGGGAGGACTGCTTGAGCCCAGGAGTTCAAGGCTGCAGTGAGCTATGACAGCACCTCTGCAATCCAGTGTAGGCAACCGTCTCTAGCAAGACCCTGTCTCTAAAAAATTAATAAACAAATAAACAGAGTATATGATTAAAGTCCAACTCCTTAGGGGGAAAACTTTTGAAACCATAAAGAAAATACTTTTCCCAATACATATATATATGTATACATATATATATATGCATATATATATGTATACATATATATATGCATATATATATGTATACATATATATGCATATATATGTATACATATATATATGCATATATATATGTATACATATATATGCATATATATATACATATATATGCATATATATACGTATATATACACATATATATACGTATATATACATATATATACGTATATATATGTGTGTGTGTGTATATATATATATATATATATATATATATATATATACACACACACACACACACACATATACCTAAGTTTATCCAACTGGTAGAATAATAATAGTAACACCAATGTAGGTTTATGATGTGACAATGTTTATACTGACAGAGTATTGCTAAGTGAGAAAACACAATGGACACTGAAAAATAAAAACTATTAGCTAAGCTGACCAAAAACAAATCAATGAGAAAAAGCCTGGATGTAAGAGGTGTGTCAGATAGACTGCCCAAAAATCTGTATTCGGAGACAAGAGACGAGATTTCTATGAAACATCAGAGGAATACCAATGCTGACACTGAAAATCCAACTTGAATTCATGATCTTAGCCCTAAACCAAAAGGTTTAGATCCACAGGCCAGAGAGAAAGGAGCTTGGTTCAAGAGAGGAGGATTGGCTGGGCGTGATGACTCACACCTGCAATCCCAGCACTTAGGGAAGCCGAGGCGGGTAAATCACCTGAGGTCAGGAGTTCAAGACCAGCCTGGCCAACACGGTGAAACCCTGTCTCTATTAAAAATACAAAAATTAGCTGCGTGTGGTGGCGCATGCCTGTAATTCCAGCTACTCGGGAGGCTGAGGTAGGAGAATCGCTTGAACCCAGGAGGCAGAGGTTGCAGTGAGCCAAGATCATGCCACTGCACTCTAGCCTGTGTGACAAAGCAAGACTCTCGAGAAAAAAAAAAGAGAGAAGGATCTGTTACCATCAAAGCAACTAAAACACCAACTCCTTCATCTCAAGGTTGAAAACTAAAGGAAAGACCTAATGTAAACAATGGACTCTGGGTGTTAGTGATGTGTCAATGTAGGTTTATCAGTTTTAACAAATGTACTACTCTGGTGAGGGAAGGTTAGTAACGGGAGAAGGCTATGCATGTGTTGGGGCAGGGGATATGAGGTACATCTCTGTACCTTCTACCCAATTTGGCTGTGAACCTAAAACTGCTCCAAAAATAAGTCTATTTTTTAAAAAAGGAAAAGATACAAAACTTATCCTGCCTTTCTAGTTGGAAATGTATTTCAAGGTAACTAAACAACCCTAGCTAGTGATGGCAAACTTTTCTTTGTAGAAAAATGCCAGTAATAACTGTAGAAATAACAGAACTATAAGAAAGTCACTACTGTACAACTCTAATAAAATAAGTGATTCAGGCAAGGATTGAAAAACTGAAGCTACAGCACTTAGGTGGACGACTGATGGAGAACTGGGCACTCACATGCTGCCACGGTATCTCCCCATGGATTATGTGTCAGTTGTGAGGGAAAGTTACTCTACAATGAAGATTTTTGACTTTCATCTCTTTGATCTAGTGACCAAACTTAAGACAGCAGGAGAACCACAAATACTTTCCAATTTGACGCCCTATACAACATACAACATGACCTTTATTCTTGCAAAAATGTTCAACTTGAGTCTAATCAAGCCCTTGATTCAAAATTTCAGGTTATAGGAAATGCAGGATAGACGAATAAGTTAATCATTATTAGGAGGAAACAACCTAACAAATCCAGTGTGAGACTTCTACAAGTCAACCGGCCTGGTCTCCTTCATAAGTCAGTGCCTTGGAGAAAAGAAAGGGTTAGTAAACTATTATTAGATTCAGGGAAAAAAAAAAAGGCCTAAGATATATAACAGCCAAATGCAACGTGTGATCCTATCCTGTTTGAAACAAACCAGCTACAAAAGACATTTTGGGGACAAATGCAGAAACGTGAATATGAATTCATCATTAGACAGCATTACGGCATCCTGGTTAACTTTGTTAGAGAGAATAATGGTATGCATAATTAATTAGGAAAATCATTTTTTTAAAAAAACAGACATACTGAAGTATCTAAAAGTCTAACTGAAATGTCACAATGTTTATAATTTACTTTAAAATACTTAAGGGGGAAACAATGAGTATATTCTATATATATTTTTTTATTATTCTATTTTCTTTTATGCTTGAAAAATCTCAAAATAAAAAACATTTAAAAAGGGAGACTGATGGAAGGAGAGAATATTCTACCTTGGGGGTTCAAGGTAATTGTGCAGTAAGGAAGTGAAACAAAAAATATCAGTCTAAAATAAATAATGACTGTTTTTGGCTATATTTAGTAGAGAAACTAACATGTAATTTGCCTGCTTTCCTCAGCCTGAGATAATCTGATGTGCTAAATACACTAGCACCCTAATTGGTTTACTGATTCTTTATGCTAACAATAAGACATAAAGAAAAAGAGTTACAAATAAAGGGGAAAACTCAAAGTCTCTGAGTCTTTTAGTCAAGTTGGAAGTAGTAAAGTCATGAAGCTTTCTTTTTCGCTTTTTGTTTTGTTTTGCTTTTTACGGTTTTTGGTATTGCTCTGTTGCCCAGGCTAGAGTGTACTAGTGTGATCACAGCTCACTGCAGCTTCCACCTTCTGGGCTCAGGCGATCCTCCCACCTCAGCTTCCCAAGTAGCTGAGACCAGAGGCATGCACCACAATGCCCAGCTAATTAGCTGTAGAGACAGTCTCCCTATGTTGCCCAGGCTGCTCTCGAACTCCTGGGCTCAAGTGATCCTCCTGCCTTGGCCTCCCAAAGTGCTGGGATTACAGGCATGAGTCACCATGCCCCACTAGGGAGCTTTCTACTGCAGGAGATCTAGACTTATTTTGAACAAAATCATCATAAAACTTTAACTTCTAACAACACACTGTAAGTCAGAAAAATATTTGATGTTAAATATTTAAAAACACATTTCTTAGTTACCTGTTTTGGTTGCCTTTCTAAAACTTGAGCTTTTAACCAGGTTTCGACTTCTTCAATTTTCTTTTTATGCACAGCAAGTTCATGCTACAACAAAAATTTCAAATTTAAAACAAAACTTCTTAACTGAAGATTTTTTGGTACATCAGCACATATGAACCTAAGCATTATTAACGAAAAGAAGTAGCAAATCAGTAACAATCTATATAATAAAATGATCCTTTTGATTATACTTGAATTTTTATACTATTATGGAAAAATTATATTCTTAAGTTGATACCTCTGTATGATAATTTTGGCAAGTTTGCAGTTATAACATTTTTTAAAATTCAGAAATACATTTTGAGAAGACAGTAGAGAGGAGTATTACATTTAGTACAAAAATTTTTAAAAAGATCAATTCTATGTTGGGATTAAATTAAATCTAAGACAACTAATCATACAACTTTAGAATAACTATTGAGAAAAATCTAAGCCTTGGAAAATAAAAAAATCCAGAATTTTTTCTAACACTTAGAAAGATTCTTATGAGTAAAAAATCTGAAAATGTAAATCCCTCTGCTTCCCATCTACCCTTATGCACCCTGAAATTAAATTATGTAGATATGTCTGCATGCTTTTCAGTACCTGAGTTTCTGGTTTATATTTATCCACCCATGGTTCATTTTCAGACAGATATTCTTTTGAATTTTCTAAACCATAAATCTGTTCTAAGGAAGATAGATTTCCTCTTTTTCTCGCTGGAAATCTGCTGCTTTCTAATGTAGAAGGCCCATTTTTTCTTCTATGACTTGAGTTATTCACACCTAATGATGTGGCAGTAATAGTAGAGACGCCACTACACTCTAGAAAATCATCAAATGATGGGTCAACCCAGTCTGTTACCTGAAAAAAAAAGAAATCATGTAAATATAATCACATTTTCTCCCATCTATTCCCCCAAATAACTGAACTACTCTGGAAACAACATATTCATATATTTATAACCTTTAAAACTTAAAAAAAAAAAAAAAAAAAAAAAAAAAAAATTTTTTTGAGACCGGGTCTCACTCTGTCACCCAGGCTGGACTGCAGTGGTATAATCTCAGCTCAAGCAATCCTCCAGCCTCAGCCTCTTGAGTAACTGGGACTACAGGCATGCACCACCATGCCCAACTAATTTTTTTGTATTTTTTGTAGAGATGGGTTTTTGCCATGTTGCCCAGGCTGGTCTCAAACAATTCTTGGGCTCAAGTGATCCTCTCACATCAGCCTCCCAAAGAGCTGGGATTAAAGGTATAAGCCACCATACCCGGCCTAAAAATCTTACAAATTAACTCTTTTTAAATAAAACTCTGTCTGTAATAGTTGTTTTTCTACTTTACAGTAAGTGCAAGTGCATACTTGTCTACTTGACCTTAAAGGAGTAAAGAACACAAACTTATTTTTATTAATTGTAACCTTCCCAGCATAAACACTAGAATGATTTTTTTAAACTCTCTGTAGGATTGAAACATAAATATTAAAATTACCTATTAAAAAAAGCAAAACAAAATAAACAAATGATAATATTTTAACAGAAACAGCAATAAGAGTAATATATCTGCCTTGGCCAGGTTAATACATTCACAAACTAAGAACCATTTCATACATCCAAATAATCCGTATCAGCTTGAAGACTTAGTGAAGATATAGGCCAAAGATCATAACGTAATCTGTAATTATGACTGGATTATATTTTTCTTCAGTGTATGAAGCAACTAATATTTTTATAATTGAGGCAGGCTTTCCAGAGGGGGAACTGTCACTCAGAAATGCCTGGGAATGGTTGGGTGTGGTAGCTCACACCTATAATTCCAGCACATTCAGAGGCAGAGGCAGTAGGATTGCTGAGCCCAGGAGTTTGAGAACAGCTAGCATAACATAGGGAGACCCCAACTCTACAAAAAATAAAAAATTAGCCAGGCATGGTGGCGCACGCCTGTATTCCCAGCTACTTGGGGGGCTAAGGTGGGAGAATCACTTGAGCGCGGGAGGTCAAGGTTGCAGTGAACCATGATCACCCCACTGCACTCCAGCCCGGGCAACAGAGTGAGACCCTGTCTCAAAAAAAAAATTTTGCTAATAATTAGAAATTATTAGCTAATAATTACAAATAATTAGAAATTAGAAATTTTTACTAGATTTTTTAACACTCTAATAGCATAAATCTAGAAAAATATAGCTTCAGATCTGGTTGTAGAATCTACTGCCTGGCTAACAAAAAGAAACCAAGTTATATATTTCTTTCAAGAATACTCAGCCACAGTTGAGCTATTTATTAGACAATGTTCCTCTCTTGAAGAAAATGAACCAGAAGTTGGAGCTGAAAGTAGGCTTAGGGGAGACAATTTGGGGCTTATAAATACTTTACGAATGCTAAGTCACACTTCACTCTTCTTTTAAGACAGAGTTAGGAATATTATCGGCAGTGGATTAAAAAAGGAAGACCACTGGAAAAAATTTTAGTCATAGCTACCTGATTCATTTCGTCCTCATCAAAAGATTGTGACTGGTACTATAATCTTGGCCCCTTTCCTCTATATTTTTGAGAGTATGAAAATATCTTTCATTATAGTAAAACTTTCGACAGCAATTCTGATTTGCAAATTATTTATACATTTTATAGTTTCATTTCTTACATAAATGTGGACTCCCATATACTGAAAAAAAGAGAAAGATAAACAGCAAAGTTAAGTAACTTACTTAACATCAAAGAAAATTTAGAGCTACCACTTAGGGAAATAGCTACCCTGCATGCATGAAACTGTCTGACCCCCATCCCACCTTAACCCCTATCTTGCTGAGAACTCACACACTGAATTACATTACTTCTAAGAAGCAGTGCTTTTGGTTAAGCTATAACACCAACTACCACTCATATTTCTCTCTTCTATGTTCTTTCATTCAAATGTTTTCAGCCTTTGTGACTGGGACTGTAAAACACTTTTTCAAAATTAAGGTTGTGCTTTTAGAGAACACTTGTTTCACAACTTATTACCAGACTTGCTTAAATCATTAATTACAATAGATACTCGGCTCTATTACTTTGATAGCAGTAATAAGTTATTAAGAATATATATAAAAATTTATAATTATTTTAAGGCAATTATTACATGGCCATTCCAGTGTATCATACCTTTGTGGAAGATACCTTTGGTCTAAGAAAAGTTTTTGACATTATAAACTGTAATAGTTCCCATCCGTAGTTTAGGACTTGCAGTACATTAAACTATAATTCACCTGGGGGGGGGGGGGGGAAGAAGCCCTCAAATGAAGAAAAACTGTAAATGCCCAATTATAGTAATAAATGTATACTGATATAATCAACAATACAATAAAGGCTCAAGAACTAGTGAAAAAGAACAGTAAATTTAAGTGATACAAGAAATCAAAATTCTAAAATAATTTTAATGACTATAACTGTATCAAATAATCTACTTGTGGTGTTAAGAGTTTTTCACATGAACTCAATGATGTATTAGAAAAAAAAAAACAAAAAAACCACACATACTATGTACTTACCTTTTGTCATTAAAATCAGGCAATTCTATTTGAGCAATTTTTATACTGAAAATTAAAGTTTTCCTTATTTCAAATTACAGTTGCAGGTCTTCATTTCCAGTATTTCCCAAAAAAGTAAAATACCATGAATTCACTTGCTGTGGACGAAGAATTTAAGTCTTAAACTGTAAAATTTTTGTCTTCATTTGAACATGTTATTACAAAATTTCTTGGTAACACTGTTTTTCAACCGTGTTTTCAAATTCTTAAATGTTTATGCAAACTAGTGAATTCAACGATTTTAAGTTAGCCAGAAGAAAAGTTTAAGGTCTACAAACTTATACATTGGAAAGTATACTGGACTACTTTACAGTTTGGAGGCACACATAGCCTATAAACACCTCGACACACTAGAAAACACATTGTTCAGCCCTCCGCCCCAAATCGTTCACGATTAGAGACTGTGACGTTTCAAAAGGTATACAGGTGGAAAAAAAACACCTATTTGAGTAAATATAGTTTGTAGCTCGAAATAAAAGATGCAGACCAGGGGCCGGACGCGGTGGCTCATGCCTGTAATCCCAGCACCGTGGGAGGACGAGGCGGGCGGATCATCTGAGGTCAGGAGTTTGAGACCAGCCTGGCCAAAACATGGTGAAACCCCGTCTCTATTAAAAATGCAAAAATTAGCCGGGCGTGGTGGTGGGCGCCTGTAATCCCAGCTACTCTGGAGGCTAAGGCAGGAGAATCACTTGAACCCAGGAGGCGGAGGTTGCACTCCAGCCTGGGCGACAAGAGTGAGACTCCGTCTCAAAACAAAACAAAAACAAACAAACAAACAAAAAAAGGTGCAGACTGTTGTCACGGTCAGGTCTCTATTCACTCTTGAAAACAAGATTGACAATTACCTCCTTTAAAAAGCAGATAACTGTCCCTGAAGATGCGAGGTTACTGAAATGAGATGTCAGAGGTAGACCTTCAAGACTATTCCTAGCCGACCCACCACCACCCCACACAGTGAACAGGGAATACTAAGCTCAAATATTCGTCCAACGTAATCCTGTAATCAGTGGGGTGCCGGGTTGAGCTCGCAAATCCCCGCTGCAGGACAGGGCTCTGCACCCTCAATCTTCTCATCCCCAGATGGGATGGGCGGGTCGGGAGGAGGAGCGACGAGAGCCCAGGAAAGCTTGAAGGCAGAGATAGACTCACGTCTCTAAGACATATACATAATATAGCCGCAACCGCGGCGGCCTTACTTTCCCGGAGCTGCATCCCCTTTTAGGCGAAGAGCGGAGGCGACCAGGGACTACCCTAGGTGAAAGGGCAGCCACCTGGCCCTACCCGGGCTCAACGCCGAGCCTCTCGGAGGTACGGCCTCCCGGGGACCTTCCAGACTGGTCGGCGCAAGCGAAGGGCGGGGACCACCGAAGGAGTGTGTGACTTAGGCATCCAGCGCACTGCCTGACCCGAAGTACCGACCCGAGTTATGCCCACCCTCCAACTTTGCGACGGAAATGTGTCATCGAAAGCCAGGTAACCAGTGGGCCGCGGCTGGGCCGCCGGGGCAGGCTAGGGGCGCCGCGGTGGGCTTCGGGGCCTTTGGGGCCGTGGGCTTTTGCTGCCGCCCGCCCCTTCCGGCTCCTCCCTGTAGAGCAAAGGGCACGTGAGCGAGGCGCCCGAAGCCGTCGCGGCGGGGACCATGTTGCTTCCGAACATCCTGCTCACCGGTCAGGGCGCGCGGCCGGGAGGGACTGGGCTGGGGCAGGCTGGGGGCGCAGAGTGCTCTGGGCATCGGGCGCCCAGGTGGGGGCCCCTCACTGCCCTCTTCAGAGGCCGGCCGAGGGCCACGAGGCGGTTGTCAGCGCCCCGGGAGCCGACCCTCGCGGGCGTTGCGGGAGGCGAGGGAGGGGACGCGGAACGTTAATTCCGTTGGCCTGAGGCTCCGGGGGGGGGCGGGGGGGGGTGGAGAGAGGTCGGCAGATCCAGCTCTCCAGCTTGGCAACCTGCTTAGTCTTTCTGAATCTGGTATTTCGTTTGTAAAATGGGTTGTTGATTCTTTGGCAGGGTTGGCCTTGGGATTTTTAGCGAAATAACGTAAGGCCATATCTGCTTCCCGGTAGAGTCATTAATGGTGGATGCCTCACTCCTTAGGCCTCCGTGGGCCGTATTTTATTTTTTCTTTGCTTCTGATAAACGCCTCAGATTAGATTTCGGTAAACGAGTTCAGATGTTTGTGACGTGACGAAATTGCTGTATGCTTTTGTTGAGTTACATCAAAGGATCCCCCCGCCCCTTAAAAGGAAGGCATATAGAGCATTTCGGGTCGTTTCTCGCGTAGGAGTGGGTCTTTGAAGCCATACTCAGGGTGCATGTTATCAGTGAAGGGAATTAAAATGCTGCATAACGACTTTAACGAATATTTTTGCTAGCCGTTTAGTCCTGAAAGTGTTTATCAAATTGTAGGCCATTCGTGGAAAAATCTAATGCATGTAGATTTTATTGCAAGGTACAGAAAAATTAAGACTCTTTGTGGGAACAGTAAAGTTACATCATTCACCCAAAGGTAAAATTGTTGGCAGCGCACAAGACATGTCTGTTTCTGAGAGGTGCAGATTAACCACCCCACAAATAACGTTTAGAATTTTAGATTCCTTAAGCGGAAGATTTTACATCTTTTTGCATGGATCAAACATAGTGCCCTGGTTATTAAGTCATTGTCAAAACTTTAAAGTGAACATTTTATTGAAAACATGTTGAGTCCAGGGTTCAGACTTGGTGTATTATAGTGGACTTGAGGTGACCGTTATTCTCCTGGGTATGGGAACTGGATTATCCCTGTTATCTTTATGCTTAAGTTTAATTTCAGGGATGTTAAATCTGAATAGCTGAAAATTATGAATTTGATGATCTTGAAATGTAATTTTAATAGGTATCAGAAGGGGAAGGTAAAGAACAATGTATATAGTATTGTCATTTATGTAAAAGGGAATATGTGTTGTATTTATATAACAAAGAGTATGTACATATATGTACATTTACATGCAAACATAAATAGGGTTTCTTTGGGAAAGGAAACTGGTTTACAGTGGTTATCTCTAGGGAAGGGCGCAAGGGGTCAGTAGAGGTAATTTTCAGACTGCTTAATTTTAACATGAACAGTTTTGTTTTTGTTCTTGTTTTTGTTTTTGTTTGAGACAGAGTCTCATTATGTTGGCCAGGCTGGTCTCGAACTCCTGCGCTTAAGCGATCCTCCCGCCTTCTCCTCCCAAATTGCTGGGATTACACGCGCGAGCCACCACACGTGGCCATGAACAGTTTTTAAATCTTTATAAGTTAAAGCAAATAGGCCAGGTGGGTGGCTCATGCCTGTAAATCCCAGCACTTTGGGAGGTGGAGGTGGGGAGATCGCTTGAGCTCAGGAGTTTGAGCTTAGCCTAAGCAACATAGCCAAACCCCGTCTCTACAAAAATTAACCAGGGCATGGTGGTGCATACCTGTGGTCCTAGCTACCGGACAGGCTGAGATGGGAGGATTGCTTGAGCCCAGGAGGTAAAGGCTCTAGTGAGCCAAGTTCCACTGCACTCCAGCCTAGGTAACAAAGAGATATCTTGTCTTTAAAAAAAGAAAAAGGTAAATAAATTATTGTAATTGATTCGAGGTGGCTAATTTTTTTTTTTTTTTTTTTGAGATGGAGTCTCTGTCGCCAGGCTGGAGTGCTGTGGCGCGATCTTGGCTCACTGCATCCTACAACTACCTGGTTCAAGGGATTCTCCTGCCTCAGCCTCCTGAGTAGCTGGGATTACAGGCACGCGCCACCACGCCCGGCTAATTTTTGTATTTTAATAGAGATGTAGTTTCACTATGTTGGCCAGGATTGTCTCAATCTCCTGACCTTGTGATCTGCCCGCCTCGGCCTCCCAAAGTGCGGTGATTACAGGCATGAGCCACTGCGCCCAGCACGAGATGGCTAATTTTATTCTCAGCAGTTCCCCGGTAGCAGCAGGCAGTTTGAATTGGCGTCAGAATCTGCTGAGCCCCACCCCTGGAGAATCAATACACTGGGTAATATTCTGACATTCAGTTAGCTTTGGAAAATTTTTATTAGATCGTAGTACATGCTAATTTACATATGGCCAGGCATGGTGGCTCACGCCTGTAATCCCAGCACTTTAGGAGGCCGAGGCTGGCAGATCACCTGAGGTTAGGAGTTTGAGACCAGCCTGGCCAATATGGTGAAACCCGGTCTCTACTGAAAATACAAAAATTAGCTGGGTATGGTGGTGGGCACCTGTAATTCCAGCTACTGAGGAGACTGAGGCAGGAGAATCGCTTGAACCTGGGAGGTGGAGGTTGCAGTGAGCCAAGATTGTGCCACTGCACTCCAGCCTGGGCGACAAGAGTGAAACTCTGTCTCAAAAAAAAAATTTTACATATGATTGCTAATTAGGAAATTTTTCATTTCAGTCGTCAAGAACTTTTAAGGGCAGAGGCCAGGTGAGACTCTGTCTCAAAAATAAAAGGAAAGGCAGAAGGTGGACCGCAGTGTGATAAGTAGTATTTCACAAACAGTATTTTTCTGTGGCTTGTCTTACAGGTACACCAGGGGTTGGAAAAACCACACTAGGCAAAGAACTTGCGTCAAAATCAGGACTGAAATACATTAATGTGGGTGATTTAGCTCGAGAAGGTAAGGGACACTTTGGTGTTAGATTTGTTTTGTTTTTTTTTTAAGGTCTGGTAAGTGGAGTGTTAGTGCTGGGTATTGTCATAGGGTACAAAAAACAGAGATTGCCATTAAAGAATATATACTCTGTTAGGGAATCCACAGAAATATTAAGTGTCTAATGCTATGTCCTGGTTATTTTGACCATTTTCCCTTCCGCCTTCAAAATGGCTGGCAATTCTTGTGAATAGTTGGGAAGGCTCCTATAAAGAGACTGGATTTCGGATAGGTAGAATGTGAATAAGGAGAATGTTTTTAAGTTGAACAAACAAAGGTTTGGTACTGCTAAACATATATATGAGCACAGTGAGTATATTGGTCTCACTGGAAAGAGACTGTTTTGAGCTCAGGTGTGGGACCTGACTATGCTATGGTATCTTAGATTAGTGTGAGATTTGCATGCAACTGCATATATTCTAAGATGATCATTGTTTTTATTTATTTTACCCTGTTTTCCCCTAATCTTTCATCGCTCCCTTATTTGTGTCTTCATCTTTTTATAGTCGACAATGATTTGTACATGGTAGGAACTCAATAAATTAAAGCGACCTTAAGTTGCCTCATTAAAATTAAGAAAACATATGGTTTAAATTTTAAAAATTTTTTTACAGTTTAACATAGATTTAAAATTTTTTTAAGTTCCTGACAGTTGCTACTAAAGTAACTATTTCAGATTGATCTAATGTACATATTTTTTTCAAATGATCTAAAGTCTGATCATCGGATATCATGGAGTCTGGCAAGACGGCTTCTCCCAAGAGCATGCCGAAAGATGCACAGATGATGGCACAAATCCTGAAGGATATGGGGATTACAGAATATGAGCCAAGAGTTATAAATCAGATGTTGGAGTTTGCCTTCCGATATGTGACCACAATTCTAGATGATGCAAAAATTTATTCAAGCCATGCTAAGAAAGCTACTGTTGATGCAGATGATGTGCGATTGGCAATCCAGTGCCGCGCTGATCAGTCTTTTACCTCTCCTCCCCCAAGAGATTTTTTATTAGATATTGCAAGGCAAAGAAATCAAACCCCTTTGCCATTGATCAAGCCATATTCAGGTCCTAGGTTGCCACCTGATAGATACTGCTTAACAGCTCCAAACTATAGGCTGAAATCTTTACAGAAAAAGGCATCAACTTCTGCGGGAAGAATAACAGTCCCGCGGTTAAGTGTTGGTTCAGTTACTAGCAGACCAAGTACTCCCACACTAGGCACACCAACCCCACAGACCATGTCTGTTTCAACTAAAGTAGGGACTCCCATGTCCCTCACAGGTCAAAGGTTTACAGTACAGATGCCTACTTCTCAGTCTCCAGCTGTAAAAGCTTCAATTCCTGCAACCTCAGCAGTTCAGAATGTTCTGATTAATCCATCATTAATCGGGTCCAAAAACATTCTTATTACCACTAATATGATGTCATCACAAAATACTGCCAATGAATCATCAAATGCATTGAAAAGAAAACGTGAAGATGATGATGATGACGATGATGATGATGATGACTATGATAATCTGTAATCTAGCCTTGCTGAATGTAACATGTATACTTGGTCTTGAATTCATTGTACTGATATTAAACATGCATGCTGGATGTTTTCAAGTTGTGTTTTAGAAAACTAATAATAATGAGTAAACACAGTTACCATACTTTTCAATTGAAATGAAGGTTTTTCATCAGCCTTAAAAGTGTAAGAAAAATAAAGTTGTCATTCATTCGATTGTTGGTGCTTTGGCAGTTATGTTTTTAAAAGCAATTTTCTCCTTGTTGTCACCAAGAGGAGTAACAGTTGGCAGTTGCAGCAATTTGCAGTACTGCAGTCTATTTTTGACCACTAGAGTGTCACCTTAAACGTCTTCAGATACATAGATCATAGTATGATCTCTGGTGTGTACGTCACTCTTGTGATCTGTTCTCTCAGATTGCTGAAGTATAACCATGACTCCCCTTTGGAGAGACCAGTTGGTCAGGATTTTTATTCATAGTGAATTCTTAACCTGCTTTGATTATCTTCCTCAATTGCCCAACTTCCTAGGTCCCATTTTTCTGTCCTTTTGGTTATATTAAGGACCCTTAGTGTCTCCCAGTATGTCTCCACTTTTTAAAAAAAAATTTATAAGTGTCTCTTTTTGCAGGTTAATTTTGAGCATCTTTGTTTTTCATATTCCTGATACTATAAGCCAGTATCATGTTCATTTTTGATCCAGGGCTGATAATTAGGTTATAGTGTTTATATATATATATATTTTTTTTAATTTAAAATATTTTTTTGTCCAAAAGAACGTCAATTTATCAAGGTTATAGTTTCTAAAACCTAGATTTTTATTTGCTATCATACAACTACTCATTTTCCATTTCATTTTATTTTATTTCCTGAGACAGAATTTCATTTTGTTGCCCAGGCTGCAGTGCAGTGGCACAATCTCAGCTCACTGCAACCTCTATGTCCCAGGTTCCAGCTATCTTTGCACCTCAGCCTCCCAAGTAGCTGGAATTACAGGTGTGCACCACCACACCTGGCTAATTTTTATATTTTTAGTAGAGATGGGCTTTTGCCATGTTGTCCAGGCTGGTCTTGAACTCCTGGCCTCAAGTGATCTGCCCACCTCGGCCTCCCAGAGTGCTGGGATTACAGGTGTGAGCTACCTCACCTGGCCTTTCCTTTTTTTTTTTTCTTTTGAGACGGAGTCTCCCTCTGTCGCCCAGACTGGAGTGCAGTGGTGTAATCTCGGCTCACTGCAAGCTCTGCCTCCCAGGTTCACGCCATTGTCCTGCCTCAGCCTCCCAAGTAGCTGGGACTACAGGCACCTGCCACCACGCCCAGCTAATTTTCTGTATTTTTAGTAGAGACGGGGTTTCACCGTGTTAACCAGGTTGGTCTCGATCTCCTGACCTCGTGATCCACCCACCTTGGCCTCCCTGAGTGCTGGGATTACAGGCGTGGGCCACCGCGCCCAGCCCGGCCTTTCTGTTTTATATCTATATGAAATGTGGTTTTGTTCCTCACTGTTGAACACCACCATTTTTGACAAGTGATTTCTGAGTCACATAATAGTCAATTTCATTCATGCATTCCAATGTTACTTTCACTCAATTTAACATTTCTAAACTAATTAGAGCATTAATAGCATTGAGAGCAATGGTGACACCAGACCAAGGACAATCCAGTATAAGGCACTTGTCTTCCTCTTCTTTGGGTCCTCTCCTACCAGTACTTAAACCATTTCATTTGGTTGAGACAGAGTCTTGCTCTGTTGCCCAGGCTGGAGTGTGGTGGCCTGATCATAGCTCATTGCATCCTTGAACTCCTGGGCTAAAGTGATCATCCTGCCTCAGCCTCCCTTGTAGCTGGGACTACAGGCACACACCATCCTGCCGGGCTAACTTAAAATTATTTTTGCAGAGACAGGGTCTGGCTTTGTTCCCCAGGCTGGTTTACTCCTGGGCTCAAATGATCCTTCTGCCTTAGCCTCCCAAAGTGCTGGGATTGCAGACGAGAGCCACTGTACCTCAAGTACTCAACACCATTTTAGTCAGTTGTGTATAGTCCCACCCATCCTCTTTGTTATTAGTGAGATTATTTCATGAAATGGGATCTAAGTCTTAAAGGAAAAGTATTTTTTCCCCCTCCTGTAATGCCAGATAAAAGATTTCTGGTCTGACTTGACATGGAGTTTGATGGAGGTACTTTGTGGGGTTTTTTTGTTTGTTTGTTTGAGACAGGGTCTTGCTCTGTGGCCCAGGCTGGAGTGCAGTGGCACAGTTTCCCCTCACTGCAACCCCAGCCTCCCGGGCTCAAGTGATCTCCTGCTTCAACCTCCCCAGTAGCTGGGACTACAGACACAAGGCCTCACTGTGTTGCCCAGGGTGGTCTCCAATTCCCCAGGCTCAAGTGATCCTCCCACCTTGACCTCTCAAAAGTGCTGGGATTACCGGTGTTAGCCATTGTGCCCAGCCTGATGAGGTACTTTGTAAGGTTTGACATACCAGATTTTTTAACCCAGATCCTGTTTGAATATATCTGGAAATATTCTGGGGCAACTAACCTCATTTTTATTTCAAGTGGGGATATATTTTTAAGGGAAACCAGGCAATCATCTATAATGAAGTGATTCTCAACTAGGTGATTTTTGCCCTTTGGGGGTATAGCAATGTGTGAAGACATTTTGGGTTGTCACATGGAGGGGGAGGTGATGGCCAGGGATTCTACTAAAGATCCTGTAGTTCACAGGACAGTCCCCTGTCTCCCTTAGTAACAATTACCAGACTCAAAATGTCATTAGTAATAAGGTTGAGAAATCTTGCTGTAAAGAAATAAGGCTTATTCCGATGCTCACTAAAGTCGGAAAAAAAGAAAGCTTTTAAGAAAACCCTATTTTAAACTTATTTCTAAAAGTTTAGTATCATCCTGGTGATCATGTGGAATTGCAGTAGTAGTTGAGAGAGGTCATCTTCACTCCCAAAACCAAGGCAAAAAAAAAAAAAAAAAAAAAGGGAATCAAGTTTAAGAAAACTGGCCGGGGGTGGTGGCTCATGCCTGTAAATTCCAGCACTTTGGCCCAGCATGGTGGCTCATGCCTGTAATCCTAGCACTTTTGGGAGGCCGAGGCGGGTGGATCACCTAAGGTCAGGAGTTCAAGACCAGCCTGTCCAACATGGTGAAACCCCATCTCTACTAAAAATACAAAAAAGTAGCCAGGTATGGTGGTGGGCCCCAGTAATCCCAGCTACTCGGGAGGCTGAGACAGGAGAATCACTTGAACCCGTTAGGCGGAGGCTGCGGTGACCCGAGATCACACCACTGCACTCCAGCCTGGGCAAGACAGAGCAAGACTCAGTCTCAAAAAAAAAAAAAAATCAGTCCGGCGTTGCTGAGGGTGCCTGTAATCCCAGCTACTCAGGAGGCTGAGGCAGGAGAATCACTTGAACCTGGGAGGTGGAGGTTGCAGTGAACCGAGATCATGCCACTGTACTCCAGTCTGGGTGACAGAGAGAGATTCCGTCTCAAAAAAAAAAGAAAACTATTAAAGAGTCTTACTGTGGGCCGGGCGCGGTGGCTCACGCCTGTAATCCCAGCACTGTGGGGAGCCGAGGTGGGCAGATCACGAGGTCAGGAGATTGAGACCATCCTGGCTAACACGGTGAAACCCCGTCTCTACTAAAAATACAAAAAATTAGCCGGGCGTGGTGGCAGATGCCTGTGGTCCCAGCTACTTGGGAGGCAGAGCTTGCAGCGAGCCAAGATCGCGCCACTGCACTCTAGCCTGGGCGACAGAGTGAGACTCCATCTCAAAAAAAAAGAGTCTTACTGTGGTATGACTGTAAGAGTGCTTCTCTTATTGCTATTCTTCCAGTCTCAAGACTCCTCCTCACTTGATACCCTTTCCTATATACAATCATTTTTATACTCTTACTAGCATCCTTAATTTTCCTGGCAGCAGTTTTTCGGTCTTCGGCCTCTGTTCCTAACTGCAGAATACCCATAGGTCTAGACGAAGTAATATATTGACATTGGATCCATTTCCAGTAGAAATTGTAAAGCATAGCTTGGCTTGAACACTTAGAATCTTGATATATCTCTAACCTAGGGGTTGGCAAGCTACTGTTGTTTTTGTATGACTTCTGAGCTAAAGACTAGCTTGCAAAGCGTAAGGTATTACCTGGCCCTTTACAGAAAGAAAAAATGCTGATCCCTGTTCTATCCTTTTCTGAATCCCATTTTTCTCTCCCCTTATCAACTCCCACTGGAAGCCTTGGAAACTAACTCCTCTATTGACCTCTCTGACACTGCTCTCTCCCTATCTTTGCCTCTGGTCTTTCCCCTTCCACCTGTTTCCCCCATGATTTCATTGCAGCCATATTGTAATTCTGCCCCTCCCACTAGTAATCTCACTCATTCAGGACTATTCACTCCCTTGTGCTGATGACTTAAATTTATAATTAAAACAACCCAATTTCTAGACACCTATTAGACAACCATCTGGATAGTTCCCAGATGTTTACAGCTCTAAATTAGTATGTTTAAAGCACGTGCTCTGAAAGCATCCTTGACTATACTTGCCCACTCCTCTGATTTCTACCTCCCAAGCATATAAATACACATTCACTCTCTCCACACAGATCCACTTGGCCTTTAAATCTTGACGGTTTCTCCTACACATCCCTACAGTACCCCTATTTCATCAAGACCCCTGGTGCTGTGCCTAGAATCCTACCTAGAATCTCCTGTTTGACTTCTTCAGTATCTCTTTCTTCCCTCTTCTACACTATCATTTTCTTAAAAGTGGGGAAGGAGAATGACATGATTTGAACTTTTTACTCACATAGTCCATTCTCCTTCAGGAAATATAGGAGATTCTTTATAAAATGGCCACAGTTTACCTGCAGCCGTTCTCTCCCCTATGTCCCCTTCAGTGCAGCCATCATACCCTGTTCTCACTAGGAATTTTCCACCTCGAGTATTTATGCATGCTGTTCTCTTTATAGGTTTCCTTATCTTCCTTACAACTCCTTGGAGGCCCAACTCCAATGTCATATCTTTGGCTGTCTAACTTCACTATGCAGAATTAATTGCCCTTTTCTTTTCGCATAAAAAGCCAGGTATTTTAAAGGCACCCAATCACTCTAAACCAGTTAATTTCTTGTTCTAATTGCTTTAGAGTTATCAGCTTCTTGTTGAGTTGAGGTAAATGTGGTGAATATGTTTTCAAAAGAAGAAATATGAAAATAAAAATTTTAAGTATTGGCAGCAGTGTCAAAACAACCAGCATCCCAATATGATTAAAGAACAGCTTTCACTTGAGTGTATATAAGTTCTAGGATGGCAGTTAAACATAATGTCATGATTTTACAGTTTGACAAACAGCAGCAGCTGGGAAGGTTTTTTAAGGTAAGAATGAGCTTTAAAAAATTTTGTGGGGCCTGGCGCAGTGGCTCACACCTGTAAACCCAGCACTTTGGGAGGCCAGGGCGGGTGGATCACCTGAGGTCAAAAGTTCAAGACCAGCCTGGCCAACATGGTGAAACCCCATCTCTACTAAAAATACAAAAATTAGCCAGGCATGGTGGCGGGCACCCGTAATCCCAGCTACTTGGGAGGCTGAGGCGGGAGAATTGCTTGAACCCAGGAGACGGAGGTTGCAGTGAGCCAGGATCATGCCATTGCACTCCAGCGTGGGTGACGAGAGTGAAACTCTGTCTCAAAATTTAAAAAAAAAAAATTTTTTTTTTTTTGAGACAAGGTATCACTGTCACCCTAACTGGAATACAGTGGTGCAATCCTGGCTCACTCCAGCCTCAAGCAGTCCTCCCACCTCAACCTCCAGAGTAGCTGGGACTATAGGCTGGCACCGCCATGCTGGGCTAATTTTTTTTTTTTTCTTTTGGTAGTGGTGGGGTGTTGCTATGTTATCCAGGGTGATCCCGAACTCCCAGGCTCAAGAGATCCTCCCACCTCGGCCTCTGAAAGTGCTAGGATTATAAGCGCGAACCACCATGCTCACCCTTTTAACTCTGGCCCCACAATTGATTTTTTTTCTGCAAGCAATATATCTGTACCTGGAATTTAAAAAAATAAACTGCAAAACTTTGTTTAGAAAGTTGATTTAATTTTCTAATCTCTCAGTCCTTAAACAAATCAACCTTTTTGATCTTTGCTTAAGATCCTATGTATAGGCAAGTATAAATTTGGCTTCCAATTGAAACTTTCTAAAGTAGCATAAAATTTATTCTTTTTTTGAAATTTGAAATGAAGTTTAGGATCCGTTCATTTCTCTGGTACAGGCTACAATCATCACTTACCTAAAAATCTGCAGTAGACTTGATAGCCTCTGGGACTCCGTCTCAAAAAAAATAAAGACTTCAATCCTAAAAGTTAACACATCTATTTTAGACAGCATATATTGGTTCAAGTCATCTTTCTTTTTTTTTTTTTTTTTTTTTTTTTGAGACAGAGTCTTGCTCTGTCACCCAGGCTGGAGTGCAGTGGCGCGATCTCAGCTCACTGCAGCCTCCTCCCGGGTTCAAGCGATTCTCCTGCCTCAACCTCCCAAGCAGCTGGGATTACAGGCACCCGCCACCACGCCTGGCTAACTTTTGTATTTTTGGTAGAGATGGGGTTTCACCATGTTGGCCAGGCTGGTCTCAACTCCTGACCACAGGTGATCAACCACCTCGGCCTTCCAGTGTGCTGGAATTACAGGCATGAGCCACCGCACCGGCCAGAGTCATCTTTTAAAAGTCAAAGATTTAAAGTATGAAGGAACCTCCGTGTTTATCTATTCAAGATTACCACATAGTACAGAATCAGCTATAGGTATTCTTAGATTTTGTGGTACTGTTAAAAAAATATGCAATACTGTAAAAATAGTATATGGAAAAATACTCCAAAGCTTTTGTTTTTCTTCTAATCTTTGTCCCTAGTAAGGACAACTTTGAATTCTGCTTTTTGTGTTTTACACTTGTATATGTGAGCATTTATCATGTTGCTGCCTAGTCTATACTACATAGTATTTTTAAACTATGTTAACTATAATACTATAACTCTAATACTTATTAATTTTAATTACATAATTTTTACAAAATTAATTACATAATATTTTATAAAGTTATAAAGTTGGTAAATCAAGATTTAACTTTTCTTATTGTTCAACATTTTTTATTATTTTCTAATTTTGTCCAATTAGAAATTAAATGGTAGTGTAAATATCTAAATGGATTGAACATATAACAGGCATAAATATAGACTCATTTTAATTTGCATCTCTTTAATAGCTAGGAAAATTCAGTATTTTTTCATGTGTGTTTACTGATTTTTTCCACTCTTCCATCTTGTGTGAATTCTTTTCTTGTTTATTGAGCAATTGTTATTTTGGTTTTAAGGTCTTTATATTATCTACATTTCAGTCCTTTGTTATTTCTCCCATTCTGTTACTTTTCTTAGAATTTGATTATTTCTCAAGGAACAGAGAGTCAACATTTTAAATAACTGGATCAGTCTTTTTATTTCTTCTGCTACTCAACAAACTCAAATGAATCATTCCTTTATAGCTCCATCTGGGGTTTGTGGTATAAAGTAAGGATTTAGATTGTTTTCTAAATTGTTAACCAGTTTTCTTCATACCAAGACAGTTTAATTTTTTAGGTTGGTAGAGTTCCTGGTAGGTGAGCAATAGCCCAAGGAGGCAGAGGCCACACTAGAGTGCTAGAAAGGTGGTTTATGTGCCTAGAATCAGTCCACAGACCCTCCAGGCAAGACAAGGAGTTACAACTGCTTTTGTGCCCTCCAGTGTCCATCAGACTGCCCCCGCAGTGACCATCAGACTACTCCTGTGTCCCTTCAGAATTTATGTTCATTTTAACCTCATTTCAACCCGTACCAAAATATTAAGGGGAAAGAGGTGGGAAGACTGCTATATAACATGCTCTCAGAGATGGTTAATGGATGATCTGAGCTTGCCTTAGATTAATACCTCCTAAGGGCTGGGGCTAAGGGTAAGATGGTATGTCTTACCTCCTGAAAGAATACTTCTTTTGAAAACCAGCTGTGATTTGTTGGAAAGTTCTTATGTTAAATTTAAATTTGCCTCCTTTGTAACTTTGAACGTTATTTTTGTTTTGCCTTCTGAAATGAGACTATTTAACTCTTATGAGGAACGGCAGTTTGGAATACTGGAAATCTAGAAGTAAAGATACTGTTCAGGAGCATTTGGATCCTGACCCTTCTCTATTCCCATGAGGATGTGAGCTCAGTGACAGAGGGTTCATTTCTGGAATAAAGAATCTGTTATTGCTTTTTTCTTTCTTTCTTTTTGGAGACAGGGTCCTGCTCTGTCGCCCAGCCTGGAGTACGGTGGTGTGATCTCACCTTATTGTAACCTCCACCTCCCAGGCTCAAGCAATCCTTCTGCCTCAGCCTCCCAAGTAACTGGGACTACAGGTGTGCACCACCATGCCTGCCTAATTTTTTTTTTTTTTTCTGTAGAAACAGGTTCTCAACATATTGCCCAGGCTGTCTTGAACTCCTGGGCTCAAGAGATCCTCCTACCTCGTATGGGCTGGGATTACAAGCGCAAAGCCACCATGCCTGGCCTGTTACTGCTTTTGATAAATTAATCTGCTTTTAAATGTATGTGAGTGTGTTTGTATCTGTTCAGGTGTTTCCTCTTCCCGCCAATCTGTAGTTCAACAAAAATAGTGTAGTCCTCTTCTAGTAGCCCCACAAATTCTGAAGTTGGTTATTCACTCTTTTTAGTTGGTTTCAGTTTTGATATTTAAAGCAGTTTCAGATATATTGCAATCCAAGTTTCCCTCTAAACAAAATTCCAATTTATCAGTTAGTATGGCTCCTTTATATTTGGTGTTTATGTAACATTTATTTTGTTAGTATCCACCCTTGTATCTAAAAGAATAATTGATGATACATTTCCTTTCCTGAAGTCTAGAATTAATTGAAAATTACTTAAAGTTACTTAGAAAATATTTCAACAAGCAATTCTAAATCTCTTTTAGAGCAATTGTATGATGGCTATGATGAAGAGTATGACTGTCCCATTTTAGATGAAGACAGAGTAAGTATGACTTTTTCATAAAGTATGCATTTGTTGAATTTCATAGGAAAGTTGACTTCAGTTTTCTTAAGAAGCATTTTTTTTTAAACTTTTCTTACAGGTAGTTGATGAGTTAGATAACCAAATGAGAGAAGGTGGAGTTATTGTTGATTACCATGGTTGTGATTTCTTCCCTGAACGCTGGTTTCATATAGTTTTTGTGCTGAGAACAGATACCAATGTATTGTACGAAAGACTTGAAACAAGGTAAGAAAGGAAAAACATTAGATTCTTAAAGCATAATGTTAACTTTTATTCAGATTTCTGAAATTGGCCATGATAAAAGATTGTTGTTGTTTGTTTTGTTTTGTTTTGTTTTGTTTTTTTGAGATAGAGTCTCGCTGTCACCCAGGCTGGAGGGCAGTGGTGTGATCTCGGTCCACTGCAACCTCCACCTCCCTGGTTCAAGCAATTCTTGTGCCTCAGCCTCCTGACTAACAGACCACGGGCACATGCCACCTTGCCTGGCTAATTTTTTTATTTTTTGTAGAGATGGGGTCTCCCATGTTGCCCAGACTGGTCTCGAACTCTTGGGCTCCAGCAATCTGCCCACCTCAGCCTCCCAAAGTGCTGAGGCTACAGGTGTGAGTCATAGCACCCAGCTAATAAAGGGTTTTATTTGAAAATATGACTACTTTAAAATATGGGCAGTACTTTTTGAGTAAATTAATATCTCAACTGACAATCTGATTGAGTAAAATGTACTGTGTAGAAACCCAATTTAGTCGGCCGGGCACAGTGGCTCACGCTTGTAATCCCAGCACTTTGGGAGACCAAGGTGGGAGGATCACAAGGTCAGGACATCGAGACCATGCTGGCTAACATGGTGAAATCCTGTCACTACTAAAAATGCAAAAAAAATTAGCCGGGCATGGTGGCAGGCACCTGTACAGTCCCAGCTACTCTGGAGGCTGAGGCAGGAGAACGACGTGAACCTGGGAGGTGGAGCTTGCAGTGAGCTGAGATCACACCACTGCACTCCAGCCTGGGCAACAGAGTGAGACTCCGTCTCAAACAAAAAAAAGAAACCCTATTTAGCCATGCTTTTTCTTTGATGTAAACCCTTGCTAGGAAAACAGCCAAGCCCCTAACATATTCTTTGCTTATTGACTGAACACTACTCACTCAAATTATCCCTGCATCAGGAGTGGGAAAGCTTATGAAAAACTAACAAAATAAACCAGCATTTCACAGTCTTTAATAGATACCGAGTTAAACCCACAAATAGAGCATCAGATTTAATGCGGAAGAACCAGTAAAGAGAAACTTTTAGGGAAGTCTTTTATCCCCACTGTCTTTTGATCAAAGCTGTGGGAATATGGGGATTCTAGAGAAATTAGAGAGCAATCTCAGAAAGGAAAGCTCCAGAATTTTGCTTAAGGTCGGGGTCAGAATGTGTGGTTTTCACTGATTATAGTCAACTCTGACTAACCACTATTATTTGCAATACTTGTAAATCCTTGCACAGAATAGTATGGCAGCAAATATACATATAGAAAAAGTTAAATTGGGGCTAAACCTAAAACTTTTATCTTTTTTAGGCAGTGAAAAGCCATTAAAAGTTTTGGGGCAGAGAAGTAATAGAGACTATATGGTACATATGCTTTTTTTCAATCAAGACAATTTAAAATTTTGATTAAAAAATTACTGTTTTACATATATAGCCAAGGGTAAGACTAAGGTATGAAAAAACTATGAGAGAGCTAGTTAGTATTTTTAACTATCGAAAAGGTTGTAAAAAAGTAACAGCTTTAGGCTGGGCATGGTTGGGTGGTGAGGGGGAGGCAGGACGGCTCACACCTCACACCTGTAATCCCAGCAATTTGGGAGGCTGAGGCAAGGTGATTGCTTGAGCCTAGGAGTTTGAGACCAGCCTGGGCAACATAGCAAGACCTTGGTCTCTACAAAAAATAAAAAATTTAGCCAAGTGTGGTGGCATGCACCTGTGGTCCCAGCTACTTTGGAGGCTGAGGTGGGAGGAATGCTTGAGCCTGGGAGGTTGAGGCTGCAGTGAGCTGTGATTGCACCACTGCACTCCAGCCTGGTTGACAAAGCAAGACCCTGTCTCAAAAGCAACCAAAAAACAAAAATATCCACTTTATTGAGATTTAGTTTACATTCACCCACTTAAAGTACATAATTCAGGTTTTTTTCTAGTTTTATGGGTACATAGTAGGTGTATATATCAGTTGCTCATTTGTTTTTTTGTATATCAAAAAGTTGTACAATCATTACCACAAACAATTTTAGAAAATTTTGGGGGTGGGCGCGGTGGCTCACGCCTGTAATTCCAGCACTTTGGGAGGCCAAGGTGGCTGAATCATGAGGTCAGGAGTTCGAGACCAGCCTGACCAACATGGTGAAACCCCGTCTCTACTAGGAATACAAAGATTAGCTGGGCGTGGTGGCTTGCACCTGTAATCCCAGCTACTCAGGAGGCTGAGGCAGGAGAATTGCTTGAACCCGGAAGGTGGAGGTTGCAGTGAGCCGAGATCACACCACTGCACTCCAGCCTGGGTGACAGAGCAAGACTCCGTCTCAAAAAAAGAAAATTTTTGTCACCCCAGAAAGGAACCCCATACCCAGTAGTAGTCACTCCCCATTTACCCTCAGTTCCCCAGCCCTAGGCAACCAATAATCTACTCTCTGTCTTTATGGATTTGTCTATACTAGATATTTCATATGAATGAAATCATACAGGATGTGGACTTTTATGCCTGTCTCCTGTCAAATTAGTTTGTTTTCAAGGTTCATTCATATTGTATCATAGACCAGTACTTCATTTCTTTTTATTGCCAAATAATATTCCATTGTATGGATGTATCATTTTTAAAATACATTTATCAGGTTGTGGACATTTGGGTTGTTTCACTTTTTGGCTGTTATGAATATTGTATCCATAAACATTCTTGCACATGTTTTTGTGTGGACATCATGTGTTTATTTCTCTTGTTTATATATCTAGGAATTGAATTGCTGGGTAATATGGAAACTTTGTATTTGACCCTTCCAATAACTGCCAGATTGTTTTCCATAGTGGCTGCATCATCTCATATTCACACTGTGTATGAGGGTTCTAATTTGTCCACATCCTCACCAACAGCTGTTATTGTTCATATTTTGGTTGTAGTCATCCTGCTGGATGTGAAGTAATATCTCATTGTAATTTTGATTTGCATTTCCTATACAGCTAGAGATGCTGAACATCTTTTCATGTCCTTATTAGACAGTTGTGTATCTTCCTTGGAGAAATATTTACTCAGATTCTTTGCTTAAGTTTTAATTGGGTTACAAATCTTTTTATTACTAAGTTATGAGATTTTGCTAATTTACTAATTCATTGGGAATTTATTGAGTAGCTGACAAATTGTGGGGGGGGGAAATTCAAACAAACCTAGATGCTGGTTTGGTGATCTTTAGTTTCACCCTAGTGTCAAGAAACTGTGTCATATAAACAGGTACCAGTCACTCCTCTCTAGGTGAAGAGACCATTTCTGTAATTTTTCACGTATTGAAAAGTGTCCAGTTTCTGGTATGTTTCTGAAACTCCAGTTAATGCCATTTATTTTGCTTCTTGTTTGCTTAACCTCCCTGCCTTCTAGGGGTTATAATGAGAAGAAACTAACAGACAATATTCAGTGTGAGATTTTTCAAGTTCTTTATGAAGAAGCCACAGCATCCTACAAGGAAGAAATCGTGCATCAGCTGCCCAGTAATAAACCAGAAGAGCTAGAAAATAATGTAGATCAGATCTTGAAATGGATTGAGCAGTGGATCAAAGATCATAACTCTTGACTTATAAGGCTAGCTACTTAATAATCACTCTTGTTGATATCTCTGCCGACATCATAGAAATTGTTCAAGTGTCAGTAACACTTTATTAAAATCATGTTGCAGAACCAGCAGGTGGATAGTATATAGGTTTATGCCTGTGTTTCTTTTTCTCCATGAGAAAGCTAAACATGAAATATAATGAATATAGTATTATTAAGGATTGAGACAAAAACTGTGATTTTAATACTTAAATTGCTAAAGAATAAATAAATCTGACAAAATGGGTGGATATCTTTTAAGTTTATTACAGAAAAAAATGCAGATGATCTCTTAAAATAAAACTAAAGATAAAGCAACAGAGTATTCCTTTTTTCTTTCTTTAAATTAGAAAAAAAGTTAAGTGTTGTACTCGATACAAAGTTCAAAAGGTACAAAAGAGCATGTTGAAAAGTTAGGTCTCCCTTCCAGACCACCCTATCCCCAGGCACCCCAGGTTCCTTCCCTTTAGGAAATAATGTTACTGGTTTCCTATATGTCTTTTTAGAGGTTTTATGCCTGCACAGTGTATATGTACATGTGTACATTTTTTAAAGAATATAACAGTATATTATGCACACTATTCTGTACCTTTCTTTTTTCACTTACTATATTTGAAGATTATATCATCTCAGTACAGACCTCCCTGTTCTTTTTTTTAGTTGAGATAGATATACATATCATACAATAAAATTTACCATTTTGAAGTGTATAATCAGAACCGGGTATGGTGGCTTATGCCTGTAATCCCAGCAAATGGGGAGGCTGAGGTGGAGAATCGCTTGAGGCAGGAGTTCAAGACCAGCCTGGGCAACATAGTGAGACCTTAGACTCTAAAAATAAACATAAATAAAATTTATAATCCGTTGGTTTTTAGCTTATTAACAAGGTTATGTAACTGTCACCACTGTGGAGGAAGCAGTGATGATAAAGGGAACTCCTATACCCTTTAGCAGTCACTCTCTATTCTTTCCTCCTCATCCCCTTGCAGTCACTAGTCTACTTTCTGTCTCTATGGATTTGCATATTCTGGATATTTCATATAAATGGGATTATACAGTATGTGGCCTTTTGTGTCCAGTTTCTTTCACTTAGCATAATGTTTTCAAGGTTCATCTAAGTTATAGCATGTACCAATATCTCATTCCTTTTTATGGTTGAATAATATTCCATTATATGGATTTACCACATTTTGCTTATGTTTCCATCACTTGCACAATTGGGTTGTATCCACTTTGGGTATTGTGAAGTTGAATACATAATAGTAGCATACTATGAGCATTCATGTACAAGATTCCATGTGGATGTATGTTTTCAGTTTTCTTAGGCATATACCTGGGAGGGGAATTGCTGGGTCATAGGGCAACCATGTTTAACTTTTTGAGGAAATGCCAAACTGGTTTCCAAAGTGGTTGCAGCATTTTATGTTCCCACCATCAATGTATTAGGGACTCAGTTTCTTCACATTCTTGCTAACACTTGTTACGGTCTATATTTGTTGATTTTTACCATTTCAGCGATTTTTATTAGGCTAAGTGTGTGTGTATGTTCTGTAACTTACTTCACTTGCAGGCATGACAGGGTGAGGTCTGTCTCTCTACATGGGCCACTCCCGGGGTCTGGTCACAATATACCACCACAGGGGGCAAAGCTTCAGTCCTAGACCACCAGTTGGGATTTCCTCCTGCAGCTGCTTAACCTCTCACTCCTGGCTTTGCCTCAGCAGTTTCTTCCACTGCTCTCTCTTGGCTAAGTAATCAGGGTACATTGCCTTCTCAGAAGGATTCCAGTCATCTAAGCACCACTCCAGAGACTTGTAGCATATCACTCGTATCTCTCATAGGAAGTACCCCCAGAGAGTCAGGGAAGAGAATGGCTGTGAATGCTGACGATACCAGAATTCCTCTGCCTCCCTCAGCAGTGGGGTAGCCTCCATCATACCCTTTTTTTTTTTCCTATGCTCTTCAAACCAGGCTCTCATCAAACAGGCAAAATATACCATTATTTATCTCTGGATGCACCATGGCTTGAGGTGGTACAGCGCCTGGTTACAAAGCAGCAACACCTTCTGGTGATAGGTCAAGTAGGCCCTCCAGCATCGAGAACACCATGACTGCTTGATCCCATCTTTTTTTTTTTTTGAGACGGAGTCTTGCTCTGTCGCCCAGGCTGGAGTGCAGTGGTGCAATCTCGGCTCACTGCAAGCTCCACCTCCCGAGTTCACGCCATTCTCCTGTCTCAGTCTCCCAAGTAGCTGGGACTACAGGCGCCTGCCACCACGCCCGGCTAATTTTTGTATTTTTAGTAGAGACGGGGTTTCACCATGTCAGGCAGGATGGTCTCGATCTCCTGACCTCGTGATCTGCCCACCTTGGCCTCCCAGAGTGCTGGGATTAGAGGCGTGAGCCACCGCGCCTGGCCTTTTTTTTTTTTTTTTTTTTTTTTTTTTTGAGGCAGTCTCACTCTTGTTGCCCAGGCTGGAGTGCAATGGCGTGATCTCAGCTCACTGCAGGTTCAAGGGTTCAACCTCCACCTCCCAGGTTCAAGCGATTCTCTTGCCTCAATCTCCCAAGTAGCTGGGATTACAGGCATGCACCACCATACCCGGCTGATTTTGTATTTTTAGTAAAGACAGAGTTTCTCCCTCGAACTCCCAACCTCAGGTAATCTGCCCGCCTCAGCCTCCCAAAGTGCTGGGATTGCAGGCGTGAGCCACCTTGCCTGGCAACTCCCATCTTTTTTATTATAACTATACTAGTGGGTGAGTAGTATATCACATTTTGGTTTTGATTTACATTTCTCTAATGATTTATGATGAGCATCTTTTCATGTGCCTATTGGTTTATCTTCTTTGGATCCCTCATCTTTTTAATGTTTGCATAAAATGGCATTAATGAGGCTAGGCCCAGTGGCTCATGCCTGTAATCCCAACACTTTGGGAGGCCGAGGTGGGTGGATCACCTGAGGTCAGGAGTTTGAGACCAGCCTAACCAACATGGTGAATCCTTGTTTCTACTAAAATACAAAAATTAGCCGGGCGTGGTGGTGGGTGCCTGTAATCTCAGCTACTTGAGAGGCTGAGGCAGGAGAATCGCTTGAACCGAGGAGGTGGAGGTTGCAATGAGCCGAGATTGCACCATTGCACTCCATCCTGGGCAATAAGAGTGAAACTCCCATCTCAAAAAAAAAAAAAAAAAAAAAAAGCCATTAATGATATGCCAAGTACCCAGGCACTGTGGCTCACACTTGTAATCCTAGGACTTTGGGAGGCCAAGGCGGGCGGATGACTTAAGCCCAGGAGTTTGAGACCAACCTGGCCGACATGGTGAAACACTGTTCCTAAAAATAAATAAATAAATTAATTAATTAAGTAAATAGGCCAGGCCGGGCGCGGAGGCTCACGCCTGTAATCCCAGCACTTTGGGAGGTCGAGGCAGGCAGATCACGAAGTCAGGAGATTGAGACCATCCTGGCTAACACGGTGAAACCCCGTCTCTACTAAAAATACAAAAAATTAGCCAGGCGTGATGGCAGGCACCTGTAGTCCCAGCTACTCGGGAGGCTGAGGCAGGAGAATGGCATGAACCCGGGAGGCAGAGCTTGCAGTGAGCCGAGATAGTGCCTCTGCACTCCAGGCTGGGCCACACTCTGTCGCAAAAAAAAAAAAAATAGGTCAGGCATGGTGGCTCACTCCTGTAATCTCAGCACTTTGGGAGGCCTAGGTGGGAGGATCACTTGAGCTCAGAAGTTCGAGACCAGCCTGGGCAACATAGTGAGACCTCGTCTCTATTTAAAAAAAAGAAAAAAGAGGCTGGGCATAGTGGCTCATGCCTGTAATCCCAGCACTTTAGGAGGCCAAGGCAGGTGGATCACTTGAGATTAGGAGTTCGAGACCAGCCTGGCCAACATGGTGAAATCTCGTCTCTACCAAAAATACAAAAACTAGCCAGGCATGGTGGTGCATGCCTGTAATCCCAGCTACTCCGGAGGCCGAGGCAGGAGAATCGCTTTAACTCAGGCAGCGGAGGTTGGAGTGAGCTCAGATTGTGCCACTGCATTCCAGCCTGGGCAACAGAGTGAGACACTGTCTCCAAAAAAATGAATAAATAAATAAAAATAAAATAATAGCCCAGAGTGGTGGCATGCACCTATAGTCCCAGCTACTCAGGAGGCTGACGCAGGAGGATCACCTGAGCCTGAGGAGGTCGAGGCTGCAGTGAGCTGTGATTGAGCCACTGCACTCCATCCTGGGCGGACAGAGTGAGAACTTGTCTCAAAAAAAAAGACATGCCAAGTTTGATTTAATCAGTCCTCTCACTAATGGACATTTAGGCTGTTTCCAGCTTTTTACTATTACAATGATGCAAGAATAATAAAGAGTAAATATATTACTATGACATAAACTTCTAAACACATTTCAAAAGTGAATTCTTTATCCACATGACCACTCTCTGAGGTAGATGTTATTATTATTTCCATTACAGGAACCAAGGCACAGAAGAGTTAAGTGGCTTATCCAAGATAATAGCTAAAAAGTATTAGCTTCAGTGTTCTATCTTAGGCAGGCTTTCACTCACTAAGTTGTGTTCCCTAATGCATATGCGTTATGCATATGAGCAAGTTTATCTGTTGAGTAAATTCCCAAAGACAAATTGTACGCAAGCTTAACATTTAGTAGACTAATTTTTTTTCTTTTTTTTTTTTGAGACAGGCTCTTGCCATGTCACCCAGGCTGGAATGCTGTGGCACCATCATAGCTCACTGCAGCCTCGACCTCCTGGGCTCAAGTGATCCTCTGACTTCAGCCTCCCAAGTAGCTAGTGAAACCCTGCCTGTACAAAAGATACAAAAATTAGGCCAGTGGTTCATGCCACTGCACTACAACGTGGGCAACAGATGAGGCTGCATCACAAAAAAAAGAAAAGAAAAGAAAAAAGAAAAACCAACAAAATTAGCTGAGTGTGGTGGCATGTGCCTGTAATCCCAGCTACTCAGGAGACTGAAGCGGGAGAAGCGCTTACACCCAGGAACTCGAGGTTGCAGTGAGCTGAGATCGCACCACTACACTCCAGCCTGGGTGACAGAGTGAGACACCATCTTAAAATTTTCAAAAAGGCCAGGCACGGTGGCTCCCGCCTGTAATCCCAGCACTTTGGGAGGCCAAGGCTGGTGCCTGAGGTCAGGAGTTTGAGACCAGCCTGGCCAACATGGTGAAACCCTGTCTGTACTAAAAATGCAAAAATTAACTGGGCGTGGTGCTGGGTGCCTATAATCCCAGCTACTCAGGAGGCTGAGGTAGGAAAATTGCTTGAACCTGGGAGACGGAGGTTGCAGTGAGCCAAGATCACGCCACTGCACTCCAGCCTGAGCGACGGAGCAAGACTCCGTCTCAAAAAAAAAAAGGCCTGGCCAAAATGGTGAAACCTCCTCTCTACTAAAAATACAAAAATTAGCCGGGCATGGTGGCACACATCTGTAATCCCAGCTATTCCAGAGGCTGAGGCATGAGAATTGCTTTAACCCAGGAAGTGGAGGTTGCAGTGAGCTGAGGTTGCAGTGAGCTGAGATTGCACAACTGCACTCCAGCCTGGGCAACACAGACAGACCCTGTCTAAAAAAAAAAAAAAAAAAAAAAAAGCAAAGAAATCTGCACATATGGGCACATTTTTAAAAATGTTTTCTTTTTAAAGTTTTTCCCCCGCGCCCCCCACCTGAAGCTGACAGTAGTTGATGGGCCATTTTTTTATTTTGAGACAGGGTCTTGCTCTGTCACCCATGTTGGAATGCCATGGCATGCTCTTTGCTCACTGCAGCCTCAATCTCCCCAGGCTCAGGTGATCCTCCCACCTCAGCCTCCAAGTAGCTGGAACTACAGATGCTCGCCAGTACACCTGGCTAATTTTTTAACTTTGTGTAGAAACAAGGTTTCACCACGTTGCCCAGCCTGGTCGGGAACTCCTGGGCTCAATGAATCCTCCTGCCTCAGTCTCCCAAAGTGTTAGCGTTACTGGCGACAGCCACCGAGCTCTGTGGCAATTTTTGATGGAAGTCCAAAGGCAAGTCAATGGGGGAAAGAATAATCTTTCAACAAGTGAAAAAATTTAGTGTCTTGGATTAGAAAAAAGATTTTTCTGATAAGACACAAAAAGCACAAACCATAAAGGGACTGATACATGGGACTTCAGCAAAATTCATAACTCTTTCTCTCTTCAAAAGACAATGTTAAGAAAATGAAAGCACAAAGAGCCAGGGCAGCAGTGCTCACCCTAGTCCAAACTACTCCCAGCTACTAGGGAGGCTGAGGTAGGAGGATCACTTGAGCCCTGGAGTTGAAGGTTGTAGTGAGGTATGACTGTGCCTGCAAATAGCTACTGCATGCCAGCCTGGGCAACATAGAAAGACTCCATCTCTACAAATTTTAAAAAAGAGAAAGAAGATGAAAGCACAAATCACAGATTGGAGAAAATGCAAAATGAATATCTGATATCAGGTGTGTATCTAGAATATGTACAGAATTATCAAAATAATAAAACAACTTGATTTAAAAAAATCAACAAAATCGGCAAACCTTAATCTAGATTAACAAAAAAGAGAAGGGAGGGGATATCACTACTGACTACGGAAATCAAATGGATTATAAAGGAAAACTATAAACAACTGTATGCCAACAAATTAGATAATTTATATTAAATGGACAAATTCCTAGAAATTCACAAACTTCTGAAACTGATTCAAGAAGAAATATAAATTATGAATAGGCCTATAACAAGAAAATATAATAAATTAGTAATTTTAAAACTTCCTACACAGAAAGGTCCAGGCACAGATGGCTTCACTGGTGATTTTTTTAAATTAATTAATTAATTTATTTATTATTATTATTTTTTAGATGGAGCTTCACTCTTGTTGCCCAGGCTGGAGTGCAATGGTGACATCTTGGCTCAGTGCAACCTCCGCGTCCCGGATTCAAGCAATTCTCCTTCTTCAGCCTCCCGAGTAGCTGGGATTACAGGCGCCCACCACCACACACAGCTAATTTTTTGTATTTTTAGTAGAGACGGGGTTTTACCTTATTGGCCAGACTTATCTTGAACTCCCAGCCTCAGGTGATCCACCCACCTTGGCCTCCCAAAGTGCTGGGATTACAGGTGTAAGCCACCACACCTGGCGATTTTTTTTATTGTTTATAAAGAAAAGAGGTTTAATTGGCTCATGGTTCCACAGGCTATATAGGAAGCATGGCTGGGGAGGCCTGAGGGAACTTATAATCATGGTAGAAGGCCAAGGAGAAGCAGGCACGTCTTACATGGCTAGAGCAGGAAGAAGAGAGAGCCACTGGTGAATTTTATTAAATGTTTAAAAAAGAGCCAATACCAATTATTTTAAAATTTCTCCCAACAAATAGAAGATAAGGGAATAATTCCCAACATATATTAAAAAGTTTACATTCAGGATGAATTGCTGTTGGCCCAGCACAGTGCCTCATGCCTGTAATCCCAGCACTTCGGGAGGCCAAGACAGGCAGATCACCTGAGGTCAGGAGTTTGAGACCAGCCTGGCCAACATGGTGAAACCCCATCTCTACTAAAAATACAAAAATCAGCCAGGGATGGTGGCAGGCGCCTGTAATCTCAGCTACTCCGGAGGCTGAGGCAGGAGAATTGCTTGAACCCGAGAGGTGGAGGTTGCAGTAAACTGAGATTGTGCCACTGCATTCTAGCCTGGGCAACAGAGCAAGACTCCATCTCAAAAAAAAAAAAAAAAAAAGATGAATTCTGTTAAGTTGAAAAATAAACAAATAAATAAGGCTGGGCATGGTGGCTCATGCCTGTAATCCCAGCACTTTGGGAGGCTGAGACAGGCAGGTCACCTGAGGTCAGGAGTTCGAGACCAGCCTGGCCAACGTGGCAAAATCCCATCTCTACTAAAAATACAAAAATTATCTGGGTGTGGTGGTGGGAGCCTGTAATCCCAGCTACTTGGGAGGCTGATCCAGGAGAATCGCTTGAATCCACGAGGTGGAGGTTGCAGTGAGCTGAGATTGCCCCACTGCACTCCAACCGGGTGACAGAATGAGACTGTGTCTCAAAAAAAAAGACCCGGCCGGGTGCAGTGGCTCATGACTTTAATCCCAGCACTTTGGGAGGCTGAGGTGGGTGGATCACGAGGTTAGGAGTTCGAGACCAGCCTGACCAACATGGTGAAACCCCGTCTCTACTAAAAATATAAAAATTAGCTGGGCCTGGTGGTGCATGCCTGTAATCCCAGCTACTCAGGAGGCTGAGGCAGGAGTATTGCTTGAACCTGAGAGGTGGAGGTTGCAGTGAGCCGAGATTGCGCCACTACACTCCAGCCTGGGCAATACAGTGAGACTCCGTCTCAAAAGAAAAGAAAAAAAGAAAAAGAAAAGAAATTAGCTGAGCATGGTGGTGCATGCCTGTAATCCCACCTACTCAGGAGGCTGAAGCAGGAGAATTGCTTGAATCCAGGAGGCAGAGATTGCATTGAGCCAAGATCGCACCACTGCACTCCAGTGTAGGCAAAAGAGCAGGACTCCATCTCACACACAAAAAAGAAAGCTATCCCATCTTCATGCATCAGAAAACTTAACATTGCTAAAATGGCAATACTTGCCAATTGATGTACAGTATTAGCACAATCCATATCATAATTCCCAGCTGGCTTCCTTGTAGAAACTGACAAGCTAATCCTAAAATACATACGGAAATTCAAGGGACTCAGAACTGCCAAAACAAAGTTGCAGGACTCACATTTCTTGATTTTCAAACTTACTACTAATGCCACATTAAGACAGGGTAGTACTGGCATAAGAATAGACATATAGATTAATGGAATAGGATTGAGAGACCAAAAATAAGCCCTTATATTTATAACCAATTAATTTTCATAAGCTTGCCAAGACAACTGAACATAGAAAGAACAATCTTTTTTGTTTGTTGTGTTTTGTTTTTGTTTTTTGTTTTTTTGTGTGTTTGTCTTTTTCTTTTTTTAATTATACTTTAAGTTTTGGGATACATGTGCAGAACGTGCAGGTTTGTTACATAGGTATACATGTGCCATGGTGGTTTGCTGCACCCATCAACCCATCATCTACATTAGGTATTTCTCCTAATGCTATGAAAGAACAATCTTTTAAACAAATAGTGCTGAAACAACTGGATAACTACACACAAAAGAATAAAGATGACGCCAGGCGCAGTGGCTCACGCCTGTAATCCCAGGACTTTGGGAGGCTGAGGCGGGCGGATCACCTGAGGTCGGGAGTTCAAGACCAACCTGACCAACATGGAGAAACCCCATTTCTACTAAAAATACAAAATTAGCCAAGCGTGGTGACACATGCCTGTAATTCCAGCTACTCAGGAGGCTGAGGCAGGAGAATCGCTTGAACACAGGAGGTGGAGGTTGCAGCGAGCCATGAGTATGCCACTGCACTCCAGCCTGGGCAACCAGAGCAAAACTCCATCTCAAAAAAAAAAAAGAAAGAAAAAGGAATAAAGATAAATCCTTTCCTCACACATACACAAAAAGTAACTCTAAAGCTCTAAAGGATCACAGATCTAAATGTAACAGCTAAAACAATACATTCTTAGAAGAACATATAGGAGTAAACCTTCATCAGCCTTTGTGAGGCAAAGCCTTCTTAGGTATGACACCAAAAGCATAAGCAACTAAAGAAAAAAATAGATAAATCAGACTTCACCAAAATTTAAAAACTTTTGTGGTTCAATAGACACCCTTAAGACTGTGAAAAGACAACCTACACAATGGTAGAAAATATTTGTAAATTATATCTGATTAGAGTCTAGAACTCTAATCAGATAACAAATTATATCTGATTAAGTAAGAACTCTTATAACTTAATCATAAAAAGATAAATAACCCTGTTGAAAAATGGACAATGAAATTTAATGGACATTTCTTCAAAGAAGATATGCAAATTGCCAATAAGCACATAAAAGATGCTCAACATCATTAGTCATTAGGAAAAATGCAAATTAAAACCATCATGAGAGATTGTTTCACACCCACTAGAATGACTAAAAGCAAAAAGACAAACAATAACAGGTGTTGGTGAGGATGTGGATAAATTGGAACCCTTACACATAACTAGTGTTAATATAAAATGGTGTAGCCACTTTGAAAAACCACTTGGCATTTCCTCAAAATGTTAAATATAGAGTACTATATGGCCCAGCAATTTCACTCCTAGTTCTATACCCATGAGAAATGAAAACATACACCCATACAAAAACTTGTCCATGACTGTTTATAGCATTATTCATAATTGCCCAGAATTGGAAACAATCCAAATGTTCATCAACTGATGAATGGTGTAATTCTTTTTTTTGAGTTGGAGACTCACTCTGTCACCCAGGCTGGAGTGCAGTGGCACGGTCTTGTCTCACTGCAACCTCCACCTCCCGGGTTCAAGCGATTCTTCCACCTCAGTCTCCTGAGTAGCTGGGATTACAGGCACTCGTCCACACCCAGCTAATTTTTGTATTTTTAGTAGACATGGGGTTTCACCATGTTGGCCAGGCTGGTCTCAAACTCCCGACCTCAGGTGACCCGTCCACCTCAGCCTCCCAAAGTGCTGGGATTACAGGCGTAAGCCACCACGCCCGGCCTGAATGGTATAAGATAATTGTGGTATGTCCATAAAACTAAATATTATTTGGCCATAAAAAGAATGCAGTACTGGCTGGGTGTGGTGGCTCACACCTGTAATCCCAGCACTTTGGGAGGCCGGGGTGGGCAGATCACCTGAGGTCGGGAGTTCGAGACCAGCCTGACCAACATGGAGAAACCCCATCTCTACTAAAAACACAAAATTAGCCAGACGTGGTGGCACATGCCTGTAATCCCAGCTACTCGGGAGGCTGAGGCAGGAGAATTGCTTGAACCCAAGAGGCAGAGGTTGCAGTGAGCCGAGATTGTGCCGTTGCACTCCAGCCTGGGCAACAAGACTGAAAATCCATCTCAAAAAAAATTAAAATAAAATTTATTTTTAAAAAACATGTGCTCAGGTAACAAAAAAAGACAAAAAATACATGTACAATGCTGCTAAACTATTGCTTAACAAATATATGCCGAAAGTCTTTAAAAGCTATATGTACAATTTGAGTACGTCTCAAGTAGCTGGGATTACAGGCACCTACCACCATGCCTGGCTAATTTTGTGTTTTTAGTAGAGACAGGGTTTCCCCATGTTGGTCAGGCTGGTCTTGAACTCCTGACCTCAGGTGATCTGTCCGTCTCAGCCTCCCAAAGTGCTGGGATTACATGTGTGAGCCACCGTGCCCGGTCCAAAAATAAATTTTATATCCATGCCTCCACAGTTCTAAATTTTGGAAAAGTTTTGACAAAGAAATCAGGGTTATCTTAGAGGTTATCTTAAAGTTTTTTTAAGGGGGACAGGTGGGAGTAAGCCTTGAAATATTTTTAGAGTGAAGACTGTTGTTTTAAATACATGTCAGAGTTTTAAGTGAAGAAAAATTATTTTTGGTTTGCAAAAGCTATTTGATGTGCCTACTCTACCATAATAGATACTAGGCAAACTGACTTTAAAATTATAAATGTATTAATCTTTTTTTTTTTTTTTGAGACGGAGTCTAGCTCTGTCACCCAGGCTGGAGTGCAGTGGTGTGATCTCGGCTCACTGAAACCTCCACCTCCTGGGTTCAAGCGATTCTTTTGCCTCAGCCTCCTGAGTAGCTGGGATTACAGGCACCTGCCACCACGCCTGGCTAATTTTTGTATTTTTAGTAGAGACGGCGTTTCACTGTGTTGGCTAGGCTGGTCTTGAACTCCTGACTTTGTGATCCACCTGCCTCGGCCTCCTAAAGTGCTGGATTACAAGCGTGAGCCACTTCACCCAGCCTATGTATTAATCTTTTAAAATAATCTTAAATCCTTGAGCATCTAATGTGCACATAGCATTGACCTTATTTATAATCAGGAGAAATTTTAGAGCCTCAATTTTAAGTCTCGTATATTTCCCAGTATACCTAGATATGTTTACTTTTGGGGTATAAGTGGTTAAGGCAAATGTGAGCTGGATCTGGAGAAGAGAAAGAATAAAGAGGTTTGTCACTGCGAGGAAAGTGTTTATTACTTGTCTTTGTTGTTAATGCAGAATGATCTTTAGACCCAGCAGTTTTTTGACCACTACCACGTCCCTTTGGTTATTCCAAGGTTGTAGGATATTAGGAAATAAAACCAAAATTATTTCACCAAGGTAATGAAGTTATGATGCAGCATGTTTTCATGGGGTTATAGGTAGGTAGCACCCATCTCAGAAAACCACCAGGAATAGGTAACAGTCCCCAGTAGTAGCTTTCTAAGCCCACAGGGCCATTCCTGTTGGTTTCCACTTCCATGACTTTGCTCCAGGAATTCCTTTGGCCTACAATGCCTGCTTGGTTTCTCAGTAATGAAAGCCTGCTTTTCTTTTGTTCTTTTTTTTTTTAAATTATCAGGGATTTTATTGATTTTACAAAGGATGATGTAGTTTCACTGACACTGCAGTATAAGAAATATAACAGCAAAAAGATACTGCCTTCCACCTCCCCCAACCCCAAGAACTTTCAGTAATGGAATTTCAGACTAAACCTTTCCTTTTATTTTCTTATTTTCTCTTCTCTTCTCTTTTTTTTTTTTGAAACGGGGTCTCACTCTGTCACTCAGGCTGGAGTGCAGTGGTGCAATCTTGTCTCACTGCAACCTCCACCTCCCGGAGTGATTCAAGTGATTCTCCTGCCTCAGCCTCCCAAGTAGCTGGGACTACAGGTCCGCACCACAAGGCCCAGCTAATTTTTGTATTTTTAGTAGAGACGGGATTTCACCATGTTGGCCAGGCTGGTCTCAAACTCCTAACCTCAGGTGATCAACCCACCTCGGCCTCCCAAGGTGCTGGGATTACATGAGTGAGCCACCACGCCCAGCCAGACTAAACTTTTCTAAATGTCATGTGGAAGATAAAATTATTTGTACAAATGTTTTCATAAATATATTAAAGCATTTCAACACCTAGCAATCCATTACTAAAGACATTAATTTAAAAAAATTATTGCAATATTTGGTGCCATTATATAATGGAAAATAAGGTAAACATGCAGACTGTATATAGTCTAATTCAATTAACAAATATAAGGAAAACCTATTAGCTAAATTTCTGGCATTTTTGAAGAAACTAAAATCAAGTTAACAGCACCCCATGGTCTCAATGTAACAGGAAAGGGAAGGGATGCTAAAACCCACCTCCTTTGATAACTTCCAAGTAGATGACCATCTGGCCTGATTTGCGTGGGATTGAGGGTTATCAGGATGTGGGACATTTAGTGTTAAAACCAGGGCAGTCCTGGCCCAGTAGGGACAGCTGGTACTCTTCACCCCTCCAGTTCTTTTAAAAATGTGTGCAATTGGCCAGGCGTGGTGGCTCACACCTGTAATCCCAGCACTTTGGGAGACCAAGACGGGTGGATTACAAGGTCAGGAGATCAAGACTATCCTGGCTAACATGGTGAAACCCCATCTCTACTAAAAATACAAAAAATTAGCTGGGCGTGGTGGCGGGCACCTGTAGTCCCAGCTACTAGGGAGGCTGAGGCAGGAGAATGGTGTGAACCTGGGAGGCGGAGCTTGCAGTGAGCCGAGATTGAGCCACTGCACTCCAGCCTGGGTGACACAGAGAGATTCCATCTCAAAAAAAAAAAAAAAAAAAGTGTGCAATATCCACATTGCTTTATTCTGGGACTTTTCTGCTTGCATATAAGGCTCTCCAGGAAGTCACGAAGCTGCATGATGGCGGGGCTGGAGGAATCAGCCACATCTCCGGGGCATCCACCTCTTGCATTAGAGGTGTCTTCAACTCTATCTTCAGGTGTCCAGGCTGCCACCAGGTAGCTAACAAAGAAATGTCCTGGGTGACTTTTGTCTTTGGTACTCTGTGCTTTCCCTGTTGACATCCTCAGCTCCTACCTCCACAGGCCTCGCACTGTATTCCCTGTGGCTCATGCCCGTGGACACTCTCTACAGGGACTTGCTCTAAGCACACTGTTAACTAATTGACAAAAATGCCAGCTATTGGCCGGGTACGGTGGCTCATGCCTGTAATCCTACCAATTTGGGAGGCTGAGGCGGGCAGGTCACCTAAGGTCAGGAGTTTGAGACCAATCTGGCCAACATGGTGAAACCCTGTTTCTACTAAAAATACAAAAATTAGCCGGGCGTGGTGGCGGGCACTTGTAATCCCAGCTACTCGGGAGGCTGAGGCAGGAGAATTTCTTGAACCCAGGGGGCTGAGGATTCAGGGGGCTGAGGATTCAGTGGGTCGAGATCGCGCCATTTCACTCCAGCTTGGGCAAAAGAGCGAAACTCCGTCTCAAAAAAAAAAAAAAAGGCAGTTATTGAAGCTCAAAGTGTGACCTCTTCTAGGAGTGTTGAGAGGTTTTAAAACGGCATTCTTAGACCTCAAAAATCTTTCAAAGACACAAAGCTAGACAGTAAAAATTGTTAGCTCTGTGAAAACCATTAGCTCTGTGAAAACCAAAGTGCAAAGCACTTAATAATAGCAATAGTTGTTTCTTACTGTGAACCATGTGTCAGGCACCATTCTAAATATTTCACAAACAATTCATATAGCAGCCCTGTGTGGTAGGTACTGAATCAAGCCAATTTCACAGGTAGAGACGCTGAGGCTGAGCTTGGTAATTGTCAGAGCTTGATTTGAACCCAATGCCATGCTTATATACCTCCAAAGTCAGGCTCTTTTTTACTTCACGATGAATAGTTTTTTTTTCTGATATCACACACACATACACACACTAAATATATATTATATATATAATGTATATATTATATATATTATGTATATATTATATATATATATATGATTTTTGTAGAGAGAGACAGGGCTCACTGCATTGCCCAGGCTGGATTGCAGTGGTGCAATCATAGCTCACTCTAACCTCAAACTCCTGGGCTCCAGCAGTCCTCCTGCCTTAGCCTCCCAAGCAGCTAGGACTATAACTATGCTCATCCAATTTTTTTTAAGAGACAGGGTCTTACTATGTTGCCCAGGCTGGTCTTGAACTCCTGGGCTCAAGCAATCTTCCAGCCTCAGCCTCCCAAAGTGCTGGGATTACAGGTATGAGTCACCATGCTGGGCCTCACATGTTAGGTTTTAATGAGGTCTCTTAGTTTGCCGCTAGGATCAAGTCCTCTCTCTTTTTTTTTTTTTGAGACGGAGTCTCGCACTGTGGCCCAGGCTGGAGTGCAGTGGTGCAGTCTCAGCTCAATGCAACCGCCGTCTCCCGACTTCCAGCGATTCTCTTGCCTCAGCCTCCCGAGTAGCTGGGATTACAGGTGCGTGCCACCACGCCCGACTAATGTTTTGTGTTTTTAGTAGAGATGGGGTTTCACTGTGTTAGCCAGGATGGTCTTGATCTCATGACCTTGTGATTCACCCACCTCAGCCTCCCAAAGTGCTGGGATTACAGTCATGAGCCACCGTGCCCGGCCTCAAGTCCTCTCTCTTACCTCTCACTGATTCAGCCACATACAATTATTTTGATCACCTGCTATGCACCCATGGTGTTCTTGGCACTAGGAATCCTGCTGTGAGTGAAGCTGAGCTCCTGCCTGGGTAGAGCCTGGGCCACATGGGTCTCCCAGCTGTGCTTTGAAGTCACTGTCAAAAGTCCTGGGCACTGGAGAATTTCATGTGTCTGTTGCTAAGGCAAGATGCCAAATTCCACATTTGCCTCCAACAGGAACAAATGTCAGTTTCCACCAAGCCCCACCTTGTTCAGGTGACTCCTGTTGTGAGTCTTTTCATACCATCTCCCCTTCACCCACAAGTGCCACCAACAGGCAGAGGTGGGGAGCTGGGTTTGGAGATACTGGTCTGATCCTTAGGTGAACTCCTCTCCCCTGATGTTGCAGGAGAATGGGTGCTCAGATGGAGAATCAGCACTCTTCTCAGGATTGGAAGGTGCTGTGGCTGGGGGAGTCTGCATTATGTTCTGGGCTGTGAGCTTTTCCAGAATTCTGCTCCACAGGCACACATCTGCTGTGTATGTATTTCATGGTATAAATCAGATGTCCCTGAGTTCTCTAGTATTGAATGTCTATGTAAAAAGTGTCTAGCCCCAACTGAGGATGCTGGAAGTCTAGTCTGTTAGGAGGCCCCTGAATATGTGCTTGTCTTGTGTGACCTTCCAGGAGGTGACTCAGTTCTCTTTTGTTCTGTTTCTTGCTCTAGGCTATTGCTCCATTTTTTTGTAGGTCATCTCCTGCCACTTCTTCTCTAGGGTAATGCTGTTTGCAATACACAGTTCCTTGTCTTGGTTTCCCAAGCATCTTAGTTCTGAAAGTGAGATATGGGCTTGTCTGGGACGTGGGGGACAAAGATCAGGTGCCTCCACAAGTGACTCTCCTCAGCTCCCAGCCAGCTGACAACTGCATGGACTGATGGTCTCTTTCTTTCCTTATCTGCATGCTGGTTTCCAGGACTTTGCGCACCCTGAAGGAGCCTCATATGACCCAGTAGTTTCATTCCTAGGCAGCTTTTATATCTTTTATCATTTTTCTAAGCTTAAGACACCTTTGGTCAGCCACGGTGGCTCACGCCTGTAATCCCGGCACTTTGGGAGGCCAAGGCGGGCGAATCACCTGAGGTCAGGAGTTCGAGACCAGCCTGACCAACATGGAGAAACCCCCTGTCTACTAAAAATACAAAATTAGCTGAGCGTGGTGGTGCAGACCTGTAATCTCAGCTACTCCAGAGGCTAAGGCAGGAGAATCACTTGAACCCGGGAGGCAGAGGTTGCAGTGAGCTGAGATCTCGCCACTGCACTGCAGCCTGGCAACAAGAGAAAAACTCTGTCTTTAAAAAAAAAAAAAAAGACTCCTTTTCTTTCCTCATTAATTTGGCGGCCACGTCTGTCCGGAACTTGTGGGACGTCCTCGTCTTCATCAGGTTGGCAGATACTCCAGCATGGCCTGCCGGCCGCCGAGGCCACCATCCACAGGCTCAAGGGCTCCGTGGTCGCTCCTTCGTGCTCCCGCCTCCAGAGGGAGCCAGACAGTGCATCCTTGCAGTGGACGCCGCCCGCCCGCAAAAGCCTGTTTTTCAATGACTGCCTCTACCTCTGAACCTCAGCTTAGATTTCTCTCTCTCTCTCTCTCCCTCCCTCTCCCTCTCTCTCTCTCTCTCTCTCTCTCTCCCACCCCCACCTCCTCTTTTTAAGACAAAGTCTTGCTCTGTCACCCAGGCTGGAGTGCAGTGGCGCGATCTCGGCTCACGGCAAACTCCGCTTGCCGGGTTCAAGAGATTCTCCTGCCTCAGCCAAGCAGCTGGGAATACAGGCACCTGCCACCACGACCGGCTAATTTTTTTTTTGGAAGAAAATGACTTTATTCTAATTAACTCACAAAGAATAAAATCATAACAGCTAGTTTAAGGAGGCCACACAAACATTTGCCCTGTCACAGATTCTACAGAGTAGGAACACCCCCCTTCCATTTCAATTCTGAAGCAAGGAAGCTAGGAATGACAGGAGAGGTTTAACTCATGGTTACACTTTATACCCTCACTATCAATTCTATTTTTATACTAAATTAACTTAGTTATGAGAGCTGATTTTCCATCTCTCCAGGTTGAACTTCTTGATTAGGCCAATCCGTTTGCAAGTCGGCACTGTTTCAGCACCTCATTGAAACCCTCACAGAGCTTGATGTCACCCTGGTTCTGGGCACACTCCAGAAACTGATCTCATAGAAGCAAGGCTGCTGCTGCTGTGCCGGCTGGGTTCCCTGAGGCTCCTGGTAAGTGATGTCAGGCCTCGCAGGCTCAGCATTACTTCCTCCCCTGAAAGCCCCAGTAATGGCGTGACCCACAGCAGAGCCCACAGCCACGCCAGCTGCAGTGGTTGCCATCTGGGCCATCAGACCTGGCTGCCGGGGCGCAGCAGCAGAAGAGCCAACTACAGATGGGGGTGCCGCTGCTGGTGGCTGAACGACTGGTACTGGCCTGGGTGCAGCTCTCATCTGAGGGGGCCTGGCTGGCCGGAGGGGCCATGCGGGAGGTGCGGCTTCGGCTTCCACGCGGCATCCTAGGTACGCGACGGCTCGGCCTCCGGACGTGTGACGACCGGCTAAATTTTGTATTTTAGTGGAGATGGGGTTTCACCATGTTGGCCAGGCTGGTCTCAAACTTCTGACCTCAGGTGATCCACCCACCTTGGCCTCCCAAAGTGCTGGGTTAACAGGCGTGAGCCACCGCACCTGGCCCGATCTACCCTTCTCTTACAGGATTCCTAGAGACTTAATATTTTGGTTTTGGTTTGTTTCTTTTTTGAGACAGGGTCTCCACTCCGTCGCCCAGGCTGGAGTGCAGTGGTCACTGTAGCCTGGATCTCCCAGGCTCACGGGATCCTCCCACCTGACGGCCTCCCGGCCTCCTGAGTAGCTGGGACTACAGGTACGCACCACCACACCCGCTACTTTTTAATTATTTTTTTTTTTTGAGACGGAGACTCGTTCTGTTGCCCAGGCTGGAGTGCAGTGGCACGATCTTGGCTCACTGCAAGCTCCGCCTCCCGGGTTCACGCCATTCTGCCTCAGCCTCCTGCGCAGCTGGGACTACAGGCACCCGCCACCACGCCCGGCTAATTTCTTGTATTTTTAGTAGAGAAGGGTTTTCACTGTGTTAGCCAGGATGGTCTCAATCTCCTGACCTCGTGATCCACCCGCCTCGGCCACCTAAAGTGCTGGGATTACAGGCGTGAGCCACCGCGCCCAGCCCTACTTTTTAAATTTTTTGTAGAGCGGGGTCTCACTATGTTGGCCATGCTGGTCTCGAATTCCTGGCCTCAAGCGATCCTCCCGCCTTGGCCTCCCAAAAGCTGGGATTACAGGTGTGAAACCCCGCGCCGGTCTGAACCTCAATGTTTGAACCACCAAATTTTACCTGTATTGACACAGGCCCCGTCTTGTTGTTTTTCTAAATCTCATGTCATTGTTTGCATATTGGTTACCCGTGGTTGGCTTTGGAGCTGAAGGTGGACAGAGCTAACATCAGGTTGCACACAGGAACACAGTGAGGTCGCGAAAAAGTAGCGCGAGCTGCCTCCATGGCCCAGGGCGACCTCACCGGCGTTTCCTGTCTGGGACTGCGCCCACGCGGTCACGTGGTGGCCCGGAGGACGCGCGGCGGCAGCGGCGCACGCGCACGGAGAGGAGGCTACTTGCCAGGTGAGCGAGCTGAGTGGGGCGCCGGGGCGGTAGGAGGGTGCTGTTCGCTGAGCTGGAGTCCGGGCTCCGGTCCCCGCCACGGACCTTGAGAGGGTACCCGGGGTCAGACCTGGCAGGTGGGAACCGGGAGTGGGGAGGACCCAGGGCAGGGGCGGGATGCGCAGATTCGTGGAAACTCTGCAGGTTGTGGACAAACTGCCCAAATCCTTTTCCCTGAATGCCAGTTTAATGGCCTCGTCTGATAAGAAAAAAATAAGAAATAGATTTCAGAGACCCTATTTCTCTCTCTGCCTCTCCACCTGCTTTACTTTTTTTCTCTTCTGTTAATTTTGAGCCTTATAAAACTATAGCGCCAGTATCCTGGTTTGGATCCTGAAACAGAAAAAGACATTAGTGGAAAAAATAATAAAGGCTGTGGTTTAGTTAATAGCACGTACCCATGTTAATTTCTTAATTTCGACAAATTGTACACAAATGTTGACATTAGAGGAATTTGGGTAAAAGGTACACAGGAATTCTTAGTACTATCTTTGCAATTTACTGTACATCTAAAATTATTCTAAAATGAAAAGTTAAGAAACAAAATCCTAAAGCAAAGTGCAGCAGGCCATTGTTCACCAGGGAGGGCTCAAGTTAGTTCCTCTTTGTCATGGAGTTAGGCATGTTTGACCAACTTGTTTGCTAAGGCAGAGTTGTCAGGCTACTGAATGTAGATTCTTCTGTCCAAAGGTTTCCGGGCAGGAATCGGTTTTCTCTTTCGATTCTGTCAAATATCTTTGGAACACATGTTGTGCATAAGCAAACGAGACACACAAAGTCTCTGCATAAGGGAATATACAGTCAGTCTAGGTCAGGTAGGAAGTAAGCACTATTAAAAAGATTCAGTAAAACCTCCCAGAACTGGGAAGACTCAGATGTGGAAGAAATCACATCTGGTCCAAGGGAGTCAGGAAGGCTACTGGAGGGAGTGCTGTCCTGAACTGAGGGGGCTCTGAGAAGAAACAGCATTCCTGGGGTGAAGAATGGCACCAATAGAGGCTTGCAGGTGACCAAGCTGAGCTGAGGGAGGAGCCCTGGGAGCAAGTGCAGTTCCTCTTACGTGGAAGCGCAGAGTACATCCAGGGAGTACTGCCAGATGAAACTGGAGGTGAAAACTGTAGCTTTGTTGTAGAAAACAGGGTGACACTTCAGTTGGATACATTATTTTTATTTTTATTTTTTTGAAACGGAGTTTCGGCTGGGCGCAGTGGCTCACGCCTGTAATTCCAGCACTTTGGGAGACCGGTGAGCAGATCTCCTGAGGTCTGGAGGTCTAGACCAGCCTGGCCAACATGGTGAAACCCCGTCTCTACAAAAATACAAATATTAGCCGGGCATGGTGGTGGGCGCCTGTAATCTCCGCTACTGGGGAGGCTGAGGCAGGAGAATCGCTTGAACCCAGGAGGTCTAGGTTGCAGTGAGCCGAGATCGCACCATTGCACTCCAGCGTGGGTGACAGACAATAGTGCTGTCTCAGCTCACTGGAACCTCCACCTCCCAAGTTCAAGCGATTCTCCTGCTTAGCCTCCCAAGTAGTTGGGATTAAAGGCGCCCGCCACCATACCTGGCTAATTTTTGTATTTTTAGTAGAGACGGGGTTTCACCATGTTGGCCAGGCTGGTCACAAACTCCTGACCTCAGGTGATCTGCCCGCCTCAGCCTCCCAAAGTGCTCGGATTACATGTGTGAGCCACTGTGCCCAGCCTACATTTTTTTTAAAAAGGAAAACAGGGTGACATTGACTACAATTATACATGCCATGGGAGCCATGGAATGTTTTACAGCAAGAGAGAGACATCATTCGGTTTGCACTTGGATATTATTGACTTGGCAGCAGTATGTAGGTTGGCTTGAAGTAGACCAATTAGGAAATTATCAGGCTAGCCTTGGGGAATTAAAGAGACGTTCCACCAGGGCAGTGAAATTAATGTGCAAAGAATGACATAGTTTGGGGAGATTTTTTTGGGTCTAGAAGACCTAGCAACTGAAGGCATGTGAAGACCAAAGAGGAAAAAACAATTCCAAAGTTTTGCTCCTGAGTGTTTTGGAGCATAGTTGATGCATTTGCAGAAATAGAGGACTCAGAGGGAGACCTGGAATGGGGGCTGGGAGGATAGTGAATTTTTTTTTTTTAGATGGAGTCTTGCTCTGTCACCCAGGCTGGAGTGCAGTGGTGCAATCTCGGCTCACTGCAATGTCTGCCTCCCGGGTTCAAGCGATTCTCCTGCCTCAGCCTCCCGAGTAGCTGGGACTACAGGTGCACACCACCGTGCCCAGCTAATTTTTGTATTTTTAGCAGAGACAGGGTTTCACTATGTTGGCCAGGCTGGTCTCGAACTCCTGACCTCATGATCCGCCCGCCTCAGCCTCCAAAGTGCTGGGATTACAGGCATGAGCCACCGTGCCCGGCGGTGAATTTGTTTTTGAGCAAGATGTGCTTGGATTGCTGGTGGAATATCCAGTTGGAGATGTGTATTTAAGATTAGTAAAAGAAGCCAAACATTTACAAAAGGGACAGGAAAAAGAAAAAGAGCCTTAGAGGACAGATATGAGAAGATATGAGTCAGGGAAGGAGGAGGATCAGATTTCTATTTCTAGGGGCTTCAGGAGTCAGGTGGACCTGGACTTAGTGAGTCAGTAGTGTCACAGCTCCTGCAAAGGTAGAGGAGACTGAGGAATGAAACTTGATCTTGGATTTATCTATGAGGAAGTCACTGGTCATCTTTTAAAGAGTTGTTTTAGTGGAAAAGTGAGACGACTGCTAACAGACTGTAATCTATTCATCCTACAGCCTTTCCCAAGTGGCCAGAGGACTGGACAAAGAGCCAGAAATATTGTTTCTAGTCCTGGCTCTGCTGCTAATTACCATTGTATTTGGGGCAAGTCACGTATGCCTGGGCTGGAATAGAAAAAAATACATCCGAGCTGGGCTCGGTGGCTCATGCCTGTAATCCCAGCACTTTGGGAGGCCGAGACAGGTGGATCATCTGAGGTCAGGAGTCCGAGACCAGCCTGGCTAACATGGTGAAATCCCATCTCTACTAAAAATACAAAAATTAGCTGGGTGTGGTGGCAGGCACCTGTAATCCCAGCTACTCAGGAGGCTGAGGTGGGAGAATCACTTGACCCAGGAGGCAGAGGTTGCAGTGAGCCGTGATCACGCCATTGCACTCCAGCCTTGGTGACAAGAGCAAAATTCCGTCTCAAAAAAAAAAAAAAAAAAAAAGACTTGAATCCTGGCTGGGCATGGTGGCTCACACCTGTAATCTCAGCACTTTGGGAGGCCGAGGCAGAAGGATTGCTTGAGCCCAGGAGTTTGAGACCAGCCTGGGCAATATAAGGAGACCTCGTCTCTACAAAAAATACAAAAATTAGCTTCTACAAGAACAAAAAAATTAGCCAGGTGTGGTGGCACATGCCTGTAGTCCCAGCTACTCGGGAGGCTGAGATGGGAGGGTCACTTGAGCCCAGAGGTCGAGGCTGCAGTGAGCTGTCACTGCACTCCAGCCTGGTCAACAGACTGAGACTCTGTCCATATAAAAATAAATACTTTAATCCTAAACGTTGACACATCTATTTTAGACAGCATATATTGATATGTTGGTTCAAGTCGTCTTTTAAAAGTCAAAGGTAGGCCGGGCGTGGTGGCTCACGCCTCTAATCCCAGCACTTTGGGAGGCCGAGGCCAGCGGATCATGAGGTCAGGAGATTGAGACCATCCTGCTTAACACGGTGAAACTCCATCTCTACTAAAAATACAAAAAATTAGCCGGGCGTGGTGGCGGACACCTGTAGTCCCAGCTACTCAGGAGGCTGAGGCAGGAGAATGGTGTGAACCCAGGAGGCGGAGCTGGCAGTGAGGTGAGATGGCGCCACTGCACTCCAGCCTGGGTGACAAAGCGAGACTCCATCTCAAAAAAAAAAAAAAGTCAAACGTATAAAGTATGAAGGAACCTCTGTGTTTATCTATTCAAGATTACCATATAGTACAGAATCAGCTGTAGATATTCTTAGATTTTGTAGTACTGTTAAAATACAATATTATAAAAATGGTATATGGAAAAATACTCTAATCCTACTAATTTATTTTTATCTTTTGTTTTTCTTCTAATCTTTGTTCTAGTACAGACAACTTTGAATTCTGCTTTTTATGTTTTACACTTGTATATGTGAGCATTTATCATGTTGCTGCCTAGTCTATACTACATAGTATTTTTATTTTTATTTTTATTTTATTTTTATTTTTTGAGATGGGGTTTCACTCTTGTTGCCCAGGCTGGAGATTATTCTTAAACTATGTTAAATACACTATAACTCTAATACTTATTTAATTAATTTTGTTTAATTACATAGTATTTTATAAAGTTGTTAAACCAAGATTTAACTATTTCTTTATTGTTCAACATATTTTATTATTTTCTAATTTTGTCCAATTAGAAATTAAATGGTAGAGTAAATTGCTGAATGCATTGAACATAAAACAGGCATAAATACAGACTCATTTTAATTTAAAAAATTAAAACAAAAAAAGTCCAGGCTTGGTGGCTCACGCCTATAATCCCAGCACTTTGGCAGACAGAGGTGAGCGGATGGCCTGAGGTCAGGAGTTTGAGACTAACCTGGCCAACATGGTGAAACCTTGTCTCTACTAAAATACAAAAATTAGCTGGGCATGGTGGCAGGTGCCTATAATGCCAGTTACCTGGGAGGCTGAGGCACAAGAATTGCTACAACCTGGGAGGCGGAGGTTGCAGTGAGCTGAGATTGCGCCATTGCACTCCAGCCCTCAATAAAACCAAAAGGACACTTTTATTCCTAGCAAAACCTAATAGTCTGGAGAACATGTTCCATGGAGCACACTTTGGAAAATGCTGATACAGAAACAATTTTAGAGCTCTGAAGAACCAAAAATCTAGTCCCCTAAATTGACAATTGAAGAAAATAGTATTCAAATTCAATAAACATTGATTTGGCTACCATAGTTGATTTCAAATATATCAGTGGTGCCCAAAAATGTCCCAATAAAGTAGTTATGCTTAAACCCCTGTTAAGAAATAAAACAGGCTCTAAGAAGTTAAATGACTTACCCAAGATCAAAAAGTGGCAAGTGGTGAAGTGAGATTTGAACCCAGACCTCTCGAGTCAGTGCCTTCTCCGTTAACACATCCTGCTGCTTCCCTGGTCATCAACCCTGAATACATTAAACTGGTTGGATAGTTTAGTGACTTCAAATATTTTCACTTTCTTGGAAGTAATGTGTTTCAAAAGTGAAGTTTAATTTGTATGGTATTTCATGTTACCTTACTATCAGCATATAAAAAGTGGGAGAATAGGCCAGGCGGGGTGGCTCATGCCTGTAATCCCAGCACTTTGGGAGACCGAGGCAGGCAGATCATGAGGTCAGGAGATCGAGACCATCCTGGCTAACGCGGTGAAACCCCATCTCTACTAAAAATACAAAAAATTAGCCGGGCGTGGTGGCGGGCACCTGTAGTCCCAACCGCTCAGGAGGCTGAGGCAGGAGACTGGCATGAACCCGGGAGGCGGAGCTTGCAGTGAGCCGAGATCTCGCCAGGGCACTCCAGCCTGGGCGACAGAGCAAGACGCTGTCTCAAAAAAAAAAAAAAAAAAGTGGGAGAATATACAGTCAGCAGTCCCTGAAGTTACATTTTATTTTATTTATTTTTAGAGACAGGGTCTTGCTCTGTTGACCAGACTAGAGTGCAGTGGCGTGATCACAGCTCACTGCAGCCTTGACTTCCCACCTCAGGCTCCCGTGTAGCTTGGGACTACAGGTGTGCACCACCATGCCCAGCAGTTTTCTTTTTTTCCTTTTTTTGTAGACATGAGGTCTCACTGTGTTGCCCAGGCTGGTCTGAACTACTAGGCTCAAGCAGTCCTCCTTCTTTGGCCTCACAAAGTTCAGGGATTACAGACATGAGCCACCATTCCCAGCCTGAAGTTAAGTTTAAGAAACAGTAGGCAGGGATAAAAAACAAACAAAACAACAACAAAACCTCATTATATTCAACTCTGAATAGCAGGAAGGCGTACCCATGATGCCTGAATTTATGTGGTGCATTGAAAAATATTCTTAGCTAACTCTACAATTGCTTACTCTTTCCTTTTACAGCTTTTCCCCCTTATATTGACCAATTCCATTTTCTTCTCTGCTGCCTGCCTAATCCTGACCACACCCTTCTTAACACAGGCCAGAGGTTGCCCTTAACAAGCAGGAGTCTACTGCACTAGAGGTAAAACACAGCCTCTCAAGGGATTATTCTTTGATTCAATAAATATCTTCTTATCTACCTTGACAAAATAGGTAAATCTCCTTTTTAAGGAAATAATCTTGTAAAAGAACCAAGATGATTTTATAAAAATCTGGGAAAAAGTGGATCCAGAATCTGTTAGATGTTGCTCAAACTAGATATTTTAGACTTTTACTTTAAGTTCTATTTGAAGTCATAAATAATAGAAACTTGGTATACTCTGATGTTAATTTCATTGAAATTCTCCAAATAATACAAAACAGTGGCTAAGAGTGTTGGCTCTGACATCAGATATCTGGATTAAAAATCTGTCTCTGGGCCAGGGGTGGTAGCTCATGCCTGTAATCCCAGGACTTTGGGAGGCTGAGGTGGAAGGATCCCGTGAGGTCAAAAGTTCAAGACTGGCTGGCCCGAGACCCTGTTTCTACAAAATGAATTAAAAATTAGCCTGGCAAGGTGGTACACATCTGTAGTCCCAGCTACTTTGGAGACTGAGGTGGGAGAATCACTTGAGCCTAAGAGGTCGAGGCTGCAGTGAGCTGTGGATGCCATCACTGCACTTCAGCCTAAGCAATGAGCAACAGAGTGAGATGCTGTCTCTCTTTTTTTTTTTTTTTTTTTTTTTTTTGAGACAGAGGGTTTTGCTTTTTCACCCAGGTTGGAGTGCAGTGACACGATCTTGGCTCACCGCAACATCCACCTTCTGGTTTCAAGTGATTCTCCTGCCTCAGCCTCCCGAATAGCTAGGATTACAGGCACCTGCCACCACACCTGGCTAATTTTTGTATTTTTAGTAGAGATGAGGTTTCACCATGTTGGCCAGGCTGGTCCTAAACTCTTGACCTCGTGATCCGCCCACCTCGACCTTCCAAAGAGCTGGGATTACAGACGTGAGCCACTGTGCCCAGCCCGAGACCCTGTCTCTTAAAAAAAATCCATCTCCACTTCTGGTTGACTGTGTTACTCAGTCTCTGTCTGCTTCAGTTTAATTTTCGTACTTAATAATGGTATTTTCTTGCAGAGTGTTTGTAAAGAATAAATATAATCTAAGGCACTTAAAACTGTCTAGCACATGGAAAGCAGGCAACAAGTGCTAGGTATTATTACATCTTTTTTTTTTTTTTTTTTGAGACAGAATCTCACTCTGTTGCCCAGGCTGTAGTGCAGTGGTGCAAGCTCGGCTCACTGCAACCCCTGCCTCCCGGGTTCAAGCCATTCTCCTGCCTCAGCCTCCCAAGTAGCTGGGACTACAGGCATGCACCACCACACCTGGCTAATTTTTTGTATTTTTTAGTAGAGATGGGGTTTCACCATGTTGGCCAGGCAGGTCTTGAATTCCTGACCTCACGTGATCCGCCCACCTTGGCTTCCCAAACTGCTGAGATGCAGGCATGAACCACCACACCCAGCCTAATGAGTTTTGATAAGTGGCCACTGTGGTGAAGATATAGAAGTTTTCCATTACCCCAGAAAACTTCCCTCATGCCCTTTGTGGTCATTTCTCCAATGCCAAGCAACCATTAATTTGTTTACCATCATTGTGTGTTAGTTTTCCCAGTATTTCATACAGTATGTGCTGTTGTTTATTTATTTATTGTTTTAATTAGTGATGGGGATCTCGCTATGTTGCCCAGGCTGGTTTCGAACTCCTGGCCTCAAGTGATTCTCACACCTCAGCCTCCCAAAATGCTGGGATTACAGGTGGGAGCCACCACATCCGGCCTAGTATGTGCTTTTTTGTTAGCGTAATGTCTGGGAAATTCATTGCATATATCGGAAATGCATTGCATGTGTAATGCATATGTCAGAAATGCGTTGTTCTTTACTGACAAATATATTCTGTTGTATGGACAGACCACAGTTTCTTTGTTTTACTGCAGATGGACACTTGGGTTGTTTCCAATTTTTGACAAATTGAGTGATGTATGAATATTCATGCACACATCTTTGTACGGACATGGGGTTCTGTTTCTCTTGAGTAAATCCTGAAGAATGCAGTTGCCAGGTCACATGTTTGTAAGAAGCTATCAAATTGTTTTCCACAGTGGTTGTACCATGTTTTACTCACATCACCAATGTATGAGAGTTTCAGTTACTCCACATCCTCAGCAGCACTTGGAATTGTCAGTGCGGTGAGGTGGAATCTCACTGGGGTTTAAGTTATAATTGCCTGATAACTAATGATGCTGAGCATCTTTCCATCCATGTATCTTCTTTGATGACATATCTGTTCAAATCTTTTAAGGGTATTTGTTTTTAACATTGAAAATATATGGCATTTTGATCCTAAAAATGACAGAAATTCCTTAATACATGGTCAGATTTATTTGGTGTCTACATAAGGTTTAATAGTGGAAGAATAGAGAGATCTCCACAACAAATGCAAGACTGAGATTAAATGTCTTTCGAAGTTTTGGAAGCAACTACTTAAACAGCAGGATATTTAGAGAAAAATGTTAGACATGTTTATACCCCCACACCCCACTTTTTTTTTTAATGAGCCTTGAGAGAAGGATGAAATATTTCTAAATAGCTATAGCAAAGCAGCTGTTTTGAAATGCCTGGTGGTGAAAGTCCCTCTTAACTGCACTCTGTCCTGGAGGCACAAGGTTGAGCATTTCTGCTTCTCCCGGCTGCTTCACTGTCACCAGGTAGGTGACTAGGGTGGTCTCCACATGGGGAGGGCTCAGTGATACTAGTTGATCTGTAGGCATTTTTGCCAGGAGAAGTTTTCTGCTGGGAAGAAAGGCAGGCATAACTCCTCTGTATCTGCTGTGGAGTCCTGCTAGGGTGCCGGTTTTGTTTTTCTGCCCTAAAAGCAAGTACAGTCTAACCAAACCTGCTGTGCGTGGCCTGAGGTGGGATAGGAGCTCCGTGAGTTCCACATTGGTTGATTCAACCAACCAGGGTTGAAAATATTTGGAAAAAAAAATCCACAGTGTTCCAAAAACAAAGACGAATTTGCAGGACTCAGAGTACGAGGTTAAATCCACGGGAATGAAGTGATGTATAGGCAGTGTATTAGATATTATACGTAATTTAGAGACAATTGAAAATATATATAAAGTACACAGGAGGATGTGCCTAGATAATATGCAAATATGATACCTTTTTGATTAACAAATTAACAAATTTTTTTTTTTTTGAGATGGAGTCTTTCTCTGTCGCCCAGGCTAGAGTGCAGTGGCGCAATCTCGGCTTACTGCAACCTCTGTCTCCCAGGTTCAAGCAATTCTTCTGCCTCAGCCTCCTGAGTAGCTGAGATTACAGGCACACGCCACAATGCCCGGCTAATTTTTTTGTATTTTTAGTAGAGATGGGGTTTCACCATATTGGCCAGACTGGTCTTGAACTTCTGACCTCAAGTGATCCGCCCACCTTGGCCTCTGAAAGTGCTGGGATTACAGGCATGAGCCACCGCGCCAGGCCGAACAAAAAATTTTTTGAGATAGAATGTTGCTCTGTAGCTTAAGCTGGAGTGTGGAGGCACAGTTATGGCTCACTGCAGCCTCCACCTCCCAGAGCCAAGCAATTCTCCCACCTCAGCCTCCTGAGTAGGCGTGTGCCACCAGCTAATTTAAAAAAAAATTTTTGGGCCAGTGCGGTGGCTCACACCTGTAATCCCAGCACTTTGGGAGGCCAAGGCGGGTGTATCATGAGGTCAGGAGTTTGAGACCAGCCTGACCAACATGGTGAAACCCCGTCTCTGCTAAAAATACAAAAATTAGCCGGGTGTGGTGGCGCGTGCCTGTAATCCCAGCTACTCAGGAGGCTGAAGCAGGAGAATTGCTTGAATCCAGGAGGCGGAGGTTGCTGTGAGCTGAGATTGCGCCACGGCACTCCAGCCTGGGCGACAGAGCAAGACTGTCTCAAAAAAAAAAAATTTTTTTTTTGTAGAGACAGGTTCTCACTGTGTTGCCCAGGCTGGTCTCAAACTCCTGGGCTCAAGCAATCCTCTAGCCTCAGCCTCCCAAAGCCTTGGTATTACAAGTGTGAGCCACCATGCCTGGCTAAGAATTTGAGGATCCAAGGAAATACACAGGGGTCCTGGAACCAGTTCCCCTTGAATTCCTTGGGATGATTGTATTTCAGTTTGTTTCTTTATTCCTCTCTTCCTTTATTCAGTTACTAAACAAGTATTTATTGAATGTAGAGTATATCTGCTCCCCACCCCCACGTGGTGCCTCACTCCTGTCATCCGAGCTACTCCAGAGGCTGAACTGGGAGAATCACTTGAGCCCACGAGTTGGAGACCAGCCTGGGCAACATGGTTAGACCTCATCTCTCAAACAAACAAATGAAAAAAAAAACCCAGCTGGGCGCGGTGGCTCATGCCTGTAATCCTAGCACTTTGGGAGGCCGAGGCAGGCAGATCACCTGAGGTCAGGAGTTCGAGACCAGCTTGACCAACATGGAGAAACCCCGTCTCTACTAAAAAAAAAATAGAAAATTAGCCGGGCATGGTGGCGCATGGTTGTAATCCCAGCTACTTGGGAGGCTGAGGCAGGATAATCGCTTGAACCCGGGAGGCGGAGTTTGTGGTGAGTCAAGATTGCGCCACCACACTCTAGCCTGGGCAACAAGAGCGAAGCTCCGTCTAAAAGAAAAAAAAAAGAGTTCTGAAATGTTAAATACTTATAATTGGATTGCAAGGGCATTTATGTGCGAGTGCATTGCTAGGATATTCATGCCTGTATAATACAGAAAGAAACTTTTTTCCCTGAAAAATTCAGCTTTATTATACAGTTATGCACCAAATTATGTTTCAGTCAATGACAGACCACATAGACAGTGGTGGTCCCATAAGATACTATTGTATTTTTACTGTTCCTTTTCTATGTTTAGGTATGTTTACATACACAAATATTGACCCATGTGTAACGATTTCCTACAGTATTCAGTGCTATACCATGTTGTACAGGTTTGTAGACTAGGAACTATAGGCTCTACCATGTAGCCCAGGGGTATAGTAGGCTATACCATCTAGGTTTGTGTATGTATGCTCTATGGTGTTCACACAACGACAAAATTGCCTAACAACACATTTCTCAGAATATATTCCCATCATTAGGTGACACATGACTTTACTGATGGGTTTTCTTCATTTTGTTTGTTAGGTTTTTTGTTTTTTTAATTGAAAATTGACAGATTATGGCTGCCTATATTTATGAGGTACAAAGTGATGTTATGATTTATGAATACAATGTGGAATAATTAAATCAAGTTGATTAACATATCCATCATCTCAAATACTTATCATTTTTGTGGTGAGAATATTTGAATTTTATTCTATGAGCAATTTTGAAATGTTCAATACATTTTTGTTATATTCACCATGCTGTGCAATGTATTGCAAAGGAAAAAACCTTATTCTTCCTGTCTAACTAGGACTTTGTGCCCTTTGACCATCATTTCCCCATTCCTCCCATCCCCCAGCCTCTGGTAACCACCATTTTTCTTTCTGCTCCTTTGAGTTTGATTGTTTTTTATTTTATACATAAGGAAGAACGTGGTATTTGTCTTTCTGTGTCTGGCGTATTACACTTAGCATAATGTTTTCTAGTTCCATCCATGATGTCCCAAGTGACAGGATTTCCTTCTTTTTCAAGGCTGACTAGTATTTCATTGTGTACACACGCACACGCACACACACACACACACACACACCCCACACCATATTTTCTTCACCTGTTCATCTTTGATGGACACTTAGGTTGATTCCATATCTTGGCTATTGTGAACAGTGCTACAGCAAACATGGGAATGTAGACATCTCTTTGACATACTGATTTCAAATGTTTTGGGTAAATATCGAGAGGTGGGGTTGCTGGATCTACTGATGTTTTCCTAACTACTGTTTTTCTTAACTACAGACAGCCCATTTTTTCTTATGATAAAGACGGCATTTGGCTCATGAGCAAGGTGGCAAGATCATCAAGTGAGTCAGACGTGCAGCTCTGGGAAACAGAAGAGGATGACATGACAGAAGGTGATTTAGGGTATGGCCTCGGAAGGAAACCTGGTGGGATTTATGAAATAGAATTTTCACATAGGTCTAGAAAAAGATCAGATGGAAAGAACTTTAGCCCTCCTCCATTTCCGAGAAAGGGAGAAGAAAGAAATGAAGCGAGTTTTCAGTATTCCAAGCATAAGAGCCAGCAAGATACATTCCCTCAAGTGTCCAGAATTTCCAATTACAGACGACAAAGTAGCACTGGTAAGAATGCTGAATTTCCTCTCCTTTCTTTCTCCTGTGCATAGTATCAAAGCTATAACCCTTCCAAAATCTAAAATAAATAACCATATTGGATTTTAGATTTTCTTTTTTTTCTGGACGGAGTCTTGCTCTGTCACCCAGGCTGGAGTGCAGTGGCACGCGATCTCGGCTCACTGCAACCTCCACCCCCCGGGTTCAAGCGATTCTCCTGCCTCAGCCACTGGAGTAGCTGGGATTACAGGCATGCACCACTACACCTGGCTAATTTTTGTGTTTTTAGTAGAGGCGAGGTTTCACCATCTTGGCCAGACTGGTCTCAAACTCCTGACCTCAAATGATTTGCCTGCCTCGGCCTCCCAAAGTGCTGGGATTACCGGCATGAGCCACTGCACCCAGCTTTTAGAAATTTATCTTTATTCATCTCTTGGGATTGGTGGTAGTATAAAAGTAGTTGATAGCCGGGCGTGGTGGCTCACGCCTGTAATCCCAGCACTTTGGGAGGCTGAGGCAGGTGGATCACAAGGTCAAGAGATCGAGACCATCCTGGCCAACATGGTGAAACCCTGTCTCTACTAAATATACAAAAAATTAGCCGGGCGTGGTAGCAGGTTCCTGTAGTCCCAGCTACTCGGGAGGCTGAGGCAGGAGAATGGCATGAACCCGGGAGGCGGAGCTTGCAGTGAGCCAAAATGGCACCACTGCACTCCAGCCTGGGCGACAGAGCAAGACTCCATCTCAAAAAAAAAAAAAAAAAGTAGTCGATGTTTATATTTCTAAATATTGTACAGTACAGTAGTTATGCATCTAATATATTAATGATATCTATAAATGATTACCAACCTTGCCTTTTTTGTGAAGTACTTTTTTTTGCAGTCAAATATTTACTGGGCATCATTAGGTGTCAGGCACAGGTCCAATTTCTGAGAATAATGTCAGTAAACAAAATAGACAAAGGCCCTAATGTCATGGATTTCACATTCTAATAGAGGAGATAGAAAATAAACCTGCAGGCCGGGTACAGTGGCTCATGCCTGTAATCCCAGCACTTTGGGAGGCTGAGGCGGATGGATCACTTGAGGTCAGGAGCTTGAGACCAGCCTGGCCAACATGGCAAAACCCCATCTCTACTAAAAGTATAAAAATTAGCTGGGTGTGGTGGCACGTGCTTGTAGTCCCAGCTACTCGGGAGGCCGAGGCACAAGAATTGCTTGAACCCGGGAGGTGGAGCCAAAATTGTACCACTGCACTCCAGCCTGGGCAACAGAGCAAGACTTTGTCTCAAAAAAAAAAAAAGAAAAAAAACCAAAACCCTGCAAATCAACAGATGTGTAACATTGGGCAGTGGTAAGTGAAGGGATAGTGAGTGATTATGGGGAATGGGGTGCTAGTATTTCAGGCCAGGGTTAGGAAGGCTTCTGTAAGGAGGTGACATTTTTTTTCTTTTTACTTTTCTTTTTATTTTTTATTTTTATTTATTTATTATGAGGTGGAGTCTCACTCTTGTCGCCCAGGCTAGAGTGCAGTGTCACAATCTCGGCTCACTGCAACCTCCGCCTCCTGGGTTCAAGGTATTCTACTGCCTCAGCCTCCTGAGTAGCTGGGATTACAGGTGCCCGCCCCCATGCCTGGCTAATTTTTTTTTTTTTTTGTATTTTTAGTAGAGATGGGGTTTCACCACGTTGGCCAGGTTGGTTTCAAACTCCTGACCTCAAGTGATCCGCCCACCTCAGCCTCCCAAAATGCTGGGATTACAGGCATGAGCCACCGTGCCTGGCCTTTTTCTTTTTTAAAAAGAGACAGTCTCACTGTGTCACTAAGGTGGAGTGCAGTAGCATGATCACAGCTCACTGCAACCTCAAAGTCCTGGGCTTAAGCAATCCTCTTGCCTCAGTCTCCTGAGTAGCTGAGACTACAGGCATGTTCCACCATATCCGGCTAATTTAAAAGAAATTTTTTCGGCCAGGTGCTGTGGCTCACGCCTGTAATCCCAGCACTTTGGGAGGCTGAGGCGGGTGGATCATGAGGTCAGGAGTTTCAGACCAGCCTGACCAACATGGTGAAACCCCATCTGTACTAAAAATACAAAAATTAGCCAGGCATGGTGGCGTGCACCTGTAATCCCAGCTACTCAGGAGGCTGAGGCAGGAGAATCACGTGAACCTGGGAGGCGGAAGTTGCAGTGAGCCGAGATCGCACCACTGCGCTCCAGCCTGGCGACAGAGCAAGACTCAGTCTCAAAAAAAAAAAAAAAAAAAAAAAAAAATTCTAGAGACAAGGTCTCACTATGTTACCCAGGCTGGTCTCAAACTCCTGACCTCAAGCAGTCCTCCCACCTTGGCCTGAGCACCAGAATGAAGGGGAGAGTAAGGCAGTGGATCTTTGGGAAAGGAGTGTTCCAGGAAGAACAGAGATGCTTCTGGTTATTTTAGGAGGTCATGAAACTCTCAAAAATTGTCAAAACAGTTAGTCTTAATTTATCATAACCAAAAAGAAATTATACCTTACCTTATGGAAATAATAAAATTTAGCATCGTATTTTGATAAAATGTTACAACTCCAAAATGATCGGGAGTCTGTGGATAAGCCCATGCCTGTACCATGGCACCAGCTGTTATCTGGCTAAATATTTTGTAATCTATGTTGTAAAACTTCCTCTTCTGAAACTTCCCCTCAAAGTTGAACAAACACAAATTAGAACAACATGAGAGTGATTTAAGAAACATGGTTTCAGATTTACAAAAATACGTGGTAGCTCGTGGTAGCTCAGGGTTCATCCCCATCCTTCAACATCCCTCTTGAAATCAGAATGGGATTATTTTTATATTTTTCTTCCAATTCCTTATTGTGTATAGAGAATGGATACTGTTTTGAAAGCAAAATGTTGGAAACTGAGCATGATGCTAAGATGCCTTTATAAAAACATGAAGATGCCAGGTGCGGTGGCTCATGCCTGTAATCCCAGCACTTTGGGAGACTGGGGTGGGTGGATCATGAGGTCAGGAGTTTGAGACCAGCCTGGCCAAGATGGTGAAACCCCGTCTCTACTAAAAATACAAAAAAATTAGCTGGGCATGGTGGCAGGTGCCTGTAATCCCAGCTACTTGGGAGGCTGAGGCAGGAGAATCACTTGAACCTGGGAGGCGGAGGTTGCAGTGAGCCAAGATCACACCACTGCACTCTAGCCTGGGCAACAGAGCAAGACTCCATCTCAAACAAACAAACAAACAGCATGAAGAAACACTGGGGTATAAATAAGATTTAAATAGTAATAGTATGAGTTCCCATTTTGTTGGGTTATGAACTTTTCTTTTTATTAAAGTTGGCCCTATCACTAATAGATAATTTCCAAAATACCACACATTTAATGGCTTAAAACAACACAAATTTATTATTTTACAGTTCTGTAGGTCAGAAGTCCCAAACAGGCTACGTCTGGTAGCTGATGCCTATAATCCCAGCATTTTGGGAGGCCGAGGTGGGAGAATCACTTGAGGCCAGGAGTTCGACACCAGCCTGGTCAACATAGAAAGACCACACTCCACAAAAAAAAGTTTAAAAATTAGCAGGTGTAGTAGTGTGCACCTGTAGTCCCAGCTACTTGAGAAGCTGATGCAGGAGCACTGCAGCCTGAGCAATAAAGCAAGACCCTCTCTCTGTGGGAAAAAAAGTCCCAAATAAATTTCAGTGGGCTAAAGCCAGGGTGTTGGCAGGGTGCGTTCCTTCTGGAGGTTCAGTGGGAAGACTCTACTCCTTTGCCTTTTCTAGCTCCAGAGGCTACTGCATTCCTTGGCTCATGGCCCCCTCCCCATCTTCAAAGCCAACGATGGCTGAGTCTTTCTCACATCATATCACTCTAACATTTACCTTCTCGTCTCCCTCTTTCATGTATAAGGACTCTTATGAGTACACTGGACTCACTTGGATAATCCAGAGTACTCTCCCATCTCAAAATCCTTAATCTCATCACATCTGCAAAGTTCCTTTTGCCATGTGTTCACAGCTTCTGGGAATTGGCATGTGGACATCATATTCTGCCTACCACAAGTATTAATAGAACAGAACTTGTCACTGCCAACCCAGAGTCACTCTGCCCTCCTTGGAAGCCTGTATCATCAATCACAGTACAAACATGATTTAGGTTTTGCCTTAGATACTGTCATGTTAATGAAATTTCAGAATAGCAAAGAAAGTTGTTTTGAGAAATATTTTTTCAAAGCAAACATTCTTCTCAATAAAATTTTTTTTTTACTTCCTATACTCTTGCTTATAACTTGCCACTTTAATTTTTTTTTTTTTTTTTTTTTTTACTGCCGTTGAGGCAGAAAGGAAAATGAAGCTCTTAGGAAGCTCAATTTAAATTCTCAGTTGATCACATTAAGGAGCAAATAATTGAAGTTACAGGACTCTTCTAGTCATTCTTTTTGGAAAGAAATTAAATTTAGGTTTTTTTTTGGTTTCTTTTTTTTTTTTTTTTTTGAGACGGAGTTTTGCTCTTGTTGCCCAGGCTGGAGTGCAATGGTGCGATCACAGTGTGCACTGCAACCTTTGACTCCCGGGTTCAAGCGATTCTCATGCCTCAGCCTCCTGAGTAGCAGGGATTACAGGCGCCCGCCACCATGCCCGGCTAATTTTTGTATTTGTTAGTAGAGATGGAGTTTCACCATGTAGGCCAGGCTGGTCTAGAACTCCTGATCTCAGATGATCCACCCTCCTCAGCCTCCCAAGGTGCTAGGATTACAGGTGTGAGCCACCACACCTGGCCTTTTTTTTTTTTGTTTTTTTTTTTGTTTTTTTTTTTTGAGACAGAATCTCGCTCTGTTACCTAGGCTGGATTTTTAGTAGAGACAGGGTTTCACCATGTAGACAGGCTGGTCTTAAACTCCTGACCTCAGGTGATCTGCCTGCCTCAGCCTCCCAAAGTGCTGGGATTACAGGTGTAAGCCACCGTGCCCAGCCTTCAGGTTATTTTTTTTATTTTTTCGAGACAGAGCCTTGCTCTGTCTCCCAGGCTGGAGTCTAATGGTGCAATCTCAGCTCACTGCAACCTCCGCCTCCTGGGTTCAAGCAATTCTCCTGCCTCAGCCTCTTGAGTAGCTGAGACTACAGGCAGGCACCACCATGCCCAGCTAATTTTTGTGTTTTTAGTAGAGATGGGGTTTCACCATGTTGGCCAAGCTGGCCTTGAACTCCTTACCTCAAGTGATCCACCCGCCTTGGCCTCCGAAAGTGCTGGGATTACAGGTGTGAGCCACTGTGCCTGGCCAAAGTTATTTCTTACATATTTATACCACTACATCATTCAAGCTTAAGCCAAAACACCAAAATCTATTTATTTTACTCACCAATATTCATGTTTTTCTTTATTTTTGTTTGAATGCAGTAATTAACCAACTCATTAACATCAGTTTTATTTTAGAGTCCTTTTTTGTTTTTTTTAGATAGTCTTGCTCTGTTGCTCAAGCTGGAGTATAGTGGTACAGTCATAGCTCGCTGCAGCCTCGAACTCCTGGACTTAAGTGATCCTCCCAACTCAGTCTCCCACGTAACTGGGACTCCGGCACATCACCACATCTAGCTAATTTTTTATTTTATATTTTGTAGAGACGGAGGTCTGTGTTGCCTAGGCTTGTTTCTAACTCCTGGCCTCAAGCGAGCCTTAGAGTCTATTCAAAAAATTTTTTTATTCAAAAGTACAGTATATGTCTTTTCATTTGTGAAATGTTTTACACTCCTATTTTTACCATAATTTGGTCTGTTATAATTTTTTTTTTTTTGAAACAGAGTTACTCTATCACCCAGGCTGGAATACAGTGGCACGATCTCCGCTCACTGCAACCTCCATGTCCCGGGTTCAAGTGATTCTCCTGCCTCAGCCTCTCAAGTAACTGGGACTACAGGCAGGCACCACCACGCCCAGCTAATTTTTGTATTTTTAGTAGAGACAGGGTTTTACCATGTTGGCCAGGCTGGCCTTGAACTCCTGACCTCAAGTGATCTGCCCGCCTCGGCCTCCCAGAGTGCTGGGATTACAGATGTGAGCCACCGCACCTGGTGTTCTATTATAATTCTCTTCTCTTTGCAATTTAGGGGATACCTGTATTTGGTAATTTGTAAACAAATGTCCTATGTTTAATTAGTTAAAATATTCAAAATTTTTCCCCTAATAGATTCTTTTCTCCTCCCTCCCAAGTAGATTCGAATTCAGAATTGTCAAATGAAGAATTAAGGCAATGTCTTAATGAAACTTTAGAGGTAGGTACTCTGGCTAATATAAAAATTATCAGTTTAGCTGGGTCCCAGCAGCGGCTGCAGTGCTCTCGTCTTCTGCAGCTCTCCATGCCCTCTCCTTTTTGCTTCTGGAAACATGGCCTCTGTTGTGGCTGTCTCTGATGGTGTCATCAAGGTGTTCAACGACATGAAGTTGTGTAAGTCTTCAACACCAGAGAAGTTGAAGAAGCGCAAGAAGGCGGTGCTCTTCCGCCTGAGTGAAGACAAGAAGAACATCATCCTGAAGGGGAGGGCAAGGAGATACTGGTGGGCAATGTGGACCAGACCATCGACAACCCCTATGCCACCTTTGTCAAGATGCTACCGGATAAGGATTGCCTCTACGCCCTCTATGACGCAACCTATGAGACCAAGAGAGCAAGAAGGAGGACCTGGTGTTTATCTTCTGGGCCACTGAGTCTGTGCCCCTTAAGAGCAAAATGATCAATGCCAGCTCCAAGGACGCCATCAACAAGAAGCTGACAGGAATCAAGCAAGAATTACAAGCAAACTACTATGAGGAGGTCAAGGACCACTGCACCCTGGCAGAGAAGCTGGGGGGCAGTGCCATCATCTCCCTGGAGGGCAAGCCTTTGTGAGCCCCTTCTGGCCACCTGCCTAGAGCATCTGGCAGCCCCACACCTGTCCTCGGGGGTTGCAGGCTGCCCCCTTCCTGCCAGATAGGAGGGGCTGGGGGAATCCCAGCAGGGGAAGGGCAATCCCTTCACCCCAGTTGCCAAACAGACCTCCCACCCCCTGGATTTTCCTCCTCCCTCCATCCCTGATGGTTCTGGCCTTCCGAAACTGCTTTTGATCTTCTGATTCCTCTTGGGTTGAAGAAGACCAAGTTCCCCCCAGGCACCCCAGTTATGGGGGGGCCTGTATTTTCTTTAACAACACCCCCACTCCCCACCTGTTCCTCCCCCTCTTCCCTTGCTGCTGACTTGTAACTGCAATAGTGACTCTGTGCTTGTCTGTTTAGTTCTGTATATAAATGGAATGTTGTGGAGATGACCCCTCCCTGTGCTGGCTGGTTCCTCTCCCTTTTCCCCTGGTCACTGCTACTCATGGAAGCAGGACCAGTAAGAGACTTTCGATTACAAAAAAAAAATTCTCAAGTGAATAAAGTCCATTGATAGATATTTTGTTTAAATGGTACCAAATCTGTGTGGAAGGCAAATTTTGGCTTTCCAGACATTCTTGCTGAACTTGAGAGCTCATCTTTTTCAACTGGCCTCCTCTGTTTCTTATCCACCTCATCTCTTAAAAGAAGCTACTTATGTAAACATGCCCACCGGTTCTCCTTTCCACCCCACTTCTCTTATCTCCTCCTTGAGAAAGTAAGTTATCACTTCCTTCCACCGGCCTTCCCCGTATGTGTGGCTTCAAACAATCTGACTTAATTTAACCTCATTAAAGTCAGAAGCCCAGAGTCTCAGGTGGCCTGAGTAGCCCACTGCCTTGGTGGAAATAGCAGTTTCTGCGAGGGGTGTCTGTCCTTTGGGAAATAGGAAGCCCACCTTACTGTGTGTTTGGGACTCTTCCCGTGAAAGCTACTGTATTTGGCTGCCGAGACAATGTACCACAAACTGGTGGCTTAAAACAGCAGAAATCTGTTTGCTTTTAGTTCTGGAGGCTGAAGTTTGAAACCAGAGTTTCAGCAGGCCGTGCTCCCTCTGAAGGCTTTAGAGGAGAGTCCTTTGCCTCTTCCTAGCTTCTGATGCTTGCTGCAATCCTTGGTGTTCCTTGGCTGGTAGCTGCAGAAATCCAGCCTCTGCCTGTCACATGGCCTTCTCCCTATGAGTCTGGGTCCAAATTTCCCTCAATTTATAAGGACACTAGTCATTGGATTGGGGCCTGCAGCTGCCTCCTCACCTTGAGTCCCTACATAAGGAACTACAACCTCAGTATGTAAACAACATGAAAGCCAACTGAGGCTGGGGGCAGTGGCTCATGCCTGTAATCCCAGCACTTTGGGAGGCCAAGGCAGGTGGATCATTTGAGGTCAGGAGTTCGAGACCAGCCTGGCCAATATAGTGAAACTCCGTCTCTACTAAAAATACAAAAATTAGCTGGGCAGTAGTGGCACATGCCTGCAATCCCAGCTACTCGGGAGGCTGAGGCAGGAGAATTGCTTGAGCCTGTGAGGCAGAGGTTGCAGTGAGCTGAGACCACGCCACTGCACTCCAGCCTGGGTGACAGAGTGAGACTCTGTCTCAGAGACCTTCCTGGTTCAAGCAATTCTCATGCCTCAGCCTCCGGAGTAGCTGGGATTACAGGTGTGAGCCACCATGCCCAGCTATTTTTTATTTTTTTAATTGAGACAGAGTCTTGCTGTCACCCAGACTGGAGTGCAGTGGCTCAGCCTCGGCTCACTGCAACCTCCGCCTCCCGGGTTCAAGCGATTCTCCTGTCTCAGCCTCCAGAGTAGCTAGGATTACAGGCATGCACCACCACGCCCAGCAATTTTTTTGTATGTTTAGTAGAGACGGGGTTTCACCATGTTAGCCAGGCTGGTCGTGAACTCCTGACCTCAGGTGATCCACCCACCTTGGCCTCCCAAAATGCAGGGATTACAGGTCACACCACCTTGCCCGGCCGAGGCTTTCAATTTTAGTATGTCTGGTTCACTCACTAAGTCTAGAAGAATTTTCAGCCACATTTGTAAGTGGTTTGAGCCAAGGGTAAATGTAGACTAGCCAAACTGATAATTTTAGGGTTGCATATCTTGCAGATAGGAAGACTAATTTTCTTTCTGTCCTCAGGAGGTAGAAATGTTAAAAACTGAACTTGAGGCATCTCAAAGACAACTCAGAGGTAAAGAGGAAGCATTGAAAATTCTTCAAAGCATGGTAAGAAGTTGTTTTTAAACTTTCACCATTTACACATTCCAATAATAATGTTGGTATGGTTTTAACTTTTAAAACCAAGGCAGAAGGACTTAATATAGTTGAGGGTTTTTTTAGGTATGTATATTTTTAAGAGCTTTATAATTTATATATCCTGAAGTTCACATGTAAATGTACACTACAATTCATTTTTACTAGATATAAGAGTTGTACCACCATCATTATAATCTAATTTTAGAATATTTCCAACACCAGAAAAGGGACTTGGTGCCCATCAGCAGTCATTCCTCATTCCCACCCCTATCCCCAGTAATCTATTTTCTGTTTGTAGATTTGCCTTTTCTATTTAATATAAATAGAATCATAAGATATGTGACTGGATTCTTTTGCATTGAGATTCTTTTAGTTAGCATGTTTTAGAGGTTCATACATGTCGTAGCGTGTATCAGTACTTTCTTCCTTTTTATTGCCAAGTAATACTCCATTGTGTAGATGCACCATGTTTTGCTTATGCATTCACCAGTTGATGGACATTTGGGTGGTGTATTAGTCCATTTTTATGCTGCTGATAAAGACATACCCAAGACTGGGGGAAAAAAAGAGGTTTAATTGGACTTACAGTTCCACATGGCTGTGAAGGCCTCAGAATCATGGTGGGAGGTGAAAGGCAGTTCCTACGTGGCAGCAGCAAGAGAAAATGAGGAAGATTCAAAAGTGGAAACCTCTGATAAAACCATCAGATCTCATGAAACTTATTCACATACCAGAACAGTATGGGGGAACCACCCCCATGATCCAAACTATCTCCCACTGGGTCCCTCTCACAACACGTGGGAATTATGGGAATACAATTCAAGATGAGATTTGGGTGAGGACACAGAGCCAAACCATATCATTCCACTCCAGCCCCTCCAAATCTCATGTCCTCACATTTCAAAACCAATCATGCCTTCCCAACAGTCCCCCAAAGTCTGAAATCATTTCAGCATTAACCCAAAAATCCACAGTCCAAAGTCTCATCTGAGACAAGGCAAGTCCCTTCTGCCTATGAGCTGGTAAAATCAAAAGCAAGCTAGTTACTTCCTACATACAATGGGGATGTAGGTATATAGCCATTCCAAATGGGAGAAATTGGCCAAAACAAAGGGGTTACTGGGCTCATGCAAATCCAAAATCCAGCAGGGCAGTCAAATTTTAAAGCTCCAAAATGATCTCCTTTGACTCCAGGTCTCACATCCAGGTCATACTGATGCAAGAGGTGGGTTCCCATGGCCTTGGGCAGCTCCGCCCCTGTGGCTTTGCAGAGTACAGCCTCCCTCCTGGCTGCTTTCACAGGCTGGCATTGAGTGTCTGCGGCTTTCCCAGGTGCACAGTGTAAGCCATGGGTGGATCTACCATTCTGGGGTCTGGAGGATGGTGGCCCTCTTCTCATAGCTCCACTAGGCAGTGCTGTAGTAGGGACTCTGTGTGGGGGCTCCAACCCCACATTTCCCTTCTGTAGTGCCCTAGCCCCGGTTCTCCATGAGAGCCCCATCCCTGCAGGAAACTTCTGCCTGGACATCCAGGCATTGCCATACATCTTCTGAAATCTAGTGGAGGTTCCCAAACCCCGATTCTTTACTTCTGTGCACCTGCAGGCTCAACATCATGTGGAAGCTGCCAAGGCTTGGGGCTTGCACCCTCTATATTCACAGACGGAGCTGTACCTTGGCCCCTTTCAGCCACCGCTGGAGTGGCTGGGACGCAGGGCACCAAGTCCTTAGACTGCACACAGCACGGGGACCCTGGGCCCTGCCCACGAAACCATTTTTTCCTCCGAGACTTCTGGCTCTGTGATGAGAGAGGCTGCTGCAAAGGTCTCTGACATGCCCTGGAGACATTTTCCCCATTATCTTGGGGATTAACATTTGGCTCCTCATTACTTATGCAAATATCTGCAGCTAGCTTGAATTTATCCTTAGAAAATGGGATTTTCTTTTCTATTGCATTGTCAGGCTGCAAATTTTCTGAACTTTTATGCTGTGCTTCCCTTTTAAAATGGAATGCCTTTAACAGTACCCAAGCCATCTCTTGAATGCTTTGCTGCTTAGAAATTTCTTCCACCAGATACTCTAAATCATCTCTCTCAAGTTCAAAGTTCCACAGATCTCTAGGGCAGGGGCAAAATGCCACAAATCTCTTTGCTAAAACATAACAAGAGTCACCTTTACTCTAGTTCCCAACAAGTTCCTCATCTCCATCTGAGACCGCCTCAGCCTGGATTTCATTGTCCATATCATTATCAGTGTTTTTGTGAAAGACACTCAACAAGTCTCTAGAAAGTTCCAATCTTTCCCACATTTTCCTGTCTTCTTCTGAGCCCTCCAAACTGTCCCAATCTCTGCCTGTTACCCAGTTTCAAAGTAGCTTCCACATTTTTGGGTATCTTTTCAGCAATGCCCCACTCTACTGGTACCAAATTACTGTATTAGTCCATTTTTATGCTCCTGATAAAGACATACCCAAGACTGGGAAGAAAAAGAGGTTTAATTGGACTTACAGTTCCACATGGCTGGGGAGGTCTCAGAATCATGGTGGGAGGCGAAAGGCACTTATAACATGGCAGCAGCAAGAGAAAATGAGAGAGATGCAAAAGCAGAACCCCTGATAAAATCAACAGATCTCTTGAGACTTATTCACTACCATGAGAACAGTATGGGGAAAACCACCCCCATGATTCAGATTATCTCCCACCGGGTCCTCTCACAACATGTGGTAATTATGAGAGTACAATTCAAAATGAGATTTGGGTGGGGACACAGAGCCAAACCGTATCAGATGGTTTCCACTTTTTGACTGATGAATAGTACTGTTCTGAACACTTTCTTTGTGTGGAAAATTCATCCATTAATTCCCACATTCATTGGAAAAGAGCCAAACCAAGATCTCCTGACTTTTGAACTATCAGACTCTCCATAAAAGGTGGTCACTGTGAAATTCTTATGTCAATTCATCTTAATTTTCCATTGCCTTAAAATAAAAGAGAACTTCATGATGTACATAGGAGTGATTACAAATTTAATTTATACTGATGCTAGTTTTATTTTTCTTAGGCAATACTGGGCAAAGCCACAAGTCATACGCAGGCAGTGCTTCAAAAAACTATGGAACAAAACAGATCCTTGGAGAAGGTATTTGGTGCTTTTAGTGTAGACTTATTGAATCCAATAAGCTGTTAAATATAATTTCCCTAAACTCACCATACTAATGGATCTGTCACTTGTGCCTACCTTCTGCTAGGTGTGCTTCAGTTCTGATGGTCTTCCCTTTTGGAGTTTACAATCTAAAACAGATTGTCATGTGCACAATGAATTCAGGTTATTTTTATTTCCCCATGTTAAGGTAGTAGGAGGCCTGCCAAATTGGTACTTCTCATTTCTTCTTCTTTTTTTTTTTTTTTGAGATGGAGTCCTGCTCTGTCGCCCAGGCTGGAGTGCAGTGGCGCGATCTCTACTCACTGCGAGCTCTGCCTCCCGGGTTCACGCCATTCTCCTGCCTCAGGCTCCCAAGTAGCTGGGATTACAGGTGCCCGCCACCACGCCCAGCCAATTTTTTGTATTTTTAGTAGAGACAGGATTTCACCATGTTAACCAGAATGGTCTCGATCTCCTGACCTTGTAATCCACCCACCTTGGCCTCCCAAAGTGCTGGGATTACAGGCGTGAGACACCGTGCCCAGCCCATTTTTCTTCTTAAAAAAAATTTTTTTTTTTAAATCCTTATCGTTGCCTGGCAGGACGTACGTCTTTCTGACCATCTCATCTTCACTATAAAGGTAGTTAGGAATCATCCTAGATGGTCATGTCTCCTGTGCTTGGTGTGTTCTCCCTTGATGGGACCATTGAGTTAAGATTTCCAGGAGTGGATTTTGCTTGAGGTCTCTACATGCAGCGGAGGTGGGCACTGAGAAATCTAGGTGTAGCAGCCCAGCAAATTTTGAAGGCAAACAATTTGAAATTTTTTCTATATTAAGTGAGTTTTGGCAGAGTTGTTTTGAATGCTAAAGAGGCATGTTATATGTGTTTGCAAATGTCAGAGATACTTTTAGAGCAATAATTAATTTTTTCTCTTTAAACCATTTCTGAGAACTGATTATATGATTTATTTCAGCTATTCACAATGTCCTGAAATGATTTATTTGTAGTAATTTGCCATGAAGGTACTATTTTCTTTCCATAGGAAATAAATGCCTTGCAGTGGGAAATAGAATTTGATCATAATAGATTTAAAAATATAGAGGAATCTTGGATCCAAAAATATGACAGGTTTGTATATTACTCCATTATTTTTCTTTGACAACCTTTAAAATCTATGTAATTCAAAAGTAATTTATGCTTTCTTCTTTGAGCCAAGTGCAAAATATTACAAAATTTTTATTGCTTATCCACTTACTAGTCGCATATTTTTGTTAGTGTTAATTTTCCTTAAAGAAAAAAAATAGCATAGGCTGGGTGTGGTGTCTCACACCTTTAATCCCAGCACTTTTGGGAATCTTTGGCACTTGGATCTGAGGATCACTTGAGTCCAGGAATTTGAGACCAGCCTGGGCAACATGTTGAAACCCTATCTCTACAAAAATACAAAAAGTAACTGGGTGTGGTGGCTTGCACCTGTAGCCCCAGCTACATGGGAAGCTGAGGTGTGAAGATCACTTGGGCCTGGGAGTTGGAGGCTGCAGTGAGCCATGATTGCGCCACTGCACTTCAGCCTGGATGATAGAGTGAGTCCGTGTCTCAAAAATAAAACAAAACAAAAAAACAAAAACCAAAATAGTATAAACTCTATCTTAAAATACAGTGTAAGAATTATTTTAGAATTGGAACTATTTGTTTTTTTCAAACAAAATCTTTTGAGGGGCTGGGCATGATGGCTCACACCTGTAATTTCAGCACTTTGGGAGCCTGAGGTGGGAGGACTGCTTTGGTTCAGGAGTTCAAAACCAGCCTAGATGACATAGCAAGATCCTCATCTTGTTAAAAAAAAAAAAGATGAAAAATAAGATGGTTAAGATGGTAAATGTTTATGTTCTGACAATCAGCTCCAAAAAGAGAAAAAATATCTTTGGAACAACTTTTATTTGTGTGAGTTTATTTAATAACTTTAAATTATACACTTACTATAAAGTCAGTCATTTCAGTTGGGTATGGTGGCTCACACAATCCTATCGTGGCCCCAATCCCTGTTGGACTGAACAAAGGGAGACGAACGTGGGAATAAAAATAAAGACAAAAGAGTATATTTGGAAGAAGGGGTCAGGGGGCTCCTTGCTCCAGTGAACAAGGGTCCTGAGCTTTTAGCACCCTTCGTATTTATTGAGTAAAGGAGATAGGGAGGAGGTGGTTGTCAGTCAGCTGCTTGACTCGGTGCAGGCTTGCACAACTGCATTCTCTGAACAGTAGTCTCCAGATGTTCCAGTAGATAACCTCAAGGAGCACGGCGCCAGAGAGTGACTGCCCTCAGCAAACCTTCTGGCGGCAGGTGCAGATGTGAGTTTGCCTACATCCTGCATTCATGATAAACAGTTTGCTGTTTGATCATATAGCCTCAGTGGAATGCTAAGTTGGTCACGATCCTCTGGCTTTCGGCTCTCTACATAATCCCAGCATTTTGGGAGGCTGAGGCAGGTGGATCACTTGAGGCCAGGAGTTCTAGACCAACCTGGCTAATGTGGCGAAACCCTGTCTCTACCAAAAATACAAAAATTAACTGGGCGTGGTGGCACACACCTGTATCCCAGCTACTCAGGAGACTGAGGCAGGAGAATCGCTTGAACCCAGGAGGTAGAGGCTACAGGGACCTGAGACTGGGCCACTGTACTCTAGCTTTGATGACAGAGCGAGACCTTGTATCCAAAAAGAAAAAAAAACCAGAAAGACTGAATAATATTCCATGTTATGTATGTACGCCATTTTGTTTATCCATTCATTCCTGATGGACACTTGAGTTAACTCTACCTTTTGGCTATTTTGCATGATGCTGCTATGAACATGGGTGTACCCTATGTATCTTTTTTTTCCATGAAATACTTTGTTGGTTTTTTTTTTTTTAGAGCAGTTGTAGATTCACAACAAAATTGATCAGAAGGTACGGAGATTTCCCATATACACAGCCTCCCCCACTGACAACATCCCCCACCAGAGTGGTACATTTTTTATAACCAATGTTGATACATCATTATTACCCGAAGTCCATAGTTTACATGAGGACCTGTGTATGTAAGTTTCTGAAGGTGACCTAAGCATATAGTTGAAATTCAAATGGTTATTAAGTAAAGAGAATGAGTATGCAAAATGGATGGTTTAAAAATATTTCTGGTTCTGATTATGTCTCAGCTAAGAAGGGTTAAGAGTATGTTTAGTCCAGGCGCAGTGGCTCACGCCTGTAATCCCAGCACTTTGGGAGGCCGAGGTGGGCAGATCACTTGAAGTCAGGAGTTTGAGATCAGCCCAGCCAACATGATGAAACCACTTCTCTACTAAAACACAAAAATTGGCCGGGCGTGGTGGCGGGCGCCTGTAATCCTAGCTACTCAGGAGGCTGAGGCAGGAGAATCACTTGAACCTGGGAGGCGGAGGTTGCACTGAGTCGAGATCACATGACTGCACTCCAGCCTAGGTAACAGAGCAAGACTCCGTCTCAAAAAGAAAAAAAAAAAAAAAGGGTATGTTTAAAATCCTGGCCGGGCATGATGGCTCACAACTGTAATCCCAGCACTTTGGGAGGCTGAGGCGGGCTGATCACTTGAGGTCAGGAGTTCGAGACCAGCCTGGCCAACATGGTGAAATCCCGTTTCTACTAAAAATACAAAAATTAGCCAAGTGTGGTGGCAGACACCTGTAATCCCAGCTACTTGGAAGGCTGAGGCAGGAGAATCACTTGAACCCAAGAGGTGGAGGTTGCAGTGAGCTGAGATTGTGCCACTGCACTTCAGCCTGGGCGACAGAGTGAGACTCCATTTCAAAAAAAAAAAAAAAAATTCTTACCACATTCCTTTAAATTGTTTTTATTTTTGTGATACGTGTAAATTCCAGACTATTTTGAAGTAGGAAAAACTATATTTAGATTTTTGTGTTCCAATTATGGCAATAAAAATATTCTCGCTCAGCAAGGAAATATTAATGTTTTAGTTATTTGAAAGCCACTTTTTTCCAGGCTAAACTGTGAAAATGCAGTCCTCAAAGAGAATTTGAAAGTGAAAACAGAAGAAATTAAAATGCTGAAGTCTGACAATGCAGGTAATGATGATTTTTGTATTAAGAGCACATGTATCAATAAAGATAACATGCTAGTATTTTGAAATAATATACATTAAGTATAATAGAGGGGAGAAATGTATCATTTAGGTTTTTTAAATTTAAGAAAATTTATCAAGGTGAAATTCACATAACATAAAACTATTTAAAAGTGAACAATTCCTGGCTGGGCACAGTAGCTCATTCTTGTAATCCCAGCACTTTGGGAGGCCAAGGTGGGCAGATCATCTGAGGTCAGGAGTTCAAGACCAGCCTGGCCAACATAATGAAACTCCATTTCTACCAAAAATACAAAAATTAGCGAGACATGGTGGTGCGCACCTGTAGTCCCAGCTACTCAGGAGGCTGAGGCAGGTGAATCGCTTTTACTCTGGAGGCCGAGGTTGCAGTGACCCAAGATTGTGCCTCTGCACTCCAGCCTGGACAACAGAGTGAGACTCCATCTCAAAAAAAAAAAAAAAAAAAAAGTGAACAATTCTTGCCAGGCACAGTGACTCATGCCTGTAATCCCAGAACTTTGGGAGGCCAAGGCAGGAGGATCACTTGAGCTTAGGAGTTTGAGACCAGCCTGGGCAACATAGCAAAACCTTGTTTCTATTAGAAACAAACAAACAAACAACAACAACAACAGAAAAACCAAAATTAGCCAGATGTGGTGGCACTGGCCTGTAGTCCCAGCTACTTGGGAGGTTGAAGTGGGAGGATTGCTGGAGCCCAGGAGGTTGAGGCTGCAGTGAGCCATGATTGTGCCACTGCACTGCAGCTTGGGTGACAGAGCGAAACTCGGTCTCGAAAAAATAAGTTAACAATTCAGTGGCATTCACAAAGTTGCCTAACCACCACCTCTGTCTAGTTCCAGACAGTTCCAGTACTCCAAAGTAAAATCTCCTACCTATTAAGCAATTTCTCCCCATTTTCTCCTTTTTATTTAGTTTTCACTTAAAGCAAAATGGTAGAGCACCTGATATTTGAAGAACCTAAGTAGAAATGATATATATGTGTGTATATAATTTATATGTTATATATCTCTTATATAATGGTCTACCTTACGATGAAAGTTGATGCAAGGATAATAAGATATTTAATGTTAACTTTTTTTTTTTTTGAGACAGAGTCTCACTTTATCGCCAGGCTGGAGTGCAGTGGTGCAATCTTAGCTCACTGCAACCTCCGCCTCCTGGGTTTAAGCAATTCTTCTGCCTCAGCCTCCTGAGTAGCTGGGACTACAGGTGCATGCCACCACACCCAGCTAATTTTTGTATTTTTAGTAGAGACAGGGGTTTCACCATGTTGGCCAGGATGGTCTCAATCTCCTGACCTCGTGATCCGCCCGCCTCAGCCTCCCAAAGTGCTGGGATTACAGGTGTGAGCCACCGCGACTGGCCTTTTTTTTTTTTTTTTTTTTTTTGAGATGGAGTCTCACTCTGTTGCCCAGGCTGGAGTGCTGTGACGCCATCTTGGCTTACTGCAACCTCCACCTCCCAGTTCAGGTGATCCTCCTGCCTCAGCCTCCCAAGAAGCTGGGACTACAGGTGCCTGCCACCACACCTGGCTAATTTTTGTATTTTTAGTAGAGGCAGGGTTTCACCATGTTGACCAGGCTGGTCTCAAACTCCTGACCTCAAATGATCCACCCACCTTGGCCTCCCAAAGTGCTGGGATTACAGGTGTGAATCACCATGTCCAAACTGATGTTAACTTTTTACATATTTTATTTATTTATTTGTTTATTTATTTATTTATTTTCACACAGGGTCTTGCTCTGTTGCCCAGTTTGGAGTGCAGTGACACAATCTCAGTTCACTGCAACCTCCACTTTCTGGGCTCAAGAGATCCTCCCACCTCAGCCTCCCAAGTTGTTGGTACTACAGGCATGTTCCACCATGTCCAGCTAATTAAAAAATATATTATTATTATTATTATTATTATTTTGAGACAGAATCTCACTCTGTCGCCCAGGCTGGAGTGCAGTGGCACAATCTTGGCTCACTGTGACCTCTGCCTCCCAGGTTCAAGTGATTCTCCTGCCTCCACTTCCTGAGTAGCTGGGATTGCAGACACCCACCACCATGCCCAGATTTCTTTTTTTTTTTTGAGACAGAGTCTCACTCTGTCACCCAGGCTAGAGTGCAATGGTGCAATCTCACCTCACTACAACCTCCTCCTCCCGAGTTCAAGGATTCTCCCGCCTTGGCCTACCACGTAGCTGGGATTATAGGCACCTGCCATCATTCCCAGCTAATATTTTTGTCTTTCTGTAGAGACGGGGTTTCACCATGTTGACAAGGCTGGTCTTGAACTCCTGACCTCAGGTGATCTGCTCGCCTTGGCCTCCCAAAGTGCAACATTAAAAAAAAAATTTTTGTAGACATGGGGGTGACTCACTTTGTGAGGGCTCAACTCCTGGGCTCAAGCAATCCTCCCACCTTGGCCTCCAAAAGTGCTGGGATTACAGGTGTGAGCCACTGCACCCAGCCCTAAAAATTTAGAGAAGAGGCTAGTTCTTCCTTCTTAGCAGAAATTAAAGAGGTGGCTTGAAGAGGACAAATCACAAGCCAGGCGCTGTTGCTCATGCCCGTAATGGCCAGTGCTATGGAAAGCCAAGGGGAGAGGATTGCTTGAGGCCAGGAGTCTGAGACCAATCTGGGCAACATAACGAGACTCTTCCTCTACAAAAAATAAACAAAAATTAGCCAGGCATGGTAGCATGCACCTGGTTTTTTTTTTTTTTTTTTGAGAGGGAGTCTTGCTCTGTCGCCCAGGCTAGAGTGCAATGGCGCAATCTCACCTCACTGCAACTTCCTGGCTGATTGGGAGGTTAAGGTGAGAGGATCCCTGGAGCCCAGGAGTTTGAAGTTGCAGTGAGCTATGATTGGACCACTGCACTCCAGCCTGAGTGACAGAGCAAGACTCTGTCTCTTACACAAAGAAAAGGAAGGAAAAAAAGAAGAAAAGAAAGGAAAAAAGAAGAAAAGGACAAAAAAAGCTCTAAATTAGGCCCTGGGGCTGAGAGCGGCACTTTATGCTGTGTCTTAGCTGAGTTGTATAAACGCCTCCAGCTGAGATCTGCACACACAGCTGGAGCTTCTCAGCACCAGGGACTCCAGCTGATAAAGATGTCTCCTGTGTGAGATAAGTTCAGGACAGAAGCTGCTCATGATCATAAGTCCTCCCCTTCTGTCCTACCACTCTACCCTGCAGTGACAGGGAAAAGATACTGTTTTCTGCTCTCCAGTAGACAGCAGGACCCCTCTCTAAATGTTTGGTTTGAGATCTTCTTGTGAAAACTCCTAATACAAAAACCTGATAGAGCTTGGATAGCTGGTATGTTTGATATGGATACAATATATGAGATCTCACCATCCAGTTTTCTCACTAACCATAAAGTCTCTGAATAATTTGCTTTTACATATTCCCTTTTGGAAAAATCCTACAAATTTTCCAAGAGGAAACAGGAATCCGACTTCAGTTGCAAAGTTAAGATGCTTTTCCATTAAAAATGACACCATCTCATCTAGTATTACATATATATGATCTTACGTGATACTCACTATTCTATCAGATAGGTTTTCTGAATGGAGCCCGATGTTGTGGGTAGTGTATTGCTTGTACGAAATGAATATGTCATGTTGGGGTAACTAGATTGGATGAGGGTGGAGTTAGGCTTCATAATGAATACTTTCTCATATGGCCCTTCCTAGTTTTGAATCAACGGTATTTGGAGGCCCTCGCCATGCTTGATATCAAACAGCAGAAGATGGCTCAGGAAAACATGTGCTGTGATAAAAGTGGCTTTGCAGAGGCTTCAGGTCTTGAGGTAGGTAAGCATGCAGGAAAGCTGAACAGAAGGGACATTTGCTACTTTCCTTTCTTTCTCCCATTGCCCTTGTGTACACATTGTAGGATAGCACATACTTAGCAATTTGAGGATGGGAGTGAGAGACGCCCCTGGGCCCAGGTTGGTTCTTCCAGTTCTGCTGGTTCCATGCCCTTCATACAGGACATTCTTGGACATGAGGGAATGTGCTGGCCACTTCTGCCCCGTTTATTTCTCATCTTTACAGTTCTAGCGGAAGCTGTGTTGGGTAATGTCTCACATGTGGGTCGGGGCTTACCGTTTGAGTGCTTTCATACAAATTGTTGTATCTGATCTTCATCGGAGTCTTGTGAGGGCTGCAAAGCAGATATTATCCCCATTTTAGAGAAGAGGAAACTAAGGCTCAAATTAGTTCAGTTACTTTCCTGAGGTGGCAAGGTCAATCTGTGGTAAAGCCAGGTTCAGAACAAAAATCTGCTGGTGCAATGCCAATGGCTGGCAATGTGGGAGTTTGGCTAATGAGGTCAGAAGGGGCCTCACAAAAAAATAATGGAGCAGTAGAGTGATAGGGGGCAGCCATGCACTTCTTGTAGAACTTAAGAAGGCCGGGCACGGTGGCTCACGCCTGTAATCCCAGCGCTTTGGGAAGCCGAGGCGGGCGGATCACAAGGTCAGGAGATCGAGACCATCCTGGCTAACATGGTGAAACCCTGTCTCTACTAAAAATACAAAAAATTAGCCAGGCGCGGTGGCGGGCGCCTGTAGTCCCAGCTACTTGGGAGGCTGAGGCAGGAGAATGGCGTGAACCCAGGAGGCGGAGCTTGCAGTGAGCCGAGATCGCGCCACTGCAGTCTGGCCTGGGCGAAAGAGCGAGACTCCGTCTCAAAAAAAAAAAAAAAAGAAAGAAAGAACTTAAGAAAAATTGGTAATAATAATAGCAAATACCTGCATAGTCCTGAGCAAGTTCAGATGATGTTCTAAGAACTTTACATACATTGACATATTTAGTCTACACAACTACCCCATAAAGTGGGTACTGTTAAAATCCCCACTTCACAAATGAGGTAACAGAGGCATTGCGGGGTTAGGTAATTTGCCTGGTGTCACACAGCTAGTGCGTGGTGGAGCTGGGATTTGCAGCCTGTAGACAGAGCTTAGAGTCTGTGCTTTTGAGCACCATGTTCTACTGCCATGGGTGGAAAACTAGTATAATAGCAAAAAGGAAAAATGCAAGAAACAGCTTAAAGAAAGTTTAGGGACAGGGTGTTTTATGATAGTCTCGAGTAGACTATGGGCCAGCCTTACCTCCAGCCAGGCAGGAACAAGGGCCCCGACACAGCTGGTGAGGGAGCACTGAGGTGAGGAAGTAGCACCGGGAGTCAGGGGTCCTGGCCGCAACCCGTTGTGATTGATATTGGCCCTTCCCAGGTCTTAGTTGCTTTTGGCAACCTAGGCATGGGAGATTATCAGGAGTAGGAAAATGAAAAGGGAAAAGACCTTTCTGCCACAGATCCACCATTTGTACATTCAGCTCAACTGAAAGCTCACTCCGTGCTTCACGGTTATCACTGATGTGAGAAAGAATGTTCCGAAATGGCCTTTACACTAAGGGAGGCAGTGGAATTTTCCTCTCTGAAAAGCCTCTTAAAAAGGATTGTATTTTATGTCAGCTCATCCATGTGAAAGTACAGCAACAGGGGCCGGGCGCGGTGGCTCACGCCTGTAATCCCAGCACTTTGGGAGGCCGAGGCGGGCGGATCACAAGGTCAGGAGATCAAGACCATCCTGGCCAACATGATGAAACCCCGTCTCTATTAAAAGTACAAAAATTAGCTGGGCGTAGTGGCGTATGCCTGTAATCCCAGCTACTCGGGAGGCTGAGGCAGGAGAATCGCTTGAACCCGGGAGGCAGAGGTTGCAGTGAGCCGGGATTGTGCCACTGCACTCCAGCCTGGTGACAGAGCGGGACTCCATCTCAAAAAAAAAAAAACTTTATTTTTAGTTTAATTTTATTTATTTTTTTGTTTTGTTTTGTTTTTGAGACAGGGCCTTACTCTGTAGCTCAGGCTGGAGTACAGTGGCACAATCATGGCTCACTGCAGCTTAGACCTCCTGGGCTCAAGTGATCCTCTGACCTCAGCCTCCCAGCCAAGTACCTGGGACTACGGGTGCACACCATTATCATACCCAGCTAATGTTTTTTTTTTATTTTTTGTAGAGACAGGGTCTCATGTTGCCCAGGCTGGTCTTGAACTCCTGGGCTCAAGCTATCTGCCTGCCTCAGCCTCCCAAAATGCTGGGATTACAGGCGTGAGCCACCATACCTAGCCCATATGAAACTTTAAAATATATGGGCCAGGTGCGGTGGCTAACGCCTGTAATCCCAGCACTTTGCGGGGGCTGAGGCAGGTGGATCACCTAAGGTTGGGAGTTTGAGACCAGCCTGACCAACACGGAGAAACCCTGTCTCCACTAAAATACAAAATTAGCTGGGCGTGGTGGTGTATGCCTGTAATCCCAGCTACTTGGGAGGCTGAGGCAGGAGAATTGCTTGAACCTGGGAGACAGTGGTTGTGGTGAGCTGTGATCTCGCCATTGCACTCTAGCCTGGGCAACGAGAGCAAAACTCTGTCTCAGAAAAATAAATAAATAAATAAATAAATATGGCACAGGCCAGCCGCAGTGGCTCACATCTATAATCCCAGCGCTTTGGGATGCCGAGGCAGGTGGATCATTTGCGGTCAGGAGTTCGAGACCAGCCTGACCACCATGGTGAAACCCCATCTCTACTAAAAATACAAAAAAAAATTAGCTGGGTGTGGTGGCATATGCCTGAAATCTCAGTTTGAACTTGGGAGGCAGAAGTTGCAGGGAGCCGAGATTGTACCACTGCACTCCAGCCTATGTGACAGAGCGAGACTCCGTCTCAAAAATAAATAAATAAGAATAAAATAAAATATATGGCACGCTATGTTGTGTAGATTGCCCCTGTGAAATTGGTACATACTGGAATATGTTGGGAAAGTATTTGTGGTTAGCTTTGTGTTTGAGACAGAGTCTTGCTCTGTTGCCCAGGCTGGAGTACAATGGTGCAATCTCAGTTCACTGCAACCTCTGCCTCCCGGGTTCAAGCGATTCTCCTGCCTCAGCCTCCCGAGTAGCTGGGATTACAGGCACCCACCACCATGCCCAGCTAATTTTTATATTTTTTAGTAGAGACAGGTTTCACCATGTTGGTTAGGCTGGTCTCGAACTTCTGAACTCAGGTGATCCACCTGCCTCGGCCTCCCAAAGTGCTGGGATTATAGGCATAAGACACCCTGCCTGGCCCACTTGTAGTTAGCTTTTAAAGTGGAGTTTTAAAAAGTAAAATTATTATACTACTTTTCTTCCAACTACAGTGGTCAACCAAGTATAAAAATAAAGGAATCAGAATCTAGTTTATTATTTATTTATTTTTGAGACAGAGTTTTGCTCTTGTTGCCCAGGCTGGAGTGCAAGGCATGATTTCAGCTCACTGCAACCTCTGCCTCCCAGGTTCAAGTGATTCTCCTACCTCAGCCTCCCAAGTAGCTGGGATTACAGGCATGAGCCACCACACCCAGCTAATTTTTGTATTTTCAGTAGAGATGGGATTTCACCATGTTGGTCCGGCTGGTTTCGAACTCCTGACTTCAGATCATCCACCTGCCTTGGCTTGCCAAAGTGCTGGGATTACAGGCATGAGCCACCGCGCCTGGCCAGAATCTAGTTTAAAGAGTTTATTCAAGTACAAAAGTTGAGGATGGATCACCCAAGGAGCCACAGATTCCAAAGAAGTCAGTGTTTTAGGCCGGGTGCGATGGCTCATGCCTGTAATCCCAGCACTTTGGGAGGCTGAGGCGGGCAGATCACGAGGTCAGGAGATCGAGACCATCCTGGCTAGCACGGTGAAACTCTGTCTCTACTTTAAAAATACAAAAAAATTAGCCGGGCGTGGTGGCGCCTGTAGTCCCAGCTACTCGGGAGGCTGAGGCAGGACAATGGCGTGAACCCAGGAGGCAGAGCTTGCAGTGAGCCGAGATCGCGCCACTGCACTCCAGCCTGGGTGACAGAGCGAGACTCCATCTCAAAAAAAAAAAAAAAGAAGTCAGTGTTCTAAAGTGTAGAAGTTTGTGCTGGCTTATATGGACAATGTTTAGGGAAGTATGGACAATGTTTAGGGAAGTTTAACAGAATTTCAACATCTTTTGATGGTATGGTTTAGTGCATAGTTACAGAGATATTAGTTGAGGTGATCGTTTTCTTTTGGGGAAGGTATATTTAACATTCCACACTGAAGATGTAACAGCCATGGGGTTCTTTTCGAAGTCATCTGCTCTGAGTTAGGTATAAGAAGATAAGACAGCTAATCTGTAACGGAGGTCAGTGATGGAAGCAGAAAGGTCTGGTCTCTGGTCTCTCCTCCTCATTTACAGAACAAGAGCAACGAGGAAGAGGGTTACTCTCTAATCTAGAAGCAGCATTTCAAACATGCTACCTGACTGAGTCTCCAGGGCTTAACTTCACCCTTGGCATAAGTTTGGATGGTGCTGAAGTTTTATTCTTTTACACAGGAATCAATCGTATTTTTTTATTTTTTTTAGGAGTGGAGGGATGACTGTTTTTCTCATTATATATTACAATTCCCTCGTCATTTCTGAGTAGATGACTCAGCTTAGAGGAAACTGGCAGTAGTGAATGCCGGGCATCAGGGCCACACTGTTACAGGAAAGGTATGCTGTGGATGTTAGCGTTAACCATATTGTTAGGCTAAACTCCTGCCAAGGACTCAGACCTATAGGAGAGTGGCGCCAGGATTAAAGGTTTTAAGAGTGAGATGAAGGAAGGTAAAATTCCCTTTTGTTTGTGTTCCAAGTCATGACATTCTTTTTGTCGTTTGTAGTTAATTTCTATTTGTATTCTGAGATCCCAGTCTCAGCTTTCTTCTATTTTGTTTTTCCTTTCCAGTTTTTTTGGATCAGATGCCTGAGTAGTAGTGTGCATGGGTATGTGTGTAAATGCCCCTGTGTTTGTGTGCAGCTAAAACAGTGTGACACTTAATAACAGGAGCAATGCTTTTCAATTTAAAGCTTGCGGTCCTCGGAGCCTGCCTTTGTCATGGGCCCGGAGGGAACCCCTGTTCTTGTGCCAGAATGGCAGCATCCACTCGGAAACTGCTTCTTCAGCTCAAACAAGAGGTATTGCGTTATCACAACAGCAAAAGCTTTAGTTTTGTTTCTCTGTTAATAGTAGAATAAATGGAAATGTTTGCAATAATTAACTTCATTTTAGTAGTTATTGCCTATGGAACTTATGCTTAGTTTTTATGTGATAGCATCAACTTATCAACTGGATTTTGTTTACCTGGTTCCAAAATACAAATATTAATAGTACTTGGGGCAGGGTGCGGTGGCTCACGCCTGTAATCCCAGCACTTTGGGAGGCTAAGGCAGGCAGATCACCTGAGGTCAGGAGTTTAAGACCAGCCTGGCCAACATGGTAAAACCACGTCTCTACTAGCCAGGCATGGTGGCGGTCACCTGTAATCTTAGCTACTTGGGAGGCTGAGGCAGGAGAATCGCTTGAATCCGGGAGGCGGAGGTTGCAGTGAGCCGAGATTACACCACTGCACTCCAGCCTAGGCAACAAGAGTGAAACTCCATCTCCAAGAAAAAAAAAAAAAGTACTTGGCATGATATTTGAAGCTACCTAAAGTCATTTGCCTAAGTTCATAATTAATATTCCTAAAATTTATATGTTCTCATCTATACATGTCCCTAAAATTACTATATAATAGAAGGAAAATGTACATTTATGCTTAAAATCACTAGGATCAGCAACACTGATTAATGGAGAGATAAGCATGGAATGTATTTGAACAGCAGCAAGGCACAGTGAAAGGAACCTTTGTCCCAGCCAGACCTAGGTTTGCATCTTTGCTCCACCATTTACTAGCTGTGTGGCTTTGGACGGGGTAGGTCTTAGTTTTCCTACTATATTAAGTGGAGGGTAATAACTACCTTGGATGATTGTTGTGAGGAAATAGACATAAAATGTTTAGCACAGCACCATGAACATGCCAGACATTAATTCAAATGATAGCTGCCATTATATTTGGTCTTTACTTACAAATACAGTAGTACATGGACCATAATTCTAAAATGTTTTACCTTTATTGAAGGTATGGAATTTAAAGTCCTTAGGTGTGGCAAACCACCATGGCACACATTTACCTAGGTAACAAACCTGCATCCTGCACCTGTATCCTAGAACTTAAAATAGAATAAAATAGGACAAAATTAAATTTAAAAAAATTAAAGTGTTTGGGTTTTTTTTTTTTTTTGAGACGGATTCTTGCTCTGTCGCCCAGGCTGGAATGTAGTGGTGCAATCTCGGCTCACTGCAACCTCCACCTCCTGGTTCAAGTGATTCTCTGCCTCAGGCTCCTGAGTAGCTGGGATTACAGGCGCCTGCCACCACTCCCAGTTAATTTTTGTATTTTTAGTAGAGACGGGGTTTCACTATGTTGGCCAGGCTGGTCTTGAACTCCTGACCTCGTGATCCACCCGCCTTGGCCCCCCAAAGTGCTGGGATTACAGGCGTGAGCCACTGAGCCCAGCCAAAATAAAATCTTTAAAGTATATAGGAAAGCCAACATTTGGACAGTAGCCATTCATTAAGAAAAGCATGAGGGGGCAATGGGTTACACCTGTAATCTCAGCACTTTGGGAGGCTGAGGTGGGAGAATCACTTGAGCCTAAGACGTCACAGTTACAGTGAGCCGTGTTCACATCACTGCACTCTAGCCTGGGTGACAGAGTGAGAGACCCTGTCTCCAAAACAAAAAGAAAGACCGGGCGCAGTGGCTCATGCCTGTAAACCAGCACTTTGGGAGGCCGAGGCGGGTGGATTACCTGAGCTCAGGAGTTCGAGACCAGCCTGGGCAACACAGTGAAACCCCATCTCTACTAAAATACAAAAAATTAGCCAGGCGTGGCAACATGCGCCTATAGTCCCAGCTACTCGAGAGGCAGAGGCAGGAGAATTGCTTGAACCCAGGAGGCGGAGCTTGCAGTGAGCCGAGATCACGACACTGCACTCCAGCCTGGGCGACAGAGCGAGACTCCATCAAAAGAAAAAAAAAAAAGAAGAAGAAGAAAAAAATAGAAGAAAAGAAAAACATGAGATTACATTGATCAAAGTCAAGGTCATCTATAAGACGTATTTGAAAGGTCGTATTCATCATTATTTTCAGTGGTGTGGTCTGGAATGGCCCAAAGCTGAGTTGAAATGCAGCCTTTGGTATCCTCTTATCTTTCATGCTGGGCCCTTTGTCCCAGGACTTGAGCAGGACACACACACAGGGCCTGCATGGGGTAGTGAGGTCCAGGGGTTAGGTTAGCAGGCAGTTGACAGGCACCACAAGGGAAACTGATAATCTGGATCAGAGTAAGTTGCTACTGCAGAAATAGCAAGCATTAATTAGCGTAATCAGATAAACTAGATCAGACCACAGGCAATAAACCAGTGCTAGGCAGTGAGATTGCATATGTTAATTTGATTCCCCATTCAGCAAGAATTGTTCTGGTTTTGCCTCTGACACCTCCCAAACTGTCTTTCAAAATCAGTTGGAAATTTTGCAGAAGAGTAAAGAAGAAGCTTACGTGATGGCAGATGCTTTCAGAATTGCATTTGAGCAACAATTAATGAGAAAAAATGACCAGGCACTACAATTGACACAAATGGATAAAATGCATAAAAAAGCAACAAAATGGATGAATTGGAAGCACCTTAAAGAGGATGGTAACTATGAATTATAATGGCAATAAGTGGGTGTAATTTTAGTTGTTTTGTTTATAATCCAAGTTGATGAAGCACACTTAATCCAATGTGGGCAAAAATAATTGAAACTTCACATATGGTTGTGGTTTACTTAAAAACTTAGCAACTATGGAAAAAAAGGAGTCATTGGATATTACATGTGCAGGTGAACTACTGGAATCCATAAACCATAACATAACAGGAATATTTATTTTCTAGTACTCTTCTGTTTCATTTAAATAAGACCATGTTTAGTGAAAAAACTTTACAATAAAAGTGCTAGGTGATTAAAAGGAAACTGCCAAGAAGGAAGTAATGTGAAAAATGTCACTTAAACATGACATTAAATGTATCTATCTAATTAAACTTTATTGAAATGTATGCTTTTGAGAAGGAAATTGAGGAATAGAGGAAAAACCTTAAGTTGGACAAATTAATAAAATATTCTTAGAAAAAATGAAGCAGAAGTTTAGGTTTAGGTTTTGGTTCACGAACCCATCAAAAATTTATGGCCAGGCTGGGTGTGGTGGCTCACGCCTGTAATCCTAGCACTTTGAGAGGCCAAGGAGGGTGGATCACCTGAGGTCAGGAGTTCGAGAACAGCCTGGCCAACATGGCAAAACCCCATCTCTACTAAAAACACAAAAATTAGCCGGGCGTGGTAGCACATGCCTGTAATACCACCTGCTCAGGAGGCTGAGGCAGAAGAATCGCTTGAACCCAGGAGGCAGAGGTTGCAGTGAGCTGAGATCGCGCCACTGCACTGGGCGACGGAATGAGACTCCATCTCAAAAAAAAAAAAATGATCAGTATTGAGTATTATTATATCTGTGTATTAAAAAATATATTAAAATAGCATGAGAGAATTGAAGTAGATCTTCCAGTATGAACAAAGTAGCTGTTATTTTTTAGAAATCTGTTTCTCTAAGTAGTTCATACCAATTTTTATTCATCAGTATTATTCTGTAGAATTCATATTGCTTCAGTTTAAAATGTCAAATTATAATTTGAAACCATTTATCAGTTGAGAAAGAATCAAGTGAAGTTTATAAGAATTTTAAATGTTTTGTAGAAAAATTCTAGGATGACTGTATTTCTAAATATTTTCTTATCTGTCAGATCTATAATTCTAACATCTCTTATATTCAGGTGAATTTAGAAAGACTAATACACATCTTGTAATATTTAAAATGATCTTAGGGGAACACCATCATAGAAAATATTTAAAATGGAACCTGTTGGCTGGGCGTCGTGGCTCATGCCTGTAATCCCAGCACTTTGGGAGGCCGAGGTGGGTGGATCATTTGAGGTCAGGAGTTTGAGACCAGCCTGGCCAACATGGTGAAACCCTGCCTCTACTAAAAATACAAAAATTAGCCGGGCTTGGTCGCAGGCGCCTGTAGTCCCAGCTACTTGGGAGGCTGAGGCAGGAGAATTGCTTGAACCTGGGAAGTGGAGGTTGCAGTGAGCCAAGATTGCACTACTGCACTCCAGCCTGGGGGAAAGAGCAAGACTGTCTCAAACAAAAAAAAAAAAAAAAGAAAAAAAAGAAAAAAAAAAGAAACCTGGCCATGTGCGGTGGCTCAGGCCTGTAATCCCAGCACTTTGGCAGGCTGAGGCAGGCAGATCACCTGAGGTCAGGAGTTCAAGACCAGCCTGGCCAACATTGAGAAACCCCATCTCTACTAAAAATACAAAAATTAGCTGGGTGTGATGGCACTCACCTGTAATCCCAGCTACTCGGGAAGCTGAGGCAGGAGAATCGCTTGAACCTGGAAGGCAGAGGTTGCAGTGAGCCAAGATTGCGCCACTGTACTCTAGCCTGGGTGACAGAGCAAGACTCTGTCTCAAAATAATAATAATAATAGTAATAATAATAATAATAATAAAATGAAAGCTTTATAGTAGATAGCCATTTTGTTTGAAATATTTATTTTCAAACAGTATATATTACTAATAGTATAGGAGTCAGCTGTCGTGAATTTTAGTTTCATTAACTAAGCTTTCCCCCTTTTCTTTGCTGAAAAGGGTAAGAAGTGATGCAGAGGGATGATAGAAATAGAAGCAGTAAATCAGAACTACAGAGTAGGGAAATGCAGATCATAGAAGCTACATGTTTGGAGTGTTCATTAGATGGAAGCCAGGACAAAACAGGAAAATATAATGTTTTGTAACACTTATTCTGAGAAAGTCATTCATATTTTCTTGAAATTAATTTCTAAAAATGTTTTCTGACACGAAACTTTTGAGAAAATATAATGGCTAAATTCCCGACAGTGTTTTAGTAGCTTTTTTTTTTTTTTTTTTGAGGCAGCATCTTATCCTGTTGCCCAGGCTGGAGTGCAGTGGTGTGATCATGACTCACTGCAGCCTCTACCTCATGGGCTCAAGCAATCCTCCCACCTCAGCCTCCCTAGCAGCTGGGACTTCAGGCATGTGCCACCATGCCAGGCTAAATTTTGTATTTGTTTATAGAGATGAGGTCTCACTGTGTTACCCAGGCTGGTCTCAAACTCCTGGGCTCAAGCGGTCCTCCCTCCTCGGCCTCCCAAAATGCTGTGGTTACAGATGTGATCCACTGCACCTGGCCAACAATGTCTTATAATAAATACAAAATAATGTATTTAGATAATATGGTCATTTTCTATAATAAACTCTTCATAAAAGCTGAAGGTACAACTTTAATGTTCAATCCAGGTTAGGTGATTTTGCCAGGGAAAAAGCTAACATGGTCCATGTATTTAGCCTTTTAGGAACCAGTGGAAAACACTAAGAATACCTGGTTCTACCACGGACCACAGCTATGTGTAGATAATCTTCCTCAGACACCTCCTCTCTCAGCTAAGCCCTTAATAGCAGTTGGATTGTAAAATCCTCTTTGAGGACAGCCCTGGTGTTTTGTGCTAATTGAAGGCAGATCTTCTTAGAAAGTCAGATTGTAAATATTTGTTTGTTTTGATAGAGGTGGAAAGAAAAGTGATGGGAAAAAGAAGAGACGAAGGGGAAAGTCAGGGTTAAAGTAATCTTAATCTTACGAATGCCTGTCAGACCCTGTCACCTGCCTGCAAGGCCTGCAACCCTGTGTGGAGCTTGGCCATTAGGATAGTGCAGTGTAGACAAAGCTGCATTTTTCTCAAGAGCTAGATTCATACTCATTTCAGCACTTGAGAATATGTGCATTTGATGTTCCATAATTCCTACCTTCCACAGTGTAAGAGACAGGGGAAACCAAAGTGTTTTCCTATTCACACAGCACTTACCACTCAGCTCAGCGCTTCTGACACCAGATGCTAGGGGTGGGGGATTCCCCACACACCAGCTGGGTATCCTATCATTTCCCTCAATTCTCACACTGTCTACCTGGAGTTAGAGTCAGATCCCATAAGTTAAAGGCTCAGTCCCACAAGATGGCCTGCACTCCAAATGCCAGTCAAAAGCACAGAGTTGTCTCTGCTGCTCCTGACTGACTGGCTGTATGTACATTGGGACTCCCATGACGCCCTCCTCAGGCTCCATTGATTTGCTAGGATGCCTCACAGAACTCCGGGAAACACTTCCGTTTACCAGTTTATTATAAAGGATCTTACAAAGGATGCAGATGAACAGCCAGATAAAGAGATGGACAGGGCAAGGCACGTGGGAAGGGATGCTCTCTTTGGCGTACCACCCCTCAGGAACCTCACATGCTCAGCTATCTGGAAGCTCCCCAGACCCTTTTGGGTTTTTATGGAGGCTTCATTACATGGACACGGTACATCACTGGCCATTGGTGATTACATCATTGGCCATTGGTAATCAACTCAACCTTCAGCCCCTCTCGCTTCCCTGGAGTTTGGGGGCTAGGGCTGAAAGTTCCAGCTTTCTAATCACAAGATTGGTTCCCCTGGCAACCAGCCCCCATCCTGAGGCTATCCAGGAGCCCATCAAGAGCCTCATTAGAACAAAAGATGCTTCTATTACCCAGGAAATTCCAAGGGATTTAGGGGCTCTGTGTCAGATGCTCCTAGCACTGAGGAAATTACAGTCTTAAGAATTGTGTGTTAGGAACTGGGGTCAAAGACCAACTATGAGAAAAGATTCACCTAACACCCCTATCTACTAGGATTTTAGGAGCTCTATGTCAGGAACTGAGGGCAAAGACCAAATATATATTTCTTATATTACAATATCACATTCAGCTATTGACAAATCTAAGGAAGATTCCCACAAAAAATGCAATTCAGAGGGGTATAGCTCCCAATCTCTGAGTTCCAGTAAGGCACTGAGAGAGACTGAAGGCAGAATTTTAAATAATTGATATAGGCAGGGCACAGTGGCTCATGCCTGTAATCCCAGCGCTTTGGGAGGCTGAGGCAGGAGGATTGCTTGAGCTCAGGAGTTTGAGACCAGGCTGGGCAACATAGGGAGACCCTGTCTCTATTAAAAAAAAAAAAATAGCCAAGTGTGGTGGTAGATACCTGTGGTCTCAGCTACTAGGGAGGCTGAAGTGGGAGGATCGCTTGAGCCTGGGAGGCTGAGGCTGCAGTGAGTCATGATCCCACCACTGCAGTCCAGCCTGGGTGATGGAGCAAGACCCTGTCTCAAAAAAAAAAAACCACCAAAAACTGATGGCCGGGTGCAGTGGCACGCCTGTAATCTCAGGACTTTGGGAGGCTGAGGTGGGTGGATCACTTGAGGTCGGGAATTTGAGACCAGCCTGACCAACATGGAGAAACCCTGTCTCTACTAAAAATACAAAATTGGCTGGGTGTGGTGGCACAAGCCTGTAATCCCAGCTACTCGGGAGGCTGAGGCAGGAGAAATGTTTGAACCCGGGAGGCAGAGGTTGTGGTGAGCCAAGATTGCGCTGTTGCACTCCAGCCTGGGCGACAAAAGCGAGACTCCATCTCAAAAAAAAAAAAAAAAATTGATTAATCTCGCACAGCTTTTATAAATCTATACAAGTTTGAGTAGTTCTTTCTCAGTTTCTCAGTGACAAGACTTTAATTCATTTTATTAGTATATTTCAGTAATCTTAAGAGGTACAGGGTGATACAGATTATTTTATGTTTAGTAACACTTAATATCAACTTTCTTTTTGATATGGCAGTTTAGACAAGTTTCCGGAAGTAGTTTATAGGCATACTTCTTTCTTTCTTTGTATTTTTGCTTTTGGGTTTTTTTTTTTTTTTTTTTATCTTAAACTCCTGGGCTTAAGCAATCCTCCAGACTACCAGCTTGAGCCATCACACCAAGCTATTTCTTTTTTTAGACTGAAAATAGGGACACAGATTCATCTACTCATCAAAGTGTCAGTTTCTCTGACTTCTGTTTGCCACAGCTCCTCGTGGAAGGGGTCAGGGCCGCCCTCGTCACTGTGGTCTGTCAGGATTGGTGGGAAGGGGATCTCCCCTCATCTGCTCTCAGTTTCCCACTAAACCACTTTTGGAGAATATTCCAAAAACATTCTTGAAATTTTCCTTGTACAATCTGAGATTTTATAACTTCTGCAAATTACTTTCCTTCAATGGATGAAGAAGGACATCAATGATGTCAGCACGTGAAATATTAAATATTATGCTAATACCTGAGCAGGGCCTTTGACAATTGTGGTATTTTTTGTTGTTGTCGTGATGGTGGTAAAATATATCTAAAGTTGGCCGGGCGCGGTGGCTCACGCCTGTAATCCCAGCATTTTGGGAGGCCAAGAGGGGGCGAATCATGAGGTCAGGAGATCGAGACCATCCTGGCTAACACAGTGAAACCCCATCTCTACTAAAAATACAAAAAAATTAGCCGGACGTGGTGGCGGGCGCCTGTAGTCCCAGCTACTCGGGAGGCTGAGGCAGGAGAATGGCGCGAACCCGGGAGGCGGAGCTTGCAGTGAGCCGAGATTGCGCCACTGCACTCCAGCCTGGGTGACAGAACAAGACTCCATCTAAAAAAAAAAAAAAATTATATATATATATATATATATATATATATATATATATATATATATAGTTTACCATTTGAACTGTTTTTAAGTGGTATTAAGTATATTCACATTGTAATGTAACCTTCATCACCATCCAGCTCCAGAACATTTTCATCTTTCTTTACAGAGACCCTGTCCCATGAAACAGTAACTCCTCACTTCCCCTTCTCCAGCCCGTGTGATTTATTATTTAATGGCACAGTTCCCTGAGAAGAAGGTAATGCTATTCTCATTTTAGAGATGAGGAAATCAAGCTGAGAAAAGTCACCCGAGGTCATACAGTTAGTAAGTGGCTGAATGAGGATTCAAGTCCAGGTCTTTGCTGTTCGGAAGCAGAGTTTGCATGGCTCAGAGGCCCCCTGTGGCCTGCAGACATGTTTTGTTAGGTTGGCTTAGTGTAGTCAAACAATAAGACTAGTGGCTGACATTTAGAATTGGAAGATGTCATGACAGATCTGCATTTCTGGCTGCTCTTGAAGACTGTGATGATCCAGTGACATGGACTGTGTTCTTGTGTGGCCTGTGTGTCAGCTGGCACAGAGGGGTGGCTGTGCCGCATGGCAGGGCGGCACTCTTGCTGCCTCTCACCTGCATTGCTCCTGGCTCTGAAGGCTGTGCTCTGCTCACTACATTCCACTGTGTGCTCCTGGACTCACTTGTCCTAGAGATCAAGTTACCTCTTTTGCTGGAAGTATATCAGTGAGGATATTTTAATGTCTCAGCTGGATTCTCATGTTCAATTTTAGGATTTCCATCACCAAGGAGTAAGAAGACCTTCGGGCAGAGACTGTTGGGTATGCTCCCTTCAGAAAACAGTTCTAAGAGGATGGAAGACCAGGACAGTCCTCAAGAGGTCCTTAAGATGCTCATAGATTTGGTTAGTGTCTTTGCTTTTTTTTGCAGGTTATGGTTAAGCCAAGCTTGTCCAACCCACGGTCCGTGGGGAGCATGCAGCCCAGAACAGCTTTGAATGTGGCCCAACACAAATTCGTAAACTTTCTTAAAACATTATGAGATCTTTTTGATATATATATATATTTTTTTAGTTCATCAGCTATCATTAGTGTTAGTGTATTTTTTTGTTTTGTTTGTTTTTTGGTTTTTTTGTTTGTTTGGTTTTTGAGACAGAGTCTCTGTCACCCAGGCTGGAGTGCAGCGGCGCGATCTCGGCTCACTGCAACCTCCACCTCCCGGGTTCAAGCAATTCTCCTGCCTCAGCCTCTAGAGTAGCTGGGACTGCAGGCGCCCACCACCACGCCTGGCTAATTTTGTGTGTGCGTTTTTAGTAGAGACAGGATTTCACCATGTTGGCCAGGCTGGTCTCAAACTCCTGACCTCAAGTGATCTGCCCACCTCGGCATCCCAAAGTGCTGGGATTACAGGCGTGACCCACCATGCCCAGCCAGTGTTAGTGTATTTTATGTGTGGCCCAAGACAATTCTTCTTCTTCCAGTGTGGCCCAGGGAAGCCAAAAGATTGGACACCCCTAGGTTAAGCTAATCTATTTGCTTCCTGTTAATTCAACTCTTTATCTCTCTAGACTTGCACTTGCCTTCTATGTCCTTTTCCCAGTTGGAGTACCAGACTCTACCTTCATGATCTTTATCTCCCTCAGCTCATCTTTTCTCGTCATTCATATTCTTTCTGTGCAGGTTTAAAGGCTCCATCTTGGAAAACAGGGGGCTCCTGTAGTTAACTCCAGCCAGCTTTGCCATCTACATTTATATATATACAGTTTGTGACAAGTCTGCCTGTTTATTGAGGCATTTTTAAAGTGTTCAAGGCATTTCCTCACACATTATATCCTTTACAGTCCTGCTACCCACATTCCACATGGAATGACTAAACTAAGACACTGAGACTCAGGTTATATGAACATACTTATCTCTAGACTGTTATATATTTGCATACAAATATATGAAAGCAATTTTATATACAAATAACTTCAACATTATTTTATAAATATGCACGTTGATATATTTTTTATATGTTGATATTATATACCTATATATACACACTTCATATAGATCTATATTTTCCCTTCATTTCCAGATGACTTGCAAAATTTTCAATGCTGTCTTCTGTTTTTTTTTTTAAAAAATTATTTTTAAAAAATAATCGTCGGGGCTGGGCACAGTGGCTCATGCCTGTAATCCCAGCACTTTGGGAAGCCGAGGCGGGTGGATCATGAGGTCAGGAGATCGAGACCATCCTGACTAACACGGTGAAACTGTCTCTACTAAAAATACAAAAAATTAGCCAGGTGTGGTGGCTGGCACCTGTAGTCCCTAGCTACATGGGAGGCTGAGACAGGAGAATGGTGTGAACCCAGGAGAGCGGAGCTTGCAGTGAGCCAAGATCATGCAACTGCACTCCAACCTGGGTGACAGAGCGAGACTCTGTCTCAAAAAAAAAAAAAAATTGTCAGCCTGGCATGGTGGCACACATCTGTAATTCCAGCACTTTGGGAGGCCGAGGCGAGTGGATCACTTGAGGCCAGGAGTTCGAGACCAGCCTACAAAAATTAGCAAGGTGTGGTGGTGCACGCCTATAGTCCCAGCTACTCTACTCGGGAGGGTGAGGCCCAAGAATCACTTGAGCCTGGGAGGCAGAGGCTGCAGTGAGCCAAGATGGCATCACTGCATTCCAGCCTGGGCAACAGAGCCAGACCCTGTCTTAAAAAAAAAAAGAATTGGCCGGGCACGGTGGCTCACGCCTGTAATCCCAGCACTTTGGGAGGCCAAGGTGGGCTGATCACAAGGTCAGGAGATTCAGACCATCCTGGCAAACACAGTGAAACCCCGTCTCTACTAAAAAATGCAAAAAATTAGCTGGGTGTGGTGGCGGGCACCTGTGGTCCCAGCTACTTGGGAGGCTGAGGCAGGAGAATAGTGTGAACCTGGGAGGCAGAGCTTGCAGTGAGTGGAGATAGTGCCACTGCACTCCAGCCTGGGTGACAGAGCCAGACTCCGTCTCAAAAAAAAAAAAAAAAAGATTCATGAATAACATGTAGTATAATGTTTGGGGATCAGGTGATACCTAATTTATTCATACTGATGGACAGATCAGTATGAATATTAGGGTTGAATAACTTGATAAAATAGTACAATACTCCTTTCTCTGAATATATTCTGTGATTTATTGACTAACTTGTACATGTTTAATTTCTGTGCATGCAGCTTAATGATAAAGAAGAAGCTTTGGCTCATCAAAGAAAAGTTAGCTACATGCTTGCTCGGGCATTGGAAGACAAAGACACTGCTTCAAACGAGAATAAAGAAAAAAATCCTATAAAAGAGAATTTCCCTTTCAACAACCCCTGGCGTAAGACTTCAGAATTCTCTGTTTTGGGTGATCCTATACATTCAAGTGTCTGCATTTTAAATTCTGTGGGCTGCATTTGTTCAATCCAGCACTCTCAAATAGATCCAAACTATAGAACTCTTAAAAGATCCCATTCTTTGCCATCAAGTATCATATTTTAAAGACAAGCCAGTTGAAATTGGAACTGAGAGTTGTTTATATCGAGATACTTTGAAAAATGATTTTGTAAATTTTGCTGCATCTTGAGAAGTTGTATGTTTCCTAGGTATTTCTAAATTTTAGGAGGTCACTTAAATCAAATATTTTCTACATTTTCTTTTTCTTCTTTTGAGATGGAGTCTTGCTCTGTCACCCAGGTTGGAGTGCAGTGGTGTGATCTCGGTTCACTGCAACCTCCGCCTCCCGGTTCAAGCAATTCTCCTGCCTCAGCCTCCCGAGTAACTCGGATTACAGGCATGTGCCACCACGCCCAGCTAATTTTTGTATTTTTAGTAGAGACGGGGTTTTACCATGTTAGCCAGGCTGATCTTGAACTCCTGACCTCAAGTGATCCGCCTGCCTTGGCCTCCGAAAGTGCTGGGATTACAGGCGTGAGCCACCACACCCAGCCTATTTTCTACATTTTCTACAAGAAATTAGTATTCTGTGTTGACATTTTATTTATAAATTACATTACTGTATTTATAAATTACATTACAGGCTGGGCATGGTGGCTCATGCTTATAAATCCCAGCACTTTGGGAGGCCAAGGTGGGTGGGTCACCTGAGGCTGGAGTTCAAGACCAGTCTGACCAACATGGAGAAACCCCATCTCTACTAAAAATACAAAAAATTAGCTAGGCCTAGTGGCGCATGCCTGTAATCCCAGCTACTTGGGAGGCTGAGGTAGGAGAATCGCTTGAACCTGGGAGGCGGGGGTTGTGGTAAGCCGAGACTGTGTCATTGCACTCCAGCCTGGGCGACAAGAGCGAAACTCTGTCTCAAAAAAAAAAAAAAACACATTACAGTGTTTGCCAACATCCTAAAACAAAAAATAATGATTTTTGGGAAAAACAAAAAATTATTTAACTATTTTGATTGACTATAGGGATCTTAGCTTGGCTAAATCAACAATATAGCAATGTATCTTAATGCTCTAAAAAGTAACAATACCTAGGACTGACTGAATGTTAATTTCTGGAATTCATTTATCTTGTTTTATTTGCCTTGTTCAGTATTTTTCATTTACCATATGAAGTTTAGAAATAACAATTTCCTTAAGTTAACTTCAATAAGACAGTTTTGATGGTGGGACCTTGGCAGAAGTATATTGAGTCAGTGCCGGCTGCGTTCATGGCTTCTTGTCAGGGTAGTAACATTTTGCAACCAAATCTGCACAGATTTGTAGCCAAGTCTACAAAGTGCTTAACAGCTCTTTTCATTGCATCCTGTGAGATGGTTGTGATGATCCAGGAAATGGGGTCTCAGGAATCTGAAGAAGCTGCCTGAGCCAAGGTGATTTCTAGGAGTTTTTTTGTTTGTGGTATGTGAATTGGGGTGTGTGGGGGTGGGGTGTGTGTGTAGACAGGGTCCCACTGTGTTGCTCAGGCTGGTGCCAAACTCCTGGCCTCAAGGGATCCTCCTGCCTCAGCCTCTCAAAGTGCTGGGATTACAGGCATAAACCACAACTCAATAAAAAAGTTTTTAAAAATTTACAAAGCTCATATTTGATCCAGCTAGGATTTTACCCTGTACATTTGTATTTCTTGTAGGCTGGCGCACAGATATCTTAAATGGCTACTAATTGCTGCTGTGTATGAAAACAAATGGCTATCAAGGCCGGGTGCAGTGGCTTACAGATCTGGTCTGAATCTCAAGTCCAGACCAGTCCAGAGTTCAAGACCAGCCTGGGCAACATGGTGAAACCCCATCTATACAAAAACTCGGCAAGGCATGGTGGCATGCACCTGTTGTCCCAGCTACTCAGGGGCTGAGGCAGGAGGATGGCATGAGCCCAGGAGCTTGAGGCTGCAGTGAGCTGTGATTGTGCCACTGCACTCCAGCCTGAGTGACAGAGTGAGACCCCCATCTCCAAAAGAAAAGGCTATCAATACAAAAGTTTATCTAAATTACTGTACAGCTATACAATGGAATACTCTACAAAATGGAGAGATCCATAAGATAAAGCAAATGAATAAAGCAAAATGCATGTGTTGACAGCTGTTGTGATACCTCAGTTCTTGTCTTCTTGGTTTAAAAGAATTTAAATGAGACAGCAAAGGAGATGCAGCATAATTTATTGCAAAAGAAAAGGAGTATTTTGAAAGTTAGGTGCAGAACAGACAGTACACCTGAGAGAGAGAATTCAGGGCCGGCTGCTCGTAAGGGTGAGACAGCATTGATTATTGCTGGAGAAACTCCCTTTATGGGAGTTTTGCATTATTATTCATAAGGAGGTGAGGTGTTGCAGTAATCATGTCCTGGGTGGTCCTCTGCACAGGTGCAGTAGCTGTTAATGCTTGTTCATACACCACATGTCTCAGTAGCATCTTAAATTTCCACCTAGAGGTGTGTTTTTTATTATTATCATGTGCAAAGGATCAGTTTGAGGACAGGTAAAATCAAAATGTGTATGCTCTCTAGAAGGGAAAGTCCCTACTGAAGATAGCTTTGCTTAAATGAGCTCAATTACAATGTGAATGCTGAGGTTTATTGTGTTGGCTGTATGGTCATGAGAAAATGGTCATTTCCTTGACTACCTGATACGGTTTGGCTGTGTCCCCACCCAAGTCTTATTTTGAATTGTAATCCCCATAATTCCCACATGTTGAAGGAGGGACTTGGTGGTAGGTGACTGGATCATGGGGGTGGTATCCCCCATGCTGTTCTCATGATTGTGAGTTCTCACGAGATCCAATGGTTTTATACATGGTAGTCTCTCCTGCTGCCATGTAAAACATGCCTGCTTCCCCTTCTGCCAGGATTGTAAGTTTCCTGAGGCCTGCCCAGCCATGTGGAGCTATGAGTCAATTAAACCTCTTTCCTTTATAAATTACTGAGTCTTGGGTAGTATTCTTTATAGCAGTTTGAGAACGGAATAATACACTCCTATCCTGCCTCACGTGTTAGACACATTTTGAGTGTCCTCAGATCCCTTTGGCGCTATTATCTCCTGGACTCTTAGCTGCTTGGCTGCTTCTCCCTTGGCAGCTCCCTGTCTACACACACACACGAGGAAGTCAGACAGATTTGAAGCACGAGTGGGTTTGATGCACTGCTGCTGTCCTGTGGTGAGTGCCACAGGACAAAGGCATGGAAGTTTCCTTAAGAAGCTGAGAGAGGCCCTGGGCTAACAGTCAAAAGGGAAATGGGGGCAATGGAGCACAAGAATTGCAACTATAAGAACTGCATGAGCGGCCGGGCACGGTGGCTCACGCCTGTAATCCCAGCACTTTGGGAGGCCAAGGTGGGCGGATCACGAGGTCAGGAGATAGAGACCATCCTGGCTAACACAGTGAAACCCCGTCTCTACTAAAAATACAAAATATTAGCTGGGCGTGGTGGCGGGCACCTGTAGTCCCAGCTACTCGGGAGGCTGAGGCAGGAGAATGGGTGAACCCAGTGGGCGGAGGTTGCAGTGAGCCGAGATCGTGCCACTGCACTCCAGCCTGGGCGACAGAGCAAGACTCCATCTCCAAAAAAAAAAAAAAAACAAACCTGCATGAGCTTGGTAGCAGATTCTTTCCAGGGGCCTCCAAATAAAACTAGTTTGACTAACACCTTGATTTTGGCCTTGTGAGACCCTAAGCAGAAAACACAGCTGAGCCAGATATATGGCCTACAGAACTGTGAGCTAATACATTTGTGTTACTTTAATTAGCTGGGCATGGTGGTACACATTTGTAATCCCAGCTACTTGGGAGGCTAAGGTAGGAGGATCACCTGAACCCCAGGATGCAGAGGTTACAGTGAGCTGAGATTGCACCACTGCACTCCAGCCTGGGCAACAGAGCAAGACTCTGTCTCATTAAAAAAAAAAAAAAAATTAACCAGGCATGGTGGTATGCACCTGTAGTCCCAGCTACTGGGGACAGAGGTGGAAGGATGGCTTGAGCCCAGGAGTTCGAAGCTGCAGTGAGCCATGATTGCACTACTACACTCCAACCTGGGCAACAGAGACTATCTCACAAAAAAAAAAAAAAAAAAAGGAGAGAGAGATTCTATCAATTTATATACAATTTTGAGACCCAAAACAATGCTGTACATTGTTATGCATCTCACTACATGCACTCTTACAGAATACTAGCATAAAATCATGGAAAGATACACACCAATTTCATAGAGTCATTTCCCTCTGGGGAAAGTGAAAAGGAAAAAATAGAAATAAAGTGAAGTATTGGCTGGGCGCGGTGGCTCACACCTGTAATCCCAGCACTTTGGGAGGTCAAGGCAGGTGGATGAAAAGGTCAGGAGTTCGAGACCAGCCTGGCCAATATGGTGAAACCCCATCTCTACTAAAAATACAAAAAAAAAAAAAATTAGCCAGGCGTGGTGGCACATACCTGTAACCCCAGCTACTTGGGAGGCTGAGGCAGGAGAACTGCTTGAATCCAGGAGGTGGAGGTTGCAGTGAGCCAAGATCGCACCACTGCACTCCAGCCTGGGTGACAGAGCGAGACTCCATCTCAAAAAAAAATAAAATAAAGTGAATTTTTAAGAGGGAACCTCTGGCCAGGTGTAGTGGCTCATGCCTGTAATCCCAGCACTTTGGGAAGCCGAGGTGGGCAGATCACTTCAGGTCAGGAATTAGAGGCCAGCCTGGCCAACATGGTGAAATCCTGTCTCTACTAAAAATATAAAAAAAATTAGGCAGGTGTAGTGGTGCGTGCCCATAATCCCAGCTGCTCAGGAGGCTGAAGCAAGTGAATCACTTGAAGGCAGAGTTTGCAGTGAGCTGGGATTGTGCCCCTGCACTCCAACCTGAGTGACAGAGTGAGACTTTGTCCCCCGCCTCAGAAAAAAGGTTGGGGGGAATCTCAATTTTATCTGTAATGTTTTCTTTTTTTAGTACATTCCGTATATTAATATTTGTTAAGTTTGGGTAGTATTTACTACACCACTACTACATTTTTTTTTTTTTTGAGACTGTGTCTTGCCCTGTCACCCAGGCTGGAGTACAGTGGCGCCATCTTGGCTCACTGCAAGCTCTGCCTCCCGGGTTCTCGCCATTCTCCTGCCTCAGCCTCCTGAGTAGCTGGGACTACAGGCGCCCACCACCACGCCCAGCTAATTTTTTTTGTATTTTTAGTAGAGACGGGGTTTCACCGTGTTAGCCAGGATGGTCTCGATCTCCTGACCTGTGATCCGCCCGCCTCGGCCTCCCAAAGTGCTGGGAATACAGGCGTGAGCCACCGCGCCCGGCCAACATTTTTATTTTTAAACACTACCCATGCTACTACAGATTTGTGATACTATATGGGTCAGATCTTCCAAATAACTGGTAATAATTTTTATTAAGTTTTCCCTAATGCATTTTCAATTCTACATTTCAAGAGTATTGAACTTTTCTCACTTTTGCACTCTAATCAGAAAAACCAGAATTAAATTTTTATTTTAAAATACATTTAATAAAAATAACCCATAGTTTTACATATTTTACATGTGTAGAATATTTACAAACTCACTTCTACAGCATTTACTTAATGTTTACTATTTTTCCATTATTTGCCTTTTTGGCTATTTCCCTCAGTAGTAAAATGTTGTCCAGTGTTCTCTTTAAAAAATTAGTTTCTTGGGCAATCCTCCTAGGAAGCAAAAAGAACAAGAAAAAAAAAAGTTGTTCACATTTAACAAAGTTCACATTCTCATAGCAATTTTAACCAGTCACTGCATTCCAACTACATTATTTCACTGACACATTTTTTCCAGTAGCACTTGTTAAACATTTAGCATGTAGTTTACAGAAGGAATTTATGAAGGGAACAAGGTACACATACATAGTTCCCATAATTCTGAGGTATACACAAAAGCTGCCGAAGTATTCACAATGAAAGTAAACATACCTAAAACGGCACAGTCTCTCTACTTTATACAATTAAATTTATAAAAATTAAATAGCTAGCAAGCTACATTTCTTTGCTGTTGTTCAGTCGCTAGCCATACACGAGCTATTTGGAGTTTTCTAAATTCATTTAATTTCTTTTAAAAGTGGGAATCTTACCTTGTTCTAAGGCCTCTGTTCTTTTCCTTTTTATTGCCAAAGCTGGATTTGATTGCTCCTTTAAGGTTTCCACTGGACAGTTTGGTCTTGGCAGCTGACATCCAGGTGTTGGCCCTGGCCGATTACTGAAATACTTCATTTTCAGTGCCTTTTAAAAGAAAAGATACCAAAAGTAAGGTAGGTGAGTATCTGAAATGTGTTAAGGAAAATCTTACCTTCAAGATTATAGGGAGCATTAAAAATACTATGTGAATGCCCTCATTCCCAACAAAACAAAATTAATGTCAAGTATTTGCAAATGGAAATTACTACAAATAAATACCTAGGATCCTAAGATTGGCTGATAATTCCATTAAAAGACTGGCCGGGCACAGTAGCTCATGCCTGTAATCCCAGCACCTTGGGAGGCTGAGGCGGGTGGATCACATGAGGTCAGAAGTTCGAGATCAGCTTGGCCAACGTGGCGAAACTCCATCTCTACTAAAAATACAAAAATAAGCTGGGCGTGGTGGTGCATGTCTGTAGTCCCCACTACTCGGGAGGCTGAGGTAGGAGAATCGCTTGAACCCAGAGGCAGAGGTTGCAGTGAGCCGAGATCGCACCACTGCACTCCAGCCTGGGCGACAGAGCAAGGCTCCGTATCAAAAAAAGAAAAGAAAAAAAGACTCCCTTCTAATTTTTCCATAATTAAATAGCCTATACAGGCTGAATATATCTTATCTAAAATGCTTGGGACCAGAAGTGCTTCAGATTTTGGACTGTGGAATATTTGCATATACATGACGTACCTTGGGGATGGAAGCCAAGATTAAAAATGAAACTTATGTTTCATATACAGCTTATACATATAAACTGAAGGTAATTTTACACTTATTTTTTGTGGAGAATGGGGTCTTGCTATATTGGCCAGGCTTGTCTTGAACTCCTGGGCTCAAGCTATCCTCCCGCCTCCGCCTCCCTAAGAGCTAGGATTACAGGCGTGAGCCACCGCGCCTGGCTGAAGGTAATTTTATAAAATATTTTTAATTTGACAAAATTTTTAATTTTGTACATAAAACAAAGTTTTGTTAATGTCCTTATGTGTAGAATTTTCCACTTGTGGCATCACGTCATCATTCAAAAAGCTTTGGATTTTGGAGCATTTCAGATTTCGGATATTTGGATTAAGGATGCTCAACCTATACTAATTATGAGCTATCCTTAGTGAAATATTGTACATTTCCATTCTCTACATATTGAACTCTACAGTTCAAAATGCAAAGAGAGAAACTTAAAAAGAACTTACAAGTTGGCCACACTATCCATATATATTCAAATTCCAAGTCATGTAAAATATAAATTCTTAAAAAATAAGGCTTTTTAAAAAATACAGTAGGTTGGAACCAATGGATTCTAATTCAACAATCCATTGCAAATGGACAGAAATTTTACTTGGAAGGGCTTCTCCAAGATTATTTCTATTAATTACCAGGCCAATGTTCTATAATACATTTTCTCTTTTTTTCCCCCTACTATAGTGCTGTAGATACAATACATTTTCTTGACTTGGGTCCACAATTCTGATAAAAATAATTATATCCTAAATGACAAGTTTGTCAGGTCATGCTTGTCTTTTTTTTTTTTTTTGGATACAGAGTCTCACCCTGTTGCCCAGGCTGGAGTGCAGTGGCACAATCTTGGCTCACTGCAACCTCCACCTCCCGGGTTCACATGCTTGTCTATTTACATCAGCAGCATAGTGCTGTCCAGTGGCTACAATGATTTAAAATACTTCTGGCAGGGCGGGGTGGCTCATGCCTGTAATCCCAGCACTTTGGGAGGCCGAGGCAGATGGATCACCTGAGGTCAGGAGTTCGAGATCAGCCTCGATAACATGGTGAAACCCTGTCTCTACTAAAAATCCAAAAATTAGCCAGGCATGGTGGTGTGCACCTGTAATCCCAGCTACTAGGGAGGCTGAGACAGGAGAATCGCTTGTACCTGGGAGGTAGAGGTTGCAGTGAGTCAAGATCGTGCCACTGCACTCCAGCCTGGGTGACAGAGCAAGACTTCGTCTCAAAAATAAATAAATAAATACTTCCTTTAGGATAATCCTTTAAGAAAGATGAAGCCCATATAAACTTTGCAAGCATTCCTCACCACTCCCAATATTATTTGCAGTAATTTAGAGATTCCTTACTTCAACAGTTGCATTTTCATTTTTTATTTATTTACTTTTTGTAGAGATGATGTTTTGTCATGTTGCCCAGGCTGGGCTCCAACTCCTGGGCTCAAGCTATCCTTGCTCCTTCACCTCCCAAAGTGCTGGGATTACAGGTGTGAGCCGATGCACCGGCCTACAGCTGCATTTTTAAAGCATTACTTCTAAATCACAGCAGTTCTATATGCAAATTAGGCTAATTCTGGGCTAAAGATCTAAGAAAATACCTCATTCCAACTTTAATAAAGACATCCATGAAACAAAACTCACTTTAAAAACTTCATTCTATTAAAATACAACCCAAATACAACAACTAGTATTTTTCTGTTAAGTTTCAAACTATACTACCAATGAAAACAACTTTCTAGATAATTAAATGTGGTCTCAAGTTTATTATGATGGAAATAATATACATAGAAGTATGAGTGAAAAGGCAACAAATTACTTGTTTGAAATTAAAAGAGTATGTGTACACATGGACATAAAAATAATAAAGAAAAATTTTTTAAAAAAGAAATTAGGAGAATAATTCTAATGGTAAATACCCAGCATATACCTACCTACCTATCCATCTATATCTATCTATCCTTCCATCCATCCATCCATCTCCATATATATTCACATAGCACACATTGCTAAAAAGAGAAGGCTTATACAAGCAAGTGCATTAAACAATGATTTTGTAGCCTGGAACAAACCTAAAGAGAAAAAAATCTATTTTGTATGCTTAATATTACTGTACATTAATATGTTTCCATAAAGACCTGTGATCTCACTTTCATTAGTCTCTCCCTTCATGAGGTAAAATCACTGCACTGTGTTGTACAGTGCTCTGCCCTAAGTTATTCTAGGTCTTCCAAATTTTTCATGAGTTTGTTATTTCCTTTAAACAGCAGTTAGTTTCAGTTTTTGTTTTATTTCAAATATTTTTCAAGCTTTTGTAAGCATACAATTATATCTGACTATACCATTTCCTCCCCATTACCATGTTCTCAATGTGAGAATGATCAGCATGCATACCTGGATTGCATTATATAGGAAAGAAAAAATAAGCCGAACAAACTACTTTCAGCATTGCTACAAGATTTAAATGAATTTGTAAGAGCTCAACTGAAATATACCAGTTTCTTAACAAATAAAAAGCCTTGGTTTTCTTTTTCTAAGTAAAGTATTTACAAGCCAATTATGTGAAATAGACATGTATTTAAATGTCCCTAAGCAAGTGTAATAAGTGTAAACTCTCCTGTATCTCTGTGTGCATATAATTTAATCTCAGTCTTAATAGTGTTTGTAGTTTGGGGAAAAGATACAAAGTTTGTTATTTCTTAAAACAAAAACACATCTTTCCAGTATTTAAAAAATGTTAATTTTATGAAATTCTATTTTTATCAATGCTACAGTTAAGATTATTTTTATATTTCCTAGTATAAAAAAGATACACCAAAATACCTGTGTGGCCGTAATTCGAGCACATGGATTAAATAAGAATAAGCCTTGTATGAGATCTAGTAAGTCGTCTCCTGCTGCACTGAAGATGTGATGCAAAGGTATTCCAGGGAAACTCTTAAATGTCACATAATCTGGAAGACTACACATGTCCTGTAAAAATAATTTTGTAATTCAAACTTAAGGATTAAAGGCATATAGATTGCAAATGAAATAAATCATTTTCAGGTGATATGATGGTTTATATAGAAAATTCCAAGAAATCTATTAAAAAGTCCTAGAACTAGTAGTAAGACAAGGCTGAAAAGGATATAAATTGAAAATTTAAAAATCAATTGTAATTTTGTACACTAGCAATAAATATGTGGACATCAAAATTAAAAACACAGTACTATTTATAATCACCCCAAAAAGAAAAATGAAACAGGTGAAAAATGTAACAAAACATGTATAGGGTAATATACTATAAGCTATACAATGCTGATGAAAGTCATCAAAAGATCTCAATAAATGGTGAAACATATCGTGTTCACATATTGGAATATTCAACAGAGGAAGGATGTTAATTATCCTCAAATTGATTTGCAAGTCTAATGTAATTTTTATCAAAATCCTAGCAAAATTATCTTAGATATAGGACCAATTATTCTACAATTTATATGGAAAGGCAAAGGACTACAGTAGCTAAAATGATTTTGAAAAAGAACAATAAAGTGGGAGGACTCATTTTACCTGATTTCAAGATTTAACATATAGCTACTTTGATTAAGACTCTGTTGTATTGGCAGAGAGAGAGATACATAAATCAATGGAACTCAATAAAGGACTTAGAAATCCACACAAATCTGCCAAAAGGATTTTTGAAAAAAGTGAAAAACTAAATCAATGAAGAGACCGTCATTTCAACAAATACTGCTGGAACACTTCGACATACATGTGCAAAAATCTGAACTTGGCTGGGTGTGGCAGCTCACGCTTGTAATCTCAGCACTTTGGGAGATTGAGGCAGGAGGGTCACTTGAGCTCAGGAGTTCGAGACCAGCCTGGACAAGAAAGTGAGACCCCACTCCAACCTGGGGAACAGAGTGAGACTGTCTCAAAGAAAAAAAAAAACAAAAACTGAACCTTGCCCTAAGTCTCACACATCATATAAAGGTAAACTCTAAACAGATCTTGGACTTAAGTATAAAACTACAAAACTTGTAGAAAAAAATACAAAAAAAATTGTCACAGCCAAGGGCATAGTGGCTCATGCCTGTAATCCCAGCACTTTGGGAGGCCAAGGTGGGCAAATCGTTTGAGCTCACGAGTTTCAGACCAGCCTGGGAAACATGCAGAAACCCTGTCTCTACAAAAAACACAAAAACTAGCTGGGCGTGGTGGTGCATGCCTACAGCCCCAGCTACTCAAGAGGCTGAGGTGGGAGGATGGCTTGAGCCTGGGAAGTGGAAGTTGCAGTGAGCTGAGATCACACCATTGCACTGCAGCCTGGGCAACAAGCCAGATCTTGTCTTGAAAAAAAAAAAAAAAAGAAAAAAAAATTGTCAAAAAATCTTTGGGCTGGGCAAAAGAGCTCTTTGACTTGACACCAAAAGGATGATCAATTAAAGAAAAAGTGACAAACCTGATTACAATTTTGCAGAGGATGAAAAGGCAGCACGAGGGAAAACATCTGCAAACTACATACACTTTTTGGACTACTATCTAGAATATATGAAGAGCTCTCAATACTCAACAGTCAAAAATCAAAGAATCCAATCAGAAAATGGGGAAGAGACATTTAACTAAAGATGGCAAATAACCACAAGAAAAGATATTCAACACCATTAACCATTAGAGCAGTGAAAATTAAAATCAAAATGAGCTATCATGACACACTCATTAGAATGCCTAAAATTAAAAAGTGACAACACCAAATGCTGGAGAGGATTCCAAGAAACTGGAGCATTCATTTACTGCTGATGAGAATGTAAAACAGTATAGCTGCTCTGGAGTTTTGCAGGTTATTTAAAAATTAATATGTAACTACCATATGACTCAAGAACTGAACTCCTGGGCATTTATCCCAGAGAAATAAAAATATATTCTTATATAAAAAACTGTACATAAATGTTTAGAGCAGTTTTATTGGTAATAGCCCCACATTGGAAACAACACAAATATAGATGTCCTTCAATGGGTGAACGGTTGAAGAAACTGAAATAAATCCACACAATACTCAGCAGTTAACAAAAGAGAGAATGAATTATTAACATGCAATGACCTGAATGAACTTCCATTTATGATGGATATGAAAAAGTTAATCCCACAAAGTTATATATTGTGTGATTCCATTTATCCATTTACATAACATTCTTGAAATGACAAAATTACAGAGCTGGAGAACAAATTAGTGATTGCCAAGAGTTAAGGAGTAGGTAGAAGGAAAGTAAGCATAGCTATAAAAGAATACCATGAGAGATTCTTGTGGTGATATTCTGTATCTTGACTGTAGCATCCTGGTGTGATACTGTACTGATTTTATAAGATGCTCCCATCTTGTAAAAGCTAGGTAAAGGGTCCGTGAAATATGTCTGTAGTATTACTATTATAGTTTTGAGACAGGGACTCACTCAGTTACTCATGCTGGTAAAGCGCAGTGGTGCAATCACAGCTCACTGCAGCCTTGACTTCCTGGGCTCAAGCAATCCTCCTACCTCAGCCTCCTGAGTAGCTGGGACCATAATGTGTGCACCACCAAGCCTGGCTAAATTTTTTTAATTTTTGTTTTTTATAGACACGAAGTCTCACTATGTTGCCCAGGCTGGTCTTAAACTCCTGGGCTCAAGTGACCCATTTACCTCAGTCTCCCAAAGTGCTGGGATTACAGGCGTGAGCCATTGTGCCCAGCCACAATATATAATTGTGAATTATATATTCACAATTGCACGTGAATAATATTCTCAAAATAAGAAGTTTAATTTTTTTTTTTTTTTTTTGGAGACAGAGTCTCACTCTGTAGCCCAGGCTGGTCTCAAACTCCTGGCCTCAAATGATCTGCCCGCCTCAGCCTCCCAAAGTGCTGGGATTACAGGCGTGAGCCATCGCACCCACCAAGAAGTTTAATTTTTAAAAAATCAAAGAGAAACATCAGTAAGCAATTACTATTTAGAAAATCATGTTAGCCAAGTGCGCTGGCTCATGCCTGTAATGCCAGCACTTTGGGAGGCTGAGGCAGAACTGCTTGAGACGAGGAGTTTGAGACCAGCCTGGGCATCACGGTGAAACCCCATCTCTATTAAAAAAAATAATAATAATTTAAAAAAATCTAAGAGAAACATCATATATACATATATGTACACCTACATGTGTGCATGTGTGTGTAATGGGTTTTATATATATAATGGCTTCACACCGTGTATATATACGACGTGAACCCATTTTTGTCAAGGAGTCAAAGAACATGCAACCCTTTTATGTTCGTAGTGTGCTTATAAACTCCTAACATGACTTTACAATGAATTGTTAATAGTGATTACCCTGAGGTCAGGATTACTGGGGTGGGGGGAAAGGACTACATGTATACAAGAGGTTGATGGTATATCACAATTGTAACTTCTTACTTTATATACTTTATCATTTAAAGTGTTCTGAGTACATATTATAATGAATGTCTTTAATATTCACGTGACAGCACTATATAAAGTATATGACAGTTTAAGAACTTTACAGAGTCCTAATTACATTTCAAAGAAAATGCATAAAGGCTTACCGGCCACTGTTCCTCAGTTGGTGTGCCCAAAGTTTCAAATATTCTTGTTAGCTGATCAAGGTCTGAATCTCCTGGCAAAAAAGGAACCTGAAAGAAAGTAAGAGGGAGACTTTTCAAGGTGGGTTTTTTTTTTTTAATTTTTTTCTTTTTTTAGAGAGACAGAGTCTCGCTCTGTCACCCAGGCTGCAGTGAGTGATGCAATCCTGGCTCACTGCAACTTCCTCCTCACTTCAAGCGATTCTTCTGCCTCAGCCTCCCGAGTAGCTGGGACTGCAGGGGCATGCCACCATGCCTGGCTAATTTTTGTATTTTTAGTAGAGATGAGGTTTTGCCATGTTGGCCAGGCTGGTCTCGAAGCCCTGACCTCAAGTGATCTACCCACTTCAGCCTCCCAAAGTGCTGGGATTACAGGCGTGAGCCACCACGCCAGCCTTAGAGATGGGTTTTTTTTTTTTTTTTGAGACAGTCTCGCTCTGTTGCCCAGGCTAGAGTGCAGGAGTTCAAGCTCCGCCTCCTGGGTTCAGGTCATTCTCCTGCCTCAGCCTCCAGAGTAGCTGGGACTACAGGCGCCCGCCACCACGCCTGGCTAATTTTTTTGTATTTTTAGTAGAGATGGGGTTTCACCGTGTTAGCCAGAATGGTCTCGATCTCCTGACATTGTGATTTGCCCGCCTCGGCCTCCCAAAGTGCTGGGATTACAGGCGTCAGCCACCATGCCTGGCCTTCAAAGTGGTTTTTGATACCTGTTAGACAAATACTATAAATTTAATAAGAAAAACTTAAAAACTCTGCAACGAATATTGAAAATTTAGTACAAAGTGTATTGGGTACGTTATTAGATCCTACCACTGCTAACCAACAAAACAGCACCTTTACTATCCATTTTATTCACTCCAAATTTTAATAAACACTTCCCATATAACAGGCCTTGTGCTAAGCCTCAGGAATTAAAAGAGGAAAACGAGACATTCCCTGCCCTCCCCTTAGGTGGAGGTGGTAAGCAGTGCTGATACACATAAACAAGCATTTACAATTCGGTGTGTTGAGTAAGTACGAGATCCTAGACCACATGGAAAGAGCACCTAACTTACTCTAGATGGGTCAGGAGTTCAAGACCAGTCTGGCCAACATGCTGAAACCCTGTCTCTCTACCAAACATAGAAAAATCAGCCAGGCGTGGTGGTGCATGCCTGTAGTCCCAGCTCCTCAGGAGGCTGAGGCAGGAGAATCACTTGAACTGGGAGATGGAGGCTGCAGTGAGCAGAGATGGAGCCACTGCACTCCAGCTTGGGCGACAGAACAAGAATCCATCTTAAAAACAAAAAACAAAAAAACTAAAAGGATATTAAATAATATTACAACTATTTTTAGACATGCTAATTTTCTTCTTAAACCCAAAAGGATTATCTTTTGTTTTTTGTAGGGCACCTGTACCCTCACTTTGCAGGCCAAATTGTGGACAAGGTTGTAATTTAAACAAATTTTAAGAATTGGTGTGCTTTTGTATGATGTAAAAATGAAACTAAGCTGTCTGATGTATGGATTTCACACTCCAATTTGAACAAGCCTATGTAAAAAGACATTTATGAGAAAAAGTAGGAAAATCTGAATACAGACTTGATTTTATTAAGGAATTAATGTTCACTTTTTTCAGATGACAATGGTATTGTGGTTATGATTAAAGAATCCTTATAGATGGCCAGGTGTGGTGGCTCACTCCTGTAATCCCAGCACTTTAGGAGGGTGAGGCGAGTGGATCAATTGAGGCTAGGAGTTTGAGACCAGCTGGTCAACATCACAAAACCATTTTTACTAAAAAATACAAAAACTAGGCGGGTGTCATGGTGCACGGCTGTAATCCCAGCTACTTGGGAGGCTGAGGCACGAGAATCACTTCAGCCTGGGAGGCAGAGGTTGCAATGAGCTGAGATCACGCCACCGCACTCCAGCCTGGGCGACAAAGACTCTGTCTCAAAAAAAAAAAAAAAAAAAAAAAAAAAAGGAATCCTTATAGAGAAAAATACTAAAGAAACATGGATAAAATTACATGTTTGGAATTTGTGGCAAAAATATCTAGTGTGGGAGAGTACTGATAAAATGAATCATATGTTGAAACTATTGAAACTGGTTGATGAGTATAGATAGAGGCTCATTTTACTAGTCTTTGCTTTTGCATGTTTGAAAATATCCATACTAAGAAAACTATTTTTCCCTAAAGAAAGAGCTGCTTTGGGACTTAAGCTGTGTGTTTAAAATGTCTTATTTGTATTAAATACATGAACCTTGTTAAAACACTAAATAGTACTAAAGACTTATAATAAAAATTGGTTCTTTGACCCATCATCTCCCTCTCATTTTTGATAATTACGTAACTTTTGCTCAGTGCAGAGCCAAAATTAAGATTAATTCCCCTTCTTATACAATTTGGTTTTCCTAAAGGTAATGATTTCCTAGCCCTCCGCCACCAACTCCTAATGCCTGCTCTTTGACAACTTGGTTTATATAAAAGCTAAATATTCCAGTTATTAAATATCGATTTCTATATGACTAAACCAATCATATCCATCGGTTCCTTTTTTTTTTTTCCTGGAAGCCACCCCTGCTGAAGTCCTCACCCCACCTGCTCCAATCTGGACTAGCTACTCTCCAGGCCTGATGCATACCTGCTTTCCCAGAACTTTCCTTCACTATTAAATGAGAATTTGAACTGCCTTTTTCCTGTGTTGAATCTTATGTTCCCTGCATCTCATGTCTTCCCGTTGGTTTACTCTCTGCAACCTCTGCCTTGTGGGTTTAAGCACCTCACCTTCCCGAGTAGCTGGGATTACAGGCGCCCACCACCATGCCCAGCTAATTTTTGTATTTTTAGTAGAGACCGGGTCTCACCATGTTGGCCAGGCTGGTCTCGAACTCCTGACCTCAGGTGATCCACCTGCCTTGGCCTCCCAAAGTGCTGGGATTACAGGCATAAGCCACCGCACCCAGCCCTAAACTTTTTTTTTGAGACAAGGTCTGTCTCCTCTAATTCGGTGTGAATTTTTCGGTTCTGTTTTTCTCCTGTGCTGTCTCTGCACCAGCTCAGCTCAGCTCCCCAGCCTTCGCCGCCGCAGCCTCTTCAGCCTGCTGACCGCAAGTGCGCCCTCTAAAGGCCCCAAATGCCCTATACACACCAGGTGGAGAGTGCGGCAGCGCCTGCAGAGCCCAATTAAAGGTGAACCCCAGCCTGTTACCCAGGCTGGAATGCAGTGGCACAAACGTGGCTCACTGCAGCCTTGACAACCAGGCTCAAGCAATCCTCCCACTTCAGCCTCCCAAGCAGCTGGGACTACAGGCATGCACTACCAAGTCTGGCTAATTTCTTGATTTCTTTTTTTCTTTTTTTTTTAGCTAGTGTCTTGCTCTGTCACCCAGGCTGGAGTGATGTGGCACGATATCACCTCCTTGCAGCCTCAAATTCCCAGGTTCCAGTGATCCTGCCAACTCAGCCTCCTGAGTAGCTGGGAAAACACGCACTCAATACCATGCCCGGCTAATTTTTGTATTTTTGGTAGAGACAGGGTTTCACCACATTGCCCAAGTGGGTCTCAAACTCCTGAGCTCAAGTGATCCACCCGCCTTGGCCTCCCAAAGTGCTGGGATTACAGGAGTGAGCTGCCCTGCCTGGCCTAGATGTAAATTTCTGATGTAATAAATTGTAGTTACCCTCAGAGCAAACTGAAAATATGAACAGGCAAAGAATTCTAGGTTGAGCATCATTTTCCCTCACAATGTGAACACTTCCAGATTCCAGTGCTGCTGTTGAGAAGGCTCATGCCATTCTTTTTCCCTAATACTTTATTTTCTTTTCTATGTATGCTGCTTTTCTTCTCTGTGCAAATAAAATATTTTTCTTACCCCTTCGTATTCTGAAATTTCACAACAGTGTGTCTTGGCACAGGTTTTTTTTTTTCATGCAGAGCCTTTAGAATTTTTTTTTGAAAGTTTTCTTTGTAATTTTCATAATTGTACTCATTTTTTTTTTTATTTTTTGAGACGGAGTCTCGCTCTGTCACCCAGGCTGGAGTGCAGTGGTGCGATCTTGGCTCACTGCAAGCTCTACCTCCCAGGTTCATGCCATTCTCCTGCCTCAGTCTCCCGAGTAGCTGGAACTACAGGTGCCCGCCACCACGCCTAGCTAATTTTTTTTGTATTTTCAACAGAGACGGGGTTTCACTGTGTTAGCCAGGATGGTCTCTATCTCCTCACCTCGTGATCTGCCTGCCTCAGCCTCCCAAAGTGCTGGGATTGCAGGCGTGAGCCACCGTGCCTGGCCTTTTTTTTTTTAGACGGAATTTCACATTTGTTGCCCAGGCTGGAGTGCAATGGTGTGATCTCCAGCTCACTGCAACCTCCACATCCCGGGTTCAAGCGATTCTCCTGCCTCAGCCTCCTGAGTAGCTGGGATTACAGGCATGTGCCACCAAACCCAACTAATTTTGCATTTTTAGTAGAGATAGTGTTTCTCCATATTGGCCAGGCTGGTCTCAAACTCCCAACCTTGGGTGATCCACCCACCTCGGCCTCCCAAAGTGCTGGGATTACAGGCATGAGCTACTGCGCCCGGCCTCATAATTGTACTCTTCATGGCACTTTTAGTCTGACGATTCACATCTAGCAGTGCTTCACTATTTTGAGATTTCCTACCCTCCATTTTCCTTGTTTTCTGTTGGTACATTCTAGAATCCTGGATCAATCTGTTAATTTTATCTTTTCTCTACTATAGTCCATCTATCTTTTTATTGAGACAGGGTTTCACAATGTTATCCAGGCTGGTCTTGAACTGCTGGGCTCAAGAGATTCTCCTGCCTCAGCCTCGCACGTAGCTGGGACCACAGGTATGTACCACTGTGCCTAGCCATCTCTTCATCTTTTGATTTTAGTTAATGAAAGAGTTTTGCAGCTTACTTTCCCATTCCTTTCACTGTTTTTGTTTGCTTTTGGCTATCTTCTATTTTTAATAGTTCAAGTGTCTCTTATTTTATTGTTCCCCTTTTAAAAAAGTATGGTGTGCTTATTCTATAGATGCACTATAATCTCTTAGATCTCTGAATATTTGGAAAGGGGGCTGGGGGCGGTGAATTTTCTTCTGCTTTGGTTGTTTCCATTTTTTCCAAGTTTCTTTTTAGTTTGTTTCAGTCTGCCTTTCATTTTGGAAGTATTCATTACTATCTGAAGATCCTTAATAACTATCTGGTGATCCCTGGCTAAGCATTCATATGGGCAACATTTCTACCTTTTCAATTGAGCACAAGAACAGCTTAAAATAGGACAAAAGGTATGGCAGAAGAGTACAATTCTTTAGTCTGCATGTCATTTTCCTTATAACTTTAAAGATGATTCCAGCAACAATGCCAATGGCTAATAAATTTCCAAGTATGATTGTTAACAGGTCCACAATCTCTAACCTGTCTACTCTCAACTGCTGTCTCTCTTCATTTGCTTTCTCAATGGAGTGATCAGTCATAACATTAGGGGCTATGGAATTCTGTTTTCTTCTTGGCCATGAATGGATTGTGGTGGTTGATAAATTCTCAGTGTGAATTTCTGGTATACTCTATGTTCAGGTAAGTAGCAGTTATCATGCCAGCTGATTCACAGGACCCCCTGTTAGCACTGTGATTCCCATATTACCTTCCAAGTTTGAATGTGTGGGTTTCTTCTACAAATGCCCATTGGGTAAGTTTCTCAAAATGATGCACAGAATTTACTTTTTTTTATTTTAAGAGATTGGGGTCTTGCTATATTGTCCAGGCTTGCCTCAAACTCCTGAGTACAAGTGATCCTCCCACCTCAGCTTCCCAAGTAGCTGGGACTATAGGCGTGAGCCACCACTATGCTTAAACTAAACATTTTTAGTTTAGTGTTTTTCTCTTTGGTGTACAAAAGTTGTTTTCTGTGTTCAAGGAGATAAAAAAGCTATTCAATCTTGGTTTGAATTTCTTTAAATACATATGGCTTAAGGAGAGGGAGAGCAGGGGTCAGAATATGGAGAGAAAAAAACTAGCTTCAGAAGGATTCCCCTGTATCCCTTTACCTTCATCATTCGTAAGGGCTAGTCTTTCTGGAGATCTAAACTTCATAGCTAAAGAGAAGTTTCCAAGTCAGCATCTTTCTCTCTGGTGAGGGGAAGCAGGGGATTTTTTTTACTGTAAGATGATGGTCTCAGTCACAGAAATGCTATAGTAACATTGTATCTGTTCTGTTTCAACAGAACTAAAATAATGGTCTCACACAAGGCTTAAGTTATACAGAGTAGTAGCTGCAGTGGTTGGTATTATACATTTCCTAAAGCGCACTTAAAACAGACCCAAACAAAAAAACCCTCAGGAGGACAAAAGTTTATCTGAACATATTTAGTTGTTATAGAGATACTGCCATATTACAAGTGAATTTCTATGTTCTGAAGTATAAAACTTCTACAGTAAAGTTCTTATTGTCCTAAATGGAAGATATTCTCATTTCATATTAACATTAAAAAATGCTACATTTGGCTTTTTAAAAATTGGACTATTTGTAGGCTTTTTGTTGTAAAGACATTGGCAGGACAAGAATTCTTTTCTTTTTCTTTTTCTTTTTTTTTTTTTTTGAGATGGAGCCTTGCTCTGTTGCCCAGGCTGGAGTGCAGTGGCACAATCTTGGCTCATTGCAACCTCTGCCTCCCAGGTTCAAGCGATTCTCCTGTCTCAGCCTCCCGAGTAGCTGGGACTACAGGCACCCGCCACCATGCCCAGCTAATTTTTCTATTTTTAGTAGAGATGGGGTTTCACCATGTTGGCCAGGCTGGCTTCGAACTCCTGACCTCAAGTGATCCACCTGCCTCGGCCTCCCAAAGTGCTGGGATTACAGGCGTGAGCCACCATGCCTGGCCTAGGACAAGAATTCTTATACAAACTGTCAGAACAAATAACTGCAACAACAATATTAAAGTGCGTACATTAATTTAGACTTACCCTTAGAAGTAACTCTGCTAATATACAGCCAACAGCCCACATGTCCACACCTACACCATACATCCTAGCTCCAAATAGTAACTCGGGGGCCCGATACCACCTAAAGAACAAAAAGAATTAGTATCATTTTAGCATGAAATTATCAAAGCACTTCTATCTCTAGGGATGAACGATCCTTGTCTGTTTTCTGTTTTTAAAGGCAATCCCTTACTTTAAGGACTAGATACCATACTCTTTCATGAAGTTTTAAATATAATACTCTTGCAGTTCTCTCCTTTTTCTCCTACAGCAGTCTTTTGTTTTCTACTAGACTTTTCCCAACAATGTACAAACATACCAGTATTTTTCCAGTCTTAAACTTCTCTGGACCCTACCTCCCCTAATAGGTGCCTCCTCATTCTCTGCCCAGTTCAAAGAATTGTCTATTCTTACTGTCTCCAATTCCTTTTCTTCCATCCTCTCTTAAAACCTTTTCAGGCCGGGTGTGGTGGCTCACGCCTGTAATCCCAGCACTTTGGGAGGCCGAGGCGGGCGGATCACGAGGTCAGGAGTTTGAGACCAGCCTGGCCAACATAGTGAAACCCGTCTCTACTAAAAATACAAAAAATTAACCAGGCATGGTGGTGGGCGCCTGTAATCCCAGCTACTTGGGAGGCTGAGGCAGGAGAATTGCTTGAACCCGGGAGGCAGAGGTTGCAGTGAGCAGAGATCGCGCCATTGCACTCCAGCCTGGGCGACAGTGCCAGATTCCGTCTCAAAACAAAACACCACACACACATACACACACACACACACACACACACACACACACACAGAGAACCTTTTCAATCAGGCTTTCATCCTTACCATTCCATCAAAACTGCTCTTATCAAGCTTATCAGTCATGTCCACACTGCTAAATCCCATTGTCAATTCCCAGAGTCTTCATCTTAATTTGATTTACCAGCAGCATTTGATTTACAGACAGAGAAAATATGAGAAACTGGTAGATGAGAAAGCTCTGTTAACAATGCTCTTGTACACAGGTCCCTGTTTCTATGAGTTCCTGAATGTTGAGCTTAACTGCTCTAGCAATTACATAAACAATTACTCACATCCCCTACTTCTTACTCAGGGCTTAGGTGATTTATACTCAGTGACATCTATTTGGAAGAAGGTGGCAAAATAATTTAAAATAGAGACTTTGGGGCCAGGCACAATGGCTCACACCTGTAATCCCAAAACTATTGGAGGCTGAGGTGGGAGGATCGCTTGAGTGCAGGACTTTGAGACCAGCCTGGGCAACATGGCGAAACCCATCTCTATAAAAACTTTAAAAAATTAGCCAGCCATGGTGGGGCGTGCCTGTGGCCCCAGATACTTGGAAGGCTGAGGTAGCACGATTGCTTGAACCCAAGAGGTCAAGGCAGCAGTGAGTACTGTTTGCACAACCGCACTTCAGCCTGGGCAACAGAGCGAGATCCTGTCTCAAAAAAGAAAAAGAAAAAATACAGAATTTGAAAATCTTTGCAGATCCTTAAAACGGTCTTGGAAATTAACAAAATGCCACTGGGACAAAAATTATAAAATCTATCATTCCTATTTAATGTGATTTTCTGTTTTTTCACATCAAAAATACAAATGGAAAATATAATTACCAATATGAAAAATTCAAATATCAAGACATTGCTCTGTTTAGAGAATTTTCATTTACATAGAAGGATACAGAATCAGCACTGACCAACATAATAAAAATGGGTCCAATAAATCAGATGATTAGGTAGAAGAATATCCACTGAAATTCTAGATTATCTAACTAAAATGTTAAAGTATAAATTGTTCCCATTTACAAGGTAAATGTCTTAGGATTAAGTTAGACTCTGTTTGAAAAGGGGCTATGTATTTTTTCATCGTGGTAAAGTATACCTAACATAAAAATGACAGGTTTTTTTTTTGTTTGTTTTTTGTTTTTCCCTGAGAGGGAGTCTTTCTCTGTCGCCCAGGCTGGAGTGCGGTGGTGCAATCTCTGCTCACTGCAACTTCTGCCTCTCTGGTTCAAGCAATTCTCCTGCCTCAGCCTCCTGAGTAGCTAGGATTACAGGCGTGCGCCACCATGCCCAGCTAATTCTTTTGTATTTTTAGTAGAGACGGGGTTTCACCATGTTGGCCAGGCTGGTCTCAAACTCCTGACCTCGTGGGTCTGCCTGCCTTGGCCTCCCAAAGTGCTGGGATTACAGGCATGAGTCACCGCGCCTGGCCAAATGGCAGTATTTTTTAAGACGGTATCTATCAACAATGATTCCTTAACTCTGCCAAGATAGTTCAGAGAAGCCAGTTGATGCTCATTTCTGATCAAACTCCTGCACATGTAGCTTTAAGAGATTCTTACCTGGTTACAACCTGATGTGTATAAGCTCTATTGGGGCTCCCAAAAGATTTGGCCAGGCCAAAATCTGCCAGTTTTAGAACTCCATTTTCATCTAGCAACAAGTTGTTTGGTTTCAGATCCTATATGACGGAAGTTTTAAACAAACAAATAAGCAGGGTAGGGGAGAACACTGTAGTGCTACATTTAGTTGGCATAACTTTAAACTTAGCAAAAACAAGGTAACACCTGAAATCTAAACAATCAATTTTTTTCCCACTGATATAAAATCCCATCAAAGCAAAATTGGATTGGTTATAATATATAACCTTGGTAAGGAACTTAATTTCACTAAGCCATAATTTACATACTTCATAGAGTTTCTGTGAGGATTAAATCTGATATTTTCTGTAGTCTAGTGTAATAACTGGCTCATAGTAGGCACTCAATAAATGGTTCCTACTATTAATAATAAATATGAACTTTCATAATATACGTTGTTAATGTATAAGAATGAGGATGACATTCTTCAAAATCCATGCTAAAAAGACATCAGCAATAACCTAAGAGGGATTCCAAACTTACGATATGAGAATTACTAGTTATAAATTATATATTCTTAGCTACTTATCTAAATAGCTAGGTAGCTAGCATCTACCTAGCTAAATTATCAGCTTTGTTCTAAAAGCTGAATGTTCCCACTATTTCATAAACTGTATTTTGTACCTTGAATTTTAGAGCTACAAGAAACATTACTTTTCTAGTATTTTGGCATTGTATGAGTTAATCCAAGACCATCTCTATATTTTTTTCCCCACAACAACATTGTAGCACAAAGAATACTGAACTTAAAGCCAAAAGACCTATGTTCTTTTTTTTTTTTTTGAGACAGGGTTTCACTCTGTCACCCAGACTAGAGTGCAGTGGTGAGGTCTCAGCTCACTGCAACCCCCACCTCCTGGGCTCAGGTGATCCCCCAACCTCAGCCTCCTGAGCAGCTGGGACTACAGGTGTGCACCACTGCACCCAGCTAATTTCTGTATTTTTTGTAGAGATGAGTTTTCACTATATTGCCCAGGCTGGTCTAGAACTCCTGGGCTCGAGATATCTACTTGCCTCAGCCTCCCAAAGTGCTGGCAACACAAAAGTGAGCCACCATGCCTGGGTCAAAACCTATGTTTTAATACTCTGTCCATTATCAGCAGCCAACCTTGAAAAAAAATATAACCATGGTCAGGTCACTTAGCAACTTAGCTCTTCATCTATTAAAAAATGAGGAGGCCGGGCGCAATGGCTCACGCCTGTAATCCCAGCACTTTGGGAGGCCAAGATGGGCAGATCACGAGGCCAGGAGATCGAGACCATTCTGGCTAACACGGTGAAACCCCGTCTCTACTAAAAAAATACAAAAAATTAGCTGGGCGTGGTGGCGGGCACCTGTGGTCCCAGCTACTCGGGAGGCTGAGGCAGGAGAATGGCATGAAACCAGGAGACGGAGCTTGCAGTGAGCAAGAGATCGCGCCACTGCACTCCAGCCTGGGTGACAGAGCAAGATTCCATCTCAAAAAAAAAAAAAAAAAAAAATGAGGGACTGGATCTCTTCCAGTTCTAAATTTCACAAAGTAATATGGAGTCCTTACAGCACCAACTGCTGGAACAAGTGAAGGGAATAATATATAGCAAAAAGATGGGATAAAACAGTCAGCTATAAATTCATTGTTAAACAATTTACATATTCAGACCACTATGTACCAAATTGGCTATATAAAACTTGACTAGTATAAAGAAGCAATATTAAAAACCTTACCCTATGTAGGATCCAATGTTGATGTAAATATTCTAATCCTTGAAGAGTCATCAACATGTAGGCTTTGATGTGTGATGGTGTCAGCACAAGACTATTATCCTTTATTATAACCTGTAAAGCAAGTATACAATATACAGGTACCCTTTATTATTTCAAATAAACTCTACCACATAAAACAATTTACAGACTTAAAATGTAAGTATCAATACAGGAGACTCTCAAAAGAGGTTATCTAAGTTTCCTCAGGAAGCCCTGTCAAAATCTCCAGAGTTAGATGGGTAGGGAGAGCATTTCTGGTTTGAAAAGAAAGCAGTGCTTTGTCCTCTACTGCTTTCGCATGAAAGTAGCAAACACCTGTTGTTTCTGCTTGCATCTTCTGACAATAGCAGTTAGTGTTCCTTTGGGAAGCCATCTCTTCTCAGCTTAGTCCACATGGTTAAGGTAGGACTGAGTCAACCTAAGGCCTCCAGAGGTAGGCACATGACCCAGGCATCCCCATTATCACACTGCAGTCTCCTGGCCAAGTGATTGGTTCAGGGATACAAGACAAGTCAATCAACCAGGCCAAGTACTTGTGCTAGAATCAAAGAAAAGAAAGCACTTTCGTTCCTCAGGTATTATTAAACTCTACAAACATATACCTAGAAGCATCTGGAACACCATATTGAGAACTGTACACATGAAGAATGCAACAGAGAAGAAAATGGAGCTTAGTTAAAGCGTAAGACTGAGTTTTGATGGCATTATTTATGAGCTGTGCCTAATGTCAGTTTATTCTAGATTTATCAGTTAGGAACTAAAAGTTCCCCTTTTCTTTTTTTAAAATCAGATTTAAGGTAAAGCATACCCTTTTTAGTGTATAGTTCCATGAGTTTTGACAAATGCATCCAGTCATGTAACCACCACTATAATCAAAGCATAGTTCCGTAACCTCCCCAAATTCCCTGAGGCCCCTCTGTACTTACTCCTTTCCTTTACCCCAAAGCCCCCATAACCGCTGATCTGGTTTCTGGTTCCTTTCATTTTGCCTTTTCCAGAATATCATATAAATGAAATGGTTCAATACATAGTCTTTTTAGCCTGGCTTCTTTCACTTAGTATAATGCATTTCAGATTCATCTATGTTGCTGCATTTATCAATAGTGTGTTTCTATTCCTGAGTAGTATTTCAGTTTGTTTGTACAGTTAGAATGAGGGATGTTTGGATTGTTCCAGTTTTGATAATTATTAATAAAGCCAAACATCTGTACCAACTGAATTCTGGCATACGTTTTTGTTTCTTTTTTTTTTCTTTTTTCGAGATGGGAATCTCACTCTGTCACCCAGGATGGAGTGCAATGGTGCAATCCATAGCCTAGTGGTGAGTCCATAGCCTATTATGATAGGTCCTTCCAGGATCAATACCATTAGTATTGTGATCTATAACAGCATCACTAATATTGTGATCGATACCACTAATCAATAATCTTGTGATCTAGCAATACCACTGCTAGGTATTTATCTAAAAGAAAGAGGCCGGGCATGGTGGCTCACGCTTATAATCCCAGCACTTTGGGAGGCTCAGGCAGGTAGATCGCCAGAGGTCAAGAGTTTGAAACCATCCCGTCCAACATAGTGAAACCCCATCTCTATTTTAGCTGGGCATGGTGATGGGCGCTTGTAATCCCAGCTACTCAGGAGGCTGAGGCACAAGAATTGCTTGAACCTGGGAGGCAGAGGTTGCAGTGAGTTGAGATCGCGCCACTGTACTCCAGCACGGGTAACAAAGCAAGACTCTGTCTCAAAAAAACAAAACAAAAACAAAAACAAACAAAAAAACTTGGCTTTCAAAAGAATGACATTACTCTGATTATATGGAAATAAGTTTCTTTATTTTTTAATATAATTTGTAAAGCTGAGACAGGATCTATGGGGTCCAGGCTGGTCTTGAACTCCTGGGCTTAAGCAATCCTCTTGCCTTGGCCTCTCAAAGTGCTGAGATTACAGGCGTGAGTCACTGCACTGGCCAGAAATAAATTTTAAATTCTTATAGGTTGCTAGGCATGGTGACTCATGCCTGTAATCCTAGCACTTTGGGAGGCTGAGGCAGGCAGATCACTTGAGGTCAGGAGTTCAAGACCAGCCTGGCCAACATGGTGACACCCCGTCTCTACTTAAAATATAAAATTTAGCCGGGCGTGGTGGCACCTGTAATCCCAGCTACTTGGGAGGCTGAAGTGAGAGAATCACTGGAACCCAGGAGGTGATGGCTGCAGAGAGCCGAGATCACGCCATTGCACTCCAGGCTGGGTGAACAGACTGAGACTCCATCACAAAAAAAAAAAAAAGCAAACAAATCTTATAGGTCTAATGCTCATTTCTCCAAAAATGACGTCAACTAGCTATGGGAACTTAGAAGGCAGAAATGCCAATGAAATCCAAATCTTTGTATGTAACACTGGGGATATCACTAAATGATTAGAAGAAAATAACTAGAGATCCTTTTGCCTCAGAGTACATCCAAATTTCAACAAAATTAAGCTTTTTTTCTTTTACTACCAGTATCTTCTTGGGTAGAAAACAAATATTTAGGTTCTTGTTTGATAAACTGGGACAAAGGAATTTCTCCAGGAATCTTAATCTTACCTCTAGATCAGTTTCCATAAAATCAAAGACAAGGCTAATATTAGATTTATGTCCAAAAGCATCAAGGAGCTGCAAAGTTAAAAAATTAAAATGTGATTCACTATTTAATACCTGACAGTATCATAGCAACTGAGGCAATTTTTAAAAATTTAAAAAGCATTTAAACTGTTGGTAATTCCCTATAAAGCTTAAATCATTTGATTAAATTTGACATTTGTCCTTTTTTGGACAGTACTAAAGGAATTAGTATTTTGAAGCATAAAAATATTAAATTTTACTTAAAAAAATACCCAACCTCTTTCCCCAAATATTTGGAGTTAGAATTAAGAAATTAACCAATGAAAACCTCATTCCAGTCTCCAATTCAAAAGAAAAGTCCCAAATGTGATTCTTAAGAAATCCTCTAAATAACAGCAGCTATCATTGAATGAATGAATACATTTTCTATGGTAGGCACTATTCCAGATACTTTACATCTATTCAATTGGCTAGTCTCACAACTTCCCTATGAGGCAGGGACTCTGGGGAGTTGTGAGTGAACACACTCAAGGTCTCACACAGGCAGAAAGAAAGGTTTTGAATTCAGGTTGACACTCTCAGCCACTACATGCTAGAGCTCCCTAGACTTCAAAATTATTTCCGACAAAATTAGCCTACATGTCAATATTTCATTTATTTAATCAGTGGTATAGTTTTGAAGACAATGCCTACCAAAACAACTGGGATAGAAAATGTATTTCCTTTAAGCTTCTACAAGGCTCATCCAGAACAAGTCATCTTGCTGAGCCTTTAATCAACATCCATTATATTAAGAAAAGGCAGAGTCCCAAATCCCAGTAACAGTTTTGATCATACTCACACCAATTATATTTGGATGACTTAGCTCCTGTAATAATTTTATCTCTCTTAAGGCGGTTCTATTTATACCTATATAAAAAGGCAAAGCAAAAAGTGAATAATTCTGAAATCTCAAACCTTACAAACACTTCTTTTTTTTTTTTTTTTTTGAGATGGAGTCTCGCTCTGTCGCCCAGGCTAGAGTGTAGTGGCGTGATCTCGGCTCACTGCAACCTCTGCTTCCCGGGTTCAAGCAATTCTCCTGCCTCAGCCTCCAGAGTAGCAGGGATTACAGGCACGCGCCACCACGCCCGGCTAATTTTTGTATTTTTAGTAAAGGCGGGGTTTCACCATGTTCATCAGGCTGGTCTCCAACTCCTGACCTCGTGATCCACCCGCTTTGGCCTCCTGAAGTGCTGGGATTACAGGCGTGAGCCACCACACCCAGCCACAAACACATATTTTTAAAGAAAGGTTAGTAATCTCAGAAAATAGTGAACATTACCCACAAAAATAAGGGCTACTTTGACAATTTTTATGTCAAATCTGTTGTTCTTTTACATTGCTTTATTTTTATTTATTTATTTTTTTTGAGATGGGGTTTCACCCTGTCAGCCAGGTTGGAGTGCAGTGGCATGATCTCGGCTCACAGCAGCCTCCACCTCCCAGACTCAAGTAATTTTCCCACCTCAGCCTCCCGAGTAGCTGGGACCACAGGTGTGCACCTCCACGCCTGGCTAATTTTTTGTATTTTCGTTAGAGATGGGGTTTTGCCATATTGGCCAGGCTGGTTTCGAACTCCTGAGCTCAGGCGATCTACCCACCTCACCCTCCCAAAGTGCTGGGATTACAGGCGTAAGCCATGGCACCAGGCCAATATTGCTTTACTTTTAAAATAGCTTAACAAAGACTACGACAAATGGTGAAAAATATTTCACCTTATCTATACCAGGATCTGAACACCACTACTAGACTAACAACATATATAAGTGTGCAGCATATAGGTGATAAGCTTCCCTACTCTTGCCCTACAAATATTAGTGGCATATTGTTTGTGCTAAAAGCAAACTAGTGATAAGATAGTATATTTTCCAATACAAATGACAGATTTCAAAATTAAAAATTAGATACAGGCCGGGCGCGGTGGCTCGTAATCCCAGCACTTTGGGAGGCCTAGGTGGGCAGATCACTTGAGGCCAGGAGATCGAGACCAGCCTGGCCAAGGTGGCAAAACCCCATCTCTACTAAAAATACAAAAAATTGGCTGGGCATGGTGGTGTGCACCTGTAATCCTAGCTACTCAGGAAGCTGAGGCAGGAGAATCGCTTGAACCCGGGAGGTAGAGGTTGCAGTGAGCCGAGATTGCGATACTGCACTCCAGCCTGGGCAACAGAGCATGACTCTGTCTCAAAAAAAATAAACAAAATAAAAATAAGATATAGTATTGGCACTTACACAGACAATGGGTCTCTTTTGTAAGAGCTATTTTATGATGAATCCTAATAAATAAGACTTTGGAAGAAAGTTTAATGAAATAATTTCCTCATGTATCTATTCCATAGTAAGCTTTATGTACTTTCATGAAAATGTATCCTGAATTTTCAAAGTAATTAGAAACTCAGAAACAGAAAAAACAATGGCTTGTAACACCTAAAACAGTAATGAAGACAGAAAGACAAACTAATTAAGCTTGCTGCCTTCCATTTATGTGGGTGATTTGGAATGTTTCTCTGAATATCCAGTAAGTAAAAATCACCAAATACTCCTTCTCTATGCTGAGTCTATCTTTACTCTTCGGGGACCCTGCAGTAACTCTATCCAGAACCATTACTAACTTATTAATTCATACTTTGCTCGTTTCTTCAGTGAGAATGAAAACTTTATGCTGGGCATGGTGGCTCAAGCCTGTAATCCCAGCACTTTGGGAGGCCGAGGTGGGAGGATAGCTTGAGGCCAGGAGTTTGAGAGAAGCCTGAGCAACACAGCCAGACCTCATCTCTACAAAAAATAAAACATTAACCACAAGTGGTGGCACATGTTTACAGCCCTAGCTACTCAAGAGGCTGAGGTGGGAGAACTGCTTGAGTACCTAAGTTTGAGGCTGCAGTGAGCTACGATTGTGTCTCAGTACTCCAGCCTGGGTGACAGAGCAAGACCCTGTCTTTTTAAAAAAAAAAAAAAAAAAAAAAAAAAAAAAGGAGAAAACTTTTCCTATCTGTCAGATTACATGAAATACTTACCATCTTTAGCTTCTGATCTATGTCCAAGTTTGATCTGGTAGAAACGGAAAAAAACCCAAATATATTAAAAATGTGTTAAATTATTTAGAATCAATGAATAATGTGTAAATACTTCAAATACTTCGCCACAGAAAAAAAAACAATTAGCAACCAATATGTACCTACTAGGCAAAAAGAGAGTAGGAATCATGATCAGAAAGATAAAATTAACAATATAAGAGAGAATCAAATACCTACCCTTGTCCCTTAAGTTTCTGAACTACACATTCAAATAATAAAATTAAGAAAAATCTATTTTACCTTTTCAAGGTTCAATGTGGACCAAATAACTAAGGGTACCCTGATTAAAAATAAATACGTAACTTCAAATTAGGCTACTTGGGAGGAAAGATACAGAAAATAACATGCTGTAGAGTTGGTAATAAGCCCAATAATATGCTCTTAGACACCACATTTTTCAAAAAGCAAAATTACAAATTGTGATGGTTAAAATGTTGTTACTCTGAATAAACATAACAAATTACATTAACAGGTTTAGTCTTACACAAAATAAATTACCTGGGTAAAGAACATTCTCTCACTGCTTTTTAGAAAACTGTCAGTAATCAAGAAAAGACTGGCGGGGTGTAGTGGCTCACACTTGTAAATTCCAACACTTTGACAGGCCAAGGTGGGAGGATCGCTTGATCCCAGGAGTTTAAGACCAGCCTGGGCAACATAGCAAGACCTTGTGTCTACTCAACATTTTTAAAAATTAGCCAGGAGTGGTGGCACGTGCCTACAGTCCCAAGTACTCAGGAGGCTGAAGCAGGAGGATTGCTTGAGCCCAGGCTACAGTGAGCCATGATCACACTGCTGTACTCCAGCCTAGGCAACAGAGAGAGACTGTCTCAAACAAACAAAAAAACAAAAACACAAGTGGCTCATGCCTGCAATCCCAGTATTTTGGGAGGCCTGGGTAGGAGGATTGCTTGAGTACAGGAGTTAAAGATCAGTCTGGGCAACATAGCAAGACCCCGTCTCTACAAAAAATGTAAAAAGTTACTGGGGCATTGGCTGGGTGCGGCGGCTCATGCCTGTAATCCCAGCACTTTGGGAGGCCGAGGCAGGTGGATCACGAGGTCAGGAGTTCAAGACCAGCCTGGACAATATGGTGAAACCCCGTCTCTATTAAAAAAATACAGAAATTAGCCAGGCATGGTGGCACACGCCTGTAGTCCCAGCTACTTGGGAGGCTGAGGCAGAAGAATCGCTTGAACCCAGGAGGCGGAGCTTGCAGTGAGCCGAGATCGTGCCACTGCACTCCAGCCTGGGTGACAGAGCGAGACTCTGTCTCGAAAAAAAAAAAAAAAAAGTTACCGGGGCATGGTTGCATGTGCCTGTAGTTCCATCTACTTGGAAGGCTGAAGTGGGAGGATTGCTTGAGCCCAGGAGTTCGAGGCTGCAGTGAGCTATGATTGCACCACTGCATTCCAGCCTGGGCAACAGAACAGGCGATTCTACTTCTAACAAACAAAAAAACCCACAGAATTTCTTAAAGTAGACCATTTAGGATTCATGATTTGCTCACTATAGAGCCCCTGGGCCCTGAATAATCAGCAGTGGTAACCAGGGCCTCACCATGGGCCTCAGGTGAAACTCCGAGACATATTGGCTTCAGGTATGACACAGCACATTCACAGCTGTAGTGGCTACCAGCAGAGACTCCTGTTTGAGAAAATGAGAGGGAAGAGTAAAGGAGATTCTGTCTTGCAGCTTAGGGACCAGCTTGGTTGCCCTGGGGAAGAGCACCAGGTGGGCTACTAGGGTCCATGAATCCAGGCCTTGGCTCTTGGATGGCATTTCTGGACCTACCCCTGGAACAGAGGGGAACCCACTACCCTGAAGATGAGTCCCAGGCCTGGCAGCATCCAGCATAAGCTGACTGAGGAGCCCTGGGCCTTAAGTGAACACTGGTGGTACCCTGGCAATAATCCCCTCTTCATGGGCCTGTGGTGCTGATGGACACAGGAGCAACTCCTCTGCCTGAAGAAAGGGGAAGAAAGAATGGTAATACAGAGTCTGGTAATACAGAGAATTCTGGACCTTATCCAAGACCACCAAGATGGTACCTCTATAAGTCTATAAGAACTACAGCATTACTGGGTTCGGGGTACCCCCTAATGCAGATACGATTACAGTGACCAAAGACATAGATTGCAACACTCTATTCCCTTTGAATACTTGGAATACCTTCCAATAAGAATGGTACAAACAAGTCCAGACTGTGAAGACTATAATAAATACCTGACTCTTCAATGTACAGATGGCAGTGAACACTCACAAGCATTAAGGCCATCCAGGAAAACATACCCTCACCAAATGAACTAAATTAGGCACTAAGGGTCAATCCTGCAGAGAAAGATATGTGACCTTTTAGTCAGAGAATTCGAAATAGCTGTTTTCAGAAAACTCAAAGAAATTCAAGATAACACAGAGAAGGAATTCAGAATCCTATCAGGTAAATTCAACAAATACTTGAAAGAATTAAAAAGAATTAAGCAGAAATTCTGGAGTGGAAAGATGCAAGTGACATACTCAAGAATGCATCAGTCTTTGTTTTTTGGAGACGGAGTTTTGCTCTTGTTGCCCAGGCTGGAGTGCAATGGCACAATCTCAGCTCACTGCAACCTCTGCCTCCTGGGTTCAAGCAATTCTTCTGCCTTAGCCTCCCAGGTAGCTGGAATTACAGGCATGAACCACCATGCCCAGCTAATTTTGTATTTTTAGTAGAGACGAGGCTTCACCATGTTGGTCAGGCTGGTCTCGAACTCCTGACCTAAATGATCCACCCACCGTGGCCTCCCAAAGTGCTGGGATTACTAGTGTCAGCCACCATACCCACACTTTTTTCCCTTTTTTGAAACAGAGTCTTGCTCTGTCACTCTGTCACCCAAGCTGGAGTGCAGTGGTGCAATCTCGGCTCACTGCAACCTCCGCCTCCCAGGCTAAAGCCATCCTCTCCACTCAGACCCCCCCAAGAAGCTGGGACCACAGGCACAAACCACCATGTCAAGCTAATTTTTCTATATTCTGTAGAGATGGGGTTTCACCATGTCTCCCAGGCTGGTCTCAAACTCCTGAGCTCAAGTGATCCACCCACCTCGGCCTCCCAAAGTGCTGGGATTACAGGCATGAGCCACTGTGTCCAGCCGCATCAGCCTTTTAATAGCAGAATTGATAAAGCAGAAGGCAGAATTAATGAGCTTGAAGACAGGCTATTTGAAAACAGAGGAGACAAAAGAAAAAAAATAAAGAAATGAGACGTGCCTACAAGATCTAGAAGACAGGCTCAAAAGGGCAAATCTAAGTGTTTTGGGCCTTAAAAAGGAGGTAGAGAGAGAGAGGCAAAGAAGAAAGTTAATTCAAAGGGATAACGGGAAACTTCCCAAATGCAGAAATAGGTACCAATATTCAAGTACAAGAAAGTTATGGAACACTGGGACCTGGGGACGGTGGCTCACGCTGGTAATCCCAGCTACTCAGGAGGCTAAGGCAGGAGAATCACTTGAACCCAGGAGGCAGAGGTTGCAGTGAGCCAAGACTGTGCCACTGCACTCCAGCCTGGGCAAGAAAAACAAGACTCCGTCTCCAAAAAAAAAAAAAAAAAGAAAAAAAAAAAGAAAAGAAGGTTATAGAATACCAAGCAGGTTTAACTCAAAGAAGACTACCTCAACATATTTAATAATCAAACTCTAAAAGTCAAGGAATAAGAAAGGATCCTAGGCCAGGCACTGTGGCTCACACCTGTAATTCCAGCACTTTGGGAGGCCGAGGAGGGTGGGTCACCTGAGGTAGGGAATTCAAGACCAGCCTGACCAACATGGAGAAACCCCGTCTCTACTAAAAATACAAAATTAGCTGGGCGTGGTGGCACATGACTATAATCCCAGCTACTTGGGAAGGCTGAGGCAGGAGAATCGCTTGAACCCGGGAGGAGGAGGTTGCGGTGAGCCAACGACATGCCATTGCACTCCACACTCCAGCCTGGGAAACAAGAATGAAACTCCGTCTCAAAAAGAAAAAAAAGAAAAGAAAAAGAAAGGATCCTAAAAGCAGCAAGAAGAAAAAAGAAACCAGTAACATATAATGGAGCCCCCAATATATCTGGCAGCAGACTTTTCAGTAGAAACTTTACAGGACAGGAGAGACTGGCATGATATAAAGTGCTGAAGGAAAATAACTTTTAACCTAGAATAGTATATTCAGCAAAATTATCCTTCAAACAGGAAGGAGAAATAAAGACTTTCCCAGACAAACAAAAGCTGAGAGATTTTATAAACACCAGGCCTGTCCTACAAGAAATGCTAAAGGGAGTTCTTCAATCAGAAAGAAAAGACGTTAATGAGCAATATGAAATCATCTGAAGGTACAAAACTCACTGGTAATAGTAAGTACACAGAAAAACACATAATATTATAACACTGTAATTGTGGTATGTAAACTACTCATATCCAGCAGAAAGATAAAAAATGAACCAATCAAAAACAATAACAATTTTTCAAGACAGTACAACAAAGTGGGGAGACAAAGTTAAAACGCAGAGTTTTATTAGTTTTCTTTTTGCTTGTTGGTTTGTTTATGTAATCAGTGTTGTCATCAGTTTAAAATAATGGGTTATATTATTTGCAAGCCTCATGTAACCTCAAATCTAAAAACATAACAATAGATACACAAAAAAATAAAAATTAAGAAATTAAAACATACCACCAGAGAAAATCACCTTTACTACAAGGAAGACAGGAAGAAAGGACAGAAGGAAGGAAAGACCACAAAACAACCAGAAAACAAGTAAGAAAATGGCAGGAATAAAAGTTCTTATCAATAATATCACTGAATATAAATGGGCTAAACGCTTCAATCATAAGACACAGAGTGACTGAATGGATAAAAAAAAAAAAGAAGCCCCAAAGATCTGTTGCCTACAAGAAGCACACTTTAACTATACAGACACACACAGACTGAAAGACATGGAAAAAAGATATTCACTGCCAATGGAAACCAAAAAAGAACAGGAGTAGTTATATTAAATAAAATAGATTTCAAGCAAAAACTGTAAAATAAGACAAAGTCACTATATAATGATAAAGGCGTCAATTCAGTAAGAGGATATAAAAATTGAAAATATATATGCACCCAACAATGGAGCACTCAGATATATAAAATATTTTTAGCACTAAAGAGGCAGACCCCATACAATAATAGGTGGAGGCTTCAACACCCCCACTTTCACCATTGGACAGATCAATGCAGAAAACCAACAAAGACACATTGGACTTAATCCGCACTACAGACCACATGGACCTAATAGATATTTATAGAAAATGTCATCCAATGGCTGTAGATTAAACATTCTTCTCCTCAGCAAATGAATGATTCTCAAGGACAGACCATATGTTAGGCCACAAAACAAGTCTTAAAACATTCCAAAAAACTGAAACCATATCAAATATCTTTTCTGACCACAATGGGATAAAACCAGAAATCAATAACAAGAGGAATTTTGGAAACTATGTAATACACGAAAATTAACCAATACACTCCTGAATGACCAGTGGGTCAATGGACAGATGAAGAAGAAAATTGAAAAATTTCTTCAAAGAAATTATAACGGAAACACAACATACCAAAAACCTTGGGATACGGGGAAAGCAGTACTCAGAGGGAAGTTTATAGCTGTAACTGCCTACATGAAAAAAAAAAACCAAAAACAAAACCTTCAAATAAACAATGATGCATCTTAAAGAACTAGAAAAGCAGGAGCAAACCAATCCCAAAGTTAGAAGAAAATAATAAAAATCAGAGCAGAAATAAATGAAATTGAAACAAAAAAATACAAAAGATCAACAAAATAACAAGTTGGTGTTTTGAAAAGACCATCAAAATTGGACACATGTTCTTCAAGTTGCCCACTTGGATCTCTCCCAAGTGCACTTTCATTTCTTTCCTACTCTTCTAGAGCTTTTTAATAAACTTCTGGCCGGGTGCGGTGGCTCACACCTGTAATCCCAGGACTTTGGAAGGCGGAGGCGGGCAGATCACGAGGTCAGAAGATCGAGACCATCCTGGCCAACATGGTGAAACCCCATCTCTACTAAAAATACAAACATCGGCCAGGCGTGGTGGCATGCGCCTGTAATCCCAGCTACTCAGGAGGCTGAGGCAGGAGAATCACTTGAACCTGGGAGGCGGAGATTGCAGTGAGCCAAGATCGCGCCACTGCACTCCCAGCCTGGCGACAGAGCGAGACTCCATCTCAAAAAACAAACAAACAAACAAACAAACTTCCACTCCTGCTCTAGAAAAAAAAATCTCTCCTGCCACCATAAGAGGTGCCTTGCTTCCCTTTCACCTTTCGCCATGATTAAGTCTGGATTTTTGGTACATGCCAGGCAGAAAATGCCTGCATGACCAGTCCCAATAAAAACCCTGACCACTAAAAAACTTACCCAACCTTTAGACTAAAAGAAAAGGAGAGAAGATGCAAATAAATAAAAACAGATGTGAAAAAAGGGGACACTACAACCAATACCGCAGAAATCCAAAGGATAATTAGTGGCTACTATGAGTAACTATACGCCAAGAAACTGGAAAACCTAGAAGAAACAGATACATTCCTAGACACAAACAACCTACCAAGATTGAACCATGAAAAAACTGAAAACCTAAACAGGCCAGTAACAAGTAATGAGATTGATGCCATAATAAAAAATCTCCCAGCAAAAAGCCCAAGACCTGATGGCTTCAATGCTGAATTTTACCAAACATTTGAAGAAGGGCTAGGCTGGGCACAGTGGCTATCCCAGCACTTTAGGAGGCTGAGGCAGGCCGATCACTTGAGGTCAGGAGTTCGAGACCAGCCTGGGCAATATAGTGAAACCCCATCGCTACTAAAAATATAAAAAGTAGCCAGGCGTGGTGGTGCATGCCTGTAATCCCAGCTACTTGGGAGGCTGAGGCAGGAGAATACTTGAACCCAGGAGGTGGAGGTTGCAATGAGCTGAGATGACGCCACTGCACTCCAGGGCCTGGGTAGGCGATAGAGCGAGAAAAAAAAAATTAAAAAAATAAGAGGGTAGGGTAAGGGAGGGGAAGGGGAGGGGGAAGGGGAGGGGGAAGGGAGGGGAAAAGGAGGGAGGACGGGGGAGGGGAGGGGGCTAATACCAATACTACTCAAACTATTCCAAAAAAACAGAGAAGTAAATACTTCCAAACTCATTCTATGGGGCCAGTATTACCCTGATACCAAAATCAGACAAAGACACATCAAAGTAAGAAAACTACAGGCCAATATCCTGATGTACATTCATGTAAAAATCCTCAAAAAATACTAGCAAACTGAATTCAACAATACGTAAAAAGATCATCATGACCAAGTGGGATTTATCCTGGGGATGCAAGGATGGTTCAACATATGCTATAATCAATCAACGTGATATGTAATATCAACAAATGAAGGACAGAAACTATATAATCATTTCAATTGATGCTGAAAAAGCATTTGATAAAATCTAACATCCCTTCATGATAAAAACTCTTAAAAAACTGGGTATAGAAGAACATATCTCAACATAATAAAAGCCATATACTACAGACCCATGGTCAGTATACAGAATGGGGAAAAACTGATTTCCTTTAAGAGCTTGAACACACCAAGAATGCCCACTTTCACCACTGTTATTCAATATAGTACTGGAAGTCCTAGCAAGAGCAAGCAAAGAAGTGAAATTCTTCTTGTTTGTAGACGATATGATCTTTTTTTTTTTTTTTTTTTTTGAGACGGAGTTTTGCTCTTGTTGCCCAGGCTGGAGTGCAATGGTGTGATCTTGGCTCACCACAACCTCCACCGCCCAGGTTCAAGCAATTCTCCCTCCTCAGCCTCCCAAGTAGCTGGGATTACAGGCATGCGCCATCATGCCTGGCTAATTTTTTTTGTACTTTTAGTAGAGACGAGGTTTCTCCATGTTGGTCAGGTGATCCGCCCACCTCGGCCTCCTAAAGTGCTGGTATTACAGGCATGAGCCACCACACCTGGTGACAATATGATCTTATATTTGGGAAAACCTAAAGACTCCACCAAAAAACGACTAGAACTGATAATTCACAAAAGTTGCAGGATACAAAAATCAACATACAAAAATCAGTAGCCCTGCTATATGCCCACAGTGAACAATCTGAAAAAGAAATCAAGAAAGTAATCCCATTCACAACAGCTACAAATAAAATTAAATATCTAGGAATTAACCAAATTAAGTGAAAGATCTCTAAAATAAAAACTACTGAACGGGTATGGTGGCTCACGCCTGTAATCCCCGCATTTTGGGAGGCCAAGGCAGGCGGATCACGAGGTCAGGAGTTCAAGACTAGTCTGGCCAACATAGTGAAACCCCGTCTCTACTAAAAATACAAAAAATTAGCCAGCTGTGGTGGTATGCGCCTGTAATCCCAGGTACTCAGGAAGCTGAGGCAGGAGAATGGCGCAAACCCGGGAGGCACAGGTTGCAGTGAGCTGAGATTGCACCATTGAACTCCAGCCCAGGCAACAGTGCGAGACTCCATCTCAAAAAAAAAAAAAAAAAAAAAAAACAACTATCATTGGTGAAAGAAATTGAAGACAACACACCAAAAAAATGGAAAGATAATTCATATTCATGGATTGGAAGAATCAATATTGTTAAAATGTCCATACAACCTAAAGCAATCTATAGATTCAATGTAATCTCTATCAATATACCAATGACATTCGTCATGGAAATAGGAAAAACAATCCTAAAATTTGTGTAGAACCACAAAGACCCAGAATAGCCAAAGCTATCCTAAGAAAAAAGAACAAAAGGGAGGAATCACATTACCCGACTTCATACAACAAAGCTATAATAACCAAAACAGCATGATATTGGCATAAAAACAGACACACAGACCAATGGAACAGAATAGAGAACCCAGAAAAAAATCCATACATCTACAGCAAACTCATTTTCAACAATGGTGCCAATAACATACAATGAGGAAAAGACAGTTTCTTCAATAAATGGTGCTGTGCCTTAAGCAGAGGTTAGGTTTGCTGTACAGACTTAAGTTGATGCCTTCTGCATTGACAGTCTCTAGAGATTTAGTCTTTCTAGTCTTTCTTCTCTTCCTGGTGCAGAGAGGGAGACACCCTGTCAAAGAGATACTCCTTTACAAACGTACACTTCCCTTAAAAAAGGGCAACTTTTCAGAACTACTCCTGTATCTGCAGTTTCTCAGGATAACCAGCTCACAACAATCAACATGCCAAAAAGGCATATTTTTGAAACCACCTTTGCAAAAATTACAACAGTGAGTAAAACGTGATATAGCTGACTCCATCTTTGCTTTTTTTTTGAGACACAGTTTTTGCTCTTGTTGCCCAGGCTGGAGTGCAAAGGTGCAATCTCAGCTTACTGCAACCTCCACCTCCTGGGTTCAAGCAATTCTCCTGCCTCAGCCTGCAGAGTAGCTGGAATTACAGGCATGCACCACCACGCCCGGATAATTTTGTATTTTTAGTAGAGACAGGGTTTCCCCATGTTGGTCAGGCTGGTCTCAAACTCCCAACCTCAGGTGATCCGCCTGCCTCCGCCTCCCAAAGTGCTGGGATTACAGACATGAGCCACTGCGCCTGGCCCTATCTTTGCTTTTAATCTCACAAGCTCTTTGCTCATTCCTGAGTGTTGGCAATGCTAACTATGGGAGAAATTCAGTTTAAAGTTTAGCTTTAAAACAAAGATGATTAACAGTCCTTTCCCAAAATTAACCCACTCCTTGCTCAGAGACTAAAAGCATCTTTGTAAAATTACACGAGGTTAGAATTATTGTTTAGGAGTTATGTAGCCAAAAGTAACAAGAATTTTGCAACCTCCACAATTGCTCCTATAGATAACATCACTATTGTAAAACGTAAAACTGGTGGTTGGGGTATCTTTCAGACCTTGCATTTTGATGGACCAACTGGTGCCACTTGGACCAGGAGCCCATATGAAGAAACTGACTCAACTGGTTCTGTGACCACTACTTAGGAACTGAGTCAGGGCAAGAAGACAGTTTCAACTCTCTACAATTTTATCCAAGACCCAACCAATCAGCATTCCCCATTCCTTAGCCCACTGCCTACCAAACTATCCTTGAAAAACCCTAGCCCCCGAATTCTCAGGGAGGCAGATTTGAGAATTATCTACTGTCTTCCTCACTTGGTTGGCCCTGTGACAATTAAACTCTTTCTTTGTTGCAAACAAAATAAATAAGTGGTGCTGGGAAAATTGGATATCCATATGCAGAAGAATGAAACTAGACCCATATCTCTCATCATATACAAAAATCAAATCAAAATGGATTAAAGACTTAAGTTGAAGACTTCAAACTATGAAACTACTAAAAGAAAACAGTGGAAAACCTCTCCAGAACATTGGACTGGGTAGAGTTCTAGAGTAATACCCCACAAGCACAGGCAACCAATGCAAAAATGGACAAATGGGATCACATCAAGTTAAGATGCTTCTGCAGAGCAAAGGAAACAACACAGTGAAGAGAAAACCCACAGAATGAGAGAAAATATTTGCAAACTATCCATCTGATAAGAGATTAATATCCAGAATATATAAGAAGCTCAAACAACTCTATATGAAAAAAATCTAATAATCCAATTTAAAAATGGGCGAAAGATCTGAGTAGGTATTTCTCAAAAGAAGACATACAAATGGCAGACAGCATAAGAAAAGGTGCCAACATCACTGAGCATCAGAAAAATGCAAATGAAAACTACAATGAGGGCCGGGCCCGTTGGCTCATGTCTGTAATCCCAGCACTTTGGGAGGCTGAGGCAGGCGGATCACGTGGTCAGGAGTTCGAGACCAGCCTGGCCAACAAGGTGAAACCACGTCTCTACTAAAAATACAAAAATTAGCCGGGTGTGGTGATGCAGTGTGCACCTGTAATCCCAGCTACTCAGGAGGCTGAGGCAGGAGAATTGCTTGAACCCAGGAGGCGGAGGTTGCAGTAAACCGAGATTGCGCCACTGCACTCCAGCCTGGGTGACAGAGCAAGACTCCGTCTCAAAAAAAAAAAAAAAAAAAAAAAAGAAAAAACCTACAATGAGAGAGCATCTCACCTAAGTTTAAATGGCTTTTATCCAAAAGATAAGGATGAATCCTGGTGAGGGATGTGGAGAAAAGGGAACCCTAGGTACATTGTTGGTGGGAATGTAAATTAGTACAACCACTATGGAGGACAGTTTGGAGGTTCCTCAAAAAACTAAAAATAGAACTATCATTTGATCTAGCAATTCCATTGCTATGTATATATGCCAACAGAATCTGTATGTCCAAGAGATATCTGAACTCCCATGTTTATTGCAGCACTATTCAGAATAGCCAAGATTTGGAGGCAATCTATGCGTCTGTCAACAAATGAATGAATAAAGAAAATGTGGTGCATATACACAAAGAGTACCATTCAAAAATAAAAGAGGCCAGGTGCGGTGGCTCACACCTGTAATCCCAGCACTTTGGGAGGCCAAGGCAGGCAGATCACTTGAGGTCAGGAGATAGAGACCATCCTGGTCAACATGGAAACCCCGTCTCTACTAAAAATACAAAAAATTAGCTGGGTGTGGTGGCATGTGTCTGTAATCCCAGCTACTCGGGAGGCTGAGGCAGGAGAACTGCTTGAACCTGGGAGGCGGGGGTTGCAGTGAGCCGAGATCGCGCCATTGCACTCCAGCCTGGCGACAGAGGGAGACTCCGTCTCAAAAAAGGAAGGAGCTAAGAACAGTTGATTTTAAAATTCTTAACATTTTCCCACATAATAAAAAATAGAGTAATTTCATAAAGCCCTCTACTCCATCACCCAGATTCAACAGTGACCAATATTTTGCCACACTTACTTCATTCATCCAACCTCTCCTTTTTGTTGCCTAAAATATTTTAAAACCCCAGACTTCATGTCATTTCACTCCAACGTACTTAAGTAAGCATCTCTAAAATACAGACATTCTTACATAACCATGCCATTTTGACACCTAACAAAATTAACAATAATGCCACAGTAGCATCTAATATCTAGTTCCTATTCAAATTTTCCTGATTCACATTTCCCAACTGTCTCATAGAGTAGCCAAAATGATTTTGAAGAAGAAAAACAAGGTGTATGGAAGTTGACAGATTTTAAGACTTCTTAAAGTCACTGTAATATTTCAACAGCAATGGGAAAAAAAACAAACAAACCCACCACTGGAACAGAATAGTGTGCCCAGAAATTGGACCCAAGTTCCAATACTGGAACTTGGTATTGCAAGGGTATGGGGAATTTGGCATTACAACTCATTGGGAAAAGGACAGACTATTAATAGTACTGGGACAACTGAAGAAAAAATACTCAATCTTAGCCAGGCACAGTGTCTCATGCCTGTAATCCAAGCACTTTGGGAGACTGAGGCAGGAGGATGGCTTGAGGCCAGGAGTTCAAGACCAGCCTGGCCAATATAGAAAGACCCTGTCTCTATTGAAAAAAAAAAAAAATACTGGATCCTCATATCATACAACAAAGGAAAAACTTGTTGATGGAATAAAGATCTAAGTATTAAAATCAATATTTTAAAAATTTTACAAGTACAGAATTCTTTGTAATCCAGAAACAGGAAAGCACATAAAAAGGAAGCCTTTAAAGATTTCAAAAAAATTAACAAATTCAATCATATTAAAATTTAACTTTCAGTACCTCAAAGATACCATAAATAAACTAAAAGCCTTGCCAAAGACTGGGAAATGATATATGCAATGTGTATTTCTGACAAAGGATCAATATCCAGAATATAAAAGAATTCTGGCTGGTTGCTGTGGTTCACACCTGTAATCCCAGCTCTTTGGGAGGCCGATGCTGGAGGATTGCTTAAGGCCAGGAGTTTGATACCAGACTGGACAACAAAGTGAAACCTTGTCTCTATTAAAAAAAACAAAAAGTATGAATAAGTCCAATAAATCAATAGGACAAAAAAAGTACGTAATCCAACAGAAAACAGGAGAAAATCTAAGAAGCCAGTAAGTGTAAGAAAAGATGATGAACTTTACCAGTAATCAGAGAAATGTTAATTGAAACAATAAGTACATACCATTTTCAATCTACGTAATTGACAAACGTTTTAAAGTCTGACAATGCAAATGATGTTGAGAATGTGGTGGGACAGTAAACTGGTCCAATCATTCTGGAGAGCAATTTGACCATATCTGGTAAAGCTGATGGTTGTGATACTCTGAAGCATCAATTCATAATTTGTTTCAATTATAGATACATTCTCTAGAGAAACTCAAACCTGCATACAAGATGACTCACAGATGACTATCCAGAGAAGGAATGTATTAAAGGAAAACATTAAAAAGCAGCCTAAATGTTTATCAACGAGAGTTTGGATAGAAAATTTCAGTGTAGTCATATAATGGAATCTAATAATCAACGAGCATGAATCAACTGGATCTACATGTATCATACGATATAGAGGATTTCGGAAATAATGTTGACTCAGAATAACAAGTTGCAGGCTGGGTGTGGTGGCTCAAGCCTGTAATCTCAGCACTTTGGGAGGCCGAGGTGGGCAGATCAGTTGAGGTCAGCAGTTGAGAGGCTGCGGCAGGAGAACTGCTTGAGCCTGGGGAGGTGGAGGTTGCAGTGAGCCGAGATCACGCCACTGCACTCCAGCCTGTGCGACAGAGTGGGACCTTGTCTCAAAAAAAAAAATAAAATAAAAAAAAAAGAATAACAAGTTGCAGAAGAATATGCCAAATATACATATATAGCTTAAAGTATGCAATACTGGCTGAGTACAGGGGCTCACACCTGTAATCTCAGCACTTTGGGAGGCTAAGGTGGAAGGTTCACTTGAGCCCAGGAGTTGAAGACCAGTCTAGTCAACAGAGTGAGACCCTGTCTCTACAAGAAGAACAACAAATTTAGTGGGGCACGGTGGCATGCACCTGTACTCCTAGCTGGTTGGGAGGCTGAAGCAGATGGAATGCTTGAGACCAGGAGGTCAAGGCTTCAGTGAGCTATGATTGTACCACTACACTCCAGCCAGGGAAACACACAGCAAGTTGCTGTCTCAAAAAAAAAAAAAAAGGAAAAAAAAAGTATGCAATACTATATATTGTTTTGAGATACACAGATTTAAGACACACACTGAAAAATGAGATATAACCCAAAAGGCCATCAATAGGTGATTGGTTAAATAAATTGGGAAACAAATTCCACATAATCTTTTTAAAAGGATGAGATACATCAGTATTTCTAAAGTCCAAGACTCAACAGGTGAATGAGTACAGAGTAACTTATTTATTGATTCCTTCCCTTTTTATAAAATTAAACACATCCTAGCAAATGAACGGGAGTAGAAATTATGAGTGTTGGAATAAGGTCTACAACACCAAATCCTCAATGTTCATAGTAGAAAGTATAGACAACGTCTAAAACTGGGGGAGAAAAAACACCTCAAGAAATAGGCCAGGCATAGTGACTCACACGTGTAATCCCAGCAATTAGGGAGGCCTAGGCAAGGACAATCACTTGAGGCCAGGAGACTAGCAGGGGCACCATGCCTGGCTAATTTTTGTATTTTAGTAGAGACAGGGGTTTCGCCATGTTGACCAGGCTGGTCTTGAACTCCTGACCTCAGGTGATCCGCCTGCCTCGAGCTCCCAAAGTGCTGGTATTACAAACATGAGCCACCGCGCCCAGCTGAAAGGCCAATACATTTTTAACAGTGTCTACAAATGTACTAGCCATGGCCCTAGGTACAGTGTGAATGGAATTAAACAGACAATAAACTCATAGATAGGAGGATTTCAAATTTCGACAAATGCCACATCGATGACAGAAATATAGCAAAGCATAGGGAAGGAGGGAGGCATACATGTAGCTGGAATGAACAAAGGCCTCTATGGAGGAGACATTTGAGTGAAGCCTGGATGATAAGGAATCAGCCATGCCATGTTCTAGACGGAAAATATACCAACCAAGAAGCCAGACCAAATGCAATGATCCTGTGATTCTGGGACTGGAATAAATTTAATTTGTACAGGGACAGAAAAGTCAGTGTGGCTATGATATAGTGAACCAGAGACAGAATTAAAAAGATGACTAGGCCAGGCTTGGTGGCATGTGTCTATAGTCCCAGCTACCTTGGAGGCTGGGGTGGAAGGATTACTTTAGTCCAGGAGTTGGTGGCTGCAGTGAGCTATGGCTGTGCCACTGCACTCTAACCCTTCCACCTGGGCGACAGAGTGAGACCTCCTCCTGCCCCGCCACCACAAAAGAAAGAAAGATGAAGAAAGATTCAGTAGAGTTAAGGGTTTTAAAGGGAGTGGCTGTAGTGGTGGATCATAAAACATAAACCAGAAAACACGGACATAAAAAAAGTAAAAAAGTTAAAAAAAAAAAAAAAAAAAAAAAAAGAAGGCCAGGCACAGTGGCTCACACCTGTAATCCCAGCATTTTGGGAGGCCGAAGTGGGTGGATCAACTGAGGTCAGGAGTTCGAGACCAGCCTGGCCGACATGGCGAAACCCTGTCTCTACTAAAAATACAAATATTAGCTGGGCGTGGTGGCAGGTTCCTGTAGTCCCAGCTACTGGAGAGGCTGAGACAGGAGAAGTGCTTGAACCCGGGAGGCAGAGGTTCCAGTGAGCCGAAATCGCACAATTGCACTCCAGCCTGGGCAACAAGCAAAATTCTGTCTCAAAAAAAATAAAAAATAAAATAAAATAAAAAATAAAAAAATTATGGCAGGAATAATTGAGAAGAAGTAGTCAGTCAGGTTTTAAATGAATGCAAGACAGTACTTGGAGGCTGGAAGATGACCAAAAAAAGGGGGAATTAATGTTAAATATGGATAACTTCCAAGGAGTTAGGGTTTTTGAAGCAGGAGAAGCAGATTCAAAGTAGCAACGGTAACAAAAGCAACATCAGGACACCTGGATTTAAATCCCAGCTTCAGCAATCACTAGCTGTGTGATCTTGACAAGTCACCTAGTCACTCAGTCTCAGGTACCTCAAGTATAAAATAGGGTTACTTTTAACCACTTTATAGATTGTTTTGAAGGTTAAAAGAAACAATGTAGGTGAACGTGAGTTATGTAATTATGACCCAAATCTTTTTTTTTTTTTTTTTAAGATGGAGTCTCCCTCTGTCACCAGGCTGGAGCACAGTGGCACCATCTCGGCTCATTACAACCTCCACCTCCCAGGTTCAAGTGATTCTCCTGCCTCAGCCTCCCGAGTAGCTGGGATTACAGACAGGTGCCACCACACCCAGCTAATATTTGTATTTTTAGTAGAGACAGGGTTTCACCATGTTGGCCAGGATGGTCTGGATCTCTTGACCCCAAGTGATCCGCCCACCTCGGCCTCCCAAAGTGCTGGGATTACAGGCGTGAGCCACCGCGGCTGGCCCGACCCAAGTCTTTTGAATGAATATAAGAAGCTACTGAATCCGACCCAGGTCTTTTGAATGAATATAAGAAGCTACTGAACTCATTTTAGACCTCACATCAATGTTGTTCATGCTAGTGAAAGTCTTTCATGGTAAATCCGTACACAGAAAATACAGATACGACACACTGAGTGGATGCAGGTGAGGTATAAACAGTGACCTAGAAAGATCATGGTATCCAATAGTTCTGAGGACCGAAAAGATGGGCAGTACTTGCCCACAACATATGAATTTATGCAGTAAAAATAACATACAGCTTCTTCTTCATTTCAATAGAAATTAAAACGGGTTCAACCCTAGAGTTCCGTTTGGGAACACAAAGCACTAATTAATTATTTTGTCTCTGAAAATGACATGAGTAACTCATTATCAGAGTATGGTCAAGACTAATAAAATGGCTATCAGTCAATTAATAATACAGACATCTTCAAGGAGACTTAAAAACAACATAAAAAGGTAACTCACTTTCTTAATGGCGACAATTTGGTTGGTGTTCTTATCTCTGGCCTTGTAAACGGTGGCAAACTAGAAAGAAAAATAGAAATAACATAAGTTTATGGGAGTTTTTGTGTTTGCCTTTTTGCATTTTTACATTTCGCGAAGCAAAGAGCCCAGAGTTCCTGAGCAGACTCGCGGCGGCTGGAAACGTGGCGGGTCAGTCTCCGTCCAGCTCCAGGCTACTCTTCAGCAAGGAGAGGCCCCTCAGGGATTCACCCCCAGGATGTAAAGAATGGGCAGCAAGTGCGTCTGGACGGTTTCCCCCAACGAGAACGAGCAGCCAAGCCAGACCTCTGGCCTCCACGGGAAAACCCGCAAAGGTGGAGGCGGCGCGGGGCTGTCCGCTTGGGGCCCTCCCCGTCCTTCCAGAGAGCCTCACCTGTCCCTCCCCAAGGAAGTCCAGCTTCTCATAACGCTTTGCCCGAGACTTCACGTCCAGAGCCATCCGGCGCCGTAAAGCCCGACTCCAGCCGAAAAGGGCGAGCTCCCAGGACAACACGAATTTAAAGCTACCTTAAAGCCTCCAACACCCACTTCCGTCCACCGGGCTCCGTCGCTTTAGTATCCCCGCCTCACTTCCGTGGTGGGCGGAGGAAGCTGCGCTAGGCCCAGGCGGTTGGCGTTCCCCACCCGTCACGTGACGCCTGTCGGTGCCTGAAGTGGGGCATCTTCAATGGCTGCTGTGTCACTCTGTTGCCGTTTTAACTTGGGTGTTTTCTACATTACCAGGAACTGGTCAGCGTTCTAATTTGGTGTTCCATGTTCGGGGTTTGGTAGGTGTCTGTGAATGTAGAAAGTTTGGCCTTGTACCTGTTCTCGCTTTTTGGTTCTTGCTCGAGCGCGTCCTGTCGCCGTGGTTGCTATGGACGCCAAACCCTGCTATCTCAGATTACTGAGACGAGTGCCAAGTTCTTACGGGCTGGTCAAGAGTATTCTTAGTCCAGTCCCTTTATGAAGAAGCAGGCCCAGGAAAACAAAATCCAACTCAACTGAAACGTGCTGTGGGAATCAGCTTCTAGTCCTCAGTTTTCTACTCGGTAAAATGGAAAAAATAATGAACTACATCACAGGAGATTGTGGGTATTAAATGAAACATGCAGAAAGCTTAGACATTAACTCAATTAATTGAGACAGTGCTCAATTAACTTAGCAGTAATGAGTACCCAACCCCTTGATTATCATAAATTGTCATAACAAACACACTAATTCATTTATTCAAAAACATATTGAGTGCTTTTCCTTTTTCATTTTTCTCTCTCTTAGGATGCTGATATTGAGTGTTATCTATGTGCCAAGCACCATTGTAGAATCTGAGATAGCAGGGAGCAAAGATCCCTGCCTTCCAATGGGAGGAGATAAAAAAACAAGTCAAATATGTGTTATGATACATAGGTGATAAGTGCTATAGAGATAATAAAGCAGATAAAGGATAACAAATCAGGGCAGGGGCAGGGATGGAGGTTTTAAATAGGGTGGTACAAGAAAGTCATCACTGAAAACCCACTGGAGGGATTGGAGCAGACAAGTGATATGACCTGACTCACTTTTAAAAGGTTCACTCTTGCTGTTGGGAGACTATATTATAGATTTTGAGGGACAAGAAAAAGAAAGAAGGCCTATTAGAGAACTATTGCAGTAATCCAGATGGCTCTACTAGTGGATAATTAAAAGTTTCTGAGCCAGAGCAGCTGTCAACATGGAAATGTGCCCCCCTCCCCCTGCCTTTGTTTGTTTGTTTGTTTTTGAGACAGTCTCACTCTGTTGCTCAGGCTGGAGTACGCTGGCCCGATCTGAGCTCACTGCAACCTCTGCCTCCTGGGTTCAAGCGATTCTCCTGCCTCAGCTTCCCGATTAGCTGGGATTACTGGCCTGCTCCACCACACCCAGCTAATTTTTGTATTTTTAGTAGAGACGGGGTTTCACCTTGTTGGCCAGGCTGGTCTCAATCTCCTGACCTCAGGTGATCCACCCTCCTCGGCCTCCCAAAGTGCTGGTATTTGTAAGTGTAAGCCACTGCGCCCAGCCTATATTTGTTATTTCTAAGAGTTGAAAATCCTAAGTTTCAGAGATATGTTGAAGAAAGTAGCAAAATACCAAGGCCAATAATTTAGTTATTTTTTTTAACTCTGGAATCAGACTGCTTGCATTTGAATAGTGGCCCTATCAGTATTCAGCCACTAGATACAACTAGGGCAAATTACTTACTTTGTTTCCAGTTTCTTCATCCCTAATAGGATCTACTCAAAGGATTGTTCCAAGGCTTAAATGACCTCACACCTGCAAAGCCCTTAGAATAATGTTTGACAGTTAAGTGTTTACTATATGTTAGCCATTATCTTTCAGTCCCTTGTCATTACTTGGGTCTAGGCAAAACTCACACATTGCAGAAAAGACACCATCTCTCTTGAGGCAAGTCATACCTAGTGATGCTGTTGTCATAGTTTCTTCTGACAGGTATCATTGAAATAATAATTTAACCTCACTTGTAGAAATAAGCTAGTGAGCGGCAGGTGCAGTGGCTCACACCTGTAATCCAGCACTTTGGGATGCCGAGGCAGGTGGATCACCTTAAGTCAGGAGTTCCAAACCAGCCTGGCCAACATGGTGAAACCCCATCTCCACTAAAAATACAAAAATTAGTTGGGTGTGGTGGCAGGCACCTGTAATCCCAGCTACTAGGGAGGCTGAGGCAGAAGAATCACTTGAACCCGCGAGGCGGAGGTTGCAGTGAGCAGAGATAGCACCATTGGACTCCAGCCTGGGCAACAAGAGTGAAAACTCCGTCAAAAGAAAGAAAGAAGGGAAGAAAGGAAGAAAAGAGAGAGAGAGAAGCTAGTGAGCTAAATCTGATGATGCCGTTGTGAGACTTGAGGTCCCCAAGTGTGCCATGGCGTATGAGTTGATAATCAGTGTATTACAGCGTGCTGCTGACAAGTAAATTCCCATTCTGGGACATTTAAAATAGGATAATGAAGACAGCGTTTAGATGATATTCTGAGACAGTGAGATACTGTATATATAAAATATCATTTGAGCACTTTGAACCAAAAGAAAAAAAAAGAAAATAGCATTACACATTTGCAAAGCATTTTTCAGTTTAAAGCACTTCCATGCATCTGTATTAGCCAGCTTGTAAGATGGCCATGATGATCCTTGCCTTCCGGTATTAATCCTGTTGTGTGGTCTTCTCCCACAATGAAACAGGTTGTTCTGTGTGACCAATAGAATATGGCTGAAGTGTGATTTATGAGGCTAGAACATAAAAGGATGCTGTTGACTGGCATGCTTGGATTATTTGCTCTGGTGAAAGCCAGCCATGTCATGAATTCACTCAGGCAACCATGTGGAGAGAAACTAAGGCCTCTTGCCAACAGCCAGCATCGGCTTGTCAGCTCTGTGAGTGAGCCATCTTGGAGGTGAATCAGCCAGCCTCAGCCAAGCCTTCAGATGACTGTAGCCTCAGTGGCTTCTAATTGCAACCGCATTAGGCACTAAATCAAAACTGCCCAGTGAAGCTGCTTCTGAATTCCTGACCCAGAGAAACCAGAGAAATTAAGAGTTTAGCCACTTAATTTTGGGGTCATTTGTTACAAAGTAATAGATAATACACTAATTTGATCCTGACTATCCCACTGTGTAGTACTGGAAAGAAAAACGGAAACTTGGACAAATTAAGCAATTTGCTGATTACATATATTTAAGTGCCTAACCTCTAAATGAAAATACAGGCTATTTAACTGTAAGCCTCACCAGAAGTCTATAATACTCTCCTTGGGAGCTCATCCTGTGACAGCAATTCCCACTGGCGTACCTTTTGCCATACCTATACTCACAAATTCTGTAACAGTGACAGATTTTCTTCATTCTGACTTTCACGGCAGCAGCTGTAGTAAAGATTGCCCTCAGATATACATCCACAGTTCGGTATTAGGATTTCTAACTGTTGGCTCACAGTATTACTCATACCACTCTTCACTACCTGAATCCGAATGTATTTCTGAAAGCAAAATAATGGTCCTGGGCTTTTTTTTTTGAGACGGAGTTTTTCTCTTATTGTCCAGGCTGGAAAGGCTGGAGTGCAATGGTGCAATCTCAGCTCACCGCAACCTCTGGCTCCCAGGTTCAAGCAATTCTCCTGCCTCAGCCTCCTGAGTAGCTGGGATTACATGCGCCCGCCACCACGCCCAGCTGATTTTTTGTATTTTTAGTAGAGATGGGGTTTCACCATGTTGGCTAGGCTGGTCTTGAACTCCTGATCTCAGGTGATCTGCCCGCCTCGGCCTCCCAAAGTGCTGGGATTACAGACATAAGCCACCACACCCGGCCTGGCCCTGGGCTTTCTTTTGCTAAAGTAATTTTCCCAAATAATTGTTTTTTTTTTAGACAGAGTCTTGCTCTGTCGCCTAGGCTGGAGTGCAGTGGTGTGACCTCCACTCACTGCAACCTCCACTTCCTGGGTTCAAGCAATTCTCCTGCCTCAGCCTCCTGAGTAGCTGGGATTACAGGCGCCTGCCACCATGCCCAGCTAATTTTTGTATTTTTAGTAGAGATGGGGTTTCACCATGTTGGCCAGGCTGGTCTTGAACTCCTGACATCAGGTGGTCCACCTGCCTTGGCCTCCCAAAGTGCTGGGATTACAGGCGTGAGCCACTGTGCCTGGCAATAAATTTTTAAATAATAAAAAAAAGAAATGAATTATGTTTTTCTTTTTTTTTGGATGGAGTCTCACTCCGTTGACCAGGCTAGAATGCAGTGGCACAATGTTGGCTCACTGCAACCTCTGCCTCCTGGGTTCAAGTGATTCTCTGGCCTCAGCTTCCCTGTAGCTGAGATTATAGGTGTGTGTCACATTGCCTGGCTAATTTTTGTATTTTTAGTAGAGGCGGGGTTTCACCTGCCGGCCAGGCTGGTCTTGAACTCCTGACCTCAGGTGATCAACCTGCCTTGGCTCCCCAAAGTGCTGGTATTAACAAAGCATGAGCCACTGCACCTGGCCTGAATCATGTTTTTCAATGAGTCACCTGAACAGCTTATTGCCAGCATCAAACTCTCATATTTGTGCTGAACAACATTTACACTAGGCCACAGCAAAAAATTTATAAGAGAAGTAGATCAACTCTGTGGAGTAGTAGAAATAAGTAAAAATTAACCCACAGTCAACTGAGTAAATACAGAAGCATACTCAAAGCCAATTCTATTTCTTGCTCATGACCTACCCTTAACTCTCAGGGAGGACTTCTTTAAAGCATATTCTAGAAATCATTAAAGGTATGGAAGAGAATTTATTTAGCTTTGTGAGGCTTTACTTCACAATATACGTACCCTTGGCACAGGAGGGGCCCCATTAAAGTTTCATAAACTGCTTAATAAGTAAATATGTTGATTTTATGAGGCTCTCAGACATTAAGTTTGAGAAGGTTAATGGTTATCAGGATTTGCATACAAGATCACAAAACAGTAAAATAAACCAAAAAACAAGACTTCCTTACAACCTCCAAAACATAATAAATTGCAATTTCTAGTGAAATCTTTATTCCTATGCTATATTCATTTTGATCTCTTATTTTCCATTTTACACTTTTTGACTTTCTTTGGAATCTTTTGTATGATCTCTATCTTAATAGTATAGTCACCTATTTTAGCTTGACTATATTTTTATCATTCAGAGTAGGATATACTTACTAAGCCAGTTATACTCCAGTAAACTTGTGAATGAAAAAACATTAGAGAACAGAGAATTAAGAACAAGTAATAGAGTAATTATTTCACTGATCCTCACCCAATTTCAGGAAAATCATGTCCCTAAAACAGCAATTCTGACTGATAAATTTTTCCATGCCTAAACAGAAAGTAAAGTGAAATTATGGGAATCCTATGATAGTTTACTACACATTGTGTGCTTTTAATAGTTCAACACTGGTAATGTTTGATAATCAAGAGTAAATTAATAGGCTAACATTTAAAAATGTATACTTTAATAAGTATAAAGTATATAAACAATTAGGTAAGCTTGTGGAGAAGCTGACCAAGATACATAAATTAGGAAATACAAGTGTCCATCTAAATTTTCTATATTTCATTTTTTTCATAATATTTATTAAAGGTGTTTAATATACAGTTTCTCATCTGTCATTTTGGAAGTCCTTTATTGTAAAGACAATTCTATTGTCTGATGACAAACAGCAGCCACCATGGTTATTCAGGACCTCCACGCTGAAAAGGAAAAAATAAAGCAGTAAGATTAGATGTTAAATTGACTCAGGAAATGTTTTGATGGCAATTTTACAAATTTATACAATCTTCAGTAAGTAATCTTTGGTTTTTAAAAAATAGTTTTGAATTAGTCAAAACTTTTGGGTACTCATATCAATTCTTTTTTTTTTTTTTTTTTTTTTTTTTGAGATGGAGTTTCCGGAGTTTCACTCTTGCCCAAGCTAGAGTGCAGTGGCGTGACCTTGGCTCACTGCAACCTCCGCCTCCCGGGTTCAAGAGATTCTCCTGCCTCAGCCTCCCGAGTAGCTGGGATTACAGGTACCCACCACCACACCCAGCTAATTTTTGTATTTTCAGTAGAGACGAGGTTTCACCACATTGGCCAGGCTGGTTTCCAAGTCCTGACCTCAGGTGACCCACCTGCCTTGGCCTCCCAAAGTGCTGGGATTACAGGCATGAGCCACCATGCCCAGCCCTCTTATCAATTCTTATAATTTCAGACCTGGAAGGGACTCAAGGTTGACCTGTCCTTAAATTTCTTGGTATCAGAAGCTCTTTACACTCTGAAAAATTATTCAGGACCCCAAAGAGCTGTTTTTTATGTGATTATATCTATTGATATTGATATATCATGCATATTTACAGAGGGATTTGACTATGGTTTCTTTCTCATAGTCTTGGCCTACCTGACCATCCTGTCTTAGCTCTGACCACACTCTGACAAGACAATAGGAATAGCATGTAAATCAGCAAATGAAATCCCCAAAGCCCAAATGTTATGGTGTTTTGCGTAGTCTTGGGATAAAGAGCAACGACATACTTGGATAAATTCCATTTCTTCTTGAGACACAAGTTTCCTTCTGTATTTCTGAGGTAATGTTTTTATTATTTCTGCAGTGTCTGGTGGACCCTGATACATCAGCAAATCTGGTGATTTACTTCCTTTAGAATGTTGTGAAATTACAGAAGAGTGAGATGGTAGCCCTGCTGATCTCAAAGCTTCTGATACTGAAATTAAAAAAAAAAAAGACCTTATTAGAGAAATTGTTCAGATGTCAAAATACTGAGTCTTAAAATACTATCAAATAATCAAGTCATTCTTGAAATGAAGTCATTCTTCAAATAACTCTTGAAGTATTATAATTCCAAAAGGTAAATATTGTAGAGTAACTCAGTTGGCTATATATAATTTCATAAAGGTTTTTAAAAACAAATAAGGAGGTAGCTTTAAAATTTTTATACATTTATTGTTTACAGATGGGGTCTTGCTTTGTTGCCCAGGCTGATCTTGAACTCCTGGGCTCAAGCAAACATCCTGCCAGCCATCCCACCTCAGCCTGTGAGTAGTCAGGATTATAGGCATGTGCCACTGCACCCAGCTAAGGGGCAGTCTTAAGTAAATGAATTACAAAAATGTAAAATAATGAAATTTCTAGTTAGTGGAATTCAACCCTTTAGGGGAACCTACACTACTTAAGCTTATGTCACATAACCCCTCATAGGCCAACACATGGTGGAGTTTACAGGTAATATCTTACAATAAGGAATAAGAAAGTCAGTAAATGTAAATGAGGGTAGTTTTCTCAATATCTTTACACTTGTTTAAACATCTTAATTCTTCAATAGTTACAATAAGTTAAAAATATACCTATAAAATGTGTTAAAATTGCCTGAATTAAAGATCAAGAGAGGCACAGAGGATCTGGTTTTTTTAAAAAAGGGCGGGAATCAGAGAAAAACAGAACCCTTTCAGAATCTTCTCCCATTAATTTTGAATAAATGCTAAGGATTAAGGCAATCCAAAAAATATTTACTGACTAGATGAATAGATAAATGAATGAATGAAAGAAAAGATGGTTGGTGAGGAGAGAAACAGGAATGGTTATTATTTTCCCAGTCTCTGCAAATGTAAGCATGGGAGAATCTTCTAAAGGATAGGAGAGAATAAAGGTAGGACAAAATTTTGCCCATATAAACTCACTAGAAATTCAGAGACATCTTCTGTTGAGTCACTACCTTTTAAAATAGGGGTAATAAAGGCCAGGTGAGTGGCTCATGCCTGTAATCCCAGCACTTTGGGAGGCGGAGGCAGGCAGATCACCTGAGATCAGGAGTCGAGACCAGCCTAGGCAACATGGTGAAACCCTGTCTCTACTAAAAATACAAAAATTAGCCAGGCGTGCTAGTGTATGCCTGTAATCCCAGCTACTAAGGATGCTGAAGCACGAGAATTGCTTTAACCCGGGAGGGGGAGACTGCAGTGTGCCAAGATAGCACCACTGCACTCCAGCCTGGGCGACAGAGCAAGACCCTGTCTCAAAAAATAAAATAAAATAGAGGTAATAATTTTTTTTTTTTTTGAGACAAAGTCTTGCCCTGTCACCCAGGCTGGAGTGCAGTGGCATGATCTTAGCTCACTGCAACCTCCGCCTCGTGGGTTCAAGCAATTCTATGCCTCAGCCTCCCGAGTAGCTGGGACTATAGGAGCCCGCCACCACGCCTGGCTAATTTTTTGTATTTTTTAGTAGAGACAGGGTTTCACCATGTTGGCCAGGCTGGTCTTGAACTCCTGACCTCAGGTGATCCGCGTGCCTCGGCCTCCCAAAGTGCTGGGATGACAGGCGTGAGCCACCGCTCCCAGCCATAAGTTAATTTCTACTTGCATGCTACATAAGGCACTATTTTGATCTAAGCTACAATAGTCTTAACTGATTTTAAAATGAGAAATATTGCCTATAATAAAATACTCATTTATAAATATTCATGTACACAATTTTAAAAGAAATTTAAATAAAATACAACTCACCATTGGGTTTAGGATTGTCTCTTCTGTCAGGAAACCTTATTAATGGAGTGTGTGGTTTGACTACCTAAATGAAAAGTAATATGCATGAAAAACAATCTCATTAACTAAAAGAAATGATCTACTAAACCTCATAAGTAGATACGTTTGTTAAAATTACTATTTTACAGCAACTTTAAATTATACTCTTCCCCAACCAGGAAAGCTGGTCTATGAATTATTAACTTGTCTACCCGGTAAACACAACTTTGTACTTTATATATCACAAGACTTCATTGTACTATCGAAGGTGTACTTCACTTCAAAGCAACCCAATGGAGGAGATGATGTAGAGTTTATGTTGCATGACTTATAGATTGGTAAGAATGAAAGCTGGCTGGGTGCAGTGGCTTATGCCTGTAATCCCAACATTTTGGGAGGCCCAGACAGGCAGATTGCGTGAGTGCAGGAGTTTGAGACCAGCCTGGGCAACATGGTGAAACCCCGTCTCTACCAAAAATTAAAACAAAAACAAAAAGAAAAACAAGGCCCAGTGTGATGGCTCACGCCTATAATCCCAACACTTTGGGAGGCCGAGGCGGACGGATCACGAGGTCAGGAGTTCAAGACCAGCCTGGCCAACATGGTGAAACCCCATCTCTACTAAAAATACAAAAATTAGTTGGGCATGGTGATGCGTGCCTGTAATCCTAGCTACTTGGGAGGCTGAGGCAGGAGAACTGCTTGAACCAACCGGGACTCCGGAGGCAGAGGTTGCAGTGAGCTGAGATCGTGCCACTGCACTCTAGCCTGGGCTACAGAGTGAGACTCCATCTTAAAAAAAAAAAAAAAAAAAAAGGTGGCTGAGCATGGTGGCTCACACCTGTAATCCCAGCACTTTGGAAGGCTGAGGCAGGTGGATCACGAGGTCAGGAGTTCGAGAGCAGCCTGACCAACAGGGTGAAACCTCGTATCTACTAAAAATACAAAAATTAGCAGGGCATGGTGGTAGTGCACACCTGTAATCCCAGCTACTCAGGAGGCTGAGGCAGGAGAATCGCTTGAACGCAGGAGGCAGAGGTTGCAGTGAGCAGAGATAGTGCCACCATACTTCAGTCTGACCACAGAGCGAGACTCCGTCTCAAAAAAAAAAAAAAAAAAAATGTGGTGCTATGTGCCTGTAGTTCCAGCTACTTGGGAGGCTGAGGTGGGAGGATCACTTGAACCAAGGAGGCAGAGGTTGCAGTGAGCTCAGATCTTGCCACTGCACTCCAGCCTGGGCAACAGAGTGAGACCCCATCTCAAAGAAAAAACACTGGAAATTTACTGCCTTTTTTTTTTTTTTCTTTTTTCAGACGGAGTCTCACTCTGTCGCCCAGGCTGGAGTGCAGCGGCACGATCTCAGCTCACTGGAACCTCCACCTCCTGTGTTCAAGCGATTCTCCTGCCCCAGCCTCCCGAGTAGCTGGGACTATAGGCACGTGCCACCACGCCCGGCTAGTTTTTTTCACTTTTAGTAGAGACGGGGTTTCACCGTGTTAGCCAAGGTGGTCTCAATCTCCTGACCTCATGATCCGCCCACCTTGGCCTCCTAAAGTGCTGGGATTACAGGTGTGAGCCACCGCACCCGGCAGAAATTTACTGACTTTTTAAATTTTTTGTTGAGACAGCGTCTGGCTTGTTGCCCAGGATGGAGTGCACTGGCATGATGTGGCCTTACCGCAACCTCCGCCTCCTGCTCCTAGGTACAAGCAATCTTCTTGCCTTAGCCTCCCAAAGTTCTAGGATTTCAGGCATGAACCACTGCACCTGGCCTCCTGACTTGTTTTGAGTGTTATTTCCCTACTATATTAATACCTAACAGGGAAGAAAAAACAATCATTTTGAAAATTAGAAAATTAAAGAATACTTTTTTTGACTACAAAAGTAACACAAATTCTGTGTAAAACATTTGGAAGAACACAGAAGAGCACAAAGAAGAAAACACTATAATCCCAAGACCCACGTAAAACAAATAAAAGACTTTTTTTTTTTTTGAGATGGAGTCTCCTCTGTCACCCAGGCTGGAATGTAGTGGCGTAATCTCTGTTCACTGCAACCTCCGCCTCCCAGGTTCAAGCAATTCTCCTGCCTCAGCCTCCTGAGTAGCCAGGATTACAGGCCTGCGCCACCACACCCCGCTAATTTTTGTATTTTTAGTAGATATGGAGTTTCCCCATTTTACCCAGGCTGGTCTTGAACTCCTGACCTCAAATGATCCACCTGCTTCGGCTTCCCAAAGTGCTGGGATTACAGGCATGGGCCACCATGCCCGGCCCAAATTAAAACATTTGATAGCACTTTATTTTAGTCTTTTTCCTATACCCATAGGAATACTTTTTTTTTTTTTTTTTTAGACAGAGTCTTGCTGTGTCACTCAGACTGGAGTACAGTGCCGCAATCATGGCTCACTGCAACCTCCGCCTCAAGGGTTCAAGTGATTCTCCTGCCTCCGCCTCCCAAGTAGCTGGGATTACAGGTGCCCGCCACCACACCCGGCTAATTTTTATATTTTTAGTAGAGACAGGGTTTCACCATGTTGGCCAGGCTGGTTTCGAACGGCCTCCCAAAGTGCTGGGATTACAGGCGTGAGCCACCATGCCTGGCCTGGAATACATATTTTTGGAATACTGTTTTTGGAACAGATGTTTGAAAAGTATTAACATTTTTGTCCGTAAAATTCCAGATAGTGGTACAGAGGACCTTAAATGGACCTGTCAATATGAAATCTTCTGAATATACAATGCTAAGAATCTAATGAACAAAGTACTATTTTCAACTAATCTATAAATTGCTATGTAACGAATAAGACTGAGGTGGGTTTATCTGCAATATATTTATATATTTGTAGTACATATTATGCATTTTATGTGGGCACAGAAGCAAATAGGTATGGGATTGGCCTAAAAATTCACCACTGTAATTCTGTGGCTGTGAGAAAATGCTGGAATGTGTTCTCTCCCTCACCATAAAATCATGCTCAAGTCTTCCATGCTAAAAAACTTCTCGGCCGGGCATGGTGGCTCACACCTGTAATGCCAGCACTTTGAGAGGCCGAGGTGGGTGGATCATGAGGTCAGGAGATCGAGACCATTCTGGCTAACACGGAGAAACCCCGTCTCTACTAAAAATACAAAAAAAGTAGCCAGGCGTGGTGGCACACACCTGTAGTCCCAGGTACTCGGGAGGCTGAGGCAGGAGAATCGCTTGAACCTGGGAGGCAGAGGTTGCAGTGAGCCGAGATTGTGCCACTGCACTCCAGCCTAGGTGAAAGAGCAAGACTTTGTCTCAAAAAAAAAAAAAAAAAAAAAAGCTGCGCACCGTGACTCACGCCTGTCATCCCAGCACTTTGAGAGGCCAAGGCGGGTGGATCATGAGGTCACGAATTCAAGACCAGCCTGGCCAAGACGGTGAAACCCTGTCTCTACTAAAAAAATAAAAAAATTAGCCGGGCGTGGTGGTGGGCGCCTGTAATCCCAGCTACTCGGGAGGCTAAGGCAGAAAATTGCTTGAACCCTGGAGTGGAAGTCCGAGATCGAGCCACTGCACTCCAGCCTGAGTGACAGAGAGAGGCTCTGTCTCAAAAAAAAAAACTTCTCTATTAACTGTTTCTTCACTTTCATAGCCAAGCTTCTTAAGAGAATGTTCTATCTATCCTATCATCACTCCCCTATTTAGAAGTTTGAAAACTGGCTGAGGTCAGTGGCTCATGCCTGTAATCCCAGCACTTTGGGAAGACGGCTTGAGCCCAGGAGTTTGAGACCAGCCTGAGCAAGAAGATGAGACTCCCTCTCTACAACTTAAAAGAAGAAAAAAAAGAAGTTTGAAAAATGTTCCACAGCTTTCAGGATAAAGTTCAAACTCTTCTTTGGCACTCACAACACCCATTGTGATCTGGCCTCTCCCTACTTTGCCAGCCTTTCTCCCCTACTGTCTTATGTACCCATTGCTCCAAGTATTCTGAAGTATTTTTCCTTTCCCCAATTCATCCTATTTATCCTCATTCCATCTACAGCTTACGTCCTCTGCCATGAAATCTCCCTCCTATCCCATTCCACTTCCATGCCTATCCTTCTGACTGCTTATCCTTTACAACAGCTCAAATGTCACTCTTCTCTAAGAACCTTTCCCAAATTCCAAAGTCTGAGTTAAAAACTCTCCTTATGTTTTCAGAGGACAGATAAGTTAGCCAATGATTATAGAAGAGCACTAAGCTCCTGGACAGTCAGAGACAGAAAACTAAGCACTTCTGCAGTAGCATTCCTGTTACATGGTAAATGCCCAAGTAACAGTTGCCAAATACGTGAATAAACCATTTGTAAGTTAGGTCTAACTGTATAGGCATGTAAATATGTATTATATACTTATACAAATGTACTTTTAATAGATATGGGGTTTTGCCATGTTGGCCAGGCTGGTCTCGAACTCCTGACCTCAGGTGATCTGCCCGCCTTGGTCTCCCAAAGTGCTGGGATTACAGGCATGAGTCACCGTGCCCAGCCTTATGTTTTCTATAATAGTCTTTTATCAGATATGTCTTTTGAAAGTATTTTCTCCCAATATGTGGCTTGCCTTTTTTTGACAGTGTCTCACAGAGCAGAATTTTTTATTTTAATGAAGTCCAGCTTATCAATTAATTTTTCATGGATCATGCCTTTGGTGTTATATCTAAAAAGTCATTCCTAAACCTAAGGTTATTTTTATTTTCTCCTATGTTATATTCTAAGGGTTTTATAGTTTTGCATTTTGCATTTAGGTCTAGGATCCATTTTGAGTTAATGTTTGTGAAGAACGTGAGGTCTGTGTCTAGATGGATATCCAATTTTTTCAGCACCATGTTGAAAAGACTATCTTTTCTCCATTGTATTCCCTTTGCTCGTTTTGTCAAAGATCAGTTGACTATCTCTTTATTTTTACCTTTCCAAATCTTAGTTTTAGCTATGCCTCTTATAAATAGCATAGCACTGGATTTTCATTTGTTAGCCAGTCTGAAAATGTTTTACTTTATTATTTATTTTTTGAGACCAGGTCTTGCTCTGTTACACAGGCTGGGGTGCAGTGGAGTGATCGTGGTTCACTGCAGCGTCAAACTCCTGGGCTCAAGTGATCTTTCCACCTCAGCCTCCTAAGTAGCTAGGACTACAGGTACACACCCACACACTACCCCTCCTGCCTGGCTAATTTTTTTTTTTTTTTTTAGTATTTATTGATCATTCTTGGGTGTTTCTCGGAGAGGGGGATGTGGCAGGGTCATAGGATAATAGTGGAGAGAAGGTCAGCAGATAAACACGTGAACAAAAAGGTCTCTGGTTTTCCTAGGCAGAGGTCCCTGCGGCCTTCCGCAGTGTTTACGTCCCTGGGTACTTGAGATTAGGGAGTGGTGATGACTCTTAACGAGCATGCTGCCTTCAAGCATCTGTTTAACAAAGCACATCTTGCACCGCCCTTAATCCATTTAACCCTGAGTGGACACAGCACGTTTCAGAGAGCACGGGGTTGGGGGTAAGGTTATAGATTAACAGCATCCCAAGGCAGAAGAATTTTTCTTAGTACAGAACAAAATGGAGTCTCCTGTGTCTACTTCTTTCTACACAGACACAGTAACAATCTGATCTCTCTTTCTTTTCCCCACATTTCCCCCTTTTCTTTTCGACAAAACCGCCATCGTCATCATGGCCCGTTCTCGATGGTTGCTGTCTCTTCAGAGCTGTTGGGTACACCTGCAGAAAGGCTGTCACTTCACACTTGGAAGATTGCACTGCGGCCAGGCAGAGGCGCTCCTCACTTCCCAGACGGGGTGGCGGCCGGGCAGAGGCGCTCCTCACATCCCAGACGGGGCGGCCGGGCAGAGGCGCTCCTCACTTCCCAGACGGGGCGGCTGCCTGGCTAATTTTTATAGAGATGGGGTCTTGCTATGTTGCCTAGGCTAATCTTGAACTCCTGGCTCAAGCAATCTTCCCACCTTGGCTTTCCAAAGTGTTGGGAGTACAGGTGTGAGCCACCGTGCCCAGCTGGCTTTGTCTTTACTTAATGTTCTGAGACCACGCTTTGTGACTTCCTATCAGTTTGTACCAATCAGTCTTTTGGCACTCTTCTCTTCCTTCAAGATATGGATCAACAACCAAATTCTAAGCTCTATGTTTTTTTGTTTTTTTTTTTTGAGTCAGGGTCTAGCTCTACTGTCCAGGCTGGAATGCAGTGGCATGATTATGGCTCACTGTAGCCTTGATCACCCAGGCTCAATCTTCCCACCTCAGCCTCCTGAGTAGCTGGGACCACAGGTGCACATCACCATGCTCAGCTAATTTTTTAAAATTTTTATAGAGATGGGGTCTTGCTATTTTGCCCAGGCTGGTCTTGAACTCCTGGGCTCAAGCCATCCTCCTGCCTCAAACTACCAAAGTGTTGGGATTACAGGCATACATCAGTGAGCCTGGCCTAAACTCTAACTGGCACTGTAGTCCTAGCTTTATAGGCCTGTCACAGAGATACTCAACAAATTTTGCTAATGTTATATGTAATTATTACATAATATTAGCACATACTTTATTATTTATTTTTCGAGACCAGGTCTTGCTCTGTTACACAGGCTGGGGTGCAGTGGGGTGATTGTGGTTCACTGCAGCGTCAAACTCCTAGGCTCAAGTGATATTATATTAGCATATTGGTTGTATTCTCTCTTTTTTTCTTTTTTTTTAAGAGCGCAATCACGAACCTGATTTGAATTCTAAATAGGTGAGTACAGGTCTTTGTTCCTATGTTAGAAGGGCACAGACCATTCCTTACTGTATATCTCACAGTTTCTTCATTTGTTTGCACACATCAGCTGTTAGTATTGCTTTGGACTGTACTATTTTAACAAACTACCACAATTTGTTTATGCAAAAGACAGACATAGAGATTGTTTGTGGTTTGGGGGCTATCAGAAATAGAGCCAGGGACCCCATGGCAGTATATATAGTACCTGCCTGCTGAGATGCCACACTCCTGCTGCCAGGCTGGAACCCCTCAGCTCTGGACCCCAGTTCTTTGCTAGTAACTCTTTTTTTTCTGTGAACATTTACGTACAGAGACAGTATGTGCATTCACTTCTCTTGGGCAATAAACCTATGAGTAGAATTGCTGGGTCATACGGTAGATACATGCTTAACTATTAGAGACTGACAGCTTTCCAAAGTGGCTATAACATTTTATATTCCCACCAGCAATATTGAGGGTTTCAGACGCTTCACATTCTCATCACCACTGACGTCTAAATTTTAGTCATTTTGGTGGATGTGTAGGACCTCATGGTTTTAATTTTTATTTTCCTGGCAAGTAATGATATTGAGCACCTTTTAAAATGTTCATTGCTCATTTGGGTATCTTTTGTGCAACACGCCAAGTCTTTTACCCATTTTTAAATTGTTATATATTATTGATACATATGGTTATATATTATGGATAACAGACCTTTGTCAGTCTCTCAGTCCTTACAGAATCTTTAACTAGTTGATGCTCAGTAACTACCTACTGAATAAGTAAGGATCATTCATTGCAATGGGACCAAAGACTGGGATCTAGGATTATCATTCAGACAACAATTTCAGGAATTTAGAAAAAGGTCTTTTAAGAGATGTACTTATATAAAGCGGAATGTACTTCTCATATCAAAGATAAAAGTCAATTATAAAATAATATAGTTTCAGGGTTCAAAGACTATGTAAACCAACCACAAAAGTGGAGGTTGTGTTCCACTTATATAATAATTTTACCTAAGTTAGAACCACAGCTGAAGAAACAAATAAAAAGGCTATCAGGAGTTAGTAGCTGATAGGTGGATTAACAAAGTTACTTTAGCTGTCTATCTAAACCAGGGGAAAATAGGCTTGTGAAACCAACGCTTATACACACACACACACACACACACACACACATTAATATACACACACACATACTAATTAAACTTAAGTTTACTTTTCTATTTCCCTCATCTGGCCTGTAGCCAGACGCTTGGAGAGGTTGGGGAGAACCCGCTCCGGCGAGGACGCAGTACGCGGGGCCAGTTGCCCGACCATTCCCGAGACCTTGAAGGGACAGTGGGTCAGATCCAGGGTTCGCTTCCTTCCACGCCCCGCTACCGCCTTCCTTCCGATTGGCTGATCGGGGGCACCACAGCCAATCCTAGACGGCGATTGGCCAGGCTACCGCCAGGGTCGCCTCACCCGCACACGCCTAAGACTAACAAGGTCCTGGCGGAGGAGCGGGGGATCCCGGCAGTAGGTACAGGACCTACCTGCCAAGATGCTGCACGGTTGCCGCAAGGCTCGAACCCTCGGCGCCGGACCCACCTCACTGCCCGGTCCAACAGGCTCAAAGTCCCATCCTCACACACACCCGCGGGCGCCGTCACTGGCCCTCCGCAGAGGCGCGGTCACCGCTCTGCCTCTGCCACCGCCTTTACTCCCCGACGCCGTCGCCATAGTCAGCACCGTCCCTACCGCCCAAGATGCGGAAACGCGACAAATTGCTTTACCTGAACGACCCTACTAGCAGACGCCATCTTGCTGCCCATCATGACCCCCGAGAAGGGGCAGTTTCCGGGGCGCGAGCGAGCCGCGGCGATCACTGGAGTCCCGGGCAGCTGTGGGCGGTGCTTCCCGGGACGTCACGGAGGCGGAGACCGGACTGGGCTCTCCTCCGCCGTGGGGCTGGCTCCGCCCCCTGTGCCTGACCCCGCCCACCCCTTCTCCCTACTAGGATCCACCCACGTGTGTTCTATTGTTTCGTTTTGGGGACAAAATTTTGTTAAGGTGGGTCTCTGCTCATTAGCCTATAAATTGTCTAGGACCATTTCCTTTCCAGAAAGCCAGTCTATAATTTCGATATAGTTCAAAATTTTATCTGGAACCAAATAAATAATACAACCTTCTTATCTGACAGCTCTTGCAAAGATTAAAAAAATTAAAGAAAAACAAAAAAAAAACCTTGCGGTTTCCTAAAATGAATAATTTCGTTAAAATGGGAGTTAGTGGCAAGCTCACAAGAGTTTACTCTGGCTTAAAAAGGGCCATGTCACACTCTCTTGCTGATTGGCATTGCTTGATTGTAATTTGTTTCTGTTTTCTTTACCGTTTATTACTCCTGATATCGAACTGCTGGGCCTTTGCTTCAAGTTGAGATAACTCAAAAATTCAGAAATATTTGAAATGTAAGCCACTCATATCTTTCCCCCAAAATTACATTACGGGCGGGGCGCTATGGCTCACGCCTGTAATGCCAGCACTTTGGGAGGCTGAGGCGGGCGGATCACTTGAGGTCAGGAGTTCGACACCAGACTGGCCAACATTGTAAAACCCTGTCTCTACTAAAAATACAAAAATTAGCCGGGCGTGGTGGCGGGCGCCTGTAGTCCCAGCTACTCAGGAGGTGAGGCAGGAGAATTGCTTGAACCCAGAAGGCAGAGGTTGCAGTAAGCCGAGAGTGTGCCACTGCACTCCGGCCTGAGCGACAGAGGGAGACTCCGTCTCAAAAAAAAAAAAAGTTACATTACGTTCTGTGATAATGCTTAGGTTATATATAGTATTGTAAGCTTGACCAATGTGTTTGATGATATACATCAGTGATTTCTAAGTCTTGGGATCTTTTTAGAAATATAAATTACTGAACCCAGGTATGGTCTATTGGGATTCAGTGACTACAGAGAGGCCATTAACCCGTTTTGTTTTGTTTTGTTTTTGTGGTTTTTTTTTTTTTTTTTGAGACGGAGTCTCGCTCTGTTGCCCAGCCTGGAGTGCTGTGGCGTGATCTCAGGTCACTGCAACCTTTGCCTCCTGGATTCAAGCAATTCTCCAGCCTCAGCCTCCCCAGTAGCTGGGATTACAGACGCCCGCCACCACGCCTGGCTAATTTTTGTATTTTTGGTAGAGACAGAGTTTCACCATATTGGCCAGACTAATCTCCAACTCCTGGCCTCAAGTGATCCACCCACCTCAGCCTCCCTAAGTGCTGGTATTACAGGCGTGAGCCACTGCGCCTGGCCCCATTTTAATTATTTTCAAATGTGCAGTTCAGTCACATTAAGTACATTCACATTGTTGGGCAATTGTTACCATCTTCAGAAACTGTACCCATTAAACAAAAACTTATTCCTCCTTCCCTCAGCCTCTGACAACTATCATTTTACTTTCTGTCTATGAATTTGACTACTGTGGGTACTTAATGTACGTGGAGCCATAACAGTATTTGTCCTTTTGTAATTAGCTTGTTTCACTTAGCATGTCTTCAGAGTTCATTCATGTTGTAGAATGTGTCAGAATTTCTTTTTTAAGGCTGAAAAAATCCCATTATATGTGTATACCACATTTTGCTTATCCATTCATCTGTGGTAATTCTTTTTTTTTTTGAGACAGAGTCTTGCTCTGTCACCCAGGCTGGAGTGCAGTGGTGCCAACTCGGCTCACTGCAAGCTCCGCCTCCCTGGTTCACACCATTCTCCCACCTCAGCCTCCCAGGTAGCTGGGACTACAGGCACCCGCCACCACACCAGGCTAATTTTTTTTGTATTTTTAGTAGAGACAGGGTTTCACTGTGTTAGCCAGGATAGTCTCCATCTCCTGACCTCGTGATCTGCCCGCCTCAGCCTCCCAAAGTGCTGGGATTACAGGTGTGAGCCACCGTGCCCAGCCGATAATTTTTTTTTTTTTTTGAGACAGAGTCTCGCTGTGACACCCAGGCTGGATGCAGTGGCATGATCTCAGCTCAATGCAACCTCTGCCTCCTGGGTTCAACTGATTCTCCTGCCTCATCCTCCTGAGTGGCTGGGATTACAGGTGCCCACCACCACGCCCAGCTAATTTTTGTATTTTTAGTAGAGACAGGGTTTCTCCGTGTTGGCCAGAATGATCTCAAACTCCTGACCTCAGGTGATCCGCCCACCTTGGCCTCCCAAAGTGCTGGGATTACAGGTGTGAGCCACCGCACCTGGCCCAGTTCAATGCTTTTTAGAAAATTTTCATTTGAGACTCCTTTGACCTATGCCTCATTTAAAAGTGTGTTCAGTTTCCAAGTATTTGGAAATTTTCCTGTTATCTGACTGTTACTGATTCCTCATTTGATTCCCTTGTAGTCAGAACACAGTCTGTATAATTTCAATTCTTTTATATTTGTTGATATTTTGTCATCCAGGATATGGTCTATGTTGTTTATGTTCTGTAAGCACTTGAAAAGAGTGTTCTGCTGTTGTTTGGTGGAGTATTCTATAAATGTTGATTAGCTCCTCTGTTAGTCCATGTGTGCTACTGTAACAAAATACCTTAGTATGGGTAATTTATAACCACAGAAATTTATTTCTCATGTTCAGGAGGCTCAAAAGTCTAAGATCAAAGTACCAGCAGTTTCGGTGTTTTGTGAGGGCTCAGTCTTTTCTTCCAAGATGGTGCTTTGAACACTGCTTCATCCGAGGGGTTTAACACTGTGTGCTCACATGGCAGAAGGGCAGAAGAGAAGGAACCCATTCCCTCAAACTTTTTTTTTTTTTTTTTTTGAGACAGTCTTGTTCTGTCACCCAGGCTGGAGTGCAGTGGCACAATCTCGGCTCACTGCAACCTCCATCTCCTGGGTTCAAGCGATTCTCCTGTTGCAGCCTCCCAAGTAGCTGGGATTACAGGCGCCCTCTACCACACCCAGCTAATTTTTGTATTTTTAGTAGAGATGGGGTTTTGCCATGTTGGACAGGCTGGCTTTGAACTCCTGACCTCAGGTGATCGGCCCACTTTGGCCGCCCAAAATGCTGGGATTACAGGTGTGAGCCATTGTGCCTGGCCCTCAAACCTTTTTTTAAGGGCCTTAATCTCATCCATGATGGTTCTGTACTCATGATTTAATCATTTCCAATACCTTTTCGTATTGTCACATTAGCAATTTTCAATAGATGAATTTTGAAGGACACAGTCAGACCATAGCTTACCGCCTTTGGCCCCCCAAATTTATGTCCTACTCACATGCAAAATACATTTATCGGACGCTTGTTGCTCACACCTGTAATCCCAGCACTTTGGGAGGCTGAGGCAGACGGATCACTTGAGGTCACGAATTCCAGGCCAGCCTGGCCAACACGGTGAAACCCTGTCTCTACTAAAAATAAAAAAAATTAGCTGAGCGTGGTGGTGTATGCCTATAATCCCAGCTACTTGGAAGCCGAGGCATGAGAATTGCTTGAACCTGGGAGGCGGAAGTTGTTCACAGTGAGCCAAGATCGTACCACTGCACTTCAGCCTGGGGGACAAAGGGAAACACTGTCTCAAAAGACAAACAAAAAAAACCCAAAAATACATTTATCCATCCCAGTAGCCCCAAAAGTCTCAACTCATTCCAGCACCAACTCAAAACTATAAAGTCCAGAGTCTCACCTAAATCAGATATGGATGAGACTCAAGGCCATGACTCATCCTGAGGCAACTTCTCCTGCAGCTGTGAGCCTGTGAAATCAAATACATGTGCTTCCAAAACACAATGATGGGTCAGGAACAGGACTGACATTCCCATTCCAAGAGGGAGAAATAGGCAAGAAGAAAGGAGTAATAGGTCCCAAGTAAGTTAAAAACCCAAAAGGCCAACAACATTAACTCTTGAAGCTTGAGAATAATTCTTGACTCAGTATCTTGCCTTCAGGATGCATTGGGCTGGGGGTTGGACCCCCAAAGCCCCGGGGCAGCCCTACCCCATGGTTTTGATGGGCACAGTTCCAACCCAGCAGCTCTCAGCAGTTGAAGAGAGGTACCTGGGCTCTCTCAGGCAAGTATTGCATGCTGATGGCTCTACAGGTCTGGAGTCTGCCCTCCATACAGGGGTGGCCCTGCCATACAGCTCTGTAACAGCCTTTTATTGTTAGCCTTAGATAGCAGACAACTACCACTGAGGTTTTTTGAGATGGAGTCTCGCTGTCACCCAGGCTGGAGTGCAGTGGCACGATCTCGGCTCACTGCAAGCTCCGCCTCCCGGATTCACGCCATTCTCCTGCCTCAGCCTCTGGAGTAGCTGGTACTACAGGCGCCCGCCACCACACCCAGCTAATTTTTTGTATTTTTAGTACAGACAAGGTTTCACCGTATTAGCCAGGATGGTCTCAATCTCCAGACCTCATGATCTGCCTGCCTCAGCCTCCCAAAAGTGCTGGGATTATAGGCGTGAGCCACCGCACCCAGTTTTTGTTTTTGTTTTGAGACAGGGTCTCTGTCACCCAGGCTGGAGCACACTGGCACCATTATAGCTCATTGCAGCCTCAAACTCCCCAGTTCAAGCAGTTCTTCTGCCCCAGCCTCCTGAGCAGCTGGGACTACAGGCACATACCACCATGCCCAGATCACTGAGTTTGTTAGTGATACGATGTCATCTTAGCAGGTTAGTTCTTCTGTCCTTTTTGTAGAATATAATCCATGGGTAGGTTTTCTGGCCTTAGAAAATGTATCTACTCCATATAAAGAAAAAAAAACACATAGATAATATATCTACTGCAAGCCTGGGGACAGTGGCTCATCCCTGTAATCTCAGCACGTTGGGAGGCTGAGGCAGGCAGATCTCTTGAGATCAGGAGTTTGAGACCAGCCTGGCCAACATGGTAAAACCCCATGTCTACTAAAAATACAAAAAAATTAGCCGGGCCGGGCATGGTGGCTCACACCTGTAATCCCAGCACTTTGGGAGGCCAAGCCAGATGGATCAGCTGAGGTCAGGAGTTCAAGACCAGTCCGGCCAACATGGTGAAACCCTGTCTCTACTAAAACTACAAAAATTAGCCGGGCACAGTGCCGCATGCCTGATTATAATTCCAGCTACTTGGGAGGCTGAGGCAGGAGAATGGCTTGAACCCAGGAGGCAGAGGTTGCAGTGAGCTGAGATTGAGATTGTGCCACTGCATTCCAGCCTGGGCAACAGAGTGAGATTCTGTCTCAAAAAAAAAAAAAAAAAAAAAAAAAAAAAGCCAGACATGGTGGTGTGCACCTGTAGTCCCAGCTACTCAGGAGGTTAAGGCAGGAGAATCCCTTGAACCTGAGATGTGGAGGTTGCAGTGAGCTGAGATGGCACCATTGCACTTCAGCCTGGGAAACACAGTGACTCCGTCTCAAAAAAACAAAAACAAAACCAAAACCAAGACTGTGACTGTTGTACACGTAAAAAGATCTGTGTCCCCAACTTCAGAAAGCTGCTCAGAAGGACATACTCTCTAATGCCCTCTTCAGAGATATGGCTGACATTGATAATGAAAAAGGTAGAACCTCCCCACTGGCAGAGTGAAGAATCTGGATGAAGTGCCTCCAGAAAACAACACAAGAGCCTCATCAGTGTCATTCCCTATCCTCTAGGAAGGGGAATCTCCTATCATTTGCCAAGTAATACTTAAGATTTTGGCTGGGTGTGCTGGCTCACACCTGTAATTCCAGCACCACAGGAGGCTGAGGTGGGTAGACGGCTTTAACCTAGGAGTTCGAGACCAGCCAGGAAAACAAAGTGAGACCCTATCTCTACCAAAAAAAAAAAAAAAAATTGCTACAGACTGCAGACCTATTCCACTATTGCTTGCTGGATGTGTGAGGTGATACAATTTGTCTGAAAAGTTCACAGGTCTCTAGATGAAGGGCCACATCTGGACCTGATATGAAAGACTGAACTTTGAAAAAAATGTAACAATTGGATGACACTATTAGCTTATTTCTTGTCTTCCTTGGGAAGTGTCTTTTGCAGGCAGAATGCAGAAAGGATTCTGCATTCTGCATGAAAGGATGCAGAAAGGATTCTTGGTCATATTTATGACCAAGATAGCTGAGTTTAATAAATTATATTCTTTCAGTAAAATACCCACTTTCTCCAACTCTGAAATCCACCACTCCCCTGCAATGGGAGAAGTATACTTTCCTGCCTCAATGACGTTGGGTTTTGTCAATGTCAGCCTCTTTCAAACAGAAACTTTAATCATACTGGTATAATTGGACTTGACGTCATAAGCTCCTGCCCTGTGCCATGAGAACATTTCAGATTGTGGTTGTTCCCTCAGCCTGAGTCCTAGAATTATCAGCTGAAGGACAGACCCAAAACAGAAATGTCTGTTATAAGCCACTGAGACTTGGGGTTATTATTCAGCATGATTTTAAGAAAAGCTAATACAATTTCTCTCTCAGAATTGATCCTTAAGAAGGAACTTGGCCAGGTGAGGTGGCTCACACCTGTAATTCCAGCACTTTGGGAGGCCAAGGTGGGTGGACTGCTTGAGCTCAAGAGTTTGAGGACCAGCCTGGGCAACGTGGCAAAATCCCATCTCTATCAAAAACACAAAATTAGCCAGGCATGGTGGCACGTGCCTGTACAGGTCCCAGCTACTAGGGAGGCTGAGGCAGGATAATTGCTTGAACCCAGGAGGTGGAGGTTGCAGTGAGCTGAGATCGTGCCATACTGCCCTCTAACCTGGGCAAAAGAGCCAGACTCCGTCTCAAAAAAAAAAAAAAAAAAAAAGAAAAAGAAAAGAAAACAAATGCTAGCATCATTTCAAGTTTCAAGTCCTTCTAAAAAGAATGTTGAGGCCGGGTGCAGTGGCTCATGCCTGTAATCTTAGCAGTCTGGGAGGCTGAGGTGGTCAGATAATTTGAGGTCAGGAGCTCGAGACCTGCCTGACCAACATGGTGAAACCACCGTCTCAACTGAAAATACAAAAAATTAGCTGGGCATGGTGGGCCACACCTGTAATCTCAGCTACTCAGGGGGCTTAGGCATGAGGATTGCTTGAACCCAGGAGGTGGAGGTTGCAGTGAGCTGAAATAGCACTAGTGCATGCCAGCCTGGGTAACAGAGCGAGCCTCTATCTCAAGGGGAAAAAAAAATGTTGAAAATACTACATTAGCTGTAAAAATGTTCAACAGCTCCAAATTAATAAAGTGTTCAAATTAGAGTTTTTCAAAAACGGATTGCGATGCTATAAAAAGTGACAAGTTCTATTTTATAATTACTAAGAGTACTACTGTTTGTAAAGGGCACGAATTAAAAAAAAATAAGACAGAGTAACATTAATTCCTTTTATTTCTTAACTTATAAAACTGATAGAAAAAAAATGCAAACTAGACCAGGCTCGGTGGCTTACGTCTGTAATCCTAGCACTTCGGTAGGCCGAGGCGGTGGACTGCCTGAGCTCAGGAGTTCTGAGAGCAGCCTGGGCAACACGGTGAAACCCCGTCTCTACTAAAATACAAAAAATTAGCTGGGCATGGCGGCGTGCACCTTTAGTCACAGCTACTTGGGAGGCTGAGGCAGAACTGCTTGAACCCGGGAGGCAGAGGTTGCAGTGAGCCGAGATCGCGCCACTGCCCTCCAGTCTGGGCAACAAAGCGAGACTCCATCTCAAAAAACAACAACAACAAAAAAACAAACTAAATATAGAAATATAAAAAGAAAAAAATTACTTTCAATCCCACTACAAATAACTAACCACAACTGTACTACAACTGTAAACGTTATGGATATGCTTTTCTAAAATTACGGTGGACAGACAAATGCACAGAAGTATTCCAAATAAGAGTTGAGATTGCCAGAAATGTAAAATATGTCAGAAATGAATTCTTATTACATCATGTCAACATTCTTCTCAAGCTGCAGAACAATTTCCTTAAGGGCAGGATCCTCTGCCCAATTGACTTTACTCCCCAAAATAAGGTTCTGTAAAGAAAAAAAATTGTTTTAAAGTTACAAGTACTTTAAAAATTTAACAAGATTTTAGAATATCATTTTTCATGAATCTTATCAAGTAATTAACATTTACTACATGTGTAGCTCTGTGATCATAAGAAAAAAATGATAATACATTCTTCTATTTTTTTTTTTTGAGTCGGAGTCTTGCTCTGTGTCACCCAGGCTGGAGTGCAATGGTGCGGTCTTCAGCTCACTGCAACCTCCGCCTCCCGGGTTCAAGCAACTCTCCTGCCTCAGCCTCCCGAGTAGCTGGGATTACAGGCGCCCACCACCACACCCGGCTAATTTTTGTATTTTTAGTAGAGACAGGGTTTCAACGTATTGGCTCAGCTGGTCTCTTGGCCAGGCTGGCCTCAAACTCCTGACCTCATGATCCACCCGCCTTGGCCTCCCAAACTGCTGGGATTACAGGCATAAGCCACCACACCCAGCAGCATTCTTCTACTTTCATTTCCACTTTTAGTAAGGCTTTAGCCTTGATCTCCATAATGTTAGGGAATATTTACAATGTTTACAATAATTTTTTATGCCTCGTCAGTTTCCATGGATAGGTTTTACTTGTTAAAAATACTTGCAGCGTGCTGGGTGCGGTGGCTCAAGCCTGTAATCCCGGCACTTTGGGAGGCTGAGGCAGGTGGATCACCTGACATCGGAGTTCGAGACCAGCCTGGCCAACATGGCGAAACCCCATCTCTACCAAAAAACACAAAAATTAGCCAGGTGTGGTGGCAGATGCCTATAATCCCAGCTACTCAGGAGGCTGAGGCAGGAGAATCGCTTGAACCCAGGAGGAGGTTGCAATGGACCGAGATCATGCCACTGCACTCCAGCCTGGGCTACAGAGCAAGACTGCGTCTGAAAAAAGAAAAAAGAAAAATCAAGACCTTAAACATTAAGTATACACACATTCCAGATATATACAAACAGACCAATATTAAACATTGAATTATTTCATCAAGATCAAAAACTAGCTGAAAGTTAAGTCAATACTGTATGATAGCATCATCAAATAGTTGGCCAGGCGCAGTGGCTCATGCCTGTAATCCCAGCACTTTGGGAGGCTGAGGCAGACGGATCACCTAAGGTGAGGGGTTTGAGACCAGCCTAGCCAACATGGTGAAACCCCGTCTCTACTAAAAATTAAAAAATTAGCCGGGCATGGTGGTGGACGCCTGTAATCCCAGCTACTCAGGAGGCTGAGACAGGAGAATTGCTTGAACCAGGAGGCGGAGTTTGCAATGAGCTGAGATCGAGCCACTTCACTCCAGCCTGGGCAACAAGATTAAAACTCTTGCTAGTTTATATAAATGTTACCTGGAACACATGTTGAATAACAGTAGTAATTTTTATCTCCATCTGTAGGTTTTGTCGTATGATCTTTATCCTCTCTGAGTTTTCCATACTGTCCAAATCAATCTTCTGTTTGTTCTTTTCAGTCTGTATTTCTAAAAGCTTACTTTCTGAAGCTTGTTTTAATTCTGTTAGGTTAAAAATAAAATAATATACCATATATAATACCTCTATAAACAAGGATCTTGAAAAATTATGAAGCAGATCACTTCTTGGTTATTTTAGTCAAGAGAAAAATTTTAATAAGCAGCATTTTAGGTTGCAACTTTATTACGATCTGAAAATGACTTCCCTGGTGCAAAATAACAATATTTTAATTTCGTACTTAGCAATGCCCTTAGTGAAATGTTCCAGGTATTTCTGTATGACAATAACAGCTGTCTACAGATGTTTCAAGTGGCATCATGTAATGAGGGCTTATTTTGGGTTGCCAAAATAGGTAGGAAATACATATATTTTTCCCTCTTAAATTACAAAAATGAAACATATAAACATTTATTTTATTATTATTTTTTGAGATGGAGTCTCACTGTTGCCTAGGCTGGAGTGCAGTGGTACAATCTCGGCTCACTGCAGCCTCCGCCTCCCAGGGGTTCAAGTGATTCTCCTGCCTCAGCGTCCTGAATAGCTGGGATTACAGGCGCCCACCACCACACCTGGCTAATGTTTGCATTTTTAGTATAGATAGGGGTTTTGCCACGTTGGCTGGGCTAGTCTCCAACTCCTGACCTCCAGTGATCCACCCGCCTCGGCCTCCCAAAGTGCTGAGATTACAGGCGTGAGCCACCGCGCCCGGCCAAGGAATCTTACTTTTCATTTAAAATTAATCTTATTTGGCCAGGCACGGTGGCTCACACCTGTAATCCCAGCACTTTGGGAGGCCGAGGTGGGCGGATCACCTGAGGTCAGGAGTTCGAGACCAGCCCCGCCAACATGGCGAAACCCCATCTCTATGAAAAATACAAAAATTAGCTGGGCATGGTGACATGTGCCTATAATCCCAGCTACTCAGGAGGCTGAGGCAGGAGAATCACTTGAACCCAGAGGCAGAGGTTGCAGTAAGCTGAGATTGCACCATTGCACTCCAGCCTGGGCAACAAGAGTGAAACTCTGTCTCAGGAAAAAAAAAAAAGTAAGATTCCCCTCTCCAGGGATAAACATCATCAATCATTTTTTGTATTACTGGAAATAGTCTAAGAATTAAACTACTTGGAAATATAAATGGATGTATTTCAGGGGCCTGTTCTTCAACATTAATGTATATTAAAGGAGGTTGGAATGCAGTGGAGAAAATGAATCATCAAAAGGGTATAGCCTGAGCATGGGTGGCTCATTCTTATAATTCCAACACTTTGGAAGGCTGAGGCAGGAAGATTGCCAGAAGTTCGAGACCACCCTGGGAAACATAGCAAGACCCTGATTCTACTTAAAAAAACATGGGGGAATAGACAAGATGACCAATACTACTAATGACCCTGAGATTATTTGCTAACAGGCAAATCTATATAATGTTTACAAATGACAAATCTGAGCAGGGTGCAGTGACTCATGCCTGTTATCAGCACTGTGGGAGGCTGAGGAGGGTGGATCACCTGAGGTCAGGAGTTGGAGACCAACCTGGCCAACATGATGAAACCCGTCTCTACTAAAAATATAAATCAGTGGGGCATGGTGGCAGGCGCCTGTAATCCCATGTAATCCCAGCTACTCAAGAGGCTGAGGTAGGAGAACTGCTTGAACCTGGGAGACAGGGGTTGTAGTGAGCCGAGATCACGCCATTGCACTCCAGCCTGGGTGACAAGAGCGAAACTCCATCTCAATAAAAACAAACAAACAAAACACCGGCTGGGCACGGTGGCTCATGCGTATAATCCCAGCACTTTGGGAGGCCGAGGTGGGTGGATAACCTGAGGTAGGGAGTTCGAGACCAGCCGGACCAATGTGGAGAAACCCCGTCTCTACTAAAAAGACAAAATTAGCTGGGAGTGGTGGCGGGCGCTTGTAATCCCAGCTACTCGGGAGGCTGAGGCAGGAGAATCGCTTGAACCTGAGAGGCGGAGGTGCAGTGAGCCGAGATCACGCCATTGCACTCCAGCCTGGGCAACAAGAGAGAAATTCCGTATAAAAAAAAAAAACCCAACCAACAAATCTGGCCAGGCACAGTGGATCACAGGATCCCGTCTGTAATCTTAGCACTTTGGGAGGCCAAGGTGGGCAGATCACTTGAGCCCAGGAGTTCTATACCAGCCTGTGTAACATGGTGAATGAATCCTGTCTCTATAGAAAAATAAATTTAAGAAATCTACAGAAAAAAAGGCCGGGCATGGTGGCTCATGCCTGTAATCCCAGCACTTTGGGTGGTCGAGGAGGGCGGATCACGAGGTCAGGAGATGGAGACCATCCTAGCTAATATGGTGAAATCCGGTCTCTACTAAAAATACAAAAAAATTAGCCGGGCGTGGTGGCGGGTGCCTGTAGTCCCAGCTACTCAGGAGGCTGAGGCAGAAGAATGGTGTGAACCCGGGAGGTGGAGCTTGCAGTGAGCTGAGATAGTGCCACTGCACTCCAGCCTGGGCGACAGAGCGAGACTCCGTCTCAAAAAAAAAAAAAAAAAAAAAAAAGATATCTACAGAAAAAAAACAATTAGCCAGGCATGGTGGCATGCACCTGTAGTCCCAACTATCAGGGATGCTGAGGTGAAAGGATTGCTCGAGTCCAGGAAGTTGAGGCTGTAGTGAGCCATGAGTGTGCCTCCAGCCTGAGTAACAGAACAAGACCCTGTCTCAAAAAACAAAAAGGCCGGTCACAGTGGCTTACGCCTATAATCCCAGCACTTTGGGAGGCAGAGGCGGGGAGAACACTTTGAGGTGAGGAGTTCGAGACCAGCCTGGACAACATGGTGAAACCCTGTATCTACTAAAAATACAAAAATTAGCCAGGCGTGGTGGCACGCCTGTAATCCCAGCTACTCGAGAGGCTGACGCAGAAGAATGGCTTGAATCCAGGAGACAGAGGTTGCAGAGAGCCAAGATCGCGCCACTGCACTCCAGCTTGGACAACAGAGCGAAACTATTTCAAAACAAAAACAAACAAACAAAAAAAGGTTGGCCAGGCGAGGTGGCTCATGCCTGTAATCCCAGCACTTTGGGAGGCTGAGGTGGGTGGATCACGAGGTCAGGAGATCAAGACCATCCTGGCTAACATGGTGAAACACCGTCTCTACTAAAAATACAAAAAATTAGCTGGGCGTGGTGGCGGGTGCCTGTAGTCCCAGCTACTCAGAAGGCTGAGACCGGAGAATCACTTGAATCCAGGAGGTGGAGATTGCCATGAGCTGAGATCGCACCACTGCACTCCAGCCTGGGCGACAGAGGGAGACTCCATCTCAAAAAAAAAAAAAAAAAGAAAAAGAAAAAAAATGGCTGGGTGCGATGGCTCATACCTGTAATCCCAACACTTTGGGAGGCAGAGGTGGATGAATCACGAGATCAGGAGTTCAAGACCAGCCTGGCCAAGACAGTGAAACCCTGTCTCTACTAAAAATACAAAAAATTAGCCAGGCATGCTGGTTGGCGCATGTAATCCCAGCTACCCGGGAAGCTGAGGCAGAGAATTTCTTCAACCCGGGAAGCAGAAGTTGCAGTGAGCCGAGATTGCAGCACTGCACTCCAGCCTGGGTGACAGAGCAAGACAGCATCTCACAAAAAAAAAAAAAAAAAAAAAAAAGAAATACAAGCCAGGTGTGGTAGCTCATGCCTGTAATCCTAGCACTTTTGGGAGTCCAAGGCAGGAGGATCGTTGAGGGCAGAAGTTCAAGACAAACCTGGGTAACACAGCAAGATTCGATGTCAACAAAAAACAAAAAAGTTAGCTGGGCATGGTGGAGTGCACTTGTATTCCCAGCTACTTGGGAGCTGAGGTGGGAGGATGGCTTGAGCCCAGGAGTTCAAAGCTGCACTGAACTGCAAAGAACTATGATCACGCCACTGCACTCCAGCCTGGGTGACAGAACAAGACCCTTATCTGAAAAAAGCTTTGAAGACTGATTATCTTTTGATGGAAAATAAAAAAAATTTAACTTTTCCTTTGTATACCTTTATTTCCAAATGTTCTACAGTGTGTATTGCCTTTGAAATAAACATTCCAACAGTTTCAATACAAAAAACCATCTCATGTCATGATAAATTAAGTGATAAGGCTGTAGATCCATACATATCATTTGATCATTTAGAAATTATATATATTTATATATTATATATATTTATATATATAATATATAAATATATATAATTATATATATAATTTATATATATATAGAAATTCTCTCTCTATATATATATATAGAAATTTCCATGTCCATATAAATGTTTATATGGATATGGAAAAGTCTAGACTGATAAATACCAAACTGTGGTCACACAGAAAAGAGGCATGACTTTTGCATTATAATTTACTACATCCTTTTATTTTTCCCCTTCTGAGAATGTATTAATTTTGTGATTTAAAGTTCTAAACTAATGAGGCACAGCACTGTGGCTCACGCCTGTAATCCCAGCACTTTGGGAGGCCAAGGCAGACGGATCACTTGAGGTCAGGAGTTTGAGACCAGCCTGACCAACAAGGTGAAATCCCGTCCCTACTAAAAATACAACAATTTGGCCAGGTGCAGTGGCTCATGCCTATAACCAGCACTTTGAGAGGCCGAGGCAGGTGGATCATCTGAGGTCGGGAGTTCAAGACCAGCCTGGCCAACATGGTGAAATCCCATCTCTACTAAAAAAATACGAAAACTAGCCAGGTGTGATAGGACATGCCTGTAATCTCAGCTACTCTGGAGGCTGAGGCACAAGAATTGCTCAAACCCAGGAGGCGGAGGATGCAGTGAGCCGAGATCGTGCCACTGCACTCCAGCATGGGCGACAGAGTGAGATTCTGTCTCCAAAAAAAAATACCATATTAAAAAATTTTTTTTAACATAAAAATACAAAAATTAGCCAGGCATGGTGGTGGGTGCCTGTAGTTCCAGCTATTCAGGAGGCTGATGCAGGAGAATCACTTGAATTTGGGAGGCAGAGGTTGCAGTGAGCCAAGATCAAGTCACTGCATTCCACCTGGGTGATAGAGCAAGACTGTCTCAGAAAAAGCAAACAAAAAACGAAAATAAAGTTCTAAAACAATGAGAATAAACAGAACAAAATGTACTTTATATCACTTTTTAAGTTGCCATGTCAAAAATTTTAAGGAATTTTGGAAGTCGGAAATTAGGAAATTTCTCAGTGGCTAAGAGATCTGGCCTTATCAATCTATAAAGTAAGCAAAATGTGTTCTGCCAAAAAAAAAGTGTTCTACATACGCAATCTCTTCTTTCTAATATCAAGCAGTTTTTCCTCTAAATCCCAAGATTCCTGTTATTAAAAATAAAAAAGTTAAAGCACATTACTGTATGTAAGGACAAACCTGTAATACTTAAATCACTGAGTTTATCTACTAGCCTTAGTTATCTAAAGTTCCAGTTTTCAATTCCTCTATTTCCAGACAGCAAAAGGAAGACAGTAACTTAAATTATAAGTAGATAATGTTCAACATTAGTCAGAAATAATAGAATTTTGAAAAAAAGAGAGAACTCAAGGACAGCGAATTCCAATCATAGCATTCCCTTTGGACAATCTATTTAATCATATACAATACAGTTACCAGCAAGAAGTTGAGAGTAAAATCATGAGAATGCATAATCAGCCTAATGTGTAAGTTTACCTGCTGTGATTTCATTATTAATTTATTTAGCTCTAATAGGTGTTTCATGTTATCCATGAGCACACTGAAAAGGAAACAAAAAGATGATTTATTAAGGTTATTTGTAACTTAATTAAAAATAATAGCTGTCATTAATGAAGGAATCAATGAGTGAAAACTTACTTTCATTAAATCCACCGTACACTTGGATAAAAAGTCAGTTTAACAAAATAAATCTGGAAAAGTTTGATGTAAACTAAATTTCTGTTAAAACTAGATATGCATTTCCCTAGAAAAATGTTTGGTCACAGACATTGAAGAATACCAAATTTAAAAATGTGGGAACATTTCTAAAAATTTCATATTTAGAGAGGAAACACCCTAATAACTTCCTAACAAGCTGCTTTTGTTTTGAATTTATTTTTTAGAGCAATTTTAGTTTTTATTTTGAATGTATTTTTTAGAGCAATTTTAACAAGCTGCTTTTGTTTTGAATGTATTTTTTAGAGCAATTTTAGTTTCACAGCAAAACCGAGTGGAAGGTACAGAGATTTCTCATATACACCCTACCCCTGACACATGCATAGCCTCTCCCATTATCAACATCCCCTACACCAAAGTGGCACATTTGTTACAATCAACAAACCTATATCGACACATCATTGTTACCCAAAGTCCGGATTTTACATCAAGGTTCACTCTTGCTTGTGTATAGCCTACGGGTTTGTTTTCTGTGACAGGGTCTCGCTCTGCCACCCAGGCTGGAGTGCACTGGCACAATCACAGCTTCCTGCAACCTCACCTCCTGGGCTCAAGCGATCATCCTGCCTCAGCCTCAGAAGCAGCTGGGATTATAGGCATACACTACCATGTCCCACTAATTTTTACATTTTTTGTAGAGACGGGGTCTCCCTATGTTGCCCAGACTGGTCTGGAACTCCAGGGTTGAAGCAATCCTCCCTCTTCAGCCTCCCAAAATGGTAGGATTATAGACATGAGCTACTGAGGCCCCACCCATTCTTTGGGTTTTGACATATGTATAATTACATGCATCCACCATTATTGCAGCATACAGAATAGTTTCAAGGAACAAACTGCTTTTTTACTTCTTTAACAAATATTTTTGAGTACTTACTACATGCTTTCAAGAACTATGCCAGGTGCCAGGAATGTAAAATAAAATAAAACACAGTATCTGTTTTCAAAGAGGAAAGAATCTAGTGGAGAAAAATAAATCCACAATCATACTATAGCGCAGTAACAAATATGAACCAGAGTTATGCACAGGGTGGAATAAGGATATGAAGTAATTGCCTAGATCAAGTAGTTTGGTATGGCTGGAGCAAAACAGTATGGAATAAGACTGCGCAGAGCAGTGGCTCTCATACTTCAGAGTGCCACAGTCATCTGGGAGGTTCGTTAAGTAAGGATTCCTAGTTCCTGACCTTCAGATATGCTGATTCGGGGCCTGGTTCAGTGGCTCATGCCTGTAATCCCAGCACTTTTGGAGGCTGAGGCAGGAGGATTGCTTGAGCTCAGGAGTTTTGAGACCTGGGCAATATAGCAAGACCACATCTCTATTTAAAAAAAAAAAAAAGGTCAGGTACAGTGGATCCCTTGAAGTCAGAAGCTCGAGACTAGCCTGGCCAACATGGCAAAACCCCATCTCTACTAAAAATACAAAAATTAGCCAGGTGTGATGGTGTGTGTCTGTAATCCCAGCTACTCAGGAGGCCGAGGCAGGAGAATCGCTTGAACCTGGAGGCAGAGGTTGCAGTGAGCCAAGCAGATCGTGCCACTGCACTCCAGCCTGGGTGACAGAGCAAGATTCCGTCTCAAAAAAAAAAAAAAAAAAAAAAAAAAAAAAAAAAGATACGCTGATTCAGAAAGTTTGGGATAGGACCAACAATGTGATCACTATAATAGACATTATTCTGATAATCAGCCAGGTGTGAAAAACACTGTAGAAGCAACTAACTGAGAAGGTCAAAAGGGGAATATGCACAAACCTGGGAGAGCTGAACTCATTTTTCTACTATTTACAGCTATATTTGGTTGTCTTAAAAGATAAATTTAGGCATATTAAAATCTAACAAGTTTATTTGAGAAGACAATTCATGCATCTGGCAGCACAGGATTATAAGCTGTTAAGTGCTCTACTGTGGGAGTTGAGTGAGGAAGCTTTTATAAGGTGTTCATAGAAGACAAAATGTAATTGGTTGGTTAAAGTGGATCATCTCTAGTTAGAAGTTAGTTGGCAGTTTCTCATTGGGTAAGCTTAAGTTCCATTTTACTGTTTACATCAGGCTTACATAGGAATCCCAAGGTGATGGAGCTCAAGGCTAAAGATGGTTCTGCCTAATGGCATTCCAGTTGCATCCCAATTAATTTTTTTTAACAGTTATAAACTTTAAAATGTGCTAATAAAACACTGCCTCAGCCTATTTGACCTTTCTGTTTTTTTTTTTTTTTTTTTTTGAGACAGAGTCTCACTCTGTTGCCCAGGCTGGAGTGTAGTGGCACAATCTCAGCTCACTGCAACCTTCGCCTCCTGGGTTCAAGCGATTTTCCTGCCTCAGCCTCCCGAGTAGCTGGGATTACAGGTACCTGCCACCACGCCCGGCTAATTTTTGCATTTTTAGTAGAGATAGGGTTTTACCATGTTGGCCAGGCTGGTCTTGAACTTCTGATCTCAGACGATCCGCCTGCCTCGGCCTCCCAAAGTGCTGGGATTACAGGCGTGAGCCACCGCACCGGCCTGACCCTTCTGTTTTTTGGTGTCAACAGTGAAACTGGCCCAATTGTCCCACAGAACTGATGTTTATGATTTCTTTTGAATAAACATAGAAACTGACCCTCCCAGTCTTAAAGCTTGAGAAAGTTACAACTGTCTTACCTGAGTTCCCTTCTCAGGAAACCATCAGGACTCCCAGATAGTATCAAGGAACTGAAACTTATAAGATCACACCCTCTAGACAATAAGACATCAGACCCCTCACCCATCATGATTGCCTAACCTGCTTCCTATTGACTAACTCCTCTTCCTTACCCCTCCCTAATTCCTGTCTTCCCATACATGGGTACATATCTTCCCTGCTATATAAACCCTTAATTTGGCAGGGTGTGGTGGTTCACACCTGTAATCTCAGCACTTTGGAAGGCCAACGCAGGTGGATCCCTTTGAGCTCAGCAGTTCGCGACCAGCCTGGGCAACATGGCAAAACCCCATCTCTACAAAAAATACAAAAATTAGCCAGGCACGGTGGTGGGCACCTGTAGTCCCAGCTACCTGGGAGGCTGAGGTGGATCACTTGAACCTGGGAGGTGAAGGTGGTAGTGAGCTAGGATCACGCCACTGCACTCCAGCCTGAGCAACAGAGTGAGGCCCTGTCTCAAAAAAACAAAACAAAACAAAACACCTCCTTAATTTTAGTCCATCTAGGAGATGAGACTGATCTCCCCTCTCTTTGGCTACAGTACTCAAAGCCTTCTTCCTGACAACACTCATGTCAGTGATTACATTTCTGTGCAGCAAGCAACAGGACCTAGACCAAAGCCCTGACATTTCAGTAACAATGTGATGAATCTGTCCTGCTCTCCTGCACCCCACACCTTTAACTCAAGAATGTCTTTTTTTTTTTTGTTTTTGAGATGGGGTCTTACTATTGCCCAGGCTAAGGTGCTGTGGCAAGATCACAGCTTACTGCAGCCCCATGACCTCCTAGAATCAAGGCAGGAGGCTGATCCTCTCCCCTCAGCCTCTGGAGTAGCAAGGACTACTGGTGGCTCCACCATGCCTGGCTAATTTTTAAAAATTTTTTGTAGAGATGAGGCCTCCCTATGTTGCCCAGGCTGATCTCAAATGCCTGGGCTCAAGCTATCCTCCTGCCTCAGGCTCCCAAAGTGCTGGGATTACAGGCATGAGCCTCTGTACCCAAGCTAAACTCTCCTTTTATGGGAGAGAAAAAGTTATGAGTGTTCAAATTCAGATTTTTGGATTTATGTAATCCTGGATTTAGCTGGAATATGGGAAAATGTGTAGCAGTGTGGGCTAAGATACTCAAGATAGAAGTGCCTAGGTCAGACCAGCCTGGCCAACATAGTGAAACCCCGTCTCTACTAAAAATACAAAAATTACCTGGGAGTTGTAGCAGGTGCCTGTAATCCCAGCTATTCAGGAGGCTGAGGCACGAGAATTGCTTGAACCGCAGAGATGGAGGTTGGAGTGAGCTGCACTCCAGTCTGAGTGACAGAGCAAGATTCCGTCTCCAAAAAAAAAAAGTGCTTATACCCATGCAGGAATTTTTCTGGTGCTCAAGGGAAGGGGATATTTTATCACAAGAACTTTGGGAGATAAGATCATAGGTAAGAGGCCGGGTGCGGTGGCTCACACCTGTAATCCCAGGACTTTGGGAGGCCGAGGCGGGTGGATCACGAGGTCAGGAGATCGAGACCATCCTGGCTAACACAGTGAAAGCCCGTCTCTACTAAAAATACAAAAAATTAGCTAGGCGTGGTGGTGGGCGCCTGTAGTCCCAGCTGCTCGGGAGGCTGAGGCAGGAGAATGGCGTGAACCCGGGAGGCAGAGGTTGCAGTGAGCCGAGATCGTGCCACTGCACTCCGGCCTGGGCGACAGAGCAAGACTGTCTCAAAAAAAAAAAAAAAAAAAAAAAAAAAGATCATAGGTAAGACCTCTGAGGCCAGACACCAGGATACAGAGGACCTGACCTGCTAGTCTTTTTTTTTTTTGCTCATAATAATTTTTATTTTTTAAAAAATTTTATTATTATTATACTTTAAGTTTTAAGGTACATGTGCACAACGTGCAGGTTTGTTACATATGTATACATGTGCCATGTTGGTGTGCTGCACCCATTAACTCGTCATTTAGCATTAGGTATATCTCCTAATGCTATCCCTCCCCACTCCCCCAACCCCACAACAGTCCCCAGTGTGTGATGTTCCCCTTCCTGTGTCCATGTTTTCTCATTGTTCAATTCCCACCTATGAGTGAGAACATGCGGTGTTTGGTTTTTTGTCCTTGTGACAGTTTGCTGAGACCTGCTAGTCTTTATATTATATCCCTTGGAAAATTGTTGGATCCGAATAAGCTCATTTCTACCAATAAAAAATGAGGAGTATATTTCCTATCTCACTGTGTTTTGGATGGATTAAATGAGATAGCCCTGTTCCTGATTTATAGTAAATACTGAAGAAAATGAACTTTTAAAGCTTTCCCTTAAAATTTTCCAATCTTCTGGATAAACTCTTCTGCTTCTTACAGTTACAATCCATACGGAACAAAATATAATTAGAACTATAAAAGTTGCTGTAATTCTGGGGAGGACCTACAAAAATTTCATCACTTTCCTTATTCCCCAGACAAAGGTAGTTGGCAGTAATAATTTTTTAAAATTCACAAAACTAAAGTCACTATGCAGATCCCATCCTTACCGAATCCAGAGAAAAAAAAAATCATACCTAGACTGTCTGCTAATTTTCTCCAGGTTTTTTTTAAGTGCAGTTGAAAGTCTCATCCTATGAGAGGGAAAAAGCTTGCATTATAAAACATGGATAACATTTGTGGTACATTAAAAAAATTCAAAACATGAAAAAGATTGATTTCCCTTCAAATATACATAAAACAGAAGTAGGTTTTAAAATATTATTATAAGAGAAATACTTTGAGAAATAAAACACAAAAATATGAAATAACACCAAGATGGATAGGGCTGTTGCGTGTGGGTATACACTGCCAGAATGAGGGGCCAGGTGAATCTGAAACCTGGCCTGAGCTGAATGAGTTCTCTGAACCATCTACTTTTGTGCAAAGCCACTGGAAGGATTAAGGCACTACAAAGATCAGGATGGGCCTGAAATGAAGGACTTAGGGAATACAAAACCATATATGACTATAAACTTTAAAACTTTTTTTTTGTTTTTTGAGAGGGAATCTTGCTCTGTCACCCACAATGGAGTGCACAGTGGCGTCATCTCGGCTCACTGCAACCTCTGCCTCCTGGGTTTAAGTGATTCTCCTGCCTCAGCCTCCCTAGTAGCTGGGATTACAGGCACACACCACCACACCTGGCTAATTTTTGTATTTTTAGTAGAGACAGGGTTTTGCATTGTTGGTCAGGCTGGTCTTGAACTCCTGACCTCAGGTGATCCACCCACCTTGGCCTCCCGAAGTGCTGGGATTACAGGCGCGAGCCACCGCGCCCAGCCAGGTTAGGTGTATTAAATGCATTTTTCACTTACCATATTTTCAACTTACAATGGGTTTATCAGGACCTAAACCCACTGCAAATTGAGGAGCATCTGTAATGCAAATTTTCTCTCAGGGCTCAAAATCTGTGTGACCAGGCTGGGCTTGTGTAATCCCAGCATTTTGGGGAGGCTGAGGTGAGAAGATCGCCTGAGCCTAGGAGTTCAAGACCAGCCTGGGCACAGTGAGACCCCATCTCCATAAAAAATAAAAAAAATTAGCCAAGCGTGGTTTTGCATGCCTGTAGTCCCAGCTGCTCCAGAGGCTGAGGCAGGAGGATTGCTTGAGCTTGGGAGGTTGAGGCTACAGTGAGCAGTGATCATGTCGCTGTACTCCAGCGTGGGCAAGAGTGAGACCTTGTCAAATTAAAAAATTATAACAATAATAAAATAAAAATTTTGTGTGACCATTATCTAATCATCACTGTGCTTGACTAATTCACTCAGCCCAGTTAAAAGATTCCCTCCACTTTCCCCTCATACCCATTTTGCAGTCAGTTCACAATGCTTATATTTAAAATGTAATAATTACCTGTCTAATGCAAGCTTTTTTATCTCAAAAGCAACTTTTACCTCTTCAATTTCATTTTCCAGGTCTTCAATTTTACTATCAAAGAAACATGAGCAAAAGAATTTCAGCAATATCAGAAAAAGACATTATTGAAATAAATGTATAAAATAAGCCCTTAAAAAAGTAAAACACCTCTATCTAAATACAAGTATTCTACAGGCTCAATATACCAATGTGTATTTACACATTTGGTAAACTAATGCCCCTCAGCTACTTCACTTAGTATCTTATAAAAAGGGAGGCCAGAAAGTTCTAATGTGATCACTTGTGTACATATAAATCTCCATCCCAAATTAACAACTTCCCAATATATGCATCACAAGTTATTTGGAAAAATAAAGGAAAGGAAAAATAAAAACAATGCTATAGCATAGAAAAATGAGATTATGACCAGGCTCAGTGGCTCTTGCCTACAATCCCAGAACTTTAGGAGGCCAAGGTGGAGGATTACTTGAGGCCAGGAGTTTGAGAACAGCCTGGGCAACAAAATGAGGCCCCATCTCTACAAAATATATATATATTTTTGAGGCGGAGTTTCGCTCATTGCCCAGGTTGGAGTGCAATGGCGCAATCTTGGCTCACCGCAACCTCCGCCTCCCGGGTTCAAGCAATTCTCCTGCCTCAGCCTCCCGAGTAGCTGGGATTACAGGCATGTGCCATCACGCCCGGCTAATTTTGTATTTTCAGTAGAGATGGGGTTTCTCCATGTTGGTCAGGCTGGTTTCGAACTCCCGACCTCGGGTGATCCACCCACCTTGGCTTCTCAAAGTGCTGGGATTACAGGCATGAGTCACCGTGCCTGGCCCTAAAATATTTAAAAAAAAAAAAAAAAAAGAAAGAAAGTCAGGTGTGGTACAATGAGCCTGTAGTTCCAGCTACTCAGGAGGCTGAGGCCAGTGGATCCCTTGAGCCCAGGAGGTTGTGGCTTCAATGAACTATGATCACACCACTGCACTCTAGCCTGCATGATAGTGAGACTCCATCTAACAACAAAATAATAGAAAATATGATTAAATCTTAGTAAAGACCATAAACAAAATTTTTAAATATAACATACGCTTCGATTTGCTTTTCTTGCATAATTTGTTCTGGAGTTTTTTCTTCACCTGCAAATAAATAATTTTTTGAAGTTACTAACATTTTAGAGAGGTGCTGTCCAAAAGGAATATAATGTAAGCCACAAGGGCAAAAGACATCATTTAAAATGTCGTTTTCACATTACAGAAAAGAAACAGTGAAATTTAATTTTAATATACTTATTTAACCCAATAGATCAAAAATATTATTTCAATGTGCAGTCAGTTTAACATTACTAATGACATATTTCACATTATTCTGTCTGTATTTTACATTTACAGCCCATCTCAATGATGATTAACCTTTTGAGACCAGCCTGGGCAACATAGTGAAACTGTCTCTACTGAAAATTAGCCAGGCACAATAGTGCATGCCTGTAGTCCCAGCTACTCGGGAGGCTGAGGTGGGAGGATCGCTTGAGCCCACGAGGTTGGGGTTGCAGTGAGCCAAAATCTTGCTACTGCACTCCAGCCTGGGTGGCTGAGTGAGATCATCTCAAAAAAAAAAACATCAACCAACAAAGACAATGTGGCACTTGTGTAGGGATCAACAAATACCTCAATGGTACAGAAAAAAGCCTAGAACTTCCTGTGATGATGGAAATGTTTCCTATCTATGCTATCCCATAGGATAGCCACTGGCCACATGTGGCAACTGAGCATTTGATATGTACTTGATTTTAAATTTTATTTCATTTTAATTAGCTTTAAAAAGCCACGTGTGGCCAGGGGTGTGATGGCTCATGCCTGTAATCCCAGTACTTTGGGAGGCCGAGGCAGGTGGATCACCTGAGGTCAGGAGTTAAGAGACCAGCCTGGCCAACATGGTGAAACCCGTCTCTACTAAAAATACAAAAATTAGCCGGCCATGGTGGCAGGTGCCTGTAATCCTGGCTACTTGAGAGGCTGAGGCAGTGAATCCGGGAGGCGGAGGTTGCAGTGAGCTAAGATTGCGCCGCTGCACTCTAGCCTGGGCGACAGAACAAGACCCCGTCTCAAAAAAAAAAAAAAAACAGAAAAAACAAAAAAAGAAAATGTTCTGTATCTTTTTTTGGGGGAGACAGGGTCTCCTGTCACTGTCACCCAGGCTGTAGTGTAGTGGTGTGATCTCGGCTCACTGCAGCCTTGATATCCCAGGCTTAAGTAATCCTCCCACCTCAGCTGGGTGGGACTACAGGCACATGGTACCACATCTGGCCAATTGTTTTTTTTAGAGGTGGGGGTCTCGCTATGTTTCCCAGGCTGGTTGCCCTGGGCTCAAGCAATCCTCTCGCCTTGGCCCCTCAAAGTGCTGGGATTACAGATTGATCCACCATGCTCAGCCGAAAATGTTCTGTATCTTGATTGTGGTAGTGATTATACAGATTTAGAAATTTGTCAAAACTCATCAAATTGTACCCTTAAAATAGATGCCTTTATTGTAAAAAACAATCCTTTAACCAATAAAGTCTCAGTCACATATATATACATATACATATATATACATATATACACATACACACACATATATATACATATATATACATATACGTATATGTGTGTGTGTATATATATATATATTTTGTTTGTTTTTGTTTTTGAGACGGAGTTTTGCTCTTGTTGCCCAGGCCAGAGTGCAATGGCGTGATCTCGCGTCACTGCAACCTCCACCTCCCAGGTTCAAGCGATTCTCCTGCCTCAGCCTCCCCGAGTAGCTGAGCTTATAGGCATGCACCACCACGCCCAGCTAATTTTGTATTTTTAGTAGAGACGGGGTTTCTCTACGTTGGTCAGGCTGGTCTCGAACTCCTGACCTCAGGTGATCCGCCCACCTCGGCCTCCCAAAGTGCCGGGATTACAGGTGTGAGCTACCAAGCCCAGCCATATATATATTTTTTAAATGGTAAAAGAATCAATACTTATTTCTCTGTTGATTGCCTGACAGTCTCACTCTGTTGCCCAGTGGAGTGGAGTACAGTACAATCACTCAATCACTTGAGCCCAGGAGTTGGATGTTGTAGTGAGTCCCAGCTGGGACTATAGGTATGTATCACCATATCTGGCTACGTTTTTTTTATTTTTGTAGGGACGAGGTCTCACTTTGTTTCCCAGGCTAATCTCAAACTCTTAGCTTCAAGTGATCTTCTTGTCTTGGCCTCTAAAAGAGCAGATAGTCAATTTTAGATAAACATCTTCTTTCAAAGGCTACAACTAAACTTCCTGTGGCCTGCCTTACATCTGTCGTCTCCTAGGTATAGAAATTCTACAGTGTTAACTAAATCTAGTTTTTGGATGTCACAATCCCTTAAAAATGGTACTAGCTATATAGAGAACAAAAAGACTATTGGAACGTAAACTTTCTTCTCATTTGGATCTGAGCTCTAAAATCATCTTCTTAGAGAAGCCATCCCTATGAAAAGAAGCCCCTCCCTCTTATCATGCCTTTGTTTCCTTCAGCACACTTAGCATACTTCATAAATATCTTGCATGTTTACCAGTTTTGCCACACTATAACATATATAAACAATTTTTGGTAAAGTTAATTTTATTTTCACTCGAGTACTGTTAATCATCAAACTCACAAAATCTTATTTGAGGCCAGGTGTGGTGGCAAAACCCTGTGTCTACAAAAAAAATACAGAAAATTAGACGGGCGCAGTAGCATGTGCCTGTGGTCCCAGTTACTTGGGAGGCTGAGGTGGGAGGATTGCTGGAGCCCAGGAGGCTGAGGCTGCAGTAAACCAGAGACTGCGCCACTACATTACAGCCTGGGTGATAGCAAGACCCTGTCTCAAAAAAACAAACAAACAAACAACAAAACCCTAATTTGAAAATGAAAATACTTACTTGCATCAACCATTGATTTATATTCTAAGAGTTGTTGTTTTGTCTGTGCTCTCAGCCTGAAAACAGATAAAGAGAATATAAAGTCACATATTTATTGATTAAGGTTTTACTCATTACCACATGACGAACCAACTCATTCTTTTTCGGAAGCTGATACAACAAAATAAATATAAATAATTAAACTCCTAATTACAAACTTCTAATTTGGCCTCATTTTATTTAAAATGGGTATAAAGAACTTTAAGGCCTCAGAGGAAGACACAAAATGGAATACACTGGGAAAACAGCATCTGTCAGGAAAAGTTAAAAAATTGGTGTTTAAGATTTTTTTCTTTTTTTGAGACGGAGTCTTGCACTCTTGCCCAGGCTGGAGTGCAGTGGCGCAATCTCGGCTCACCACAAGCTCCGCCTCCCGGGTTCACGCCATTCTCCTGCCTCAGGCTCCCAAGCAGCTGGGACTACAGGCGCCTGCCACCATGCCCGGCTAATTTTTTGTATTTTTAGTAGAGATGGGGTTTCACCGTGTTAGCCAGGATGGTCTTGATCTCCTGACCTCGTGATCCACCCGCCTCGGCCTCCCAAAGTGCTGGGATTACAGGCGTGAGCCACCGCACCCGGCCGCTTAAGATTATTTTTAATAGGCCAGACTGAACTGAGGATGCTATACAAAGAATAGACCAAAATGATTAAACCCCAAACCACTGTATTTACAAACACAGATTTTTATCAGGAGATACAGAAAAATAACAAAGATACTAATCCTTGGATTACTAATTCATATAGTTTTTCAGTTGTTCTATAAATCCAAAAATCATACATAAGTAGAAAAACTATGAGCAAATGGTAATTTAAGATGACAGCAAGGGTGAGGAGGAAAAAACAATAAAAAAGAAATAGACATCTTTTCATTTTTCAAAACATTTAAGAAAGAAAAAAATGGTAATTAATTTTTTTTTTTTGAGTCAAGAGTCTTGCTCTATTGCCCAGGCTGGAGTGCAATGGCACAATCTTCTGCTCACTGCAACCTCTGCCTCCCGGGTTCAATCAATTCTCTTGCCTCAGCCTCCTGAGTAGCTGGGATTACAGGCGCCCGCCACCACGCCCAGCTAATTTTTGTATTTTTAGTAGAGACGGGGTTTCACCATGTTGGCCATGGTTGGCCAGGCTGGTCTTGAACTCCTGACTTAAGGTGATCCGTCTGCCTCGGCATCCCAAAGTGTTGGGATTACAGGCGTGAGCCACCGCGCTCAGCCAATAATGATTTTTTTAAAACTACCTCTGTTATGATATAGAACAGAGGACCGCAAATTTTTTTCTGTAAAGGACCTGATAGTAAATTTTTTAGGGTTTGTGAGTCACACGGTCTCTGTTTTAGCTACTCAATTCCACCCTTGTGGCAGGAAAGTTGTACTCCAATAAAACTGTTTATGGAAACTGAAACTTGAATTTCTAATAGAGTTCACGTGTTATGAAATATTTTTATGATCTTTTCCCTGCAACACTTAAACATAAAAACTATTCTTAGCTTGAGTGGTCACACAAAAATAGGCAGTTAGGCAGATTTGGCCCAGGACCTTCTCCTGCTCACTAGTTTAGAAGACGAATGTCCCTTCTCATCGAATCTTCCCCAGCAACCGCTTAGTGGAAAAGTATAAACACCGTCCGCTTAGTAGAATTTATAACATATAAAGCTTCTGGGTTACAAAGGGTCGTAGTTCTAAAAGAAATGGTAGGGGCACCTTCCTTCCAGTTTAGCTCTGGCATTCAATTTGTCTGTAAACCAGAGAGGTAGGGGGAGGGCGGGGAAACAGGAGGAGAAATTACAGCTTCTAAGGGCCCGGGGCACTGTGCTCAACACTTTCCTAGACTATCTCATTTAACCCTTGTAACCTCTCTCCAGGGGGTCATTTTTCTCTCCTTTTCGCTGATGAAGAAAGAGCTTCAACAGTTTAAGTGAATGAGGCAATCACGGAGACCTGACGTGACCGAGCGTGAATTCGAACCCTAGCCCTTCTGAGCAAGGGCGGAGTTCCGGGCCACAACGCCCACTTGGCCCCGGCTGAGGAGGCCAAAGGGAACAACCTGAGGAGCAGGGTCATGCGGTCCTCGCTGCACGCCGCCTGGGCGCCGGCGACCTGCGGTGGCCCGCCTGCCCGGCCTTCCCCTCCGGAGTCCGCGGGCTCGTCGGCGTCTTGCATCTGGGGCTGCTCCTCCATTGCTGGTTGAGGGGAAAGGCTACCACTCAACAGGCAAACGCGCTCAGAAAAGGTCGCTTTTCCCGCCACTAAATGGACGCCGGGAAAAGGCCCGAGGGCCCCGCCCCTTCCGCCCAGGGCCCCACCCTTTCCGCCTTGTTTTTCGGTTGCCGTGGTTACTACGGGCTCCTCTTTCATCCGGGCTCTACTGGTGAAAATAACTGCAGACGGCTGGTAAAAAGTTGGAATAGCTTTCGTTAAGCGTCGGATGTGTAGAGTGCTGAGTTAGGGGCTGGACTAGAGACGTTGGGACATCTCCCGGGAACAGCAGCCTGGAGGGGAAAAATCTCCTGACCTAAGTGGTCATTCGGCCTTGGCGCTTGGACACGGGAGTGCGGCGACAGCCATATGTCCATCCATCTTGGCACTTTTCCGTCCTCTGCCTTTGAAGATGGGTGTGCCCGGCAGGCTGTGAAAGATAAACATTAGAGGGTTGTTTAGAAGACTTTTTTGACCTGAGCCCATGAGGTGCATACCCTTTGTTTGGCGGAGAAACCAGTGGCTTCTGAAGATCAGGGACGGGCCACAAGTGCGAGGCATTGCAGACATTTCGAACCCAGACTTCCAGCCTGGAGACATCCACACGCTTCCAGTTTCTTGCACTGGTACTTCATTCTGTCATTATGATTGCCACCACTCGTAACTGAGAGTTGCGTGCCCTCAAGTTTTGAGTGTCTGCAGGGTACCTTTGAGCTTTCTTAGCTGTGTAGTGAGTGGGGGGAATGGAGAAAATGAAGGACAGATGACTGATTTGTAGTTTTTCATTTGGACACTGTCCTTGCCGCACAAGCACAGCAGCTTGAACCTCTTTGAACAAGAGTCGAGAGTTCTTTTACAGCTAATTACCCACTAGTTAAACTTGATCATACTGTGCTGTTTTCTTCCTCTCCATTGTCAATGTAATACGGCTCCTGACAAAAGTTAAATTCGCTGGGCGTGGTGGCTCACCCCTGTACTCCCAGCACTTTGGGGGCTGAGGCGGGTGGATCACCTGAAGTCAGGAATTCAAGACCAGCCTGGCCAACATGGTGAAACCCCGTCTCTACTAAAAATACAAAAGTTAGCTGCGTGTGGTGGCGGGCGCCTGTAATCCCAGCTACTCAGGAGGCTGAGGCAGGAGAATCGTTTGAACCCGGGGGGGCGGAGGTTGCAGTGAGCTGAGATCGCGCCACTGCACTTCAGCCTGGGTGACAGAGTGAAACTCCGTCTCAAAAAAAAAAAAAAAAGCCGGGCGCTGTGGCTCACACCTATAATCCCAGCACTTTGGGAAGCCGAGGGGGGAGGATCTCGAGGTCAGGAGTTGGAGACCAGCCTGACCAACATGGAGAAACCTCGTCTCTACTAAAAATACAAAATTAGCCAGGCGTGGTGGTGGGCACCTGTAATCCCAGCTACTGGGGAGGCCGAGGCAGGAGAATCCTTTGATCCCGGGAAGCAGAGGTTGCAGTGAGCCGAGATCACACCAGAGATGCACGCCAGCCTGGGCAACAGAGCAAGATTCCTTCTCGAAAAACAAACAAACAAACAAAAAAACAGTTCAAAAGACACAGAATGGACTGGTGGCGATGGCCCACGCCTGTAATCCCAGCACTTTGGGAAGCCAAAGCGGAAGGATCGCTTGAAGTCAGGAGAACAGCCTGGGCAGCATAGTGAGACCTCGTTTCTACTTAAAACAAAAACAAACAAACAAACAAAAAAACAACAGGTGTGGTGACTTAGACCTGTGGTCCCAGCTACTCAGGAGGCTGAGATGGGAGGATCACTTGGGCCCCAGCCGTTGAGGACTGCAGTGACCTATGATCGCACCACTGCTCTCCATCCTGGGTGACAGAGTGAGACCCTGTCTCAAAAAAAAAAAAAAGCACAGGATGTAAAATCAGGCATTAGGTTTGCTATTCCTACATGTAAACTTATGGAACATTTTCTTGTTTCCTTTCATTTTGTTTTACAAAAAGGATGATCCCATTGTTAACTTTTTCTCTTTACCACTTAGTGGATGCCTTCCACTGTCTCACCACAATCTTATCCTTTTAAGCAGTTGCCTATCAGGTGTCTCCACTGCTCACATTTGGGACAAAAATAATGCAATGTGCAGTCGCTCACGCCTGTAATCCCACCACTTTGGGAGGCCAAAGTGAGCAGATCACCTGAGGTCAGTAGTTTGAGACCAGCCTGGCCAACATGGTAAAACCCCATCTCTACTAAAAATACAAAAAAGACTGTCTCAAAATTTTTTTTTATAAAAATAATAATGCAATGGTTATCCAACCGTGAGAATTCGGAGGAGACCTTGTTAAAACACATTTCTGGGTGTCTCTAGGATTGTTTTGCATTTGTAACAAGTTCCCAGGTAAAGTTGCTCTTGCTTATTGAGGAGGACACTTTGAGAACCACCACCATAAAGGGTCATAAAACGCAATTAAAAAAAAAATTCACAGTAAAACAAAAAAGGGTGGGTGTAAGGCCCTGCATGGTGGCTGATGCCTATAATCCTAGCACTTTGGGAAGGCGAGGCAGGCAGATCACTTGAGGCCAGGAGTTTGAGGCCAGCATGGCCAACATCGCGAAACCCCATCTCTACTAAAAATACAAAAATTAATCAGGCACAGGGGCACACGCTTGTAATCCCAGCTACTCGGGAGGCTGAGACAGGAAAATCGCTTGAACCAGGGAGGCTGAGGTTGCAGTGAGCCAAGATAGCACCACTGCATTCCAGCCTGGGTGACAGAGTGAGACCCTGTCTCGGGGGGTGGGGGGAAAGGGTGGGTGTGGGTAGGGAGCTATCCATTAAAAAGTCAATAATAAAGATAGAAGAGATGATAGAATTAGAAAACTACCATCTTACCACTCCCAGGGAGATAAATGTCAGGAAAGTATAATTAATGAGTGCTAAAACTAGAGACCAGCACTTCAGAGGAATGTTATAGCTAGTGGTTACCACCTTAACCAGATGGTCAAAATTGGTATCAAAAATGGTATAACAATCTGATGTCTGATTCTAATATAATGCATGAGTTGTACACATCACCTATATTGCCAAATGTGTAACCTGAACTTAACTGTGCTGAAAACATGAGACAAGAAATCCAGACTGAGGAACATTCTACAAGACAATTCATGTCTATGTCCTGAAACACAGAAAACAGGGCAGTTGTTCTATATAGAAAAACAAACCATGATTGAATCTTGGATTGGAAAAGGAAAAAAAATAAAAGCCCTAATACATTTTTGGAACAACTGAGGAAATTTGAATATGTTCTGCATATTAGATATTAAGTTACCAATTTTCTTAGTGTGATAGGATTGTGGCAGGGTTTTTTTTTTTTTTTTGATTTTTAGAGTCATGGTCTCACTCAGGTTGAACCACAGGCCACCATGCCTGGCTAATTTTTGTAGAGACAGTGTCTTGCGCTGTTGCCCAGGCTGGTCTTAAACTCCTGGCCTCAATTGATCCTCCTACCCTGGCCTCCCAAAACACTGGGATTACACCGCTGGTGTGGTGGCTCATGCCAGTAATCCCAGCACTTTGGGAGGCTGAGGCAAGAGGATCTGTGGAGCCCAGGAGTTCGAGACCAGCCTGGCCAAGATTTAAAACAAAAACAATCATGGGATTACAGATGTGAGCCACTGTGCTAGCAGAAAGATGCCTTTTTAACATGCCACATCTTCAGTAACATTAAAAATCACCAGGCACACTTGGTTTATCAACCAAGGAAAGCACATACCTTTCCTTCTTTTCTTTACTTTCCTTCCTTTCCTTACTGTTCTGAGGCTTTTTAATAAAATTTCACTCCTGCTCTGAAACTTGCCTGGGTTTCTTCTTCTGCCTTATGCCCCTCAGTCAAATCCTTTCTTCTGAGGAGGCAAGAATTGAAAATTCTTAAAAAAACACCCAACATCAAGCTGACAAAAAATAAATAAATAAAATCTCAAAAGATATTGACTGGCCAGGTGCGGTGACTCACACCTTTAATCCCAGCACTTTAGGAGGCCGCGGTGGGCAGATCACGAGGTCAGGAGTTCGAGACCAGCCTGACCAACATGGTGAAACCGCATCTCTACTAAAAATACAAAAATTAGCCAGGCGTAGTGGCATGCGCCTGTAATCCCAGCTACTCAGGAGGCTGAGGCGGGAGAATCACTTGAATCTGGGAGGTGGAGGTTGCAGTGAGCCAAGATTGCGCCACTGCACTCCAGCCTGGGTGACAGAGACACCATCTCAAAAAAAAAAAAAAAAAAAAAAAAGAAAAGAAAAGAAAAAGAAAAAGATATTGACTGGCCAGGTGCGGTGGCTCATGCCTGTAATCCCAACAGTTTGGGAGGCCGAGGCTGGCAGATCACTTGAGGTCAGGAGTTCGAGACCAGCCTGGCCAACATGGTGAAACCCCCTCTCTACTAAAAATACGAAAATCAGCTGGGCATGGTGGTGAACACCTGTAATCCCAGCTACTCGGGAGGCTGAGGCAGGAGAATTGCTTGAACCAGGGAGGCAGAGGTTGCAATGAGTCGAAATTGTGCCAGTGCACTACAGCCTGGGCAACAGAGGGAGACTGTCTCAAACAAACAAACAAAAGTACACTCCACAGGGTGGTAGCAGGCCAAGCATAGGGTCCCAAGAGCCAGGTTACAGAATTTTCTGGGGTTTAAATACCCTCTAGAGGTTTCCCATTGGCCACTTGGTATACACCCCATGCAAATAAAGTAGTGTCCCACAATTAGTATGATTGGTTGTAGAAAGCAGCCAATCAGAAGTACTTTCCACTTTCCATCTGCCACACAGGAAAAGGGGGGTGGGGGTTTGCAAAGGGAGTACCCTCAGGTCCATTTGTTACTTAAGTGTGGAAAGTTGGGGTTTTCCTTTTGATTTAGTTCTAGGAAGTCAGCGTGAATCTGCCTTAGGTTCCCTGCCTCCAGACCCTATTCTATTGCCTCACTTTCATGACTAAAATATAGAAAATATTTAAACTAGAAAATAAAGGAGATGGTGGGAATAATGTAAAAGCTACAACCACAAAATAAAAATGGTAGAAATGGTAACACCAAAAACTAGTTCTTTCAAAAGGCCAATGAAATAATCTCATGGGCAAGTCTGATTAGAAAACAAAAGTACTCAACATCAGGACTGAGAAAGAAGATATAACTGTACATTCAGAAGAGATTAATTTTGTCATGGTCCTCTACAACTATAACTTTAAAAATCTAGAATGGATGATTTTTTTTTCTTTTTTTTTTTTGTAAGAGGCAGGGTCTTGCTGTGTCACCCAGCTTGGAGTGCAGTAGCATGAACATAGCTCACTATAGCCTCAAACTCCTGGGCTCTAGTGATCCTCCTGCCTCAGCATTCTAAGTAGCTAGGTCTACAGGCACATACCACCATGACTGCCGGGCTAATTTTTTAAATTATATATATATTTTTTCTAATAGAGACAGGGTCTCACCATGTTGCCCAGGCTGGTCTCAAATTCCTGGGCTCAAGCAATCCTCCTGACTAGGCCTCCTAAAGTGCTAAGATTCGATTTTTTATATTTTTTTAGAGACAGGGTCTCACTATGTTGCCCAGGTCAGTCTTGAACTCCTGGCCTCAAGCAATCCTCCTGCCTCAGCATCCCAAAGTGCTGGTATTATAGGCATGAGCCACCAAACATGGACATAATTTTCTATTGTTGCAGGGTGGGGGCGGGGGCCAGGGGAACATCTCTAAAAGAGCGATTATATCATACAGAGAGAAAAATTTTTAGAGACCAAAAAAGCATGGAATATCTACCATTTTATTTTTTGAGACAGGGTCTCACTCCCACACCCAGGCTGGAGTGCAGTTGCGTGATCTTGGCTCACTGTAGTCTTGACTTCCCTGGCTCAGGGATTCTCCCACCTCAGCCTCCTGGGTAGCTGGAATCACAGGTGCACTCCAGTACGCCTGGCTAATTTTTGTATAGATGAGATTTCGCTATGTTGCCCAGGCTGGTCTTGAGCTCCTGGTCTCAAGCAGTACACCCGCCTCAGGCTTGAAAAGTGCTGGGATTACAGGTGTGAGCTACTGTGACTGGCCTATTATATTTAATAGCTCCAGGACAAAGGACTTTACTGTTTAATTTAGCTAGTTTCCAACGAATGAATGGGAACTTCAAATGATTTAAGGCTTTAAAAAGATGAAACTGGCCGGGTGTGGTGGCTCACGCCTGAAGTCCCAACACTTTGGGAGGCCCGATCACCTGAGGTCGGGAGTTCGAGACCAGCCTGATCAACATGAAGACACCCTGTCTCTAATAAAAATACAAAATTAACGGGCATGGTGGTGCATGCCTGTAATCCCATCTACTCGGGAGGCTGAGGCAGGAGAATCCCTTGAACCCAGGAGGCAGGGGTTGCAGTGAGCCGAGATTGTGCCATTGCACTCCAGCCTGGGCAACAAGAGTGAAACTCCGTCTCAAAAAAAAAAAAAAAAAGAAAGGAAGAAACCGGCCAGGCGCAGTGGCTCACACCTGTAATCCCTGCACTTTGGGAGGCCAAGGCAGGCAGAACATGAGGTCAGGAGATAGAGACCATCCTGGCCGACATGGTGAAACCCTGTCTCTACTAAAATAAAAATTAAAAAAATTAGCCAGGCGTGGTGGCATGCGCCTGTAGTCCCAGCTACTCGGGAGGCTGAGGCACGAGAATCACTTGAACCCGGGAGGCAGTGAGCCAAGATCGTGCCACTGCATTCCCGCCTGGCGACAGAGCAAGATTCTGTCTCAAAAAAAAAAAAAAAAAAAAGATGAAACCCTCTCTAATCTACCTTAAGGCTAGTAAAATAAAACATGAGACAACAGTAGCAACAAAAATCAAGCAAATTTTCCATGAGCTGCAAAAAAAAAAATTTTTTTTTTTCGAGATGGAGACTCCCTCTGTCGCCCAGGCTGGAGTGCAGTGGCACAATCTCAGCTCACTACAAGCTCCGCCTCCTGGGTTCATGCCATTCTCCTGCCTCAGCCTCCCGAGTAGCTGGGACCACAGGTGCCCACCACCATGCCCGGCTAATTTTTTTGTATTTTTAGTAGAGACGGGGTTTCACAGTGTTAGCCAGGATGGTCTCTATCTCCTGACCTCGTGATCTGCCCCTCTCAGCCTCCTAAAGTGCTGGGATTACAGGCGTGAGCCACCACGCCTGGCCCGAGCTGCAAAAATTTGTAAGTGAAGTATTAGCAAATTAAATGTATATACCATAAGCAAGAATTCATTCCACCATAGTGAGATATGAAGCCGACTGGGCTTCTCTGTCTAGCTAATCAGGTAAAGGACTTGGAGAACTTTTCTGTCTAGCTAAAGGATTGTAAACACACCAATGAGCACTCTGTGTCTAACTAAAGATTTGTAAATGCACCAATCAGCACTGTGTAAAAACGCACCAATCAGTGCTCTGTGTCTAGCTAAAGGTTTGTAAACGCACCAATCAGCACTCTGTAAAAATGGACCAATCAGCACTCTGTAAAATGGACCAATCAGCAGGAAGTGGGCAGGGCGAAATAAGGGAATAAAAGCTGGCCACCTGTGCCAGCAGGGGCATGGGTTCTATTCTATGCTGTGGAATGTTTGTTGTTTTGCTCTTTGCAGTAAATCCTGCTGCTGCTCACTCTTTGGGTCTGCACTGCCTTTATGAGCTGTAACACTCACCGGAAGGTCTGCAGCTTCACTCCTGAAGCCAGCGAGACCATGAACCCACCGGGAGAAGAGAACAGTGCTGTCTTTATGAGCTGTAACACTGTAACACTCACTGCAAAGGTCGAAGGTCTGCGGCTTCACTCCTGAAGTCAGCGAGAACATGAACCCACCAGAAGGAAGAAACTCCGGATACACCTGAACATCAGAAAGAATAAACTCCGGACACACCATCTTTAAAAACTGTAACACTCACCGCGAGGGTCCGTGGCTTCATTCTTGAAGTCAACGAGACCAAGAACCCACCGGAAGGAACAAATTTCGGACACAATAGGAAATCTCTAAGGTGGAATACTATATCAAAAGAGAGAAGCCAAAATGATATCATACGCTGAAAATGTTAATGGAATTCCACAACCTTGCCTATTAAAAACTCCACAGTTTGAGCACAGCATGGAATCAAAATTTAAAAAATAAACATGACATAGTATTTTTATCATTTGATATTTTTTGCTATTTAATTGGTCTTTGTAGTTTCTATTACTGTGTGACATCAATTCAGTGACAGGAAACCATTTATTATCACTGATTATTTCAGAGATTCTAATATTATAAAATAGGTGAAACTTTTGGATTTAAGGACTAGAAAATTCTCCAATAAAAAACACTCAAGAAGGGCTGGGCACAGTGGCTCACACCTGTAATCTCAGCATTTTGGGGGGCCACTGCCGGGTGGATCATGAGGTCAGGAGATCGAGATCATCGTGGCTGGCACAGTGAAACCCTGTCTCTACTAAAAATACAAAAAATTAGCTGGGCGTGGTGGCGGGCACCCCTAGTCCCAGCTACTCGGGAGGCTGAGGCACGTGAATGGTGTGAACCCGGCGGGGCAGAGTTTGCAGTGAGCCGAGATCGCGCCACTGCACTCCAGCTTGGGCAACAGAGCTAGACTCTGTCTCAACAACAACAACAACAAAAATATTAAAGAAGGAAAACTGATGTCAACTGGATAAGATATTAAAAATAGAAGTGGGCGTCAGGCGCATTGGCTCACGTCTATAATCCCGGTGCTTTAAGAGGCTGAAGTGGGAGAGTCACTTGAGGCCAGGAGTTTGAGACCAGCTTGGACAACATAGTGAGACCCCATCTCTACACAGAAAAGGAAAAAATAAAATATTAGCCAAATGTGGTTGGCCCACCTGTAGTGATAGCTACCTAGAAAGCTGAGGTGGTAGGATAGCTGGAGTTCAGGGCAGCAGTGCACTATGATTGCACCACTGTACTCCATCCTGGGCGACAGAGAGACATTGTCTCTATTTAAAACTAAACAGGAGTGGGATACACTACTAGGGAGATGAAGAAAAAAATTTAAAGAAACAGAAGTGGGAAATATATCCCATTCACAATAACGACAAAAGGCAAAAGGCATAAATCCAACCATAAATTTAAGAAAGTTGCAGAATTATACAATTAAATTCCAACGTTATTGAAGGGCATGCAACAAGGATTGATAGTTTCTAGATGGTAAGATAATATGTCAGTCTATCCCAAGCTAGTACATAATGTATAGTCAAAATCTCAAAGGAGGGTCGGGCGCGGTGGGTCACGCCTGTAATCCCAGCACTTTGGGAGGCTGAGGCGGGCGGATCACCTGAGGTCAAAAGTTCGAGACCAAACTGCCAACGTGGTGAAACCCTGTCTCTACTAAAAATACAAAAAAATTAGCCAGGCATGGTGGCCCGTGCCTGTAGTCCCAGCTACTCCGGAGGCTGAGGCAGGAGAATCACTTGAACCAGGGAGGCAGAGGTTGCAGTGAGCTGAGATCGCACCACTGCACTCCAGCCTGGGCAACAGAACGAGACTCCCTCTCAAAAAACAAAACAACAACAACAAAACTCAAAGGAACTTTTTGGTAACTGTACACAATTTTAAAGTTTTTATAGAAAAGTGTTCAGTAGTACTCCCATATATTTGGTAAGCCTCATCTTAACTGATTAACTGGTAAAAACTATTGTATTATCACAGGAAAAAACAAGATCAAGGAAGAATAGATGGGCATTGAAGATATTTCAAGTTGGACAAGCAGGGTTTCAGTCATGGCACTGGCATAAACGGGTATCCATCTGTAAGAATTCTACTTTATACCACATATAAAAATCGCCTACTGAGGGCCGGGCGCGGTGGCTCACGCCTGTAATCCCAGCACTTTGGGAGGCCGAGGTGGGCGATCACGAAGTCTGGAGATTGAGACCATCCTGGCTAACACGGTGAAATCCCGTTTCTACTAAAAATACAAAAAATAAGCCGGGTATGCGCCTGTAATCCCAACTCCTTGGGAGGCTGAGGCAGGAGAATCACTTGAACCTGGGAGGCGGAGGTTGCAAGTGAGCTGAGATCATGCCACTGCACTTCAGCCTGGGTGACAGTGTGAGCCTCCGTCTCAAAAAAAAAAAAAAAAAAGTTAACGTGGCAAATATCTTTTGCCAGTTGGAGTCATAGAAATAAAAGACTGATTACCTTCAGTTTTAATAATGCAGAGAAAACTGGCACCTTTTGACTCCGTCTCAAAAAAAAAAAGTTAAAATGGCAAATATTTTTTGCCAGTTGGAGTCATAGAAATAAAAGACTGATTACCTTCAGTTTTAATAATGCAGAGAAAACAGGCACTTTTGTATGTCATCTGGTTCTATCAAAATTTAAAATGCATGTTTGCTTTAGGGAACCTAGAATACACACAAAAAAGCATGGTATAAAACAGTAAATTGGCCAGGTGTGGTGGCTCACGCCTTTAATCCCAGCACTTTGGGAAGCTGAGGCGGGTGGATCACCTGAGGTCGGGTGTTCAAGACCAGCCTGACCAACATGGTGAAACTGCGTCTCTACTAAAAATACAAAATTAGCCGGGCGCGGTGGCGCATGCCTGTAATCTCAGCTACTCAGGAGGCTGAGGCAGGAGAATCGCTTGAACCTGGGAGGCAGAGGTTGCAGTGAGCTGAGATAGCGCCATTGCACTCCAGCCTGACGACAGAGTGAGACTCTTGTCTCAAAAAAAAAAAAAAAAACAAAAACAAAAGCCCCAAAAAACAGTATTATCAACAAAATTGTAGGGGCAAAAAGAAAAAGCAATCTGAACGAACAGGGGAAATGGTTGAATCCATTAGTCATGTGTTGCTTAAGGACTGGGATATGGTTTGAGAAACCTATCATTAGGTGATTTTATTGTTCAAACATCAGTGTACTCACACAAATCTAGATGGCATACCCTCCTGCACTCCTAGGCTATATAGTATAGGTTATAGCTCCTAGGCTACAAATCTATACACCATATTATTGAATACTGCAGGCAATTATAACACAAGTCAGTATTTGTGTATCTAGGCACAAGAAGAGGTACAGTAAAAATATGGCATCATAATCTTATGGGACCACCATTGTATCTGTAATCTATCTTTGACCAAAATGTTCATGGGGCACATGACTATTTATCTGTACCATGTAATATAATGCACAAATACAGGTAGGCTTATGTATGTTGAAAGTAATTGTTATGTATATAGAATGAACCACATTTTTAAAAAACCCATAAAAATTCATATGCACATCTGTATTTATACAAGGCATGAAGGATAAATCCATAATTGATGTCCTTCAGGTGGGTGGGATTTAGAAAGAGCCTAAGGAAGCAGTAAACTAACTTTTTAAAAAAGATACCTTTTGTATTTGAGTATTGTTTTATTAACCAAAACACAAAACCAAAATGAAAACTGGCTTAGAATATAAAATTCTCATTTTTCAAAGTGAAAGTTTGAAGATACTAGCTAAAGTTGATAACTTAAATAGTGGTAAAAGTAAATAACTTAGAATTATGGCAGCAATCACAAGAAGAAACAGAAAACAGGGGGACTAGGGATTCGGTGGTAGACTTTTACTTTAAAATAGAGCTATGCAGCAGATTCTCCATGACTTGGCTTACATGCAGTATGTCCTATGGAAGTAAAATTTTCAAATACCTCCATCACCTTCAGTAACTCATATTAATAAAGTAAAAGCCAGGTATATAAAACAAGAACCCAGTATATAAACATATACATCAATTGGATCCCCAGGTAAACCAAAAGGAGTTTTTAAAAATATCCCCACCATACCTTTTAAGACAACTTTTCCGCTACCCTACAGTAGGAAGTAACCACATTCAAATTAGTTAAGCTATAAAAAAGTAAAAGGGGCCACAAGCTTTATTAAAAGTAAATGCAACAGTAATATGTACAGATGGCACATGGTGCCAATTTTATTTGTAAATATAGTACTCCAACTCAAGTTTACAAGTTACACCTTTGCCACAGCCTTGGCTAAATCTTGAACTAGTGCAGAATTCAGCTGTGGTAGAGTGCTGATCTTAGCATGCTTCGATGTGGCATACTTGTTCTTGACAGTCTGGAAGACAAAAAGATAGCAATTAAAGAGGCAAAAGAAAAAAAATCACAAGATGCAATGATACAGGTATTCATTTAAAACATTAACTCATTAAAAATAAACCAGGCATTTGCAGGCATTAAGTTTGAATTATTACACTTTTCAGCATCTTACAATGCCACTATATTGACTCACCATGTGCTTTGTAAGTCCTTGATTTACCATGACTACATTCTTAGCCAGGTGCTGCATAACTGGAAGAAGAGATTCTTCAGTATATGACAGGTAATGTTGTAGAGTTGGTGTCTAAGGCAACAAGTTAATGTTAAAAATGCTCAAATCAATAATGATTTTCATAAAGTTTCTAGATGTTAGATGTTATTCAGGAGTGGAAAAGAGATGGGTACTGTATAATTAATATAACTGAAATTTAAGACAAAGCTAAAGACTCCTTTCCTAGGTGCTCTCATGCTTCCTCTGCTCAAACCTAATTGCACTTTTGTAATTGCTGACTTGCCCACCCTAAAACTAGACTCCACTTCCTTGAGGCCAACTTTGTAATTTTTTTTTTTTTTGAGATGGAGTCTCGCTCCAGGCTGGAGTGCATGGTATGATCTCGGCTCACTGCAACCTCCGCCCCCAGGTTCAAGTGATTCTCCTGCCTCAGCCTCCTGAGTAGCTGGGATTACAGGCGCGCACTGCCACACCTGGCTAATTTTTGTATTTTTAGTAGAGATAGGGTTTCACCATGTTGGTCAGGCTGGTCTTGAACTTTTGAGCTCGTGATCTGCCCAACTCTGCCTCCCAAAGTGCTGGGATTACAGATGTAAGCCACTGCACCCAGCTACATAGTTCTATTCTTAAGACCTAGGGTAGGCCGGGCACAATGGCTCACGCCTGTAATCCCAGCACTTTGGGAGGCCAAGGTGGGCGGATCACGAGGTCAGGAGATCAAGACCATCCTGGCTAACACGGTGAAACCCCATCTCTACTAAAAAAAAATATATATATATATATAAAATTAGCCGGGCGTGGTGGCAGGCACCTGTAGTCCCAGCTACTCGGGAGGCTGAGGCAGGAGAATGGCATGAACCCAGGAGGCGGAGGTTGCAGTGAGCCGAGATCACGCCACTGCTCTCCAGCCTGGGCGACAGAGAGAGACTCCGTCTCGAAAAAACAAAAAAAGACCTAGGGTAGTGCCTGTCACATAGGAGAAGCATTTGTTGAATCAATGAATATGAATGAACTACTAGTATGTCATTTGACCTTCAAGTTTCTCCATCTGTAAGGAGTAAAAGTTGCTCTACCTTTCTCAAAGGGAATAAAGTTGAAATCAGGGAAAGAAATGGAAACACTCGACTGGTTGCAATGGCTCACGCCTGTAATTCCAACACTTTGGTAAGTGGAGGTGGGTGGATCGCTTGAGCCCAGAGTTTCAAGACCAGCCTGGGTAATATAGAGAGACCCCATGTCTACAAAAAATACAAAGCTCAGCCTCCAGAGTAGCTGGGACTACAGGCGTGTGCCTGTATATATATATATATATATATATATATATATATTTTATATATTTTTTGTAAAGATGAGGATTTGCTATGTTGCCCAGGCTGGTGGGCGACTCTTTTGTAGTTCATAAGTGTGATGATTTGGTGTTCATGTGAACATGTGAAACGTGCCACCCTCAAACCTTGTTACAATGTGGGCATATTACCCATCTGACATGAAAAAAATTTAAAAACTAGACAGACACCTGTAATCCCAGCTACTCTGGAGGCTGATGTTGCAGTGGGCCAAGACTGCACCACTGCACTCCAGCCTGAGTGACAGAGCGAGACCTTGTCTCAAAAACAAAAAGATGTGGAAACATTCTAAGACATCTTTTTTAACTATTCCTTCAGTAGATCCCATATTTATGAACCACTTGAATTGCCTTTTAATAACAAAAGTTCTGTATTTAGTCACTCTTTAAAATTTAAAAGCTTAGGAGTTCTGTGGGACACAGCTTACCCATTCACCATTATCCAGAATTTTCAGTGCTAAGCAAAAAGCTCCTGCTGCAATTTGAGAAGGAGGAAAGTGCACCATGTCATAGTCCAACATAGTTAGTTCCATCAGGTATTTGGCCAAAGTATGTTGCTCGACATCAACCTGAAACAAAACCCATGTTACTGAGTTTCTTTCAGAAAATTTTCCTTTGGCACTAACCTGCATGCCCATATGTATCTTTAACTACAAATGTTTGTCTACAAACTCTCAAATGCCCATGGAAAGTCCTAATATTAACATGCAGCCTGACTAGAAATAAAGAACAACTTTATCCCTTCCCCATGTAGTTAGGTATAATACAGGTCAGTTGAATTCAACGTGCTTGGTCAGCAGCAGTGTTCCCCCTAATGTACCCATACGGAGAGGTTTCTCAAGAAACCTGTACCTCTCCAATCTTAGATGCTCTCCGAAGGAAGTGCAAAGGTAGAGGCCGACCCAGACCAAAGTTTAAAGCTCTTAGAATCTTCATTTCCATCTGTCTGATTTGGTGCTTAGTATAAGTGTTGTCAGTCACAAAAGCAAAGTCACCAATTTCTGGAGGGTACATTTCTTCATATTTGCTTGCAATAAACATGGCAGTGACACCAACCAGCTGCAGCATCTTCTTGGGCACACAATTATTCTGCAATGGGAATTTCAATAGGGTGAATAAAATGTTTGAAAAGGAGACACAGAGCTATGATGAAGGAGAGGTAGAAAGACATTCTCCCATAGCAAAATCTTAATGACACCATATCCCCCAAGAAAGATTTTAGTTGAAAAAGTCAGTTTATTTCTTTCTTTTTTTTTTGAGTCTCGCTCTGTCACCCAGGCTGGAGTGCAATGGCGTGATCTCAGCTCACTGCAACCTCCGCCTCCAGTAGCTGGGACTACAGGCGCCCGCCACCATGCCCGGCTAATTTTTTGTATTTTTAGTAGAGACAGGGTTTTACTGCGTTGGCCAGGATGGTCTCGATCTCCTAACCTTGTGATCCACCCGCCCGCTGGGATTACAGGCATGAGCCACTGCGCCCAGACTGGCCTGAAAACATCAGTTTCTTATGACTCGGCTAGAATCCTGGAAGGGAAAACTCTTACTGAAATGCTCACCTGCATGAACCGATCAATAATGGAGACAGTCATGTACATGGTCTCCTGCAACAACCTGAATTTCATTTGAACCTGTACTAGCCAGTCAATTAGGATGGCTCTCATGTTTCCAGTGACTTCCCGACCCAGTAGGTATTTTGGTCTGACTGCTTGCTCTTCCTGCAAAAGAAAATGCTGATTATTCTTAGAAACATGACTCCATGTGACACATTTATGTCCAGAAAGATCAGTTAGTTCCTACAGTAGCACTGGGGCATTTATAATCTATATCAGTTCTTAATTCAATTATTCATATGGTCAACCACAAACAACACCATCACCAAGAAATAAAGCAAACATGAAGGCTGGCGTGGTGGCTCACGCCTGTAATCCCAGCACTTTGGGAGGCTGAAGTTGGCAGATTGCTTGCAGCCAGGAGTTCGAGACCAGCCTGGCCAACATGGCAAAACCTGTCTTTACTAAAAATACAAAAATTAGCTGGGCATGGTTGCGCACACCTGTAGTTCCAGCTACTTGGGAGGCTGAGGCAGGAGAATTGCTTGAACCTGGCAGGTGGAGGTTGCAGGGAGCCGAGATTGCACCACTGCACTCCAGCCTGGGTGACAGAGTGAGACTGTCTCCCCACCCCAAAAAAAAAAGAAAAAAAAGGCAAACATTAGATAGGACAGTATGACAGCTTTTTTATATTGTCAGGTCTTACGATATTCTTCACCACAACTGCTGCTGGTCCACTCCCTTCCAAATAAAGATACTACATTATCATCTCAGATCTTTTCACTTAAGCCTCTAAACTTAGAACCTGAGCTTTATGTAGAGAAAATATCAGTAACTCCCAGGGCAGCTGGAACCCATGTACTACAACACTCCTGCCTGCTCCTGGGTTAAATCCCAACAGCAACATAGCTAAGAACTGTGGGGACAACAGTGACTTTATTTTAAATACTAATTCAATGTGACTTCTGCCTATTCACTTTAAGTTTGGCCTTTCCTCCAAAACAGCCCTTGATATTATTGTATACATTATAGGCTGTGATGTCTGCAGCATTCTGTCAGCCACCCACACATTGATTCTAGAGCATGTATACTTTGCCCAAGAAAATGTATACATACCCAAGCCGTGGGTACGAGGGGTTACAGTGCAGAGATCTACATCTTACAGCCATCAAAGACCATACTTATGTCTGTAAATTCCCCCTCATCAGTCACCCAATACCAGCAAACTCCATTTATCTGCCTAATTCCTTGGTTTCTCAGCTCCTCTGCCACTTGAGGGGTTGCTTTGCATAAATGGCCTTGCACAGAACAAGAACGAAGCATCAAGAAACAGCACATTTACAGGCTGGGCGCGGTGGCTCACACCTATAATCCCAGCACTTTGGGAGGCCAAGGCGGGTGGATCATGAGGTCAGGAGATTGAGACCATCCTGGCTAACACGGTGAAACCCCGTCTCTACTAAAAATATAAAAAATTAGCCAGGCGTGGTGGCGGATGCCTGTAGTCCCAGCTACTCAGGAGGCTGAGGCAGGAGAATGGCGTGAACCCGGGAGACAGAGCTTGCAGTGAGCCGAGATTGTGCCACTGCACACCAGCCTAGGTGACACAGCGAGACTCTGTCCCAAAAAAAAAAAAAAAAAAAAAAGAAACAGCACATTTACTAAATTGAATCCTCCAAAGTTAGAACACAACTTTAAAAAGCACTAGAAAGATGGAAGAAGAAACTAAAAGCAGAAGGCTGCTCCTGGCAAAGAAGTCTTGCAGAAGAATCCTATAGAAAAAGGAGAGGCCAAAAAGGAGCAGGCAAGAGATGAACATGTCAGTGATGACATAAGACAACACATTAGAAACAACTGGGGGCTGGGTGCGGTTGCTCAGGCCTGTAATCCCAGCACTTTGGGAGGCCGGGATGGGTAGATCATCTAAGGTCAGGAGTTCGAGACCAGCCTGGCCAATATGGTGATACCTCATCTCTACTAAAAGTACAAAAATTAGCTGGGTGTTGTGGTGGGCACCTGTAATCCCAGCTGCTCGGGATGCTGAGGCATGAGAATCACTTGACCCGAGGCGGAGGCTGGACTGAGCCGAGATTGCACCACTGCACTCCAGCCTGGGCAACAGAGCAAGACCCTGTCTCAAAAAAACCAAAACCAAATAAAAATACAAAAAATTAGCCAGGCATGGTGGTGTGTGCCTGCAACCCCAACTACTTGGGAGGCCGAGGCAGGAGAATTGCTTGAACCCAGGAGACAGAGACTGCAGTGAGCTGAGACCGCACCACTGCCCTCTAGCCTGGGCGACAGTGTGAGACTCCATCTCAAAAAAACAAAACAACAACAACAAAAAAACTACGTAAATGTGGTAACAGTATAATTTATGTTACTATGTTTATGCTGCCATAAAGAGTGCTTGTATTTGTAGGGAAAGGGCAAATGCCATTAATAGAAAGTTTCAAAAGTGGGATCAAATTGAAGTGAACCAAAAAAGTAGCTTTTGAGTGTACTCCTTTTGGGCACAAATAATTTCACCAACAACTGGATGCACATCAGCCACACTAACACAAAATGCCTTGTGTTAGGGGTGGCTGTAGTCTTTGAGTATATTCTACATCCTCATCCACTTCCTGACCCGTTATCACCTAAAATGCAGAGTTTGGGACTTAACCATTCCAAACGTGGTGGAGATCGCATATATACATATCAAATTCAATCTGTGGATTTTCCTTTAGAAAGCGATAGTAGTATCCACCCTAACTTCGAACTTTCCTGCACAAAGTGACAAATAGACTCCATTGGTTTATTTAGTGACTTTTTATTATAGGTATTCCATGAAGGAGAATTTGAAAGTGCGATCTCTTAAGAAATGCTGCCCACGTCCTGCTTGTATTATTATAAACTATTGATGGAAAATACTTTCATAAAGTTAGATGCAGTTTAGAAAAAAAACGAATGATAATACTTACCTCAAGTTGTCTCAGATAAGCATAAATATCTTTCACATATTCACTACAAAGGTTTGGATCAGCTCCATCTTCTGCATCCACATCATTTACTGCAAGAATTACATCAGAGAAAGCCTGACACAGGTCTTCTTCTGCAGGGGCACATCCAGATGTTTCCATTGGGCTTGGAGAGGCAGTATCAACCTTGAAACAAAGAGATATCTTGAAATAGCAAATAGAAGTAAGCACTATAGTTTGGGCATGAAGTTCAGGTTATTGGTACCAACTCAAGCTAGTATTCTGCTGAATCGGCATACAATTCATTTCCTTAAAGGAAAAGTATCTTTTCAGATTTATTCCATTTCTTTTTAGGAAGTGATTAACATCAAAAGTGATCATTTGGGTTGGGCGCGGTGGCTCACACCTTTAATCTCAGCACTTTGAGAGGCTGAGGTTGAGGCTAGGAGTTCAAGACCAGCCTGGGCAACATAGCAAAACCCTGTCTCTGTTAAAAAAGAAAAAAGTGATCATTTAATTCCTCAATTAAAAAGAATGAGGTTGGGCATAACAGCTCAAGCCAGTAATCCCAGTACTTTGGGTGGCTGAGGTGGGAGGATCCTTTGAGACCATGAGTTCCAGACTAGCCTGGGCAATATAGCAATAACTCATCTCTACAAAAAATTAGCTGGGCATGAAGGCAGCTGCCTACAGTCCTAACTACTCAGGAGGCCCAGGCAGGAGGATCACTTGAGCCCAGGAGTTTGAGGATACAGTGAGCTATGATTGCGCCATTCTACTCCAGCCTGGGCAAAAAAAAAAACAGTGAAATGCCAACTTAGAGTGAGTCAGTTTAAAGTTGGAAGCAAATAAATTCACATTCTAGACTTTGCTGCAAAGGAAACTGAGAAGTAATTAATTTTTATCAGCAACATGTGAAGTTAGTCCAAATAAATGACAATTCAGTCTTTAGTCTTTATTTCATAATATAAACTGCTTCTCACTACTCAACACAAATTCTATCCTGACTACTAAGGATTAACTAACTTCATCGCCATTAACCATTTCCTTCAAGCTCCCTTTATCCCATTGTTCAAACATTTATTGAGCACCTTCTTGAAGTCAAACTCTACAAGGCATTGACTTCATGGCATCCTCAAAGGACTCTGAATTTAGTAGACAAAGTAAAGAAATAAGGTCGGGCATGGTGGCTCACGCTTGTAATCCCAGCACTTTGGAAGGCCGAGGCAGGCAGATCACGAGGTCAGGAGTTCGAGACCAGCCTGGCCAACATCGTGAAACTCCATCTCTACTAAAAATAAAAAAATAAAAAAATAATAAAAAAATTAGCTGGGTGTGGTGGCTGGCACCTGTAATCCCAGCTACTCAGGAGGCTGAGGCAAGAGAATTGCTTGAACCCAGGAGGTAGAGGTTGCAGTGAGCCAAGATCGTGCCATTGTGCTCCAGCCTGGGTGACAGAGCAAGACTCTGTCTTGGGAAAAAAAAAATAAACAAAAATAAGACTAAGGCTGGGCATGGTGGCTCACACCTGTAATCCCAGCACTTTGGGAGGCTGAGGCGGGTGGATCACGAGATCAAGAGTTCGAGACCAGCCTGGCCAACATAGTGAAACCCCGTCTCTACTAAAAATACAAAAATTAGCCAAGCATGGTGGCATGTGCCTGTAGCCCCAGCTACTTGGGAGGCTGAAGCAGGAGAATCACTGAACTCGGGAGGCAGAGGTTGTGGTGAGCCAAGATGGCACCACTGCACTCCAGTCTGGGCAACAGAGTGAGACTCTGTCTCAAAGGGAAAAAAAAGACTGATTCTAGGAACAGGGGGTGGAGATGGGGGAAGTTTGGGAAAGCTTCAGGAGTTGATGCTTGAGCTGTTTTCAAGGATGAAAAGGTTATTAGCTAAATGAAAGACAGGGTGGGGAAGGCATTCTTACTAAGTGGGAAAGCAAAGGTAAGAATCAGTATGGGCCTTCCAAGAAAGCCTCACGTAGTTTGATATGCCCAAAGACTGTGCTGGCTACATATTTCATGTGCTATGCCCAGAAATTCAACACTAAAGCAATAGCTTTCAATCTCTTATCCTTAGATATAAGAAGCTGAACTGGCTGGGCGCCGTGGCTAACGCCTGTAATCCCAGCACTTTCGGAGGCCGAGGCGGGCGGATCATGAGGTCAGGAGTACACTAACATGGTGAAACCCCATCTATACTAAAAATATGAAAATTAGCTGGGCGTGGTGGCGTGCGTCTGTAATCCCAGCTACTAGGGAGGCTGAGGCAGGAAAATTGCTTGAACCTGGGAGGCAGAGGTTGCAGTGAGCCAAGATCACGCCACTGCACTCCAGCCTGGGCAACAGAGCCAGACTCTGTCTCAACAAGTTTTTTTCAGATAATTTTCCCAACTGGTTTTAACTAAGTTTAAAAAAACAGAGCTTCAGAATACAGTTCATTGCAATTTCATCAAAGCAGCCTCCTCTACATGACCTACCTTTCCTTCACAGGTAGGTCTATCATAGAATACATTTACATACCTTATATTTAATAAAAAGTTATTATTTTTGAGGCTAAGTGTTAATTCATCTTCTTAACCACTCCCTGAAAAGTTGCCTTCTTCCTGTTTTACTCCTTTGCATATTCCAATGTTACAGGCTTATTATTTAGTAGCCATATGCAGCAGTAAAAAAATTCAAGAGAACATTCTATGTTTACGCCAATAAATTCTGCAGAGATGGCTTGTAGTTGGATAACAAAGCCTTTGGCTCAGACAGCTACTACTTAATATCATTAACGAAGGAATATAAGACAGTTGACAATTAAAAGCATAGATTCTGAAGCCAGACAGCCTGAGCTTGAATCCCATATGGGCCACTTACCTGTGTGACCCTGACATAACCTCTCTAAAGCCATGATTTAAATAGTAGAGGTGACAATACCTCAGAGAGTACGTGTAAAGATTATGTGAGTTAATGCATGTAAAATGTTAGGCAGAGCTTGCCTCATGCTAAGCACTCAATAAATGGTATTAATATTACTATTCATTTGAATGCTCTTGCATGTATCAGTGAAATAAGGGACAAGAAATAATCAACAGACTCTACAATGGTAAGAATAAGTTTACCAAAATAGGCTCAGGCGAAAGTTTTTCTTCTTTAACAGGCTCAGGTTCTGGCTCAGGTTCTGGCTCTGGCACTGGCTCAGACACTGGCACTGGCACCAGCATAGGTACCTTTTCAAGAGGTTTTGGTAGTTTTTTATCAATGACTTTTCCAGTAGCTGAAGGTTTTGCTTCCTGTAGATGAAACAGAGAGAATGAAATGTTTCTGCATCAAAGGCCACAGTTGGAAGGCGGGCTCTTACAGAAGTTAGGTCAGGAAGAGAGTTACCTTCTTCATAGGCATTTTGGCCTGCAGTTGTTCACTGACTTTGTTACCAATGTCCCCAAGAGCTGTTCTTGGCCTCAGTCCGGGCTTGGAGGTTGCAGCAGGGGCCGTAGGAACGCGCTTTGCGCCTGCCATGTTGATCTTCGCCTTATTTTCAGCATTAATTTTCGAGTTCTGAAAGAAGCAAGACCACTTTAAGAGCTGATCCACGAAGGCTCGAGTAAGTCAAGGGTTAATTAAGGTGGGGCACAAGGAGAAGTTCCCAGAAAGAAAGCCGACTAAAAATGGGTTCCGAGGGAAAACATGGGTCCCAGAGTCTACTCTGCGGCCGTGACAAGTCAGTTTCCGCCGACCTCTACATTTACCAATTGAGGGATTCCCTGATTAGTCCTGGCCAGCCCTAAAATACCGAGAATTTACATTTGAAAGGAAACCGAAAAAGCCTCCAATTGCAGACACCTTCTCTCTGGGAAGGGGGTTACAGAGTTGCTGGCGGGCCCACTCAGGGACCCTCTATCACTTTTTCAAAAGGTTCCCAGTCGACTCTCCACCTCCCCAAAACATTTATCCAATATCCGTCCAGTTCTCTTTCTCACCTTCCTCCCTCCATCCATCGTCCCCCACACTCTCTCACCAGGCCTGGGCCCACCTCGGCGCTCTCTTGGTGAGTCCCCTCCCACCTTCCTCCCCAAATCGCTCCTGCGGCCCTCTCCCGCTCGGGAGGCTCCCGCAGGCGAGGCAGGGAGAGCAGGCAGCAGCTAAGAAGGCCGCGTTAGTTCGCAGTCCGAAGCGGCTCACCCTGGTGACTCGGAGCGCCATGGCTTCCTCTTCACCAGGCAGCAGCTCAGCGGGGAGAAGCAGAACACCGGAGGCCCGACCAGCCAAGGACCTACACCCAGCAGAAACCAACAGCCGTTCCGCCGCAGCACGCCGAGAAGAGCCAGCCTAGCCTCAGATTTAAACCCCGCACTGCTCCCTCCTTATTGGCCTGTTCGTGGCACTCACTCCCTTCCCATTGGCGGCTGCCGGTCGCAGAGAATGCGTTTCCAGGGCGATCGCGCGAAGGCGTTCGAGAGGGGCGGGGCCACAGTGAGGCTAGGCCGGAAGGCCTGGCCAGGCTCTCACGTGGTCTGCCTCTGCGCCTGCGCTCTCGGGCAGCTGCAGCGGCCACCTGGAGAGCAGTGAAGCCAGTGCGCCGCCCACCTGGAAAGGTTAGCCGGGCAAGAGTGTGCGTTGCCAATGCCAGCTCAGGAAAGGCCTAGTGGCCTTTGGAAGGTGACAGAGGCGCGGCCACAGTCTCAGAAGTGTCAAAAGTAGTTTTGGATCTAGTGTTGCACACTTTCCATTTCTACGGTAGCAGCAATAATATAGTTCATGAAAGGCTTTAATAGACATTCTTTCATTTGATCGTTGCAACAACTCTCTGGGTTGGAGGAACTGAAGCTCAGCGACTTAGATGACTTTGCCAGGGTCACACATTAGCAACGGGGGAACTGAATTTAGGGTTTTTTTTTTTGAGGGGGAGGGAGGGGGTGTATCCGTGTTGTTTTCACAACACTGATTGTCCCTTAACAATATTACTTGATTACTTCAAGATTGTCCAGTTTCCCAAGGCCAATTGTTTTGTTTGTTTTAGCTTTCTATTTGGAAATAATTTCATACTTAGACCAGTTGCCAACAAAAATCTTGTAAGGAATATTTCTATGCCCTTTACTCAGATTCAACTATCCTTAACATGTATTTGCCTCTCATGGGAAAATCAGGAAAAACTAAACAAAAAGACATTTTACCCCATTTGCTTTGTCATTTGCTCAGATTCTCTCTAGATCCAAAGAAAAACAAGAGGGTTCTTTTTGCCTTCTACTCCTCAAAACACACCAGCAGCTCAGCAATTGGAGGGGAGGCTGAAGGACAAAAACATTGCTATCCCATAGAGCAACGGTATAAGAGCCAATAGAGACTCCTGGCGCTGGAAGTCACGGATCCGAAAGAAGGCGCCCAATCATTTGGTTTCTTTGGATCGTTATTGAGTCTTCTGTCATCATAGTTCACCCTCCTACTCGAATGCCTCCCGTGGGGCCCTTACCCTTGCTCTCCTCTGCCTGGAATGCCCGCCTCTTCTTGCATTCAAGCCCCTGGGTTCTATTCAGGTAACTCCCATTCATCCTTCAGTTCTGTGTTCAACATCCATTCTCACTCAGTCTTTCTGGGTTTGATCAATCCTTCCTCGCCCCATGCAGGGGCGAGAGGCAAGGGGCGAAGCAGGATTACTTATCCTCTGTGTTCCAGTTTAAAAATTTTTTTTTTTACTTTTTTTTGAGACGGAGTCTCGATCTGTCGCCCAGGCTGGAGTGCAGTGGTGCGATCTCGACTCACTGCAACCTCCACCTCCAGGGTTCACTCCATTCTCCTGCCTCAGCCTCCCGAGTAGCTGGGACGGCAGGCGCCCGCCACAACGGCCGGCTAATTTTTTGTATTTTTGGTAGAGACGGGGTTTCACCATGTTAGCCAGGATGGTCTCGATCTCCTGACTTGGTGATCCGCCCGCCTCGGCCTCCCAAAGTGCTGCGATTACAGGCGTGAGCCACCACGCCCGGCCAAATTTTTCCTTTTATATGCTTTATTTTTTAGAGCAGTTTTAGGTTCGCAGCAAAACTTAGCAGAAAGTATAGAGCATTTCACCTGCCTTCCCCACTATTGACACCCCACATTAAAGTTGTACTTTAATTATAATCTGTTAACCTACATTGACACCACAGTATTACCCAAAGTCCATAGTTTACATTAAGGTTCACTCTAGGTGTTGTGTCTTCTACGGGTTTTGACAAATATATAATGACGTATAATGTCCACCCGCCTCAACCTCCCAAAGTGCTGGTATTGAAGGCGTGAGCCACTGCACCTGGCGGTCAGAATGGTTTCTTTTACTCAAATATGCATTTAAGGTTCTTCCATGTTTTTTTCATGGGTTGGGATCTCATTTTATTTTAGCCCTGAATAATATTGCATTGTCTGGATGTACTAGTTTATTTATTCAGTCACCTACTAAGTGACATCTTGATTGCGTCCAAGTTTTGGTATGAATATAACTGCTACTAACATCTGTGTGCAGATTTTTGAGTGGACGTAAGTTGTTTTTGTTTTTCGTTTGTTTGTTTGTTTTTTGAGACGGAGTCTTGCTTTGTTGCCCAGGCTGGAGTGCGGTGGCGCCATCTAGGCTCACTGCAAGCTCCGCCTCCCGGGTTCACGCCATTCTCCTGCCTCAGCCTCCCAAGTAGCTGGGACTATAGGCGCCCGCCACCAGGCCTGGCTAATTTTTTGTATTTTTAGTACAGACGAGGTTTCACCATGTTAGCCAGGATGGTCTCGATCTCCTGACCTCGTGATCCACCCTCCTCGGCCTCCCAAAGTGCTGGGATTACAGGCGTGAGCCACTGTGCCCGGCTGAGTGGACATAAGTTTTAAACTCATTTGGGTGAATACCAAGGAGCAAGACTGTTGGATCATATAGTATGTTTACTTTTGTAAGAAACCGCCAAACTGTCTTCCAAAGCTGCTCTACCATTTTGCATTCCCATCAGCAATCCTCACAAGCATTTGGTGTTGTCAGTTTTTAAAAAAATTGTAGCCATCCTATTAGGTGTGTAGTGGTAACTCATTGTTTTTTGATTTGCAGTTCTCTAATGACATATGATATTGAGTATCTTTTTCTGTGATTATAATCTGTATAACTTCTCTGTTGAGGTATCTGTTCAGGTATTTTGCCTAGTTTTTGTTTTGTTTTGTTTTTTGAGATAGGGTCTTACTATGTTACCCAGGCTGGAGTGCACTGGTGTGATCATAGCTCACTGTAACCTCAAACTCCTGAGCTCGGGCAATTCTGCCTCAGCTTCCCAAGTAGCTAGGACTGTAGGTGTGAGCCACTGTGCCCAGCTAATTTTTTTATTTTTTATTTTTTGTAGAGATGGGATCTCACTATGTTTCCAAGGCTCATCTTAAACTCTTGGCCTCACAAAGCACTGGGAATATATATATATATATATATATATATATATTTTTTTTTTTTTTTTTTTTTTTTTTGAGATGGAGTCTTGCTCTGTCGCCCAGGCTAGAGTGCAGTGGCTCGATCTCGGCTCACTGCAACCTCTGCCTCCCGAGTTCAAGTGATTCTCCTGCCTCAGCCTCCCGAGTAGCTGGCACTACAGGCGCCCACCACCACACCAGCTAATTTTTGTATTTTTAGTAGAGACCGGGTTTCATAATATTGGCCAGGCTGGTCTCAAACTCCTGACCTTGTGATTTGCCCGCCTTGGCCTCCCAAAGTGCTGGGATTACAGGCATGAGCCACCACGCCCGGCCGCACTGGGAATATTATAGGCATGAGCCACTTTGCCCAGCCTTTGCCCAGTTTTATTTTTGTTTTGAGACAGTGTCTCTATTACCCAGCTAGGGTGCAGGGGCGCAAACATGGCTTACTGCAGCCTTAATCTCTGGGTTCACCAGAGCCACCGCACCTGGCCTCAGACTAATATTCTTCTTTTTATTTTTTTTAATTATTTCTTTTTTTCTTCTTTTGTTGTTTTTATTTGTTTTTTGGACTAATATTCTTAATAGTACATTTTGTCATGTTTATTTTTAATTTTTATGCATACATAATAGTTGTACATATTTATGGGGTACATGTTATATTTTGATACAAGCATGCAATGTGTAATGATCAAATCAGAGTAATTGGGATATTTATCTCCTCAAACATTTATCATTTATTTGTGTTGGAAACGTTCCAACTCCACTCCTTTAGTTATTTGGAAATATACAGACTGGGTATGGTGGCTCATGCCTATAATCCCAGCACTTTGGGAGGCCAAAGCAGGAGTATCATTTGAGCCCAGGGGTCCGAGATCAGCCCGGGCAACCTGGCAAACCCCATCTCTACAAAAAATACAAAAATTAGCTGGGATTGGTGGTGTATACCTCTAGTCCTAGTTACTCAGGAGGCTGAGGTGGGAGGATCGCTTGAGTCTGAGAGGTTGAGGCTGAGTGAGCTGTGATTGCACTACTGCACTCCAACCGGGGTGACAGAGCAAGACCTTGTCTCAAAAAAAAATTAAAAAAGGCCGAGCATGGTGGCTCATGCCTGTAAGGAGCTCAAGGATTGCTTGAGCTCAGGGATTGCTTGAGCTTAGGAGTTCGAGACCAGCCTGGCCAACATGGCGAAACCCCATCTCTACAAAATATACAAAAATTAGCCAGGCATGGTGGCACAAGCCTGTAATTCCTGCTACTCAGGAGTCTAAGGCAGGAGAATCACTTGAACCTGGGAGGCGGAGGTTGCAGTGATTTGAGATCGCGTCACTGCATTCCAGCCTGGGCGACAGAGCGGACTGTTTCTCAAAAAAAAAAAAAAAAAGGAAATATATAAATATATACAATAAATTATTGTTAACTATAGTCACCCTAGGCCAGATCTAGGCTACGGAACACTAGATCTTATTCCTTCTATCTAATAGTACTTTTGTACCCATTCACTGTGATCTTTTTTTAAAATTTTAAAATTTTTGTATTATACTTTAAGTTCTAGGGTACATGTGCATAATGTGTAGGTTTGTTACATAGGTATGCATGTGCCATGTTGGTTTGCTGCACCCATCAACTCGTCATTTACATTAGGTGTTTCTCCTAATGCTATCCCTCCTTCAGCCCTCCAACCCCACTGACAGGCCCTGGTGTGTGATGTTCCCCACCCTGCGTCCAAGTGTTCTCATGGTTCAATTCCCACCTATGAGTGAGACCGTGTGGTGTTTGGTTTTCCGTCCATGTGATAATTTGCTGAGAATGATAGTTTACAGCTTCATCCATGTCCCTGCAAAGGACATGAACTCATCCTTTTTATGGCTGCATAATATTCCATAGTGTATATGTGCCACTTTTTTTTTTTTTTTTTTAGATGGAGTTTCACTATTGCTGCCCAGACTGGAGTGCAATGGCAAGTGATTCTCCTGCCTCAGCTTCCCAAGTAGCTGGGATTACAGCCATGTGCTACCACCCCTGGCTAGCTTTGTATTTTTTTTTTTAGTAGAGATAGGGTTTCTCCATGTTGGTCAGGCCGGTCTCGAACTCCAGAGCTTATGTGATCCACCCACCTCGGCCTCCCAAAGTGCTGGGTTTACAGGCGTGAGCCACCATGCCCGGTGCCACATTTTCTTAATCCAGGCTATCACTGATGGACATTTGGCTTGGTTCCAAGTCTTTCCTATTGTGAATTTCTGTTCTGACAAGTCTTTTTGATATTCCTTTCTTCAAATTCAGGCTGTATATTTGGAATTATGAAATAATTAAGATGACTTTTACACCCTTTAAATGCCTTAGGCGTTTCCTGGGTTTCCATTGTATTTCAAGGAAACTACAAAAATTTACTACTTCATCTTATAAGAGATAATGACAATAATTAGATTTGCTTGGCATTTTCTAGATTTTAACTAATCCAAAACTTTTGTCAGAGCTATTTTATCTGCCAAACCCGGAATATTTTTTTAAATGGACAATTCAAGAGCTCTATTTTGCTTTTCTCTTTTATTTATTTAATTTGTTTTTTTTAATGGAGATAGGGGCTCACTATATTGACCAGGCTGGTCTTGAACTGGCCTCAAGTGATCCTCCCATTTTGGCCTACCAAAGTGCCGGGGATTACAGGCATGAGCCATCACACCCAGCTCTATTTTGCTATTTTTTTAGTGAAAATATACTTTAAGTTTGAGAGACATATTTATATTCATTTATAAAAGTTGACACATTAACTATAGGCCAGGTGTGGTGGCTCAGGCCTGCAATCCCAGCACTTTGGGAGGCTGAGGTGGGCGGATCACCTGAGGTCAGCAGTTCGAAACCAGCCTGGCCAACATGGCAAGACCCCTGTCTACTAAAAATACAAAAAAATTAGCCGGGCATTCTAGTGCACGCCTGTAGTTCCAGCTACTTGGGAAGCTGAGGCAGGAGAATTGCTTGAACCTGGGAGGCAGAGGTTGTCCAGTGAGTGGAGATAGTGCCACTGCACTCCAGCCTGGGCGACAGAGCCAGGCTCAGTCTCAAAAAAAAAAAAAAAAAAAAGGCGGACACATTAACTATCAATTTTTTTTTCGCCTCCTTGTTGCTCGCGGTTAAAAGGACCATCCGCAGGGGGCCAGGCTGCCCCATTTATGCGCAAGCACGTGCTCTGGCACTGCAACCTGACCCCAGACACCAGGCGGAGGCACGGTGGGGTACAAAGGCAGCGCTTTTTTTTTTTTTTTTTCCTGCACGGAGTTTCACTCTGTCGCCCAGGCAGGAGTGAAGTGGCATGATCTCGGCTCACTGCAACCTCCACCTCCCGGGTTCAAGCGATTCTCCTGTCTCAGCCTCCAGAGTAGCTGGGATTATAGTCACATACACCATGCCCGGCTAATTTTTAGTAGAGACGAGGTTTCGCTATGTTGGCTAGGCTGGTCTCGATCTCCTGACCTCAAAGTGATCCACCCCCCTCGGCCTCCCAAAGTGCTGGGATTACAGGTGTGAGCCTCAATTGGTTTTAAGAAAAATTTTTGTTTTTATGATTAAATAACCTTGTGAATTGATATCATAATATACTTTGTGGTATAAATTAAGGAAACTCGTCTGGGCGCAGTGGTTCACGCCTGTAATCCCAGCACTTTAGGAGGCCGAGGCGTGCGGATCTCCTGAGGTCAGGAGTTCAAGACCAGCCTGGCCAACATGGCGAAACCCCATCTCTACTAAAAAATACAAAAATTAGCCGGGCTTGGTGGCGGGCGCCTGTAATCCCAGCTACTAGGGAGGCTGAGGCAGGGAGAATTGCTTGAACCCGGGAGGCAGAGGTTGCAGTGAGTTGAGATGGTGCCACTACACTCCAGCCTGGGTGCGATAGCTAGACTCAATCTCGATTTTTTTTTTTTTTGAGACGGAGTCCTGTTCTGTCGCCCAGAGTGGAGTGCAATAGTGTGATCTCGGCTCACTGCAACCTCCGACTCCTGGGTTCAAGCGATTCTCTTGCCTCAGCCTCCCGAGTAGCTGGGATTACAGGCGCCCACCACCACACCCAGCTAATTTTTTTGTATTTTTAGTAGAGATAGGGTTTCACTATGTTGACGAGGCTGGTGTCGAACTCCTGACCTTGTGATCTGCCCGCCTCAGCCTCCCAAAGCGCTGGTATTACAGCTGTGAGCCACCGCGCCCGGCCTTAGACTCCATCTTAAAAAAAAAAAAAAAAATTAAGTAAACTAGCAGTTGTCAATACTCTCACAGTTGATCCATATTGTGTTCCTTTTTTTGTAGGATGAGGTCTTGCTATGTTGCCCATGCTGGTCTTAAATTCTGGGCCTCAAGCAAGCCTCTTGCCTTGGCCTCCCAAAGTGTTGGGATTACAGGCATGAGCCACTGCACTGGGCCCGTATTATGTTCTTATTGACTAAATACTTATAAATTGATGTGTAGTATACTTTAACAGAGGATTCTAGCTTTTTTCCATTCTATTATTATTATTGTAGTAAATCAACTACAGCCATTAAGTTTTATTAACCACAAGAGACCTCTGACTTTTTTCTCCTTGTATTTGCCTAGATGCTCCAGTTACAAATGATAGATCCAAAATTGTCTTCTGGAAGAAACATCACAAAACTTCAAAGGTATGTTGTCAAACTCTTGAAGAGCAAGAAAAAGGAAAAAAAGAAAGGAAATTAAAAAGCTTCAAAGGGTTAGTTAGTCTTAGTTGTTGCTATTACTGAGAATACAGCTATGGGTGCAGGCTTCTCAGTTTTAGCTCACGTTGTTACCCATTGTATACATGCATGTCAGAACTCAGGTAATTGAGTCAGGAATCCCAGGAACTTTTTGGTTCTAGGAGTAGATGAGTTTGTGGAAGCAGATTGCTTAATTCAAGACATTCCAATCAAGATTGGTGCTTATGAAATTGGGCTACAGGTTTACATTCAGTTTGATTGGATTAACTGCATATTTGGTTTAAATGACTCTTAGACACTTGGAAGCATACCTACAAAATTTACCAAAATTACGGGTTGTGTCCCTTATGCTAATGTAATGTTACTGGTTTTTTGTTTGTTTGTTTGTTTTGAGATGGAGTCTTACTCTATTGCCAGGCTGGAGTGCAATGGTGCAATCTCAGCTCACTGCAACCTCCGCCTCCCGAGTTCAAGCGATTCTCCTGCCTCAGCCTCCTGAGTAGCTGGGACTGCAGGCGCACGCCACCACACCCGGCTAATTTTTGTATTTTTAGTAGAGACGGGGTTTCACCATGTTGGCCAGGATGGTCTCGATCTCTTGACCTTGTGATCCACCTGCCTCGGCCTCCTGAAGTGATAGGATTACAGGCGTGAGCCACCCAGCCCGGTCAGTAATGTTACTATTAATGTAGGTCTTGACCAGAAGAAGGAATGAGGCCTCTGGAAGTGGTTTATATGCCATTTTGGGAATTTAATCATATTGCTAGTCTTTCAGATGACTGAATGTTCTGTCAACCCTATGCCTGTTGAAATACAAATCTTCAATTAGCAGTCAGACACAATGGTTTCCATTCCTTCATGTACTAGTCTCAGCCTTGCATTGGAGGTGCCTAGTTTAGAATGCTGTGTTAGAAACTGCCCTTTACAGTGGAATTGGCAAATGAAATTGTGTAGACAAGATTGTCTGCTATACTTGCTGAACAAAAAAAAGCTTTAATTCATTTGCTGCAATCATGCTAGACAACAGAATCACTTCAGGTTATTTACTGACTAAACAAGGCAGTGCTTAATACCAACTACTAACAACTGTTGCATTTGGAGAAGTGCTTCAGACTAAATCAATAGATCTCAGTGTAAAATCCAAGAATAGGCTGGGCGCGGTGCTTCATGCCTGTAATCTCAGCACTTTGGTAGGCCGAGGTGGGAGGATTGCTTGAGCCCAGGAGTTCCAGACCAGCCTGGGCAATGTAGTGAGACCCTGTCTCTACAAAAAATAAAAATTAGCTGGGCATGGTGATACAATGCCTGAGTAGTCTCAGCTAATCAGGAGGCTGAGGTGGGAGGATTAAATTAAATAAAATCGAAGAGCTAAGCCAATCCAAGTCAAGGTGGGGAAAACCAATCTGTGGAATTCTTTTTTCTTTTCTTTCTTTTTTCTTTTTTTGAGGCAGGGTCTCTCTCTGTCACCCAGGCTGGAGGGCAGTGGTGCAACCACAGCACACTGAAGCCTGGACCTCCCAGGCTTAAGCAATCCTCCTGCCTCAGCCTCCGAAGTAGCCGGCACTGCAGGTGTGCAACACCATGCCCAGCTAATTTTTAAACTTTTTGTGGAGACAGGTTCTCGCCATGTTGCCCAGACTAATCTGTGGAATCTTTTAGCAGGATTTGGGCTTTTGCTGATTTCGGATATACTGTAAACATTATTTAAGTTGTTACTAATGGTTGCTGTTGTCAAGTTATTGTTAGCAGGTATTTTTTTTTGAGATGAAGTCTCATTCTTGTGGCCCAGGCTGGAGTGCAATGGTGCGATCTCAGCTCACTGCAACCTTCACTTCCCGGTTCAAGCGATTCTCCTGCCTCAGCCTCCTGAGTAGCTGGGATTATAGGCGTCTGCAGCCACAGCCAGCTAATTTTTGTATTTGTAGTAGAGATGGGGTTTCACCATGTTGGGCAGGCTGGTCTCGAACTCCTGACCTCAGGCGATCTGCCCGCCTTGGCCTCCCAAAGTGCTGGGATTACAGGCGTGAGTCACTGTGCCCGGCTGTTAGCAGGTTTTTTTATTTTATTTTTTAAATACTTGCCCACCCTTCATCTGCTGAATTTTTTTTTTTCTTTGAGACAGAGTCTCATTCTGTTGCCCAGGCTGGAGTGCAGTGGCACAACTTCAGCTCACTGCAACCTCTGCTTCCCAGGTTCAAGTGATTCTCATGCCTCAGCCTCCCCAGCAGCGGGGATTATAGGCATGTCCCACCACGCCTGGCTAATTTGTGTATTTTTGGTAGAGATGGCGTTTTGCCATGTTGGCAAAGCTGGTCTTGAACTCCTGACCTCAGGTGATCCACCTGCCTCGGCCTCCCAAAGTGCTGGGATTACAGACGTGAGCCATAGCACCCGGCCGTGAAATTTTATTTTACTTATTTGCTTGTTTATTTTTTGTTAGCACGTTGTAGTTTTTAAAATGTATTTTAGTTTATTTTTTTGAGACAGTCTCCCTCTGTTGCCCAGACCAGAGTACAGTAATGTGATCTCAGCTCACTGCAACCTCCGCCTTCCGGGTTCAAGCGATTTTCGTGCCTCAGCCACCTGAGTAACTGGAATTACAGGCGGGCGCCACCACACCCAACTAATTTTTGTGTTTTTAGTAGAGACAGGGTTTCACCATGTTGCCCAGGCTGGTCTGACTCCTGGCCTCAAGTGATCCACCCACCTCGGCCTCCCAAAGTGCTGGGATTAAGGCGTGGGCCACTGCGCCCGGCTTGTACACAGGTTTTGAAGTGCCAGTTGTTGTGCAGCCACCATCCTGTTTTACGCATTCAGGAATTCTACAACAAAAAATTAAGATTATTCTGATAAACAAGATGGAATCTTGTGAGAATGACATCTGAAAGAAACTAAGATGGTAGCTAAGATTTCAGAACCTGATCATGTGTTGACCCTTTGTGAGGTCATCCTGTTGTCTCAGGAAGAGGGACTATAAAAATTAATTTTTCACTTACAATAGCATTTGCTTAGGAATTATCGAAACTATTGCTTCATTGCCATAGGATCTAACTACTGAAGCTGATAAAATACCATGAACTTTGAATGACCCTCGGACGCCAGGCTTTTACTAGACCAAAGTGAAGACTCATTTTTGACTAATGCAAAATGGAACATCTTTTATCCTTTATTTTTTATTTTTTATTTTTTTTTGAGATGGAGTCTCACTCTGTCGCCTACCCTGGAGTACAGTGGCGCAATCTTGGCTCACTGCAACCACCGCCTCCCAGGCTCAAGTGATTCTGCTGCCTCAGCCTCCCGAGTAGGTGGGATTACAGGTGCCCGCCACCATGCCCGGCTAATTTTTGTATTTTTAGTAGAGACGGGGTTTCGCCATGTTGGCCAGGCTGGTCTCAAACTCCTGACCTCTGGTGATCTGCCCACCTTGGCCTCCCAAAGTGCTGGGATTACAGACATGAGTCACTGTGCCCAGCCGGAACATCTTTTAATCAAGTAGTTCTCAACTGGGGAATGTTTTGTCCCATGAGGGACATTTGGTTATGTCTAGAGACATTCTGAGTTTTCCCAACTGGGATGGCATCTAGTGGGTAGAAACTAGAGATGCTGCTAAACACCTTGTGATGCACAGGACATCCCTCACGGCCACCCACCATACACAAAGAATTATCCAGCCCAAGATGTCAATAGTGCCAATAGTGCCGAGCTTGAGAAATACCGTCAACTATGTACATACTCATACACAGACTCATTTCTACTCAGAATGCTAATTATCAGTGCTTAATTAGCATAACCACTGTGGATTACCTGCTCTCTTTATAACACTTAAAACTTCTGGCCAGGTGCTGTGCCTCACGCCTGTAATCCCAGCACTTTGAGAGGCCAAGGCAGGTGGATCACTTGAGGTCAAGAGTTTGAGACCAGCCTGGCCAACATGGTTAAACCCCGTCTCTACTAAAATACAAAAATAAGCTGGGTGTGGTGGTGCACGCCTGTAATCCTAGCTACTCGGGAGGCTGAGGCAGGAGAATCGCTTGAATCCGGGAGGTGGAGGTTGCAATGAGCCAAGATCGTGCCACTGCACTCCAGCCTGGGCAACAGAGCAAGACTCTGTCTCAAACAACAACAACAACAACAGTGACAACAACCAAACAAACAAACAAAAACTCCTGCATTTCTCCTCAGGGAACTATTAATATTCAATGTTCCCTCTCCTGACCAAGTTAATAATGTCAACTTCATACCAGTTACTGCTCTAGATGCTAAGGATATTGCTCTGAATATAACAGATCAGATCCCCGCTCTCATGAAGCTTACACTCTAGTCGGAGAGGCTAAACAAATGAATAAATAAGTAGAGGGAACAAACCAGGTAAAACTAAGTGGTAGGCAGAAAATTAAAAGAAAGTGACACAAATAGACTGGTTTGGTAGCTACTTTAGACTTTGGTCAGGAATTGTCTCTCTTGAGGAGGTGACATTTAAACTGAGGCTTAAATGACAATAAGGAGAACATCCCAGATAAAGGAAGTAGTCCGTGAAAAACACAAAGATAGAAATGAGCTTGTCATATTCAGAAAAGCCAGTGTGGCTAGAGTATAGAGGGGAAGTAGTAGAGATGCGGTTGAAGATGTTGGAAAGGGTAGGATTATACAGGTACTGTAAACCAAGGTAAGGAGTCTGGGCTATGATAAGTGCACTGGAAGCCTTTGCAGGGTTTAAGCCAAGGTGGGACATGATCTGGTTTATCTTTCAATCAGAAACTTAAGCATCATGCAATATACCTTTGTAACAAATCTGCACATGTATCCCCAATTCTAAAATAAAAGTTGAAAAAGAAAAAAAAATAGGGTAAATATGAAAAAAAAAGAAAGAAAAGAACAGTTAGAAGTAATATAAGAATGATAAAGTAAAGCTGGGTGCAGTGGCTCACGCCTGTAATTACAGCACTTTGGGAGGTTGAGGCAGGTGGATGTCTTGAGCCCAGGAGTTCAAGGTTAGCCTGGGCAACATGGTGAAACCCTGTCTCTATGAAAAATACAAAAATTAGCCAGGTGTGGTAGTGCACACCTGTAATCCCAGCTACTTAGGAGGCTGAAGTGGGAGGATTGCTTGAGCCTGGGAGGTCAAGGCTGCAGTGAGCCATGATCACACCCCTGCACGCCAATACTCCAGCTTGGGTGACGGAACAAGACCCTGTTAAAAAAAAAAAAAAAAAAAAAGAATGGCAAAGGGCAAATTATATGAAAATAAGGTAAAAATAATAACAAATGAACAAAAATATTACCTTAGCCACTATGGGGAGAATATATGGGGTAAGGGGAGGATGAAGGAGAGGTGGGAGGAGAAGAGAAGCAAGGGGGCCAGAAAGAGGCTATTGCAAGAGACCAGGAAAGATGATGGCTTGGATGGACTATTAGAGGTGGACAGAAAGGGATGGGCCAGCATATGTTATGGAAGTGGAGTTGCTAGGTCTTAATGGTTTGCATGCTTGAGTGAGAGAAATAGGAATCAAGGATGACTCCTGGGTTTTGGCTTGAGTAACTGAAATAGAAAAGACCAAGAGAGGACCACCTTTTAGAGGGTAGCAGGTTTTGGATAGGATATTATGAATTCTGAGGCCAGGCATGGTGGCTCACGCCTATAATCCCAGCACTTTGGGAGGCCGAGGTGGGTGGATCACCTGAGGTCAGGAGTTCGAGACCAGCCTGGCCAACATGGTGAAACTCCATCTCTACTAAAAAAACAAAAATTAGCCAGGCGTGGTGGTGGGCGCCTGTAATCCCAGGTACTTGGGAGGCTGAGGCAAGAGAATCGCTTGAATCTGGGAGGCAGAGGTTGCAGTGAGCTGAGATCGTGCCACTGCATTCCAGCCTGGGTGACAGAGTGAGACTCCCTCTCAAAAAAAAAAAAAAAAGAAAGAAAGAATTCTGCTGTATTTGGAACGCTTAGAGATATACAGGACCCAGCCAGGGCAACATAGTGAGACCTCATCTCTACAAAAAACTCTTTAAAAAATTAGCCTGGTGTGGAGGCATGCACCTGTGATGCTAGCTACTTGGGAAGCTGAGGCAGGAGGATCATTTGAGCTAAGGTGGTTGGGGCTGCAGTGAGCCATGATCACACCACTGTACTCCAGCCTGAGCGACAGAGTGAGACCCTGTCTCAAAAAAAAGATATACAAGAGGCGAGGTCTACTAGTCTACTAGACAGAGGTCAGGATGGGAGATATAATCCCTTTTTGCTGTAGAGGGCCTTTTATGCCTGACACAGATGAGATCATCTAGGGAAGGAACATACAGAAGAGTAGATGCCCAGAAGCAAGGTCTGGGCCTTCCATATTTAAAGATGGAGCGGAGGAAGAAAAGCCATCTAAGAATATTGGGCAAGAACACCAGAGAGGCAGGAGAACTGATTGTGGTATCTCAGAAAAGAGAAGTCAGTGTTTCACAGAGGGAGTAGTGATCTAACATGACAGACTAATACACACGTATCTTGGTTACTTCCTCAAGCTCTGCCAAAACAATGGTTTTTAAAAGATGCATGATGGCCAGGCACGGTGGCTCACACCTGTAATCCCAGAACTTTGGGAGGCTGTGGAGGATCACTTGAGCCCAAAGGTTTGAGACCTAGGCAACATAGTGAGACCCTGTTTCAAAAAAAAAATTAGCCGAGCATGGTGGTGGGCGCCTGTAGTCCCAGCTATTCAGGAGGCTGATGCGGGAGGATTACTTGAGCCTGGGAGGTTGAGGCTGCAGTGAGCTATGATCATGCCACTGTACCCCAGCCTGGGTGACAGAGTGAGACCCTGTCTCAAAAAAAAAAAACCGAAAAAACAAAAACAACAAAAAAGAATTGGTTGTTGATATTTTTAGCTGGATGAAAATATTTTTAAAATATAAAAAAGAATTTAAAAAAGAAAAGAATTGGTTGATTCCATCCTGCTCAGCTGAGTGCAGTAAGAGCACAACCTCTCCTTGGTCCTGGCAGACGACTAGAGGTTTATGTTCTGGAGTGGCTGAACTAAAGGGGTTCTGGATTTCAGGAGACCAGGCAAGCTGAGAGGGGCTTTAAGTAAAATTGTGCATACCAAATGGTAAGACCTCCAGTCGCCTTCTCCTACCCAGTCCCCAAAAGGCTGGCAGCTGGACTTATACCCTTCTAAGTGAAGTAAGAGAATGGTTTCTGGGGAATGGATCAGCCCAACAGAAAAAGTTCTAAAAATATTGATGGTTAGGAAAGGTCCCCATGAAATGACTGGGCCACCGCTTGGTTACCCTTATACTGAAGCTCACCACTTGACATGCTTGCACACTGACACAGAGCTTCTAATACATATATATGGAGAGAGAGAGAGAGAGAGAGAGAGAGGATCTTGCTATACTGCCCAGGTTAGTCTTAAACTCCTGGGTTTAAGTGATGCTCCTGTCTTAGCCTCCTGAATAGCTGGGATTACAGGCATGAGTTACTATGCTTGGCCTAATCTATATGTATGTATATCTTAGCCTCTCAAATAGCTGGGATTACAGGCACAAGTCAGTATACCTGGCCTAATCTATATATACAGATATATATAGATCTACAGCATTACTGGGCTTGGGGTGTCCCCTGGAGAGATAAAGAGAGAGAGGCAGACAGAGTCTCACTCTCTGGCCCAAGCTAGAGTGCAGAGGTGCGAACATGGCTTCTTTGCAGCCTCGACCTGCCGGTCTCAAGCCATCCTCTCACCTCAGCCCCCCAAGTAGCTTGGACTACAGGCAAGCACTACCACACCCCACTCATTTTTGTATTTTTTGTAGAGATGGTGTTTCACCATGTTGCCCAGGCTGGTCTCAAATTCCTGAGCTCAAGTGATCTACCTGCCTTGGCCTCCCAAAGTGCTGAGATTACAGGTGTGAGCCACTATGCCTGGCCAATATGTGTGTTTTTTTTTTTTTTGAGATGGAGTCTTGCTCTGTTGCCTAGGCTGGAGTGCAGTGGGCACAATCTCAGCTCACTGCAAGCTCTGCCTTCCGGGTTCATGCCATTCTCCTGCCTCAGCCTCCCAAGTAGCTGGGACTACAGGCTCCCGCCACCACGCCCAGCTAATTTTTTTGTATTTTTAGTGGAGATGGGGTTTCACTGTGTTAGCCAGGATAGTCTCCATCTCCTGACCTCATGATCCCATGATCTGCCCACCTCAGCCTCCCAAAGTGCTGGGATTACAGGTGTGAGCCTGGCCTGTTTTTTTTTTTTTTTTTTTTAGACAGGGTCTTACTCTATCACACAGGCTGGAGTGCAGTGGTACAGTCATGGCTCACTGCAGCCTTGACCTCCTGGGCTCAAGCAGTCCTCCCATCTCAGCCTCCCAAGTAGGTGGGACTATAGGCGTGAGTCACCACATCTAACTTTTTAATTTTTTGTAGAGATGAGTTCTCAATATGTTTCCCAGGCTGCTTTGGAACTCTTAGGTTCAAGCAATCCTGCCTCAGCTTCCCGATGTGCTGGGGTTACAGGTGTGAACCACCATACCCAGCCTTAATCAATATATTATTATTTTTTGAGACCGAGTCTCACTCTGTTGACCAGGCAATAGTGTGATCTTTGGGCTCACTGCAACCTCTGCCTCCTGGGTTCAAGCAATCCTCCTGCCTCAGCCTCTTGAGTAGCTGGGACTACAGGAGCCTGCCACCACGCCTGGCTGATTTTTGTATTTTCGTAGAGATGGGTTTTCACCATGTTGGCCAGGCTGGTCTCGAACTCCTGACCTCGTGATCCACCCGCTTCAGCCTCCCAAAGTGCTGGGATTACAGGTATGAGCTGCCGCACCTGGGCTCAATATTTTATTTTATATTATCATTTATTTTATTTTATTTTTGAGACAGAGTCTTGCTGTCGTCTAGGCTGGAGTGCAGTGGCACGATCTCAGCTAACTACAACCTCCGCCTCCTGGGTTCAAGTGATTCTCCTGCCTCAGCCTCCTAAGTAGCTGGGATTACAGGCCTGCGCCATCACGCTTGGCTAATTTTTCTATTTTTAGTAGAGACGAAGTTTTGCTTTGTTGGACAGGCTGGTCTCAAACTCCTGACCTCAGGTGATCCGCCTGCCTAAGCCTCCCAAAGTGTTGGGATTACAGGCGTGAGCCACCGTGCCTGGCCCTAATCAATATTTTAATGCCTTGGGATAGGAGGAGGAACAAGATGACTGAATAGAAGCCTCCACCTATTGTCCTCCCCGAAGGAACGCCAAATTTGACAACTGTCTTACACAAAAAAACACCTTCATAAGAACCAAAAATCAGTTTAGGTACCAGCTTAGCCACAGTGGGGAAGAGCACTGAGTGGGCTTTTGAGGTCCTTGATTCCAGGCCTTGGCTCTTGAACAGCATTTTTGGACCTACCCCGGGCCAGAAGGGAGCCCACTGCCCTAAAGCATGAGTCCCAGGCCTGGCAGCATTCACCACAAGCTGATTGAAGCGTCCTTGGGCCTTAAGTGAACTTCGTCAGTACCCTGGCAGTACTCTCTGTGGGCCTGTGGTGGTGGACATGGGGAGAGACTCCTCTGCCTGGGGAAAGGGAGGGAAGAGTGAGAAGAGCTTTGTTTCGTGGTTTCAGTGCCAGCTTAGCTGTAGTAGAATAGAGAACCAGGTAGATTTCGAAGGTTTCCAACTCCAGGCCCTGCTACCAGACAACATCTCTGGACCTGCCTGGGGTCTGGGGTAACTCATTGCCCTGAAGAGAAGGACACAAGCCTGGCTGGCTTCACCACCTGATGATTGTAGAGGCCTCGGGCCTTGAGCAAACATAGGCAGAAGTCAGGTAGTGGTTGCAGCAGGCTTTGGGCAAGACCTAGTATTGTGCTGGCTTCAGATGTGACCCAGAGCAGTCCTAGTGGTGGTGGCCACAGGGATGCTTGTGTCACCTATTCCCCCAACTCCAGGCAGCTCAGCAGAGAGAGAGAGAGACTCCATTTATTTGGGAGAAAGTAAGGAAAGAGAACAAGAATCTCCTCCTGGTAATGCAGAGAATTCTTCTGGATTTTAACCAAGACCACTAAGGTGGTACCTTCATGAATCTGCAAGATCTACAGCTTCACTGGGCTTGGGGTGTCCTCTAATGCAGATACGGTTGCAGTAACCAAAAACTTAGATCACAACACCCAAGGCCCTTTGGGAAGCCTTTCCTAGAAGGGCAGGTACAAACAAGCCCAGACTGTGAAGACTGCAAAAAATACCTAAGTCTTCAATACACAGACACTGACAAACATCCACAAGCTTCTAGACCATTTAGGAAAACATACCCTCACCAAATTAACTAAATAAGGCACTGGGAGCCAGTCCCAGAGAGACAGAGATAAGTGACCTTTCAGACAGAATCCAAAGTAGCTGTTTTGAGGAAATTCAAAGAAACTCAAGATAACACAGGAAAGGAATTCATAATCCTATTAGGTAAATTTATTTATTTATTTTTATTTTTTGGAGACAGAGTCTCTTGCTCTATCCCCCAGGCTGGAGTGCAGTGGCGTGATCTCAGTTCATTGCAACCTCCGCCTCCCAGATTCAAGTGAGTCTCATGCCTCGGGCTCCCACCAAGCAGCTGGAATTACAGTCACCTGCCACCACGCCTGGCTAATTCTTGTATTTTTAGTAGAGACAGGGTTTCGCCATGTTGGCCACACTGGTCTCAAACTCCTGACCTCAGGTGATCTGCCACCCGCCTCAGCCTCCCAAATTGCTGGGATTACAGGCGTGAACCACCATGCCTGGCCCTATTAGATAAATTTAACAAAGAGATTGAAATAATTAAAAAGAATCAAGCAGAAATTCTGGAGTTGAAAAATGCAATTGACATACTTAGGAATGTGTCAGAGTTGCTGCAGCAGAATTGATTAAACAGAAGAAAGAATTAGTGAGATTGAAGACAGGTTATTTGAAAATACACAGAGGAGACAAAAGAAAAAGGAATTTTAAAAAGTAAAGCATGCCTACAAGATCTAGAAGACAGGCCGGGCGCGGTGGCTCATGCCTGTAATCCTAGCACTTTGAGAGGCCAAGACGGGTGGATCACAAGGTCAGGAGATTGAGACCATCCTGGCTAACAAGGTGAAACCCCGTCTCTACTAAAAATACAAAAAATTAGCCGGGCACGGTGGCGGGTGCCTGTAGTCCCAGCTACTCGGGAGGCTGAGGCTGGAGAATGGCGTGAACCCGGGAGGCGGAGCTTTCAGTGAGCTGAGATTGCGCCACTGCACTCCAGCCTGGGTGACAGAGCGAGACTCCATCTCAAAAAACAAAAAAAACAAAAAAAACAAAAAAGAGATCTAGAAGAAAGTCTCAAAAGGGCAAATCTAAGAGTTTTTGGCCTTAGGAGGTAGAGAGAGAGAGAGATAGGGGTAGAAAGTTTATTCAAAGGGATAATAACAGAGAACTTCCCAAACCTAGAGAGAGATATCAATATTCAAGTATAAGAAGATTGTAAGGCCGGGCGTGGTGGCTCATGCCTGTAATCCCAGCACTTTGGGAGGCCGAGGCGGGCAGATCACCTAAGGTCAGGAGTTCAAGACCAGCCTGGCCAACATGGTGAAACCCTGTCTCTATTAAAAATACAAAGATTAGCTGGGCCTGGTGGCAGGCGCCTGTAATCCCAGCTATTCGGGAGGCTGAGGCAGGAGAATCACTTGAACCTGGGAGGCAGAGGTTGCAGTGAGCTGAGATCGTGCCATTGCACTCCAGCCTGGGGGACAAGAGTGAGACTTCATCTCAAAAAAAAAGAAAGAAGATTGTAGAAAAAAGAAAAAAAAGAAAAAAAAAAACCCAAAAAACAAACAAACAAAAACGAAGGTTGTAGAACCCTAAGAATTTAACCCAAAGACTACCTCAAGGCATTTAATAAACTTTGAAAGGTCAAGGATAAAGAAAGAATCCTAAAAGCAGCAAGAGAAAAGAAACAAATATTAATAACATACAATGGAGCTCCAGTTCATCTGGCAGCAGAATTTTCAGTGGAAAATTTGTAGGTCAGGAGAGAGTGGCATGACATATTTAAGTGCAGAAGGAAAAAAACCTTTTACTCTAGAAATAGTATATCCAGCAAAAGACATCCTTCAGACATGAAATAGAAATAGCCTTTCCCAAATAAACAAAAGCTGAGGGATTTCATCAACACCACACCTATCCTACAAGAAATGCTAAAGGGAGTTCTTCAGTCTAAAAGAAAAAGATGTTAATGAGCAATAAGAAATCATTTGAAGGAACTGGGTGCAGTGGCTCATGCCTGTAATCCCAGCACTGTGAGAGGCTGAAGAGAGAGGATCACTTGAGCTCAAGAGTTTGAGACCAGCCTGGGCAACATAGTGAGACCTCATCTGTACAAAAAAGTTAAAAGAGTTAGCTGGGCGTGGTGGCGCATACCTGTAGTCCCAGCTACTTGGGAGGCTGAGGTGGGAAGAATGCTTGAACCTGAGAGTTCAAGGCTGCAGTGAGCTATGATTGTGCCACTGCTCTACAGCCTGGCTGACAAAGCAAGACCCTGTCTCAGCAACAGCAACAACAACAAAAGAAATCATCTGAAGTTACAAAACTCACTGGTAATAGTAAGTACACGGAAAAATACAGAATAATATAACACTGCAATTGTGGTATGTAAACTTCTCATTTCTCAAGTAGAAAGATGAAAAGATAGACTGATCAAAAATAATAACTGCAACAAATTTTCAAGACATAGTACAGTAAGATATGACTAGAAATAGCAAAAAGTTAAAAAGTGAGGAGACAAAGCTAAAGTATAGAGTTTTCTTTCTTTCTTTTTTTTTTTTTGAGACACAGTCTTGCTCTGTCGCCCATGCTGGAGTGCAGTGGCGCCATCTCGGCTCACTGCAAGCTCCGCCTCCTGGGTTCATGCCATTCTCCTGCCTCAGCCTCCTGAATAGCTGGGACTACAGGCGTGTGCCACCACGCCTGGCTAATTTTTTGTATTTTTAGTAAAGACAGGGTTTCACCGTGTTAGTCAGGATGGTCTCGATCTCCTGACCTCGTGATCTGCCCGCCTTGGCTTCCCAAAGCGCTGGGATTACAGGCGTGAGCCACCGCGCCCGGCCCTAGTTTTCTTTTTGCTTGTTAGTTTGTTTATGTTCTGTGTTATAATCAGTTTAAAATAATGGGTTTTTAAGGTATTATTAGCATGCCTGATGCTAACCTCAAATCTAAAAGCATACAACACAAACATGAAAAGTAAAAAGCAAGAAATTCAACATATGACTAGAGAAAATCACCTTCACTAAGAGGAAGACAGGAAGGAAGAAGGAAAAGAAGACCACAAAAGATTCAGAAAATAACAAAATGGAGGAATAAGTTCTTACTTACAAATAACATTGAATGCAAATGGACTAGACTCTCTAGTCAAGACCCAGAGTGGCTGAATGGATTAAAAAAACAAGACCCAAAGATCTATTGCCTCCAAGAAACACAATTCACCTATAAAGACACCCACAGACCGAAAATAAATGGAGGGAAAAAGATATTCCATGCTAATGGAAACCAAGAAAGGGTAGGAGTAGCTATACTAATATTAGACATAACAGATTTCAAGGCAAAAACTATGAAAAGACAAAGGGCCAGGCACGGTGGCTCATGCCTGTAATCCCAACACTTTTGGAGGCCAAGGTGGGTGGATCACCTGAGATCAGGAGTTTGAGACCAGCCTGGCCAACATGGCGAAACCCCGTCTCTACTAAAAAAAATGCAAAAATTAGCCAGGCGTGGTGGTGGGCGCCTGTAATCCCAGTTACTCAGGAGGCTGAGGCAGGAGAATCACTTGAACCTGGGAGGCAGATGTTTCAGTGAGCTGAGATCGCACCACTGCACTCCAGCATGGGCGACATAGTGAGACTCTGTCTCAAAAAAAATAAAATAAAGTAAAATAAAAATAATAAAAAGAGACAAAGAAGGACATTATATAATGATAAAGGGGTCAATTCAGCAAATGATATAATAATTGTAAATATATATGTACCCAACACTGGAGCACCCATATATATATATAAAGCAAATTTTATTAGAACTGAAAAGAGAGATAGACCCCAATACAATAGTAGCTGGAGATGTCAGCACCCCACTTTCAGCATTTGACAGATCATCCAGACAAAAATACAACAAAGAAACTTTGGACTGAATCTGCACCATAGACAGTGGACGTAATAATATTTACCTAACATTTCATCTAACAGCTGCAGAATATACATTCTTCTCCTCAGCACATGCATCTTTTCAAGGACAGACCATATGTTAGGCCACAAAACAAATCTTAAAACATTCAAAAAACTGACGTAATATCAAGTATCTTCTCTGACCACACTGGAGTAAAACTAGAAATCAGTAATAAGGATTTTTGGAAACTATACAAATACATGAAAGTTAAGCAATATTGCCGGGCGTGGTGGCTCATGCCTGTAATCCCGGCAATTTGGGAGGCCAAGGCAGGCGGATCACCTGAGGTCAGGAGTTCGAGACCATTCTGGCCAACATGGTGAAACTCTGTCTCTACTAAAAATACAAAAATTAACCGGGCGTGGTGGCAGGCGCCTGTAATCCCAGCTGCTTGGGAGGCTGAGGCATGAGAATTGCTTGAACCCAGGAGGTGGAGGTTGCAGTGAGCTGAGATTGCACCATTGTACTCCAGCCTGGGCAACAAGAGCAAAACTCTGTCTCAAAAAAAAAAAAAAAAAAAAAAAAGTTAAGCAATATGCTCCTAAATGACCAGTGGGTCAATGAAGATATTAAGAAAGAAATTGAGAAATTTCTTGAAAGAATTGATAATGGAAACAGAACATACTAAAACCTATTGGATACAGCAAAAGCAGTACTAAGAGGGAAGTTTGTAGCTGTAAGTACCTATATCAAAAAAGAAGAAAAGGCCGGGTGCGGTGGCCCACACCTGTAATCCCAGCACTTTGGGAGGCTGAGGTGGGCGGATCATGAGGTCAGGAGATCAAGACCATCCTGGCCAACATGATGAAACCCTGTGTCTACTAAAAATACAAAAATTAGCTGGGTGTGGTGGCACGTCCTTGTAATCCCAGCTACTTGGGAGGCTGAGGTGGGAGAATCGCTTGAACCCAGGAGGTGGAGGTTGCAGTGAGACAAGATCGTGCCACTGAACTCCAGCCTGGCAACAGAGCTAGACTCCGTCTCAAAAAAAAAAAAAAGAAGAATGACATGCAAATTCGTGAAGCATTACATATATATATATATATATATATATATAAAAGAAGAAAAACTTCAAATAAATAACCTAATGATGAAGCTTGAAGAATTAGAAAAGCAAGAGGAAACCAAACCCAAAGTTAGTAGAAGAAAAGAATCAATAAAGATCAGAGCAGAAATAAATGAAGTTGAAAGCAAGAAAATACAAAAGATCAATGAAACAAAAATTGTTTTTTAAAAGATAAAGAAAAATGAAAAACCATTAGCCAGACTACAAAAAAAAGACAGAAGACCCAAATAAATAAAATCAGAGTTGAAAAGCGAGACATTACAACCAATACTGCAGAAATTCAAAGGACCGTTAGAGCAACTATATGCTGTGAGCAACTATATACCAATAAATTGGAAAATCTAGAAGAAATGGATACATTCCTAGACACTCATGCAACCTACCAAAATTGAACCATGAAGAAATTCAAAACCTGAAGAGACTAATAACAAGTAACGAGATTGAAGCTATAACAAAAAGTCTCCCAGTCAAAAAAGCCTGGGACCCGATGGCTTCACTGCTGAATTTAACCAAACATTTAAAGAAGAACTAATTTCAATTTTATTCAAACTATTCTGCAAAGTAAGGAAGCAAGGAAACTTCCAAACTCATTCTTCGAGGCCAAGTATTGCACTCATACTAAAACCAGGCAAAGACACATCAAAAAAGAAAACTACAGGCCAATATATCTGATGAACATTGATGTAAAAATCCTAAACAAAATACTAGCAAACTGAATTCAACAATACATTAAAAAGATCAATCATCATGACCAAGTAGGATTTATCTCAGGGATGCAAGGATGGCTCAACATATGCAAATCAATGAATGTGCTACATTATATCAACAGAATGAGCCACAAAAACCACATGATTATTTTTATTGATGCTGAAAAAGCATTTGATAAAATTCAGCATCCTGGCTGGGCGCAGTGGCTCACGCCTGTAATCCCAGCATTTTGGGAGGCCGAGGTGGGCGGATCATGAGGTCAGGAGATTGAGACCATCCTTGCTAACATGCTGAAACCCCATCTCTACTAAAAATACAAAAAATTAGCTGAGCGTGGTGGCGGGCGCCTGTAGTCCCAGCTACTCGGGAGGCTGAGGCAGGAGAATGGTGTGAACCTGGGAGGTAAAGCTGGCAGTGAGCCGAGATTGCGCCACTGCACTCTAGCCTGGGCAACAAAGCAAGACTCTGTCTCAAAAAAAAAAAAAAAAAAAAATTCAACATCCCTTCATGATAAAAAATCTTAAAAAACTGGGTATAGAAAGAACATACCTCAACATAATAAAAGCCATATATGGGCCTGGTGCAGTGGCTCATGCCTGTAATCTCAGCACTTTGGGAGGCCAAGGCAGGCGGATCACATCTGAGGTCAGGAGTTTGAGACCAGCCTGGCCAACATAGTGAAACCCCGTTTCTACTAAAAATACAAAAAATTAGCCAGGCGTGGTGGTGCATACCTGTAATCCCAGCTACTCAGGAGGCTGAGGCAGGAGAATCGCTTGAATCCGGGAGGCCAAGGTTGCAGTGAGCTGAGATCGTGCCATTGTACTCCAGTCTGGGCAACAAGTGTGAAACTCCATCTCAAAAAAAAAAAAAAAAGCCATATATGACAGACCCACAGCTAGTATCATACTGAATGGGGAAAAACTGAAAGCCTTTCTTTAGATCTGGAACACACCAAGGATTTCCACTTTCACCACTGTTATTCAACATAGTACTGAGAGTCGTAGGCACAACAATCAGACAAGAGAAAGAAATAAAGGGCATTCAAATTGGAAAGGGAGAAGTTGAATTATTGTTGTTTGTAGATGATATGATCTTATATTTGGAAAAACCTAAAGACTCCACGAAAAAACTATTAGAACTGATCAATAAATTAAGTAAAGCTGCAGGATACAAAATTATCATATGAGGCCAGGCATGGTAGCTCACACTTGTAATCCCAGCAATTTGGGAGGCTAAGACTGGAGGATTGCATGAGTCCAGGAGTTTGAGACCAGCCTGGCCAATATGGAGAAACCCCTGTCTTTTATAAATATTTAAAAAAAAATTATACAAAAATCAGTAGTTTTTTTTTTTTTTTTTTGAGACACAGTCTCACTCTATCATCCAGGCTGGAGTGCAGTGGCACAATCTCGGCTCACTGCAACCTCCATCTCCTGGGTTAAAGTGATTCTTGTGCCTTAGCCTCCTGAATAGCTGGGATTACAGATGTGTGCCACCACACCCGGCTAATTTTTGTATTTTTAGTAGAGACTGGGTTTCACCATTTTGGCCAGGCTGGTCTCAAACTCCTGACCTCAGGTAATTCGCCCACCTTGGCCTCCCAAAGTGCTGGAATTACAGGTGTGAGCCACTGCGCCCAGCCTATTTTTTTTTTTTTTTTTTGAGACAGAGTCTTGCTTTGTTCCCCAGGCTGAAGTGCAGTGGCCCAATCTCAGCTCACTGCAGCCTCTGCCTCCTGGGTTCAAGAAATTCTCCTGCCTCAGTCTCCCAAGTAGCTGGGACTACAGATATGCATGGCCAGCTAATTTTTGTATTTTTAGTAGAGACAGGGTTTCACCATGTTAGCTAGTCTGGTCTCGAACTCCTGGCCTCATGTGATCTGCCTGCCTCGGCCTCCCAAAGTGCTAGAAGTACAGGCGTGAGCCACTGCGCCCAGCTGAAAATCAGTAGTATTTTTATATGCCAACAGTGAACTAACTGAAAAAGAAATTGAGAACATAATTCCATTCACATTAGCTACAAATAAAATTTAAAACCCAGAAATTAACCAAAGAAGTGAAAGCTCTCTACAATGAAAACTATAATCATTGGTGAAAGAAATTAAAGAAGACACAAAAAAATGGAAAAATATTTCATGTTCATGGATTGCAAGAATCAGTATTGTTAAAATGCCCATACAACCTAAAACAATCTACAGATTCAGTGCAATCCCTATCAATATACCAATGACATTCTTCACAGAGTAGAAAAAAATGAATCCTAAAATTTATGTGGAATCACAAAAGACTCAGAATAGCCAAAGCTATTGTGAGCAAAAAGAACAAAAGTGGAAGAATCACATTACCTGACTTCAAAATATACTACAGAGCTACAATAACCAAAACAGCATGGCACTGGCATAAAAACAGACACATAGACCAATGAACAGAATAGAGAACCCAGAAACAAATCCGTACATCTACAGTGAACTTATATTCAACAGAGGTGCCAATAACATACAATGGGGAAAGGACAGTCTCTGCAATAAATGGTGGTAGGAAAACTGGATATCCATATGCATAAGAGTGAAACTAGACCCCTATCTCTTGCCATCTATGAAATCAAATAAAAATGTATTAAGGATTTAAATCTAAGACTTCTAAACTGTGAAACTACTAAAAGAACACACTGGGGAAACTCTCTAGGATCATTGGACTGGGCAGAGTTCTTGAGTAACATACCACAAACACAGGCAGCCAAAGCCAAAATGTACAAGTAGGATTACATCAAGTTAAAAAGCTTCTGCCGAGCAAAAGAAACAATCAACAAAGTGAAGAGAAACCCACAGAATGGGAGAAAATATTTGCAAACTATCCATTTGACAAAGGATTAATAACCAGAATATGTAAGGAGCTCAAACAACTCTATAGTAAAAAATCTAATAATCCGATTTAAAAATGGGCAAAAGAGCTGAATAGACATTTCTCAAAAGACATACAAATGGCAAACACATTTAGGAAAGGAGCTCAACAGCATTGAGCATCAGAGAAATGCAAATCAAAACTGCAATGAGATATCATCTCACTTCAGTTAAAATGGCTTCTATTGGCCAGACTCATGCCTGTAATCCCAGCACTTGGGAAGGCTGAGGCAGGCGGATCACTTGTGTTGAGGAGATCGAGACCAGTCTGGCCAACATGTCAAAACCCTGTCTCTACTAGTAATACAAAAATTAGCCAGGCGTGGTGGCACGCACCTGTAATCCCAGCTACTTGAGAGGCTGAGGCAGGAGAATTGCTGGAACCCAGGAGGCAGTGGCTGCAGTGAGTTCAGATCATGCCACTGCACTCCAGCTTGGGTGACAGAGCGAGACCCTGTCTCAAAAAGAAAAGAAAAGAAAAGAAAAGAAAAAAAAGGCTTATAGCCAGAAGACAGGCAATAACAAACACTGGCGAGGATGTGGAGAAAAGGGAACCCTTGTCCACTGTAGATGTGAATGTGAATTAGTACAACCACTATGGAGAACAGTTTGGAGGTTCATCAAAAAACTAAAAATAGAGCTCCCATATGATCCAGCAATTCCCCTGCTAGGTATATACCCAAAAGAAAGGCTGTCAGTATATTGAAGAGATATCTTCACTCTCATGTTTATTGTAGCACTATTTACAATAACCAAGATTTGGAAGCAACGTAAGTGTCCATCAACAGACCCAGAGAGCAATCAGTGAAGGCTGAAGTAGAATGACAAGGACGGTAGGCTCTAAGAGGGACGTCGCCAAGCAAAAAATAAATAAATAAAATTGGTAGCTGATGTATTGGAACAGGCTGAGAAGAAATTTATAAAACTAGGCAAATGATAAAAAACAAGGCCATGGCCGGGCGCGGTGGCTCACGCCTGTAATCCCAGCACTTTGGGAGGCCCAGGTGGGCGGATCACGAGGTCAGGAGATCGAGACCATCCTGGCCAACATGGTGAAACGCTGTCTCTACTAAAAATACAAAAATTAGCTGGGCGTGGTGGTGCATGCCTGTATTCCTAGCTACTCAGGAGGCTGAGGCAGGATAATCGCTTGAACCCAGGAGGCTGAGGTTGCAGTGAGCTGGGATCGCGCCACTGCACTCCAGCCTGGCAACAGAGTGAGACTCTGTCTCAAAAAAAAACAAAACAAAACAAACAAAAAACCAAAACCAAACAAACAAACAAAAAAAACAAGGCCATATTAAACCTGGAACAAACTAGAAGTTAATATGGAAAATGGAAATATAATCATAATATGTTACATAGGGCATTGTGGCAATTTATAGTCATAATGTTGGAAACACTGAATATTGGTTTTACAAAAGGTTATGATTTACATCAGAGAAATGCAAATTAAAACCAAATGGAGATACTATCTCACACTGGTCAGAATGGCTATTATTAAAAAGTCAAAAAATAACAGCTGTTGGCAAGGATGCAGAGAAAATTGAATGCTTATACACTGTTGATAGGAATGTAAATTTGTTAAATCCTGTGGAAAACAGTATGGAGATTTCTCAAATAACTAAAAATAAAACTATCATTCTACCCTGGAATCCTACTACTGGGTGTCTACCCAAAGGAACAGAAGTTGTTTTATCAAAAAGATGCCTGGCTTGGCTGGGCGAGGTGGCTCACGCCTATAATCCAAGCACTTTGGGAGGCCGAGGTGGGTGGATCACTTGAGGTCAGGAGTTCGAGACTAGCCTGGCCAACATGGTGAAACCTCGTCTCTACTAAAAATAAAAAAATTAGCTGGATATGGTGGTGCACGCCTGTAATCCCAGTTCTTTGGAAGGCTGAGGCAAAAGAATCGCTTGAACCTGGGAGGCAGAGTTTGCAGTGAGCTGAGATTGCGCTATTGCATTCCAGCCTGGGCTACAGAACGAGACTCTGTCTCCAAAAAAAAAAAAAAAAAGAAAAAAGAAGACATCTGGCTCATGCCTGTAATCCCAGCACTTTGGGAGGGCGAGGTGGGCAGATCATTTGAGGTCAAGAGCTCGAGACCAGCCTGACCGACATGGTGAAACCCCGTCTCTACTAAAAATAAAAACAAAACAAAACAAAACAAAACAAAAAAATTAGCCAGGCATGGTGCCTGTAATTCCAGCTACTTGGGAGGCTGAGGCAGGAGAATCTCTTGAACCCGAGAGGCAGAGGTTGCTGTGAGCCGAGATCATGCCACTGCATTACAGCCTGTGCGACAGAGAGAGACTGTCTCAAAAAAAAACCAACAAACAAAAAACTTAAAAAAAGAAGACACCTGAACTCATACGTTTATCGCAGCACTGTTTACTATAGCAAAGTCATGGAATCAATCTAGGTGCCCATCAACAGTGGATTGAATAAAGAAAATGTGGTACATATATACCATGAAATACTATGCAGCCATAAAAAAGAAGAATAATATCCTTTGAGCAACATGGATGGAGTTGAAGGCCATTATCCTAAGTGATCTAATGCAAGAATAGAAAACCAAATACTGCATGTTCTCACTTCTAAGTGGGAGCTAAACAATGAATACAAGTGAACGTAAAGAAAAACAGACACCGGGGATCACTAGATGGGGAGGGAGTGGGATGTGGGCTGAAGAACCACCTGTTGGGCACTATGCTTACTGCCTGAGTGATGGGATAGTTGGGACCCCAAGCCTCAGCATCACACAATTTACCCATGTAACCAACCTGCACACGTACCCTTTAATCTATTATAAAAGTTGAAATTTTAAAAAATTTAGGTTTTAGATGCTGTTTATAATGATCGAGGAGGTTGTACAATAAAAAGTCCTCCTCCACAAAGGAAAATATATTAAAAGTTTCTTGGGAGCTGGGCACAGTGGCTCATGCCTGTAATCCCAGCACTTTAGGAGGCTGAGGTAGGAGGATCAGTTGAGGCCAGGAGTTCCAGACCAGCCTGGGCAACATAGTGAGACCCTGTCTCTGTTTTAGTCAAAAAAAGAAAAAAGTTTCCTGAGTATCATTTAAGAATATTCTGTGGGCTGGAAGCAGTGGCCCATGCCTGTAATCCTAGCACTTTGGGAGGCCAAGGTGGGAGGATCACTCGAGCTCAGGAGTTTGAGACCAGCCTGGGCAACATAGTGAGACCCCATCTCTATTACAAAAAAAATTAATTTTTAAATAAATAAGAATATTCTATGAAAATGTGAGAGTACATAGATTCTAAAAGAGTCTTTAAATCATTTTTTTAACTTTTAAAAAAATTATTTTTGGCCGGGCCCGGTGGCTCATGCTTGTAATTCTAGCACTTTGGGAGGCCGATACCGGCGGATCACCTGAGGTCAGGAGTTCAAGACCAGCCTGGTCAACATAATGAAACCCTGTCTCTACTAAAAATAGAAAAATTAGCCAGACGTGGTGGCACATGCCTGTAATCCCAGCTACTTGGGAGGCTGAGGCAGGAGAATTGCTTGAACCTGGGAGGCAGAGGTTGCAGTGAGCCAAGATTGCGCCACTGCACTCCAGCCTGGGTGACAGAGCAAGACTCTGTCTCAAAAAAAAAATGTATATATATTTTTATTTTTTAATAGAGTTGGAGATCTCAATATGTTGCCCAGGCTGGTCTTGAACTCCTAGAAACAAGGGATCCTCCTTCCTCGGTCTTCCAAAATGTTGGGATTAAAGGCATTAGCCACCAAGCTTGGCCAAGAATCTCTAAATCTTTAGAGAAAAAATCAAGTAACAGAATATCGTATTGAGGCATGAAGTTTCAAGACATATATGACCCTACTGCCATCCCAGTGTACGCGTGTGTGTGGGCATGGAGAATATGCAAATTGGCTTAGAGGTAAGAGTGTTTTGGAATCAGCACTTGAGAAGGTAGTGAAAGCTGTTTTTGTTATATTTAGAATGTGGTCTGTATGTATTTAAATTTTTCTTGAATTGATTCTTACGCAAAAAAGCCTCCTTTGCATGGAGGCTCTGTTTATTGTGGTTAATTATAGTGCTCCAGCAAGGGGAACTTGTTTCTCTTTCTACAGAGACTGCTCTGGGACATAAGTTATGTCCCCTGAGGTGAAGTATTTCACAAGTAAATATCTTACATATTTGAGAAATCTTCCATTACAAGGCTTAAGTTTAATCCTTGTAGGGCCTTCAATTTGCTTAGTTAAGTGATGACAAGAAGACAGAGGCAGCTAAAAGGAAATGAAGAGAGAGGGCAAGTAATAAAAGAGAAGGCCTGAAAGAAAAGTGGCGGAGATTGAGGGCCTTTTACTGGACCTGGAAATTGAAGTAAGGGTTCTCTTCCACAGTCCGCTCCTAGTGTATCTGATGCTACTCTGTTCGCACAGAGAGTAGTTAGTCTTCATGGAAGGTACAGTAGTCCGAGGTTCCAACGCTGGGGCTGAGTCACATGGGATTCAGTAACAGAGGAGACTTGCAAGCACAATTTAATAGCCTTACACTGGTGCTCACCTGTGCTTTACAATCTGCTATTTGGTGGGGTCAAGGGTGGGAAGAGGTGAATGGTGCCATTGATCCAAAAACTAGTGTGCATAGTTGGGGAACTTGAAGCTCTGAGTTTAAGTTGAATTTGCCATGGAGCCAGGATATGGTTGAGTCAATCTTCATAATCGTAGCTTAATCCATTGCTTTTTTCTGATTATCAACAATGTATGCCGTCTCCTCCATAAAGCTTTTTTCTAATCTCCCAGGAGAAGGGGTTCTTGTCCTCTTCTGAACACAAAACAATATTACTTTTGCCTTTCTTCCAGCATGCATCTCTTCATGCCCTCTATTTTTACATATTTGTATATGCTTAATAAACAGTGCTTTCGTGTGAGGGTCAAACCATATCATACCTCTTTTGCATCATACACACTGCTTTACATATATTAGGCCTTTAACGCATCCGTTGACTAAATGGATACCTTTAACAAAACAGTTCCCATAGATTAATTTGGGACTATTCCCTTGATTTCATGGGACTACAAGGGATCTACCTTATATTTACTGAATCCAAACCCCATGACTTAAAATGAGGGAATAAGACACTGGCAGGTAGATCACTACTATGGTGGGGAGTCTTATTCCTAGGCCAGCCCATCCCACTGTATCAATTGCAGTCTTTCATATTAGGCAAGCCTATCCTGTTCTTAAGGAAAATCGAGGCAACCAACAACAGGAGAGTCTACTTGAAGTAAGGCATTTGTAAAGTGTAAGTTAGTATAATTTACCTGATGCTTTTTTACAGGGTTAGACAACTAACCCCCTTATGGTTACCTAACATGTCTATGGTTAACTTGTATCAAACAATAGAGGAAGAATAATAGATCTTATTTTTATTTTATTTTATTTTATTTTATTTTTTCAGATGGAGTTTCACTCTTTGCCCAGGCTAGAGTACAGTGGCACAATCTTGGCTCACAGCAACCTCTGTGAGAGTAATAGTTTTTTTTTTTTTTGAGACACAAGTCTCGCTTCTCGGCTCACTGCAACCTCCACCTCCCGTGTTCAAGCGATTCTCCTGCCTCATTCCCCCTCCCCTCTTCCCCCAACCCACCCCGAGTAGCTATCCCCTAGATCCTGTAATCCTGCCATCATGTCTGGCTAATTTTTGTATTTTTAGTGGAGACGGGGTTTCACCATGTTGGCCAGGCTGCTCTTGAACTCCTCACCTCAGGTGATCCGCCCACCTCGGCCTTCCGTAGTGCTGGGATTACAGGCATGAGTCGCCATGCTGGGCCAGAGAGTAATAGATCTTTAAACTGGTATTCAAATACCCTCAAATCCCTGCTCCTAAGCTTCCTAACTGTAGGCCTATTTATCCCATGTCTGAAGGCCAAGATTATGCAAAACTGAAGTGCCAATGGGTTTACATGGTTCACTCCAGGTGGAATGAATCCCTTTACCATCATACTTCCATGGTAAGTTTACCAGTCCCCTAGGTCTATCAAATGCCACTTCCTCTTTGAAGCCTTGCCCTCTTCCCTTCAGCTAAAATTAACCTCTGCCTGGCTTAATGGCTCATTCCTGTAATCCCAGCTTTTTGGGAGGCTGAGGTGGGAGGATCGCGGGAGGCTGAGGTGGGAGGATCGCGGGAGGCTGAGGTGGGAGGATCGCTGGAGCCCAGGAGTTTGAGACCAATCTGGACAACATAGAACCTGTTTCAACAAAAAATAAAAAATTAGCCAGGCGTGGTGGCATGCACCTGTAGTCCCAGCTACGATAGGGAGGCTGAGGTGGGAGGATCACTTGAGCCCAAGAGTTCAAGGCTGCAGTGAGCCATAATGATGCCACTGTACTCCAGCCTGGCAACAGAGCAAGACCCAACTCATAAAATAAAAGTAACCTCCACATTCTGAAGTTTGCTATTTGCTTGTGGCATCAAATCTCTCTAATCTCTCAGTTACTTATGTCTTCTCTTCCCTACTGTAACAAGCATATTGAAGGTAGGGTTTGTATCTGATTCATCTTTCAAGTTTACAAATAAGGGGCCATGAATATGTTACTTAGTTCAAGTCACCATCCTCTCTCATTTCAGCTTCAGCAAAAGCCTTCCAACTGTCCCCTAGATTCCACTCTTGCTCTCCTACCCTGATTCTTTTGAAACACATTGGCTCAAGTCAGTACCTTATTTGGAGCCATCCACAGACTTTCCAAGTTCTCAACATGCTGTCTGTCTAAGTTTGCTGCGATCACCGGCCTCTTGCTTCTTTTTTTTTTAATCATGCTAAGCACCTCCTGTCTCAAATGTCCTTGCATTTCATTTGATGTTCTCTCAGTCTAGAATAGTAGCTGTTAGTAGAAGATGGTTTAGAATCCTGGAGATTGTTTGCCTCCTGACTTCAATGCAGTGCTGAAGTCTTCTTCCATAGAAATCCTCTTCAACCACTCTCTGGCACCTCTATAACTCTGTCCTTGAACGCTGCTTTAGTTGAGTCTCAACCCTGAATCCAGAGTGCCTAGTTGAGAAAATTGGCTTTCCCACTTATAACGTGTATGATTTGGGGCAGGTTAATTAACCTTTTCCTGCCTCAGTTTCTGCATCAGTAAAATGGAAATAATAATTACACATATTTATTGTTTAGAACAGTGTCCATCTGGAACATGGCAAAAGTTCAGTAAGTTATTGCTTTTCTTCACAGCACTTACTACATTTTATTACATACTGGTCTTGTCTTCTACATTAGAAGTAAGCTCCATTAGGGCAGGACTTTGTATTACTGAGGACTTTATCCCTAGCTCCTAGTGCAGTGTATTTAGTATAAAGGCCTTCAGTATTTGTTATGAGTTAATTTACTGAATGTTTAAAACGCCATAAATTGCTATAACAGAAGAAAAGAATTATAATTAAAAATAAAACACAGGCCGGGCACGGTGGCTGATGCCTGTAATCCCACACTTTGGGAGGCCGAGGTGGGCGGATGGATCACAAGGTCGAGGTCGAGACCATCCTGGCCAACATGGTGAAACTCTGTCTCTACTAAAAAAAAAATACAAAAATTAGCTGGGCGTAGTGGCGTGCACCTGTAGTCCCAGCTACTCAGGAGGCTGAGGCAGGAGAATCGTTTGAACCCAGGAGGTGGAGGTTACAGTGAGCCAGATTGCACCACTGCACTCAAGCCTGGCGACAGAGCGAGACTCTAAAAACTAATAAATAAAAACATAAATAAAACACAAAAAGCCATAAATGATTGTATTATTTTCTTTCTTTTTTTTTTTTTTTTGAGACGGAGTCTCACTCTGTCACCCAGGCTGGAGTGCAGTGGCACGATCTCGGCTCACTGCAACCTCCGCCTCCCGGGTTCACACCATTCTCCTGCCTCAGCCTCCCGAGGAGCTGGGACTACAGGCGCCCGCCACCACGCCCCGCTAATTTTTTGTATTTTTAGTAGAGATGGGGTTTCACCGTGTTAGCCAGGATGGCTATAATCCTCATACTTTGGGAAGAAGAGGTGGGAGGATCACTTGAGCCCAGGAGTTCCGAGACTTGCATGGGCAACATGGTGAGACCCTGTCTCTACAAACAATAAATTAGCTGGGCATGGTAATGTGCACCTGCAGTCCTACCTACTGGAGAGGCTGAGGTGGGAGGATTGCTTGAGCTCAGGAGTTCAAGGCTGCAGTGAGCAATGATCATGTCATTGCACTCCAGCCTGGGCAACAGAGTGAGACCTTGTCTCTGAAAAAAAAATCCAAACTCCCCTCCCTCAAAACAGGCTTCTATTTTGGGCATTATTTTTAACTTATTTATATGTTAAACATCTAATTAATCTCTTGAGATGCTAATTTATAGAAAAAAAGAGACAAGTTAATGACGGCTACCTTTGAAGTCAGGCTTAAAAAGTAACAATTCTTCGTATTTAGCCTTTTTCTTTTTTGTTTTTGAGATGGAGTCTTGCTCTGTCACCCAGGCTAGAGTGCAGTGGTGCTATCTCGGCTGCCTGCCAGCTCCGCCTCCCAGGTTAACGCCATTCTCCTGCCTTAGCCTGCCGAGTAGCTGGGACTACAGGCGCCTGCCACCACATCTGGCTAATTTTTTGCATTTTTAGTAGAGACAGGGTTTCACCATGTTAGCCAGGATGGTCTCGATCTCCTGACCTCGTGATCCGCCCACCTCGGCCTCCCAAAGTGCTGGGATTACAGGCGTGAGCCACCGCACCCGGCCTATTTAGCCTTTTTCAACTTCCACTGCATTTTCACATACATTATACCTTTTGTTCCCATATCCTGTGCTGTAAATTTGAGCAGGTTTTATATAGTTTATATATGAGGAAAAAAAAAAGATACCTCAGAAAGGCTGATTTGCCTAAAGTTGCATGAATTTTTTTTTTTTTTTTGAGATAAAATCTTTCTGTGTCACCCAGGCTGGAGAGCAGTGGTGCCATCATGGCTCACTGCAGCCTTGGCCTCCTAGGTTCAAGCAATCCTCCTGCCTCAGCCTCCCAAGAGGTATGTGCCACCATGCCCCAGCTAATTTTTAAAAATTTTTGTAGAGATGGAATCTTGCTATGTTGCTCAGGCTGTTCTCAAACTCCTGGGCTCAAGCTATCCTTTTGCTTTAGCCTCCCAAAGTGCCAGGATTTCAGGCAAGAGACACTGCACCTGGCCTAGTTGCATGATTTGCATGAGCTGAAATACAGTACCCTGGTGCTTTCAATATTAGAGTTTCCATACTTTATAATTGTACCTCCCCAACCTTCAGCCCCTGCTCTCTCTCACTCTAATATCTCACAATCACATTAATTTTTTTGCTGTTTATATGTCTTCTAAGGGAAATGACAATTTTAACTTTGGTGTAATATTTATTGCACCTATCTACTTAATTTTTTAATGTATAAAAATTGCATTAAAACATCAATATGCAATTATTTTCCCACCACTCAAAAATTTTAATATGTATTGAAGATTTTGGCCAAAAAATATGCAAAAGACAAGGAATATAAAAATAACTTACAACAAATTTCTAAAACCCCTCATATATTAAAATTGGTAAGACAAAAATATGATTTATAATACATGTTTGCCATTGTGGTATATATAAGAAAATAGTACTCATACTAAATTCAATCTACTTATCAAAATTCTTAATATAAGAATGAAAATATTCAGATGTTATAAATAGAAAGACAGGTATTAAAAAGTTTCTTTTGGACAACATTCTTTGGTGCTGATAAAACTGCATGTTATTGTCTATGGTAAAGTCTTTTCAGACTTTACTACATATCTAGTTACAACTGGAAATGAAAAAAATATAAATTAGATATGACTATAGAAAGTAGTTATAGGGTATTTTGATTTCATGGTGCTCAAATGTTTATGAACAAGTTTTACTTATTAAACTTTGAAATAACTACCTATTCTTTGATATTTCTTATATATCTATATGTTCCAGAAATTAGAAAAAAGTTACCTACATAGGCAGAGAATTCAACTGTGAGTTGACAATTATTTACGATTCTCTTAACTGGCTGTTTCACAACGTTATGGAGCTAAGAAAGGATGAAAGCTTACCACTGCTTGGATACCAGCTTGATAAGCAGCTTGGAATGTCAAATATATAACAAGAAAGGAAATATTCTACTTTAAAGGAACATGGTAAGTAAATGAATAACATGGACACAACTTAGTATAAGTTCTTTACCCTAATAAATTAATTATTCATTTGCAAATATTACCAAAAGTAAAAAAAATTTATTTTATAGAGTGGTTGATTTTTGTAATACATCAAAAACTGTGATGTTATACACTTCCCTATTCTCATTGCTTATCTCATATCAGTGGTTGAAGTTTCTCCCAAATAATTTAGTTTACATTTAAAGTGGCAATACAGATTTTACTTAATGGACTTAAGTTATAATTAGAAACCAGTTTTATATACAGAAAATCCATAAATATAGAACTTTTATTCCTATTTTATCTTTAGGCTATGCAAAAAATGGACTAAAAATTTTTCATTTGGGTCTTTGTAATAAACATGTAAATACATATTTACAATGGAGATGCTTCCTGATAGAAAGTAAACAGAAGTAATTTTGGTCTTCACTAGAATCCATCATATCTATTTTTGAAGATGATGTAATACATCATGTTTACTCAAAATTTGATTCCTTTTATACACATAATTTAAATAATTACTCCACTTTTACCATTAATGTTTCATTCTGTATTTAAATTTCCTTCAAGAAAGATTCCTTGATCCAGTAGTAGGGAACTCTGTTTCTGTACAGTTAATGTGTAATTTTTATCCTTCTGGCAATATTACAAATACTGAGTCATTTAATCTTCATTGTTTATTCTCCAGGGGTAATTCTTGAGTTATCTCACATGATGTAAGTACCATCTTTGCAGTATTTCATGGATTCCATTTGTTTTGTCATAGCCAGAACATCATGAAATCCAGTACTTAGGCCAGACATATGTTGAAAGTATGCCTCCTTTTCCACTTGAATTGTTAAATTGTTTACTCCAGCATCTTTAAGTATTCCTGTAACCTGTTATAAAAATCCAGATATTTTGAAGCATTTAGAGTAATGCATTTAGTACACACGTCTTAATATGCTGTACATAGTTGATACGGGTTGAGTATCTTTAATCTGAAAATACGAAATCTGAGACGCTCTAAAATCTGAAACTTTTTGAGTGCCAAGATGGTGTTAAAAGGAAATGCTCATTGGAGCATTTTGGATTTGGATTTTCAGATTAGGGATGCTCAACTGGTAAGCGTAATGCGAGTATTAAAAAAAATAAAATCGCAAATCGAAAACACTTCTGGTTCCAAGCATTTTAGATAAGGAATATTAAACCTGTGTCACATTTTTAAAATAGTTACAGGCCAGGCACAGTGGCCCAGGGAGGCTGAGGCAGGAGGATCGCTTGAGCCCAGGAGTTTGAGACCAGCCTGGGCAACATAGTGAGATCTTGTCTCTAAAATGAATGAGTAAACAAACAAACAAACAGTTACAGTAGTCCAAGATAAATCTTCGAAGTAATATTCATCATTTAGTTAGTTAAAATATTAGACTCTTTTAGGTCAGTAAATTACTGATTTGACATTCACAGTAGAAAAGGAAAACAGCCATTGTTTCCAATTTGGCACATCTAGAACAGGGCTTTAGTAACTATTCTGACCTCTATCTCCAAACATAGCATATACCCTGCCAAGTTGATTATTACTAATTTAGGAATATATTTATAATAACTTATTTTTTGATAATCTACTGGAAACCAAGATTAATCAAACTCATAAATGAATTTTTTTATATTAATTAAAGCTTATCCTCTAAACACAAAACTTCATTTATTTTAGCAATTTTTAGATATAAAACAAATCTAGATGTAAAAAGTAAGCTATATTACCGTTACAGATTTGGAAGATTAGGCCGGGCATGATGGCTTGCCTATAAACCCAGCACTTTGGGAGGTCGAGGCAGGCGGATCACCTGAGGTCAGGAGTTTGAGACTAGACTGGCCAACATGGCGAAACCCCATCTCTACTAAAAATACAAACAAACAAACAAAAATAGGCGGGCATGGTGACGGGTGCCTATAATCCCAGCGACTTGGGAGGCTGAGGCAGGGAGACTGCTTGAACCCAGGAGGCGGAGGTTGCAGTGGGCCGAGATCACGCCACTGCACTCCAGCCTGGGCAACAGAGTGAGACCCTGTCTCAAAAAAAAAAAAAAAAAAAGAGTTGGAAGATTGATATTTCTGAATAGTAAATGACTACTGAGCCATATAACTTATGAGGTGTACAATTTTGGGTATGAATGACCTCAATTAAAATTACTTTAAAAACAAAAGATTACCTGCTGTACTATTCTTTGTTCTAGCACATCAGATGTCACCTGTATATGAATTGTTCCTGCCACAATACTAGCAGAATGACGCCAAAAATGAGGGTCTCGGTATGATATTAATCCTTCAATTTTCTGTATCTGTCAAATAAAAGAGGTGATATAAATGGTCATACAGGCTACTTTACACAACACAATGGAGATGCTTTCTGACAGAAAGTAAACACACAGATTCCTTGGTCCAGGATCACTATTAAGCTCTTTAAAATACAAAACAAAACAAACAAAAAACCAGCCATAATGAGAAGCCAGAAGCAGGAAGGAATAGGAGATGGGAAAATAGCTTAAAGTAAAGGTGCCTAAAATATTCTGATCTATTTCTGGAGGCTACAGATGTGTGGGGGAAAAAAAATCTCACCTAGGAATGATGCTAGTATGGCAGCTCTGAGTAGGAAGGCAAATGGGTGTTACAGGTATCTTTATTTTGTTCGTTTTTGTTTTTTTTGAGACAGTCTTGCTCTGTCGCAGGCTGGAGTGCAGTGGCACCATCTTGGCTCACTGCAACCTCAGCCTCCCAGGTTCAGGCAATTCTCCTGCCTCAGCCTCCCAAGTAGCTGACTACGGGTGCACGCCACCACGCCTGGCTAAATTTTTTTTTTTTTTTTTTTTTTGTATTTTAGTACAGATGGGGTTTCACCATGTTGCCCAGGCTGGTCTCGAACTCCTGAGTTCAGGCAATCCACCCACCTCAGCCTCCCGAAGTGCTAGGATTATAGGTGTGGACCACCGTGCCCAGCTGTTACAGTTATCTTTATACCTAAAATGGGCTCTTATCAATAGCAGTACCCTTATTTTCCCTGATACAGCACAACTCTGCCTATTCTAATCATGACCTAGACACATTCAATGAACTACAAGTTCTCCTTTACACGGACACATTCATATGCACATTATTTGTTATATAGAGATAACACATTCAAAAGATATCCTCAATGTTCAACAACAGAGGATTGGTTAAATAAATGATTGACTGCCCATACAATGTAATAATGCAGTCATTAACAATGTATTAGAATATTAATCAACATGACATTATTAAGTGGGGAGAAAATTTATAAAACATTACGAAAGTTTTTTGCCATTTTTATTTTCAAAATTTTAATATGGAAACAACTTGTAAAAATGTTTCTTTACATGGCTTTTTGTAGAATGGGAAGGAAACAAAAAGTATTTCTTTCCAGGTGGTAAAATTATGTGATTTTTTTTTTTCTTTTTTGCACTTTTCTATATTTTGAAGTTTTCTGCAATGGATATATATACATATATATATATATTTTGTTGTTGTTGTTGTTGTTGTTTGTTTGTTTGTTTTTTTAAGACAGAGTCTCACTCTGTCGCCCAGGCTGGAGTGCAGTGGTGTGATCTCGGCTCACTGCAACCTCTGCCTCCTGGGTTCAAGCGATTCTTCTGCCTCAGCCTCCCGAATAGCTGGGACTACAGGCACGTGCCACCACACCCAGCTAATTTTTGTATTTTTTGTAGTTTTAGTAGAGATGGGGTTTCACCATATTGACCAGGCTGGTCTCAAACTCCTGACCTTGTGATCCGCCCGCCTCGGCCTCCCAAAGTTCTGGGATTACAGGTGTGAGCCGCCACGCCTGGCCTACAACAGACATATATTATTATTGAAATAAAAAATACTTTAGGCCAGGCGCGGTGGCTCACGCCCATAATCCCTCACTTTGGAAGGCCAAAGCTTGAGCTCAGGATTTCAAGACCAGCCCGGGCAACATTGAGAAACCCCAGCTCTATTTAAAAACAAAACAAACAAACAAAAACTTAAAAAAACCCCATGATGTACTACTATCCAATAACTATGAGGTGAGATAACTTTACTAATTTTATTTATGAAAACAATGGGTTAAGATGATAGAACTTAAATATTCAAGATGCTATCTTTTCATCAGCAGATCCCAATTACTTTAATATGATGTAGTAAACCACGAGGTGAAAGAGAGTCTATTTTATATTTGTTTATTTCTAGGAATTGCTGGTTTATATTCTCATCTTATTTTTCTACATGACTGTTTTTCCTTTGAGACAGTCTTGCTCTGTTGCCCAGGCTGGAGTACAGTGGTGTGATTTTTGGCTCACTGCAACCTCTGCCTCCTGGGTTGAAGTGATTCTCATGCTTCAGCCACTCAGGTAGTTGGGATTACAGGTGTGCGATACTACTACACCCAGCTAATTTTTTTTTTTTTTTTTTTTTTTTTTGAGACGGAGTCTCGCTCTGTGGCCCGGGCTGGAGTGCAGTGGCGTGATCTCGGCTCACTGCAAGCTCCGCCTCCCAGGTTCATGGCTCACTGCAAGCTCCGCCTCCCAGGTTCATGCCATTCTCCTGCCTCAGCCTCCCGAGGAGCTGGGACTACAGGTGCCCACCACGGTGCCTGGCTAATTTTTTGTATTTTTTTTTAGTAGAGACGGGGTTTCACCATGTTAGCCAGGATGGTCTCAATCTCCTGACCTTGTGATCCGCCAGCCTTGGCCTCCCAAAGTGCTGGGATTACAGGCCTGAGCCACCGTGCCAGGCCTAATTTTTTTTTTTGTGTGTGGGGAAGGACAGAGTCTCGCTCTGTTGCCAGTCTCGCTCTGTTGCCATGGCGTGATCTCAGCTCACTGCAACCTCCACCTCCTGGGTTCAAGCGATTCTACTGACTCAGCCTCCTGAGTAGCTTGGATTACAGGTGCCCGCCACCATGCCCGGCTAATTTTTTATATTTTTAGTAGAGATGGGGTTTCATCATGTTAGCCAGGATGGTCTCAATCACCTGACCTCGTGATCTGCCTGCCTCAGCCTCCCAAAGTGCTGGGATTACAGGCGTGAGCCACCGTGCCCGACCCTAATTTTTGTATTTTTAGTAGAGATGGACTTTCACCATGTTGGCCAGGCTGACCTTGAACTCCTGGCCTCAGGTGATCTGCTCACCTCAGCCTCCCAAAGTGCTGGATTACAGGCATGAGCCACCATGCACAGCTAAGATTGTCTTTTTCTTGACTTAAAGAATTATGGACAGTAAACCTTTGCCTGTTTATATGTGCTGCAAATGTTTTTTCCTGGTCTGCCTTTTATGTTTTATACTTGTTAATGAAATCTTCCACCAACTGGCAATTTTCAACTGGTCAAATTTGTAAATTTTATCCTCCCTTTTTGGCCTCTGGTTTCAAGTATATTAAAAAGTCTTTCCCTATCTTTGTGATTATAAACATATTTTTCTGGCGGGGTGCAGTGGCTCACACCTGTAATCCCAGCACTTTGGGAGGCCAAGGTGGGTGGATAGCTTGAGGTCAGGAGTTCAAGACCAGCCTGGCCAACATGGCGAAACCCCATCTCTACTAAAATACAAAAATTAGCTGGGTGTGGTAGGCCTGTAATCCCAGCAACTTGGGAGGCTGAGGCAGGAGAATCGCTTGAACCCGGGAGGTGGAGGTTGCAGTGAGCTGGGATTGCGCCCCTCCACTCCAGCCTGGCAACAGAGCAAGACTGTCTCAAAAAACAAACAAACAAAAATATTTCTCTATTTAGTAGTTTCATAATTTTTTTGTCATTTACATATTTAATCCACTGGAAATGTATTTTTATATAATATGGTATAGAGATATAGCTTTTTTTTCCCCACAAAGTAAAGAAGTAATTAACCAAAAGCTGGTTATTTAGGTCAACTATTTCTCCCCAGTGATCTAAAATACCATCTTTGCTATATACTGAATTCCATAAACTCCTGGGTCTGTTTCTGGACAACCTATTTTTATTTCTTCTTTTACATTACATACCATAATTCTTCATTTATTTTCATTTTTTATTATTTCTTCTTTTACAGACAACCTATTATTATTGTTACTATTTTTTTTTTTGTGCTGTCCAGGAAACAATCCCAGGTCACAAGAATGGGAACTTATTATTTTTTTAAAAGTTGATTTATGTCTTTATTCTTGTGCAAGGACCAAACTGTTAGGTTTTTTTTTTTTTTTTTTGAGGTGGAGTCTCGCTCTGTCACCCAGGCTGAAGTGTAGTGGCGTGGTCTCGGCTCACTGCAAGCTCTGCCTCCCGGGTTCACGCCATTCTCCTGCCTCAGCCTCCCGAGTAGCTGGGACTACAGGTGCCCGCCACCACGCCCGGCTAATTTTTTGTATTTTTAGTAGAGACGGGGTTTCACCTTGTTAGCCAGGATGGTCTCGATCTAAACTGTTAGTTTTGTCACTTAATTCTGCTACTTTATAATTGCAAAGTAGGATCCTATTAATTAATTCTGTAAGTTTATGTATGTTTTCTTATTCTCAAGCGCTAACTCTTCCAAGTAAGTTCCAAATAATTTTAGAACATCCCAAACCATAAACAAAAATATCCAATGAAGGCAACTAAATTGAAATCTAAATAAAATAAAATCAACATCATTATAATAAAGAGTCTTCTCATCCAAGAAAATCTCATCCATCTATTCGGTCCCTGTTTTATATCCTTTAAGTAAAACTGTATTTTTCTCATTTATATCTTGCATATTTCTTGTTAGGTCAACTTATTAAATTTTAAATGCTACTTTATATTTCTTTTTTGGCCTCGTTTTGTTTTATTATTTATTTGGTTGTCTGTTTTACTTCCAGCAAAGACTTCAAAAATGTGATTTTCAAGGAAGAAAGTAGTGAAGAAATTACATACAGTACCTTTTCTAAAGCAATATGTAGTTCTTTTTCATATTCTGGTGGCAATCTCAGGAGTAGAACCTGGCAGGCATCTTTAATCAGTGGAACAACACTGAGAAATATTAATATAGCAATAAAAAGAGAACAGAGTGGGTCAGCGATGAACCATCCAAACTGCTCTATAAGAACTGTGGATACGATCACACCAATGCTGCCAAGTGTATCTGCCAAAACATGTAGAAATACACCTACAAATAAAATATATAAGGACATTAAAAATTAAGGCACATCTAATTTAGTTTTTTAATACATTCTACTAATATTACTGGATACCTACTGTGCACCACATACTCTGCTACTGGCTAGTACTTCAAAATGCCTAAAACATGGTCACTGCCCTCAAGGAATTCAGAATACAGTGGTAAAAATATAAGGACATAGGCACTCATGACACAGCGTGCCAAATTTTATGGTGTACTTTGTCTGGAAAGGCTTCCCAAAAATCATACTTGAGGCAAGTTTTGACATTACCCACATTACTTATATTAAGCAATCAGAATAAACAATTCAGCAAAATAAATGATTAGTACTTCCTCCATTTTTTTTATAGTGCAATAAAAATTTCTAAAAAAGGAGTAAGAATTTCCTTTTTGTAATGAAGGTTCATAATAGCACACTGTGTTTACCTTGCAACTAATATCTATTCAGCTGTCACTATGAAAAGGACTATATAATTATAATCATTTAAAAACTAACATTTAAGAACAAATATATTTTCATTTTCTTTTTGTTTTGGATAGAGTCTCACTCTGTTGCCCAGGCTGGAGTAAAGTGGCGTAATCTTGGCTCACTGCAACCTCCATCTCCCAGGTTCAAGTGATTCTCGTGTCTCAGCCTCCTGAGTAGCTGAGACTACAGGCGCCTGCCACCACACCTGGCTAAGTTATGTATTTTTAGTAGAGACAGGGTTTCACCATGTTGGAGAGACTGGTCTCGAACTCCTGACCTCAGGTGATCCACCCACCTTGGCCTCCCAAAGTGCTAGGATTACAGATGTGAGCCACTGTTCCCAGCCTCATTTTCTTTTTAAAAAATTTTCTGTGACGGCCAGGCATGGTGGCTCACACCTGTAAGCGATTCTTCTGCCTCGGCCTCCTGAGTAGCTGGGATTACAAGCACCTGCCACCATGTCCGGCTAATTTTTGTATTTTTAGTAGGCACAGGGTTTCACCATATTGGCCAGGCTGGTCTTGAACTCCTGTCCTCAGGTGGTACTCCCGCCTCAGCCTCCCAAATTGCTGGGATTAACAGGCGTGAACCACCATGCTCCCAGCCAGAATGTCCCTCTTTTTAAAGGCTGAATAATATTTAATTTTATGTGTATTCAGGTAAGAATATTTTCTATAGTGATAGCTTCAGACCTTTCTTTTAGTCACAGATTGCTTTTTAAAAATCATATCATACCAGAAGCCCAAAACTTAATACAAATAAACACAGAGGGTTGATTTAGAACACAGTTGAAAAGTAGGATAATATTTTGCAAGGACTCACCCCTCATGTTAGCATTCATGCCTCCACCCGCAGATCCGTGGCTGTGACCATGCCCATGGTCACTGTGTCCATGCATATGGTGTGAATGGCTGTGATCAGATGAGTGACAGCTTCCTTGAGAAGCTCCATGGGCATGGCTATGGGCATGGCTAAAGGCACAGATACCAATAAGGTTTACTATCAGCCCTCCAACTGAGACTGGCTAGCAAAAGGGAGAAAAAAAACCTTTAAATTAGTAATTTAAAAATAGACTTGTTATTTAAAAGTTATTATATAGCTATATATGTTTTTCTGTTTACAGTTTTGAAAGTATTCACAGTAAAACCTTACTAAGTTTCAGTAAGTCCAAAATTTTAAAAATGTGAATTTTAGAACATTTTAGAAGAAACATTTTAACTTTCAAATATCAAGCAGAATTGGTAAGTAGAGGAATTTGGACTTATTTCAATTAAGAATGGTATGTACTTGGTTTATGGTTTATGTATAAATAAATGATGCAAAGTTTTGTTTTGTTTATTGAAGAGTTTGAAAGTACTGCTTACTAGGGCAAGTATACACTGTACCTGAAATCTTTATATTGCTAGGTAAATTTGAACAGTTTATATGCCAACAATTATAATTTATTAATGAGCAGATTCCAAATATGGTCTTATTATGTCTTAAACACAGTAAAATTTTCCAAAGTAAAACAAGTATAATAAAAAGGAAACATACAATAGTAATCTCGCATTTATTTAAATTAAAAACAAATTTTTTTCTTTGGTAGAGACAGGGTCTATGTTGCCCAGGCTGTCCTCAAACTCCTGGGCTCAAGCGATCTTCTCACCTTGGCCTCCAAAAGTGTTGGGATTATGGGATTACAGGCATGAGCCACTATGCCTGGCCTCTCATTTTTTTCTTAACAAAGTGAATGAAATTACTTTAATTTAATGGTGCCACAATAATACTCCAAAGGATAAACAAAGTTACTTATCCTTGATTATCTGCTCTTACAAAATGATCTTGAATAGTAGTAGCTCAGGGTGTTAATTTGCCTACATCTACAATTTAAAGCAATCCATTTGTTTTATAAAAGGAAAATATAAATATGAGAAGGACAAATACTTTTAATTACTTTTCAAAAGTAGTAAGAGATTTACTTTATTAAATGTGTAGGGAGGTTATTTACTTCTTCCTGATTCGGACCATTTGACTCCAGATTTTAAAATTTCATTAGGCTTTATAAGCTGGTAGATGGTTAATGACTTTGAATGAAACCAAGTACTGCTTACAGAGACTCCATCATCTCATAAGTACTCCTTCTCCCCTACTGAAAAATACTTCATCATTGTGTATTTTATCAGGAAAATAAAAATGTAGAAGATGAAAGTCCCCTATAATTCTACCACCAAGGGTTAGTCACGCTTAAAATGGTGTATTTTCCATCTGTGTACTAACATACATACACATAACACCCTTTAAAACCAACAATGTAATCATAATACTATTTTACAATTTTTTTTTTTTCATTTTGAGACAGAGTTTTGCTCTGTCAACCAGGCTGGAGTGCAGTGGCATGATCTCGGCTTATTGCAACCTCTGCCTCCCAGGTTCAAGCAATTCTCCTACCTCAGCCACCCAAGCAGCTGGGATTACAGGCGCCCGCCACCATGCATGGCCTGCAATTTGTTTTTCACTAGTACATCTCGTAAATATTTTCAGGCCAGTATATACAGATATATCTCATTCTTTTCAATAGCTCTGTAATATTCTATTATATAGATAACAAATTTATTTAATTACTTTTTTCACTGGTGGACAGTGAATTGTTTCCATTTTTTCACTATTATAAATAAGGGTACAATGAATCATGTACTACTTTTTTTTTTTTTTTTTTTTGAGGCAGAGTCTCTCTATCACCCAGGCTGGAGTACAGTTGGTGCAACCTGGGCTCACTGAAGCCTCTGCCTCGTGGTTGAAGTGATTCTCCTGCCTCAGCCTCCCAACTAGCTGGGATTACAGGTGTGCGCCATCATGCCCGGCTAATTTTTGTATTTTTAGTAGAGATGGGGTTTCACTATGTTGACCAGACTGGTCTCAAACTCCTGACCTCAGGTGATCCAACCACCTCGGCCTCCCAAAGTGCTGGGATTACAGGCGTGAGCCACTGCACCCGGCCAGAGTCATGTACTTCTATATGTTTGTGTGAATGTTTATGTATGATAAATAGTCAATATCAAAGGATACAGGCACTAAAAAATCCAAAAAAGTCTATTTTTCCAAACTGTATTATAGAAACATTTTACTCATGTATGCTTCCACCAGCAAGAGCCAGAGCTGCTTTTTGTCATTTAACAACTGATTTCCTACGACAAGCCAGGTGCTAGAACTGAACTTAAGAGTTAATAATATGTAATTCAGGTCCTGAAGATACTTACATATCTTAATTGTGGAAGAATGACAAATTAAACAACTGCAACTCAATGTTGCTAAAAGAAGAATGCACAAAACATAATGAGAATACTGAGAAAAGGAATCTAACAAACTTTGTGGAGAGAAGAGGGGGATTAAAAGAAAGTATTTCCAAAAATTAGGCAGGCGTGGTGGCAGGCGCCTGTAGTCCCAGCTACTCGGGAAGCTGAGACAGGAGAATTGCTTGAAAAAAAAGAAAAAAAGAAAAGAAAAAAAGTATTTCACATAAGCAAAATCTTGATGGAGGCTGAAGGGCAGAAGTAAGGAAAGGACATGCCAACTACAAGAAACAGCACATGTAAAGCTTTGGTGGTACAGGGAGAACATTAAAAGTTGCTATAGCTGGCCGGGCACAGTGGCTCATGCCTGTAATCCCAGCACTTTGGGATGCCAAGGTGGGAGGATTGCTTGAGGTCAGTAGTTCGAGACCAGCCTGGCCAACATGGCGAAACTCTATCTATACAAAATATACAAAATTTAGCAGGGGGTGGTGGCACATGCCTGTAATCCCAGCTACTCAGGAGGCTGAGGCACGAGAATCGCTTGAGCCTGAGAGGTGGAGGCTGCAGTGAGCTGAGATCATGCCACTGCACTCCAGCCTGGAAAACAGAGACTCTGTCTCAAAAAAAAAAAAAAAAAAAAAGAGAATTTCTAAGAGGGAGCAGTATAAATGTAAACAGCAAGATAGGAAGTTATGTTGATATAAGTAAAAAATAAAACCTTCTTAGAGCAATAACTGCAAACAATTAAACTTTAGGATAGAAAAAACTATGTAAGTATGACTAGAAATCCAAATAGGAAAATAAAAAGACTTACTGTTAACATGTGAGTGTCTAATTCTGGAGGATCAATCAATCTAGCCACTGACTCCATAAACACAAAAAACGCTATTACTATTAGAAAAAGTCCATTAATAAATCCAGACAGAATTTCTATTCGGCCGTACCTAAAAACATAGAACATTTTTCAGAAAAGGAAAAGGACAAATATTTTTAAAGTATAAACTTTATAAATGAGGAAACAAGTCCAAATTTTCATACTACTAAGTAATTAATAATAGAAAATTAGCAATATTTTAAATATCATATTAATGCCTGGAAGGTCCTTCATATATATATACATATATATATATACACATATATATACACGTTATATATGAATATATATACGTTATATATGAATATATAACATTTTAACGAATATATACATTTGTTAAAATGTTATATATTCATCAAAGTCCTTCTTTACTCTCTTTTTTTTTTTTTTTTGAGACAGAGTCTTGCTCTGTCACCCAGGCTGGAGTGCAGTGGCACGATCTTGGCTCACTGAAAGCTCCGCCTCCTGGGTTCACACCATTCTCCTGCTTCAGCCTCCCGAGTAGCTGGGACTACAGGTGCCTGCCACTACGCCCGGCTAATTTTTTTTGTATTTTTAGTAGAGACGGGGTTTCACCGTGTTAGCCAGGATGGTCTCGATCTCCTGACCCTGTGATCCGCCCGCCTCGGCCTCCCAAAGTGCTGGGATTACAGGCGTGAGCCACCGCACCTGGCCCTGTCTTTTTTTTTTTTGAGACATAGTCTCACTCTGTTGCCCAGGCTGGAGTGCAGTGGCACGATCTTGGCTCACTGCAACCTCTGCCTTCTGGGTTCAAGCGATTCTCCTGCCTCAACCTCCCGAGTAGCTGGGGCTACAGGTGCGTGCCACCATACCCGGCTAATTTTTGTATTTTTAGTAGAGACGAGGTTTCACCATGTTGGCCAGGCTGGTCTCGAACTCCTGACCTCAGGTGATCCGCCTGCCTTGGCCTCCCAAAGTGCTAGGATTACAGGCGTGAGCCACTGTGCTCGGCCAAGGGAGCATAATCTTTGAGCTTAATTCCATTCAGTATTTATCAAATGCCCGATTCACATCCCCTTATTTACTTCACATTTTTTAAAAATGAAGATTTGGAAATTATTTGTATTAAAAGTAATATAAGTAATATAATTCTGTTCCTTAAGATGGAATTTGCACTTAAGATATACCACCTCGACAGTCAATGTACCTACCCATAGGAGAAAATCCGAGTGGCTTTCCACCTACTCATCAGGGCAGCAAAAAGTCCCATGACTAAAGCAGAGCAGTCAAAAAGCATGTGGAATCCATCCGAGATCAGGCCCAGACTATTGGTCAGCACGCCATAGAATAATTCCACAAAGGTAAAAAGCTAAAAATGTCACCAAAAAAAAAGGGAGGAGTATGTTGGGCACTGTTTCAATTAGGAGGATTTTAACCCTTAATTATCCAAATTTACTTGAAGATCTGCTATAATTGTTTAGTTATTTAACTGCCACTTACATTAGAAACCCTATTTCACACAAATTGTAAAAACTAAGATAAACCCATTTTACAAACTATTAAATTGTAAAAAACTAAGATAAATCCATTTTAGAAACTATTTAAAAATGGTTTTGTTTATATGTCTATAAAAATAATAAACTAGGTTATAAAATGTTAGCAATAGGTGATTTATAACACTGATTGCTAATAGTGAGATCCTGTAAGTTATTAGAACTCTTTAAATGCTACTATATTTACTGATTTGAAGGAACATACTAAATCAATGCTTCTAAAATGCCTCACAAATTGTTTGCTTAAGTGGCTGGGCACGGTGGCACATGCCTTAAGGATTGCCTAAGGAATCTGAATATGATCTCGTAATCTTGCTATTATACTTAGAAAAAATTTAAATTTTAGCTCATCTTATTATCAGAAATTTGGGAAGTACTAAACTTATACCAGAACTGTCAAAATTAAAATATTATGCTTTTAGGATATGTCAATTAACATTTAAAAATCTTACCAGATTCAAGCACAAGAAGTAAAAGATCTGCCTAGAGTCACTCTCCTCAAGAATTTGTTTTAGTGATTCCTTAATAAACCTAGGGATCGATTGAGAGCTATGCTGAAAAGCATCACCCATGAAGTTATAAAGAGGTGTTCCTTCAGGAGAATATCCAATAAGGGTACCTTTTTGTCCTCTCTTAGAGGGAGATGATAAGATATTGGCAGCTACAAAGAGAAAAAACAATATTGTTTAAATTTTCGAAGTTTAAGCTACCAAAACCAACACAGTAACTGTCGGCACTAAATGCAAGCACTGAAGAATTTCCCAAAATAAGTAAATGATGTGACCATCAAAATCCATAAATAGAAATTTGTTAAAATAAAAAAAAGGGGGGAATGCTTACACAAAATGAAGAATATAGCACTCACTACCACTCCTCCAGACAGGACGTGTTCAGTGCTCTCCTGGTGTGCTGCTTTGTTCATAGCCCGAAGCTGGTCTGTTATTGGATGTGTCCAAAAATTTCCAAAAAGGAGAGCACTAATAAAAATGGGAAAGGATCCATAACGAGCACATTTGGAAACTTCCATTTTGACTGAACAAATGGAATCCACGTAGAAATCCAGGATCATGACAAAAAAGATAACCGTTGCAAAAGGCATAATGAGAGAAAACCAAGACTCCACTTTACTCTAGAAATTAAAAAAAAGAATTGTCAAGACTATACATGTATAAAGTTCACATCTTACAAGATGTTTCTGTTAATCTTTTAAAAAAATAAAAATCGCATGATTCAATATGATTCATAATATGCCAACATATAAAAGCTATAAGATATTGGTACATTTTCTCAGTATTCTCCAAAGTTTTAAAAAACAAAAGCACTATTGTGTAATCATTCGATGAACACTAGGCGACACACAATCTTTAAGCCTAACACATGGTTAATTGCTCCTTCTTCAAATGATTCCTTTGGGCCATAGCAATGTGAGGGATATGTAAATGTAATAGCATTTGATTTGTATTTTCTATAAACAATAAAATTAACTCCAAATTTTTTTTAAAAAACTACAAAGAAAAAGCAAAGACAATTTAAGCCACTTTCAACCTCAAATTAAAATATAATTTATTGAATACAGTGAACTAAAAATTTAATAGCAATTCATTTTACTAGCAATTTAATACCAATAAATTCTTGCTCTTATCTTACCTCAGTTGTCACAGAAAGAACAATGACCCATGGGCACAAGAGAAGCACAGAAACAAGATGAGATAAAGCTTGAAGACGTTTAGCTCCACCAACGTCGACAGAGAGCTTTCTGGAAGCTGTATGAAAACCAACTTTACAACACAAAGCCAGTACTAGCAATAATACTCCACCCTGTGAGTAAAATTAGATAAGTCTCATTAGAAACACACACAGTTCAACAGTCAGTCGTTAAATACATGATCTTTTTTTTTTTTTTTTTTTTTTTTTTTTTTCCCCAGAGACAGGGTCTTGCTCTGCCACCCAGGCTGAAGTATAGTGGCATGATCACAGCTCACTGCAGCCTCAAACTCCTGTGATCAAAGAGATCCTCCTGTCTCAGCCTCCCAAGTAGCCGGGACTACTGGCACACACCACCACACCATGCTAACATAATATTTAAGGAAATGGAACTAGTATATTTTTCCCATATACTCAATTACGTAACTACTTAAATGGCCGGCAATGTTATAACTTACTGATAATTATTTTATTTTATTTTTTTTGAGACAGAGTTTCGCTTTTGTTGCCCAGGCTGGAGTGCAATAGCGCGACCTTGGCTCACTGCAACCTCGGCCTCCCGGGTTCAAGTGATTCTCCTGCCTCAGCCTCCAGAGGAGCTGGGATTACAGGCATGTGCCACCATGCCTGGCTAATTTTGTATTTTTAGTAGAGATGGGGTTTTTCTATGTCAGTCAGGCTGGTCTTGAACTCCCGACCTCAGGTGATCCACCTGCCTTGGCCCCCAAAGTGCTGGGATTTCAGGCGTGAGCCACTGGGCCCAGCTGATAATTTATTTTAAATGTACCTTTATAGTTATAGTTGCTACAACTTTTCAGAATCTTTTGATCCTGTTAGGAACAAAGAAATCATACCTTGTGATCTGCCACACCTAAGAAGGCAATGGCTGTGTAAAGCATATGAGTTAGAGCACTGTCATGATGTCCTTCAGCTAAGTGAGTTGAAGTAAAGGAAAAAAATTCCAAAAAGTCACTCTTTGACACCTGAAGTTCTCCTGAAATTTTAGTTACATTATTTTGGATTGCATATAGACTGATCTGGAGGCCTCAAACTTAATTACTTTCAATAACATGTTTCACTTAAAAACAAAACAAAATAAAACAATCTAACATTTAATTCCAGGACCTCATTTATAAACTGGAATGCCTGTATTTCTTTTGTTGTCTCCAAAACAATTATAATAGTGCTTAAGATAAACTTGCCAGATTTTAGTAGTTAACCTCTAAAAGACACATTGCATACATACTTTAAGAACGACAAAGGTACAAGAGCAAGGAATCTCCCTGGACCACTCCTGTCCAGTGGAATTAAGGTTGCCCTTTAAGACTGACATGTAAAATGAGTCCTAAATCTGTCTTCTAAGTCACTGACCACATAAGTCTTAGCAAATTAAGTGGCAAGCAAAAGAGGGTGGGGAATAGAGGTTGTATCACAAGCAACCTGGAGCTTTTCCAAAGTCACACTCTTCTCCCTCACTGTAACAAAGAAAATTATTATTAGTTTACTAATAAGTTTTAGGGCAGTGAGTATCAGTAATAGAAGAATAAAAACTGGTGCTTGGAGTTCTGCTGGATGGAGTGGGTAAGGATGTATGAATAGAAAATAGAAAAAAAGGCATGTTTGTAGAGTAAAATGAGTAGATATATTTGACTAGAAAGTTGGGTTTCTGTAAGAGAAGAGTTGGGGCTGAGCTAGAGATAATAATTTAGAGCAAGACAATGAATACTAGGTAAGGGAATTTGAACTTTTTCTTTCAGGCAAGAAGATACTAAAGGTTTTTCATTTATCAGCCTTTTAATTGTTAAATTATAAGGGAGCAAACATGTTGAGTGGCAAATCACCTTTTTTTTTTCCAGCACCAGGACATTCCAAAATATTCTTTCAATGTCCCTACATTTCTGAAAATTTAGGGTACTGTAGGTGATACAGAGATGCTATAAAATATTTAACTTATAATGAGTTTGTTCATTATTTGAATACTGATTTAGAATATCTACATTAATCTATGAAAGTTTCATTCATCATTGATCAGTTTAATTCACTTATCCTTTCTTTTTCCATTGTTCCAGGCTTCTAGTTTTCCTCAAGACTTGAAACAACTCTGATCTATTCCAAAAGGATACGGTGTTCAGCCATTTTAGCCATGAGATCATCATTGTCAAAAAGCAATAAACAGATCACAGCAATAATGAAAAAAGCAGCTCCCCTTGTCTGAAAATAAAGAAAACAACATCAAGGATGACTTTTTCAAGGGTTGATTTTTAAGACCGTAACTACATAAATACTAAAGAAAAACATTTTCTCAAGTAAGCATTTACAAAAATGCATTAAAAAACAGAAAAAAATCTGACATTAAAGCTCTTACATATTATAAGCTTACAGTATTGGCAGTAAGATATCAAAGAGATATAAACTAATGATAACATTGATTATCTCTTTGCTAACATGGCTGGGCATATTACTATGTACAAATTGGTACTGTTTACAGAATCAGCCTTCCTAAATGCTACTTTACTTCTGGTTGAAAAGCCCACGTAGCTAAAGAATAACTAGTAGGAACTTATTTTACTCTACAATATGCAAGGAATAGAGAATATTCTAGATACTACTCCTCTAGAGAAAAATAATCCAGAGGGCACGGTAAAACCAGCAAAGTCATTTCTAAGATCTAGTAAAGTACAAAGTACTTAAAAAGCTGATAAAATTTATGTTCTCATTCCAGGGAAAATTTTTTTTTTTTTTTCAGACAGATCTCGCTGTCGCCCAGGCTGGAGTACAGTGGCGTGAACACAGCTCACTGCAGCCTCCAATTCCTGGGCTCAAGTGATCCTCTTGCCTCAGCCTACCAAATAGCTGGGACCACAGGCATGTGCCACCATGCCTGGTTAATTTTTTATTTGTAGAGACCAGGTCTAGCCATGTTGTTCAGGCTGAGGAAAAAGGTTTTCATAAAAGAAAATTATAGAAAGGACATATTAGCTCGGTTTATGTAAATATTTCAGAATGGTAGCTTCAAGAGCAATCTAAATAGCATTACTATACATTCCTTTTTTTTTTTTGAGGAGAGTCTCTGTTGCCCAGGCTGGAGTGCAATGGCACGATCTCGGCTCACTGCAACCTCCATCTCCCGGGTTCAAGTGATTCTCCTGCCTCAGCCTCCTGAGTAGCTGGGATTACAGGTGCACATCACCATGCTTGGCTAATTTTTGCATTTTTAGTACAGACGGGTTTCACCATGTTGGTCAGGGTGGTCTTGATCTCTTGACCTCGTGATCCACCCGCCTCGGTCTCCCAAAGTCCTAGGATTACAGGCATGAGCCACTGTGCCTGGCTAAACAGCATTACTATACATTCTATATTTACAAATTTACAGGTATAACATGTCTTGTATGATACATATACTTGTAGAATACCTATTATATATAGATACATTAAGTGTATTATATATACCTATAATGGAAGTATAATACAATACTTCTATTAAAGTTTACAATGCAAAGTGAGGATACTCTTCATTCTATGATTACCACTATAATGGATAAATTCTGTTAGTGTGGTATTACAACAAAATTCAGTACACTACACATGAGAAAAACCATGTACTTTTAAATTTCTTAAGTTTTCACTGAGTTAGGATATGGCAACATCAACAACAATCAAATACAGAGAACATAACTTAATCTTTTTGTTAACAAAGAAGGCAACTGAGAATTTTGTAATGCTTCAGTCTCATAATTAAGAAAAAAAGGCCAGGCGTGGTGGCTCACGCCTGTAATCCCAGCACTTTGGGAGGCCGAGGCGGGTGGATCATGAGGTCAGGAGTTCAAGACCAGCCTGACCAATATGGTGAAACCCTGTCTCTACTAAAAGTACAAAAATTAGGCCAGGCGCAGTGGCAGGTGCCTGTAATTCCAGCTACTCAGGAGGCTGAGGCAGGAGAATTGCTTGAACCTGGGCAGCAGAGGTTGCAGTGAGCTGAGATTGTGCCACTGCACACCAGCCTGGGTGACAGAGTGAAACTCTGTCTCAAAAAAAAAAAAAAAGAAAAAGAAAAAAAAAGTCCGGGCGTGGTGGTTCACACCTGTAATCTCAGCACTTTGGGAGGCCAAGGCGGACAGATCACAAGGTCAGGAGTTCAACACCAGCCTGGCCAACATAGTGAAACCTTGTCTCTACTAAAAATACAAAAATTAGCCAAGTGTAGTGGCATGTGCCTGTAATCTCAGCTACTCGGGAGGCTGAAGCAGGAGAATTGCTTGAACCTGGGAGGTGGAGGTTGCAGTGAGCCAAGATGGTGCCACTGCACTCCAGCCTGGGCAACCCAGTGAGACTCCATCTCAAAAAAAAAAAAAAGAAAAAACAATCATCAAGTCCTGGACTGATGCCCTGATCCATTTCTCACACTAATGAGAACACTCTCACTTCTAGTTACTTAAGGAGGAAAACTTTTTTTTTAAATGTTTTCAAGTCATTTTTATTTCTTTTGTGAGTTGTCATTCCCAGTTTTTTGCTGATTTCCTGCCAAGGATCTTAAGCATTTTTTAAACTGAAATGGGTGATTTATACTTTGAAAGGAATGTAAAACTTATTTCTGGCAATTTTTGTTGTTAGTTTTTTGTATACACACTGATTTCTGTTATACGTTAAGTTTATAATCATTATGAAGCCAAATATAGTGAGTTTTCCCTTTGTGATTTTTTCCACTGCTTTTATGCTCAGAATTTTCTCCATCTACGTATTTTATTCTATGTTTTTACAAATGTCTATTTTGTAAACTCACAAAGCTCTTCAATCCACTTGAAATTTATTTTGGAGTACTCTATTAGTGAGGGGGAAGGATTAAATAGTGGCCCATGCTTTAATACTAATGACCCAGTTTGAAATCTACAGGCAGAGTATTCTTTTACTCTGCTCTACTTGGCATGTTACTTTGTTCACTTCATTACTTCATTCATCTCCCTTCATTACTTTGCTTGAAAGTCCCTTTCAGAATAGGGACTATTATACCTTATTTGTCTTTATCTATCCTTTCCTTTATGTCTAGGAAAATGCACCATGCACAGGAAGTGTGGGAGATCAGTCACAGTGGTGGGAGAAATTATAGGAATAGAAGCAAACCTTCTTGGAAGGCTGGGGGTTTTGCAAGTTTTGAAGGATATTTTGGCTGAAGGCAGCCAGATTCTCTTATCAGAAGCCTAAAAGCTTAAGGCGTAGATACAAGGGAGTGTAGAGGAGTTTATCTAAATAGCTCGTTTACTCATGTTGTCCTAAAACCGACCTTTGATCATTTGCGCTCAAGACTGCTCTCTATGTAGGGGGTCAGCAATGTTATTTACCCACAAAGCGTGTTGATTCAAGGCCTTTGTCATTAAATCTATACTGAATAAATGCCCGCAGTGCCAGCTTGTCAGGGCCGCAGCTGCTGACTCTTTACAGCACCCTCCTTAGGGTCTGTAAGCGGCCTGGTTCCCTAGCCCACTCCTTCACTAAATACCTGTGTCTGAGTGCATTTGTTGTTCAGCCAGGGTCTGCAAGTAGGACCCAGCAAGGAAGTGTTTAATTTGGTAAAACAGAAACACTATATAGTTCTAACAGTTTGGAATTGTAGATTGGTAACTCATTTAACAAAAGGATAATACTTGAATCACTTAGGATGAATAGGAGTGCTTAGGTGGCAAAATGTTGGATAAATGTTCATCATAATTTAAATTTAACAAGTTTTTAGTTATTTTTCAAAAATGATTTACAGGGTTAAGAATGAGTAGGGGGTTTGGGGGAAAGGTGCATGAGTACAACATGAAAGAGATCATTGTGGTGATGCATCAGTTCTATATCTTGCTTGTAATGATGGTTACACAAATCTACACATGACAAAATTTCATAGACCTACATGCATACATACATACATACACACACACACGATCGTATGTAAAATTGGTAAAATCTGAGTAAGGTCTATGGATTGCACCAATGTCAATTTCCTGTTTTTTTTTTTAATTTTTGATTTTAATTTTTGTGGGTACATAGTAGGTATATGTATTTATGGGGTATACGAGATGTTTTGATATAGGCATGCAATGTATATAATCACATCAGGTAAATTGGGGTATCCATCCCCTCGAGCATTTAGCCTTTGTGTTACAAATAATTCAATTATACTCTTTTAGTTATTTTAAATGTATGATTAAATTATTGTTGATTATAGTCACCCTATTGTGATATGAAATACTAGGTCTAATTGACTGGTTTTGATAGTGTACTTGAGTTGGTTAAGAAGTTACCTTTGGGGGAAACTAAATGAAGGGTGAGGGTCCTCTATGTACTATTTTAGCAACTTCCTAGGAATCTATAATCATTTCAAAATCATTTTCCACTGTTTCCATGTTAAGAAATTTCTCCAACTACGGATTATATTTTCACAAATATCTATTTTTGTAAACTTATAGAATTCTTCAAAAACAAAAAAATTGTAAGAAAAATGTAAAACTAGCGGAAAAAGCCCCTGGAATTTTTTTTTTTTTTTTTTTTTGAGGCTGAGTCTCACTCTATTGCCCAGGTTGGAGTGCAGTGGCATGATCTCAGCTCACTGTAACCTCCGCCTCCCAGGTTCAAGCAATTCTCATGCCTCAGCCTCCAGAGTAGCCGGGATTACAGGTGCCCACCACCATGCCCAGCTAATTTTTGTATTTTTAGTGGAGATGGAATTTCACCACGTTGGCTAGGCTGGTCTCAAGCTCCTGACCTCATGTAATCCGCCCACCTCAGCCTCCCACAGTGTTGGGATTACAGGCGTGAGCCATCGCGCTCAGCCTCCTGCATTCTTTTAAATGGTGAAAGATAAGATTTTATTCCTTTGGATAATATGTGACATACATACTTTCCATTTCCAAGTAACTGATAATGGAAAATTCTACCTTTGCTGGTCCTCCTCCAGAACTGGTGAACAAAACACTGAGTAGTGAAATGACAACAATATCACTGTGCTCAAATAGCAGCAAAGTCCTACAAAAATAAAACATTATCATTTATGAAATGTAATTTATCTTTATCAAGACGCATGAATTCAACTAGAGTTAGAGAAAGAAAAACATTTCCCCTTGATTTCACAAAACATAAGAAAAATAAATAGGTACAACTGCTTTAGAAAATGGTTTGGCATTATCTACCTTAGAAAGATTGAAGCTACAAATACCTAATCATACCACTCATAGAATTATGTCATACAGATTTCTTATTCTTGTATAGGTATGTATCAGGTAACACTTACCAGGTTGCTCATACCAGCACTGTTTGCAGTAATCCAAAAAAATACAGGCAATGTGGCTGGGTATGGTGGCTCACACCTATAATCCAGCACTTTGGGAGCCCAAGGCAGGGGGATCACGAGGTCAAAAGATCGAGACCACTCTGGCCAACATGGTGAAACCCCATCTCTACTAAAAATACAAAAATTGGCTGGGCGTGGTGGCACATGCCTGTAATCCCAGCTACTCGGGAGGCTGAGGCAGGAGAATCACTTGAACTCGGGAGGTGGAGGTTGCAGTAAGCCAAGATCGGGCCACTGCATGCCAGCCTGGTGACACAGTGAGACTCCATCTCAAAAAAAAAAAAAAAAAGTACAGGCAACATATACCCATGTGCTGCATAACATTATTTTGGTCAATGGTAGACCACATATATACGATGGTGGTGCCATAAGATTATAATGGAGCTGAGAAATTCCAGTCACCTAGTGTTAATGCATTACTCATGTGTTTCTGGTGATGCTGGTGTAAACAAGCCTACTGCACTGCCAGTCATATAATACAGTACATACAATTATATACAGAACATAAGACTTGATAATGATAATAAATGACTATGCTACTGGTTTATGTATTTACTATACTATAAATTATTTTAGAATGTACTTTTGCTTGTTAAAAATAAAAGTAACTATATCCTTTGACTTCAAATAGTGGTGTCAAAAACAAAAAAAAAGTTAACTGTAAAATAGCTTCAGACAGGTCCTTCAGGAGGTACCCCAGAAGAAGGCATTGTTATAGGAGATGACAATTCCTTGCATGTTACTGCCCCTGAAAACTTTCTAGTGGGACAAGATGTGGAGGTAGAAGACAGTAATATTGATAATCCTGACCCTGTGTAGGTATAGGCTAATGTGTGCATGTCTTAGTTTTTAACAAAAAAGTGCCAGGAGCAGTGGCTCATGCCTGTAATCCCAGCACTTTGGGAGGGTGAGAAGGGTGGATCCTTGAGCCCAGGAGTTTGAGACCAGCCTGGGCCACATGGCAAAACCTGCTATCAAAAAAGATACAAAAGTTAGCCAGGTGTGGTGGTAGGCACCTGTAGTCCCAGCTACTGGTGAGGCTGAGGTGGGAGGATCCCTTGAGCCAAGGAGATGGAGGTTGCAGTGAGCCAAGACTGTGCCATATACTCTAGTCTGAATGACAGAGCAAGATCCTGTCTCCAAAAAAAAAAAGTTGAAAAAAAATTAAAAACAGAAAAAAAGCTTACAGAATAAGGATATAAAGAAAAAATATTTTTGTACAGTTGTACAATGTGTTTATGTTTTAAGCTGTTTTTACAAAAGAGTAAAGTATGCTAAGGTTAAGCTTCTACCTCCTGAGGTCAGGTGATCTCTTCCACCTCAGCCTTCTAGGTAGCTGGGATTACAGGCACGCAGCACCATGCCTGGCTAATTTTTTGTAGAGATGGGATTTTGCCATGTTGTCCAGGCTGGTCTCGAACTTCTGGGCTCAAGCTATCTGCCCACCTCGGCTTCCCAAAGTGCTGGGATTAAAATTTTTGCAATTGAGAAACTGCATAATGGTTTTAGTAGAAGAATGAGAGGGCAGTGTTGGTAGTGATAAGGTCAGGAGCTAGATGACTAAATAGGGAACCAAGTAAAGATGTAAGTACTTCCTCTTTCCCTCCTTATTGTAACACAAAAGGACAGTGATATAGTAACACAGGAACCAAAACATAATTTCATGAATAACAAATTTAAAATATTACAGATGATAAGCAATAGCAGCACTCAATCATATTCAAGCATACGGTGAAAAACCTCTTCCCAAGCTAGGAAATTCAGCTAGCTTTCTCAGCCCTCCAAGCTGCAGCTGCTACTGTGGCTAGAGATATGACATTTCCAATTATACCTACTCTGCATCTGACAAAGTACATGACAAACAAGTCAAAGGGATCCCAATCCAGAAGCTATTCTATTGGCCATGAGAGGGGAAAGGACTTTTCACAAAGCATTTCCACATTTCTCACCCTTCACTTTCCACTCTGTCTACCCCACTATTCTGAGTGAGATCCTTTAGAACAGTGGTCCCCAACCTTTTTGGCACCAGGGTCTGGTTTCCTGGAAGACAATTTTTCCAGACAGCAGTGGTGGGGGGATGTTTTAGGACATAACTGTTCCACCTCAGATCATCAGACATTAGATTCTCATAAGGAGCATGCAACCTAGATATCCCTCCCATGCACAGTTCACAACAGGGTTCCTGCTCCCATGAGAATCTAATGCCATTGCTGATCTGACAGGAGGTAGAGCTCACGCAGTAATGCTTGCTCCCCCGTGGCTCACCTCCTGCTCTGTGGCCTGGTTCCTAATGAGTTATGAACCCATACTGGTCTATAGCCAGGGGGTGGGGGATCTCTCTGCTTTAGAACATTCTTTTTTTTTTTGAGACGGAGTCTCGCTCTGTTGCCCAGCCTGCAGTGCAGTGGCGTGATCTCGGCTCACTGCAACCTTCGCCTCCTGAGTTCAAGTGATTTCTGGCTAATTTTTGTATATTTTTTAATAAAGGCGGGGTTTTGCTATGTTGGCTAGGGTGGTCTCCAACTCGTAACTTCAAATGATCCACCCCTTGGCCTCCCAAAGTGCTAGCATTACAGGCGTGAGCCACAGTGCTGGCCAAGAACATTCTTCATTTCACTCCTTACCTCTCATTCTCACGGCAAGGCATTTTTTCTTACACTTATTCACTAAGTAAAATCCTTTACAGATGGGGAAATGTTAAAAGAATGCTCATACACAGCTGCATGATACAATTCCTATCAATGGTCCCTAAGCATTTCCTCCTTAAACCAGTCCACTTGCAGAAAAAGACTAATCTATATAGATCTAGGGAAATATGAAATGGGAGTAGTTTACTTTATCCACCACGCATTTAATCTGATAATTGATATACTACTTCTGAGACATTTATTTATGAGAGTATTTGCAAAATTGTGCAAAAAATGAGTGCTTTTAGAGATTTTTGTTCTCCTTCTTATTGGCTAATTTTATTTACCACTTCAGACCTTTTATTATAGCTTCTAAGCTGTTAACAGGGATCATGAATAAATGATTAAAAAGCCGTTTATGCTAAAAATTTTCTGAAACTTGGAATTCTAACTAGTAAAATATCTATGACAAATCATGAATAAATATATTAATGGTATTCACTAAAGAACTAGTCCAGAAACTAAACAGGTTTGTTCTATCTGTTGAATTCTCTCTGATGCTATAAAAGTGCTAGACACATTTGTACAGATAAATATTTGACGTAAAACACAGTGGAACAAAAATAATATTCAAAATGAAGAAATACAAACACACATTCAAAATATGCATTTTTATTTACCTTAGTGGTCCACAAAGAGTGAGGCCAAAAAACCACAAGAGTGAAATAATACACCCAGCAACTGCATGTTTAAATATTTTGATCCACTATAAATGGAAACAAAAAAATTAAAAATTTCAGTCACATATATTTTGCTATATATCCAAATTTTAAATAAAATACAGAAAGATAATAATAACAAATATTTTAAAGGTGAAATCATTACATATTTTGTAAATAGAAAACATAAGATCCCTTGACTAAGTCTAGATTTCCAAGACAGTATTCTTATTCTGGGCCGGGTGCTGTGGCTCATGCCTGTAATCCTAGCACTTTGTGAGGCCGAGGCAGGCAGATCACCTGAGGTCAGGAGTTCAAGACCAGGCTGGCCAATGTGGTGAATGAAGCCCCGTCTCTACTAAAAATACAAAAATGAGCTGGGTGTGGTGGTGGGTGCCTGTAATTCCAGCTACTCAGGAGGCTGAGGCAGGAGAATCGCTTGAACCCGGGAGGCAGAGGTTGCAGTGAGACAAGATCGTGTCACTGCACTGCAGCCTGGGCGATGGAGCAAGACTCTTTCTCAAAAAAAGAAAGAAAAAAAAAAAGGACAGTATTCTGTTTTCCATTATCTATATTCTTGTCTGCTGGTAGATTTTGAAATCTTTTTCTTCAGAGTACAATTTTATGATTTCTCAGTTTCCCACTAGTTTCCTAGGATCATTTAACTTTTTGTCTTTAAATTCTTTTCTACCAGGAATTTTTAGTGATCCAATTATCTGAAAGGAGAGAAAAAAGTTAAAATGGGGTTTAGACTATTAATCATATTTTAAAAAATGTTCTTGGTCTCTGAAACAGAAGTACTTAAATTCGTCTTTCTAATAAAAAAATTATGACGCAGGTTTGTAAGTCATGGCATAAAGCAAACATGTACTATGGTATAACTGCTGCCCAAAGAAGTGACGATGTGAGATGATTATGCAAAATGTAGGACATTTCTAGTTTGAATCACAGCTGCCTAAAGAGAACAGTGACAATGATCATGAGGGTGTCACATTGTCACAATGATGATGAGGCATCATTCTAAGAACTTCATAAGTATTAATTCATTTTTCCTCACAGTTCTGTTAGGAAGTTACTGTTATCTCCATTTTACAGTGAGCAAATTAAGGTAGAGAGAAATCAAGTAACTTGCCCAAAGTAAGGGTCAGTAAGGAGGACAGACAGAACATGACTTTGTCTGACTCCAGAAATCACACTCTTAACCCCTATGCTTTGTCAGCTTTCCAGTGACATTTGTACTAGGCTCTTGGGCATGCTTTCATGTCCAATTTGTAAATCTTTCAGAATAAGAAGTGTGTACTGAAGAAAACAATTACATGAATGCTTTATAATTTTTTTTACCCTCTTGTTTTTTTTAAAAACATTCCATGATCTTAGTACTTTATGATTTAAAGTCTCCATTCTGAAAAGACAAGAGCAAGTTAACTCTAAAATTGTTCTGTGGCATACTTAAATCATTCATTAAGTACCCATTATAAAAAATAAGCATTGCCTCCTGGCCCACTAAACGAGAAGCTGCTAGGAATAAAAGATTCTGCAAAAATCTTACCTGGTGTTTGGTAATAGTTTTCCCAGAAGAAAATGGCTTTTGAAACAAAACCATAAAAAATGCAGTCCTGTAAATATTGAAACATTAATATATTAATATTAATCCATATTAAACACAAGATACAGTTTTAAGTAAAGACACTTATTTTAAACAAATATGCCAGAACTTGAAGTGTTATCCTCTGAATAAATCATACTGGAGAATTAATTATACTTATTTTAGTAAAACTCCTATTGCAATATTTTGATAACTTTTTTTTTTTTTTTTTTGAGATGGAGTCTTGCTCTGTCACCAGGCTGGAGTGCAGTGGCACGATCTTGGCTCACTGCAACCTCTGCCTCCCGGGTTCAAGCAATTCTCCTGCCTCAGCCTCCTGAGTAGCAGGGATTACAGGTGTGCGCCACCACGCCCAGCCAATTTTTCGTATTTTTAGTAGAGATGGTGTTTCAACACGTTGGCCAGGCTGGTCTCGAACTCCTGACTTCAGGTGATCCGCCTGCCTCGGCCTCCCAAACTGCTGGGAAAACAGGCATGAGCTATCACACCTGGCCGAGAACTCTTATTTTCTAACTGTCTTCAGAACCAGCTAACAAGCCACAAAAATAAAGGAGTCACAATTTTTTTTATATCTTAAAATATCAAAGAAGAGAATTCCTATTTTCTCTAAAATTCAGTAATAAATCTTGAAATAGTATAATGAAAATGAAGAAATTACTAATTATATATCCCTACCTTTCACATTGCCAAAATAGTTATATAAAAATGCACACAACTTGGCCAGGCACAGTGGCTCAAGCTTGTAATCCCAGCACTTTGGGTGGCCGAGGTGGGCGGATCACCTGAGGTCAGGAGTTGGAGACCAGCCTGGCCAACATGGCAAAACCCCGTGTCTACTAAAAAAAATACAAAAATTAGCTGGCCATGGTGGGACACACCTGTAATCCTAGCTACTCAGGAGGCTGAGACAGAATTGCTTGAACCCTGGAGGCAGAGGCTGCAGTGAGTTGAGATTGAGCCACTGCACTCCAGCCTGCGCAACCTAGCCAGACTGTCTCAAAAAAAAAAAAAAAAAAAAAAAGCACGTCACTGGTGCTTAATATTTCCTAGTCAATAATCTCTTTCCCAACTTACCAAAATTATACTTCGAAGAGTGTTGTTTTTGTTTTTTTTTTTAAATGGAGTCTCGCTCTGTTGCCCAGGCTGGAGTGCAGTGGCATGATCTCAGCTCACTGCAACCGCTGCCTCCCAGGTTCAAGCAATCCTCCTGCCTCAGCACCCCTTGTAGCTGGGATTACAGGCACATGCCACCACGCTTGGCTAATTTTTGTATCTTTAGTAGAGACAGGCTTTCGACATGTTGGCCAGGCTGGTCTCCAACTCCTGACCTCAGGCGATCCACCTGCCTCCGCCTCCCAAAGTGCTGGGATTACAGGCATGAGCCACCGTGCCCAGCTGACTCCCAAGAGTCTTTAACAGGTTTTTATTAACACAGAGGGTGGTCACTATCAATCTCAAGGTCCAAGAAATCTTTATTTAGAATTTCTTATATGTAGGCCAGGCGTGGTGGCTCATGCCTGTAATCCCAGCACTTTGGGAGGCTGAGGCGGGCAGATCACAAGGTCAAGAGATTGAGACCATCCTGGCCAACATGGTGAAACCCTGTCTCTATTAAAAATACAAAAATTAGCTGGGCATGGTGGTGAGCGCCTGTAGTCCCAGCTACTCGGGAGGCTGAGGCAGGAGAATCGCTTGAACATAGGAGGCAGTGATCTTGCAGTGAGCCAAGATCACGCCACTGCACTCCAGCCTGGTGACAGAGTGAGACTGTGTCTCAAAAAAGAAAAAAAAAAAGCATTTCGTATAAGTAGAATAAATTAATGTTCACACTACATGAGGACTCTGTACTAAGAAAGGATTATGCAGTGAATAATAATAATAATAAATAGCCCAAAAACTAAATTTGCAAAAATCTCATCAAAGTTTGTGTTTAGGCAAGTGATTAGAGCACAACAATCCGTTTTCTTTTCAGTCTCTTTGTACCTCTAATCTTAAGTATACTCCCAGTTAAAAAAGTTTATCAAATACTTGTCAGGAGGAACAAACAAAATATTGTATGTAAAGTTTCTTAAAGATACTCTGTTAAAACAGGATTTTCAAAGAAATAAAAAATATCAAGAAAAAACCCCCCCCCACACTCACCCAAGTTTTAATATAAAAATGAACTGAACAATGTGAACAGCTTTTAGGAGATCATATGATTCGAAAAGTCCCACAGCCTTCAAAAATTTAGTGAAACATAGTAACACAATATATTTTGTTAATCTGAAAAATAAAAGCAGAAACAATTTTTAGTATCACTGAAATTACAAGCAGCTCATCAATCTGGTTTTTTAAACAAGAGGTCATTACAGAAACCACAGAAATATACATAAACACAAAATGAAACAAAACAGAGTCCCCAAACAACTCACCATCCACGTGATAACTACTGTTGACTTTTTTTTTTTTTTTTTTTTAACTCATAGAGACGGGGTCTCAATGTGTTGCCCAGGCTGGTCTCGAACTCCTTTGGTCAAGCGATCCTCCAGCCTTGGTCTCCCAAAGTGCTAGGATTACAGGTGTGAGCCACCGCGCCCTACTGTTAACATTTTGAGGCCAGGTGCAGTAGCTTGAGACCAGCCTCCGCAACGTGGCAAAAGCCTATCTCTACAAAAAATACAAAGAATTAGCCAGGCATTATGGTGCGTGGTAGCAGTCTCAGCCACTCGGGAGGCTAAGGTGGGAGGTTGAGGTTGCAGTGAGCTGTGTTCGTGTCACTGCACTCCAGCCTGGGCGACAGAGTGAGACCCTGTCTCAAAATACAAACAGGCTGGGCGCTCATGCCTGTAATCCCAGCACTTTGGGAGGCTGAAGTGGGTGGATCACCTGAAGTCTGGAACTCAAGACCAGCCTGGCCAACATGGCGAAAACTCACCTCTACTAAAATACAAAAATTAGCTGGGCGTGGTGGCGGGTGCCTGTAATTCCAGCCACCTGGGAGGCTGAGGCAAGAGAATCGCTTGAACCCGGGAGGCAGAGGTTGCAGTGAGTCGAAATTGCACCACTGCACTTCAGCCTAGGTAACAGAGCGAGACTCTGTCTCAAAACGAACCAACCAACCACAACATTTTGGTATACATACTTCTGGTTTCTTTTCAATGTATATGAATGATTATGTATAGATACAGTTTACTTTAACAAAAGATGCCCAATGAAAAATGAAAATTTTGTTGATCGAGTTGCTGGACTATTTTGTTATCTGCTTTCTAACTTAATAACTCCTCCAAACAAATAAGGAGAACAAAATAAAAACTAAATTCTGTTATGAAATGAAAAGACCACAATATAGGAAGAAACGGAAGAATGGTAAATGCCTTTGGTTTGCGCCTCCTTGGCCTTGTTAAGTGACTACAGTGAGAGTTGTGGTTGAAAGGTCAATTGACTGGACCTAGAGTCCTAAAAAGGCTCAGGAATTGGAAACACCTCAGGAGGGGAATGAGAAGCTGAAAAGACGAGGATCTCTAGGAAGTCTTCCAAGTAATCAGATCCCCAGGTTCCCACCCAGCAGGCAGGCAACTATCTCTCCTCAACCACTATAGGAGTCACGAGTCTTAGCCTCTGGCGAGGTCACTTAAATTTCCTGAAGTAGACAACTCTGCTGGCTTTATAAGAGAATGTCCATGTTTTTAGGAAAAACAAGGATTTAAGGATAAAGAAGCATGAATTATGTAACTTATTCTCAAATAGTCCAGGGGAAAAAAATACCTGTGTGTGTGCATTCAGAGAGAATAATAAATTACACAGGACGATACATTAACAATTACGGAGTCCAGGTAAAGAATATACTACTCTTGTGACTTTTAGGTAAACAGGAAATTATTTTTAAATGAGTAGTTTAAAAGTGTTATTTATTCAAGAGTGTATTGTCTCAGGTAGGGAAATGTGGTAAACAATCCTTTGCTATTTTATTTGTACTATTTACTTAGCAGAGTTACCCTTCTATTGTAGTTTATTGCAGAATCAATCAAATGCAACTCAGGACTGGTTGAATTTTGATGGATTCCAGGTTGCAAGAGTTTTACTTTATACAGACCAAAAATCAAATACTAGTTATAATCTGCAACAAAAACTAGTTGACAAGTCCTTTAATTGTGGGTATTTTTATGCCTAAATTCACAAATATGGATTATTTTAAACAAAGGTTTATTTTGGTTTAAGTCCTCTTTGCGGGGAAGGGCAGAGGGTCACAGTTAACATTTGTTGAGCACCTGCTATGTTCCAAGTGCTTTGAATATATCATTTCATTTAATTCTTACAACAGTCCTACAAACTAAGAAGTGGTATCCTTGTTTCACAAAACTGAGTCGTAGAAAAGTAATTTGCCCAAGGTCACACAACTAATAAATAAGCTGGTAGTCCGAGTTGTTTAAAACCCCATGTATAGTGCCTTCTACATAGTAGATACTTGAGTATTTATTAAATGAATTGAACTTGAATTACACACTGATTTTTATTTTTTAGCCAGAGAACTGTTGAGCTACTGCAGTAGGCAAAGCCCAAGAGGCAGGTTTGAACCTAAATCCAGATTTCAGTAATTCCATGTTTAGAGAACCAGGGAATTTTCTTTGATTGAACCCCCGGGTTCAAGCAATTCTCCTGCCTCAGCCTCCTGAGTAGCTGGGATTACAGGTGCCTGCCACCATGTCAGGCTAATTTTTGTATTTTTAGTAGATGGGTTTTTGCCATGCTGGTTGGCCAGGCTGGTCTCATACTTCTGACCTCAGGTGATCCACCCACCTTGGCCTCCCAAACAAAGTGCTAGGATTACAGGCATGAGCCACCGCGCCTGGCGAGAACCAGGGAATTTTCTAAACCTTCACAGAAAAGTCCAGTGATAACCTTTGACAAGACTAGTTAATGGGAAATAATGGTTTATAAATTGGGGGTGTGGGGGGATGGGCCAGGCATGGTGGCTCATGCCTGGGAAGCCTAGGCAGAATGATTACTTGAGTCCAGGAGTTCAAGACCAACCTGGGCAATACAGCGAGACCCCGTCTCTCCAAAAAGTTTTTAAAAATTAGCCTCCCTCTCCTCTCCTCTCCCGTCTCCACGTCCTGATAAATCGACGCCATTGTTTTTCCTTCATAACATGAACTAGGAATGTCTGCTTATCAATATAGGTTACTTAGCCTGGTTTTTCATCTTTAGCCCAACAGTTCATTAATTGGAACTTTAAAAATCAAAGAATCCAGGCCAGGCATGGTAGCTCATGCCTGTAATCCCAGCACTTTGGGAGGCTGAGGTGGGACGACTGCTTGAGCCCAGAAGTTCGAGATCAACCTGGGCAACATAGCAAGACCTCATCTCTACTAAAAATTAAAGAATGAACTGGGCATGATGGTGCACATCTGCAATCTCACATACTGGGACCTCATCTCTACTAAAAATTAAAGAATGAACTGGGCATGATGGTGCACATCTGCAATCTCACATACTGGGGAGGCTGAGGTGGAAGGATTGCTTAAGCCCAGGAGTTTGAGATTGCAGTGAGCCATGATTATTTTACTGCACTCCATCCTGGGCAACAGAGGAACTGAACTTGTCAGAAAGAAAAGAAAGGGAAGGGGAAGAAAGGAAGGAATGAAGGAAGGGAAGGAAAGAAAAAGAGAAGAAAGAGCAGGGCGCAGTGGCTCACGCCTGTAATCCCAACACTTTGGGAGGCCCAGGCGGGCGGATCACGAGGTCAGGAGATCGAGACCATCCTGGCTAACACGGTGAAACCCCGTCTCTACTAAAAATACAAAAAATTAGCCCGGCGCGGTGGTGGGCGTCTGTAGTCCCAGCTACTCGGGAGGCTGAGGCAGGAGAATGGTGCGAATCCGGGAGGCGGAGCTTGCAGTGAGCCGAGATCGCGCCACTGCACTCCAGCCTGGGCGACATAGCGAGACTCCGCCTCAAAAAAAAAAAAAAAAAAAAAAAAGAAAAAGAGAGGAAGGGAAGAAACAACTAAAATCTCTAAGGGTGTTTTTTGTGTTCTGTTTTTTTCTAGTACATATACATTTACTTTTTTTTTGTTGTTGTTGGTTTTTTGTGGGGGTTTTTTTGGGGTTTTTTTTTGGAGGGGAAAGGCGGGGCAGGGTTTTGCACTGTCACCCAGGCTGCAGTGCACTTATAGGATCATAGCTCACTGCAGCCTTGACCTCCCAGGCTCAAGTGATCCTTCTGCCTTAGCCTCCCAAGTAGCTGGAACTATAGGCACTGCCACTGTGCCTGGCTAATTTTTATATTTTGTAGAGACAGGGGTCTCACTGTGTTACTAGGGCTGGTCTCAAACTCTAGGGCTCAAGTGATCCTCCTGCTTTAGCCTACGTTTACTTTATACCTAGACAATTGCTGGAGATTTGGTAAGTTTTCCAGAAGGGTCCTTCTGGAAGGTTGAAGCCTGGCTTTTGGGATATTGGAGTTAAATGAGAGAATGGTAAGCAGAGTTAAGAGGGGAAACTTCTTTTTAATTTCCACATTTTCCGTCCAGGACCTCATCCTTCCTTTACTCTTGCAACCTGGAATCCATCAAAATTCAACCAGTCAGGAGTTGAATTTGATTCTGCAATAAACTACAATAGAAGGGCAACTCTGCTAAGTAAGTAGTACAAATAAAATAGCAAAGGATTGTTTACCACATTTCCCTACCTGAGACAATACACTCTTTACACTCTTGAATAAACAGCACTTTTAAACTACTCATTTAAAAATAATTTCCAGTTTACGTAAAAGTTACAAGAGTAGTATATCCTTTACCTGGACTCTGTAATTGTTAATGTATCGTCCTGTGTTTTATTATTCTCTCTCCCTCTGAATGCACACACAGAGGTATTTTTTTCCCCTGGACTATTTGAGAGTAAGTTACATACTTCATGCTTCTTTATCCTTAAATACTTGTTTTTCCCAAGAACGTGGACATTCTCTTATAAAACCAGCAGAGCTGTCTACTTCAGGAAATTTAAGTGATATGCTTTTTTTTGAGACAGAGTCTCGCTCTGTCACCCAGGCTGGAGTGCAGTGGTGCGATCTCGGCTCACTGCAACCTCTGCCTCCTGGGTTCAAGCCATTCTCCTGCCTCAACTTCCTGAGTGGCTGGGATTACAGGCGCATACCACGTCCAACTAATTTTTTTTTTTTTTTTGGTATTTTTAGTAGAGATGGGGTCTCACCATGTTGGCCAGGCTGGTCTCGAACCCCTGACCTCAGATGATCCACCTGCCTTGGCCTCCCAAAGTGTTGGGATTACAGGTGTGAGCCACTGCGACCGGCCTGATATGAAACTTTTATTTAATCTACTGTCCATAGTCCAGTTTTGTCAATTGACCCAGTAACATCCTTTAAAGCACTTTTCCCCTACTACCAAATCAGACCAGAATTGCCTATTGCATTTAGTTGTCATGTCTCAAGAATTAACATCTGATATGCTGTTATTTACAAAATGAGATGCTCAAAATAGATTAGAAAATTAAATTTATGCTACAAAAATGCAGTTGGTTTAAGTTCTGTCCTATGTGGTGTTCTTCCCTTTTCATAACAAATGCTTATGTTGGGCGGGCGCGGTGGCTCATGCCTGTAATCCCGGCACTTTGGAAGACCGAGGCAGGCCGATCACGAGGTCGGGAGCTCAAGACCAGCCACACCAACATGGAGAAACCTCGTCTCTACTAAAAATACAAAACATTAGCCAGGCGTGGTGGAGTATGTCTATAATCCCAGCTCCTCGGGAGGCTGAGGCAGGAGAATCTTTTGAACCCGGGAAGCGGAGGTTGTCGTGAGCCGAGATCGCGCCATTGCACTCCAGCCTGGGAACAAGAGCGAAACTCCGTCTCAAAAAAAAAAAAAAAAAAAAAAGTTACGTTATAATGCTATTACTACAGTTCTAAAGAATTTATCACATTTATCACTTTCTTTAAATATCAAAGAAGTATTTATTCCAGAATGGGAAGAACTCGTTAAAAATGGAGGCAAAGAACACCAGTTCCAGCCAAATTGCAGGGCTGTATTTTGTGCATTTTCGACACTATCTCAGAACTTAGGAAGGATACACTAGAAAGTGGTCGCTGCACCTGTTGGTCCCTTACTTTTCGGGTTGGTGGGAGAATTGAAGAGAGGAAGTGGGAATTTTCACTTTTTACTCTATGAATTGCTTTGCTGTTTAGATTTTTTTTTGACAACGAGGACACATTTCTTATTTAAGAACAAAATAAAAAAAGAAAACGGGGCTGGACCCTCGATGTGCTCAGTTAATCTGAACATCCAAGTTCCCCTGAACATCCAAGTTCACGTATGTACTTTGGTTTCGTCGCCTGAAGAGAGCTGATGGTGACACCTTCCCCTAATTTATGCAGGGAAACGTCAGAAAGGTTAAGTAGTCGCCAGACTATTTCAGGGAGAAACAGCCAAGAGAAAGGCTTCTCACAGATCAGAAAAACCTCTCACGTGAACTGGCGGGCAGTTCTAAGACTGACTGTCTGCCTTGTAACCCAGAAATTCAAGCAGAAGCTTTTTGGCTTTAGCGCCTTCCTTCTGCAGCAGGCACCCGAAGAGCCCGGGGAGCCCGGAGGCAGCCTGCGCGCAGGGAGGCAGGCAGGGGGAGAGGGCGCGCCGACCCCGGGACGTCCCGGGCTGTCAGCGGAGACCGGAGGGAGGCCGGAGAAAGTGCATCCTGAGCGACCCGGCCGGTCGCTGCCTTCCGGATCGGTCCCTTACCGAGCGCTGGGTACGTCCACCGGCCCAAGGCCGCCGCCGCCGCCGGGGCCGGCCAGCACGTCCCCGCCGTATTTCTCCTCCATCCCGGGGCTCACGAGCCGCCGCCGCTGCCCCTGTCGCGGGGTCTCCTCATGTCTCGCCGCTGCCGCGGAACAGCGGGTGCAGGCGCGTCACTCCCCCATGGCAGAGACCCCGTCGGGCTCCTGCAGGCCGGGCCGCCACTGCCGCCGTCGCCGGCTCCGGCTCACTAGCACACACGCGTCGGGACTAGGCCGCGATCAGTTCCGGCGGCGCCAGGTTCCCGGGAAGCAGCGGCGGTAGGGACGTTGCCAAGCCACGTCATCAGGCCCAGCAACCCTCACTCCCGGGGGAGTGCCCAGCCTTGCGTCTGCGCAAGCAGAACACTCGCCTTTCCTCGTCCCTTAGGCTCCTCCCGCCACGTTGTGTCGCATTGAAGCTCCGCCTCCTATCAGCCTCTCCGGGTGGCGCTCCCTGTGCACTTACCTGTCCCTACAGTGCCACCTATGGGCCGTCAGAAGTACAGCGGATTCCTGTAGGGCAGAGGGGGAGGGCGTGGAAAATGTACAGCGTGTGTGATTAAACAAAGCTCACCAATCTTTTCCTCTGCGTTAGGGATTCTTTTTTTTTTTGTTTTGAGATGGAGTTTCGCTCCTGTTGCCCAGGCTGGAGTGCAATGGCGCGATCTCGGCTCACGGCAACTTCCACCTCCCAGGTTCAAGCGATTCTCCTGCCTCAGTCTCCCAAGTAGCTGGGATTACAGGCATGTGCCACCACACCTGGCTAATTTTGTATTTTTAGTAGAGACGGGGTTTCTCCATGTTGGTCAGGCTGGTCTCGAACTCCTGACCTCAGGTGATCCACCCACCTCGGCCTCCCAAAGTGCTGCGATTACAGGAGTGAGCCACCGCACTCGGCCTAGAGATTCTTAATCTAGGTTAACATACCCTCTGCCTCTAAGTTTTTGTGAGTATGGATCATTTTTGTGATGAGAAGGCCCGAAGTCTTAAAAGTTCACGTGCCCTTCCCCCAACCAGAGATAACTATTTTTGAAGCTGTAGAGAATCAATTACAAATAGTGGTACGGCCATTTCTTTTGAACAATGCCTTTGATGGACTTTGGAGAGGAGAAACTAGTATTGACCAAAATTTGCCTCCTCAGCAAACTATCCCAGGGCAATTTTCTAGGAGTGACCACGTGCGAAACTTCATGGCCTTCTCTCCTACTCCTAAGGGAACCTAAAGGCAATTTCCAGATTTCTAAAGAAACATTCTTATCCTGGGCAACATGGCAAAACCCTGTCTCTATCAAAAATACAAAAACAATTAGCCAGGCGTGGCATATGCCTGTGGTCCCAGCCACTCAGGAGGGAGAGGCGGAAGGATCGCTTGAACGTGGGAGGTCAAGGTTGCAATAAGGCATGATCATGCTACTGTGCTCCAGCCTGGGCAACAGAGCAAGACCGTCTCTGGAAAAAAAAAAAAAAAGAAAGAAAAAGAAAGGATTCTTCTTTGCCACAGGGAGCCTGGGGTCATCTATCAAATAAAGTAACGGAGGAAGGTGACTGCTTTTGTGGCTTTTTGTGTGGGGCCTGGAGTACTGGTAACCGTTGTTGCTAGAGGCCCTGGAATCCAACTGTGTGAGGACAGAACATAGGAGAAGGAAGAGGATTTTGTTAAGTGTTGCTGCAAACTGTTTTGTCTCCTTTTTGAAAAGGAAAGCGTTGATTTTCTTTAAATTCTGCCTGTGAAACTGTGTAATCCAGGCACATCTGTAAAAACAGGTCAGGTAGTGTTACCTGAAAAGGGGGTCCCCATCCAGACCCCAGGAGAGCTTGGATCTCACGCAAGAAAGAATTCGAGGCAAGTCCATACAGTAAAGTGAAAGCAAGTTTATTAAAAAAGTAAAGGAATAAAAGAATGGCTACTCCATAGGCAGAGGGCACAGTGGCTCATGCCTGTAATCCCAGCAGTTGGGAGGCTGAGGCGGGTGGATCACCTGAGGTCAGGAGTTTGAGACCAGCCTGACCAACATGGCGAAACCCTGTCTCTACTAAAAATACAAAATTAGTCGGGTGGGGTGGTGCATGCCTGTACTCCCAGCTACTCGGGAGGCTGAGGAGGAGAATGGCTTGAACCCGGAGATGGAGGTTGCAGTGAGCCAAGATCGCGCCATTGCACTCCAGCCTGGGCAACAAGAGTGAAACTCCGTCTCAAAAAAAAAAAAATAATAATAGTAATAAGAATGCCCAACCTCCTGGGAATGCAGCCGAGTAAGTCTCCCCCTTGTTTTACCCAGCCCCTATTCAAGATGGAGGCACTCTGGGTCAAACGCCTCTGACAAGTAGGACTGGGTATTATAAAGGTTATTTTTCTGTTGCTAAAAATTTAGGAATGTGGGTTCCTGTGTCAGTCTTGGTTTGAATCCCAACTCTGCCACTTAGTAATTGTGGGATCTTGGGTCAGTTAGTTGGCCTTTCTGCGCCACAGTTTTTTTTTTATATGCAAAGTAGGAATAGTAATATTTATATTGTAGGGTTGTTGGGAGGATTATACATGTGTTAATAAGTGAAAAGTCTCTAGAACTTGCTAGGTTTTGAAGGGAACAGGAGGGTTAAAGAAAGACACACACACACACACACACACACACACACACACACACACACACACACAGAAAGAGGGCGGCTCGACAGTAAATGCAGGCTTTATGTCCAGCATAAAACCTACAGATGTGGGGGACCAGCTTAATGCCAGAGCCCACCACTGCTTATAGGCTGGGGGTATTTATAGGTATGGGCGGTAAGGGTCTGGGCAGTATGGCTTGCTGCCTGGCAGGATATTGATAAGATGTTCCTGTGATGAGGCAGTTCTGGCCCTTGTTCTGGCAGATGTCATCATGGTATTCCTTGGAACTTTGCCCAGCAAGATATGATAGGGATGTTTCTTTATTTGGGCCTTTGTCTGCCTTGTGGTCAAGTGGTTAGACAGGATGTTTCTTACAGCCCCGAACCCCTGTGAAATGTTTCACTTTGACCAAGGTCTGCAAAATTAGTGGGGAGCTTACAAAATGGTGCAGTTTGGACTAACAGAACTGTTGTCAGAGGCGTTTGAACCGGGGCAACTCCATCTTGAATAGGAGCTGGGTAAAATAAGGCTGAGACCTACTGGGCTGTATTCCCAGACAGTTAAGACATTCTAAGAGATGTCTATGGGGGTAGCCATTCTTTATTCTTTATTCCTTTACTTTCCTAATAAACTTGCTTTCACTTTATGGACTTGCCCTGAATTTTTTTTTTATTTGGACACGGAGTTTTGCTCTTGTTGCCCAGGCTGGAGTGCAATGGCATGATCTCGGCTCACTGCAACCTCCACCTCCCAGGTTCAAGCGATTCTCCTACCTCAGCCTCCCCAGTAGCTGGGACTACAGGCATGCGCCACCACACCCAGCTAATTTTGTATTTTTAGTAGAGACAGGGTTTCTCCATGTTGGTCAGGCTGGTCTCGAACTCCTGATCTTGGGTGATCCACCTGCCTCGGCCTCCCAAAGTGCTGGGATTACAGGCGTGAGCCACCAAGCCTGGCCCTGAATTCTTTCTTTCATGAGCTCCAAGAACCCTGTCTTGAGGTCTGGATCTGGACCCCTTTCCTGTAGCACTATGAATAGTATAAAATGTCACTCAATAGATGTTAAATATTATTATTACTCTGGGAAATTTGGGGATGATTTGGAGATGAAAATCGGGTTTTGAGCAGTATAAATTATAATTAATTTACAATACTCTAATTTGAATACACACAAAGACCTTTAGTAGCATAAAAAAAAACGAGGTATCACAGTCTGTCTACTGGAACTTTATTGTTGAAACCACCTTTGCAAAATTATAACAGTGAGAAAATTATGGCAAAAGAGATCTGATCTAATCAAACCCTGTCTTGCCTTTAGCTTTCAAACTGCCCTTAATCATTCTTGGGCTTGGGCCAAGCTAACTTTGGGAGACATTTATAGTTTAAATGATAATGGCCCTTCCCCCAAACTCAATTACCTTTGTAAAGCTATTGAGAGACCATCAGGCTAGGAGAATGAGAGGAGCCTGAATTCTGCTAAGGCGTAGACATCAAGGAGCGCTAGACAGTATTCCAGAGGTCACAACTTACCTAATTACTCCTGCAGATAACATCACTCTTGTAGAACCTAAGATTGGCCTTTTGAGACATCTTTTCAGTTTTTTTTCTGTTTTTTTTTTTTTTTTTTTTTTTTTGTGTGGCATATCTGAAGACTGATGGGTCCAGATGGACCATAGCTCCACCTGGATCCAACTACCACTTCTGTGGCCCCACCCAGAAGTCATTAATAGCAATAAGTTAGGAAGGGAATGTGGCTCTTTTAATTGGGAAAAAGGCTATATGACTGAAAATAAGTACATTTGTCATGAATTAGGACTGTGTGGAAATAAATGTGGATACTGGTCTTGTGTCATTTGGGCCACTTGGATAAAAAATAAAAAGGATCCAGTCCACCTTCAAAAAGGAAAAAATGGCCCTTACTTTACTGAGGGACAATGTAACCCCTTAGAGCTAGTAATAACCAATCCCCTTGATCCGTGCTGGAAAAAAGGGGAGCATGTGACCTTAGGAATTGATGGGGTCAGACTGGATCCTCAGGTAAATATCTTAGTTCGAGGAGAAGTTTACGAACGCTCTCTTGAGCCACTGTTTCAAACTTTCTATGATGAACTAAATGTGCCAGTATCAGAAATTCCAGGAAAAACAAGAAATTGGTTTTTGCAATTAGCCGAGCATGTAGCCCAGTCTCTCAATGTCACTTCATGTTATGTATATAGAGAAACTGTAATGGGAGATCAATGGCCATGGGAAGCCCAAGAATTAGTACCTACAGACCCAGTTCCTGATAAATTCCCGGCTCAAAAGAATCGCCCTGATAATTTCTGGGTCCTAAAAACCTCAATTATTGGACAATATTGTAGAGCTAGAAAAGGAAAAGAATTCACTCACCCCGTAGGACGACTTAGTTGTCTGGGACAGAAACTGTATAATGGTACCACAAAAAGTCACTCGGTGGAGTTCAAATCACACAGAAAGGAATCCATTTTGTAAATTCCCAAAGTTGCAAACTGTGTGGACCCACCTGGAGTCCCACTGGGACTGGACAGCCCCCACTGGATTATACTGGTTATGTAGGCATAGAGCTTATGCCAAATTACCCGATGAGTGGGCAGGTAGTTGTGTTATTGGCACTATTAAACCATCTTTCTTCCTACTGCCCATAAAGACAGGCGAACTCCTGGGCTTCCCCATCTGTGCTTCCTGCAAAAAGATAAGCATAGCTATAAGAAATTAAAAAGATGATAAATGGCCCCCTGAGAAAATCATACAATATTATGGGCCTGCTACTTGGGCACAAGATGGCTCATGGGGATACCAGACCCCCATTTACATGCTTAACCGAATCATACGGTTACAAGCTGTCTTAGAAATAATCACTAACAAAACCGGCAGAGCCTTGACTATTCTGGCCCAGCAAGAAACTCAGATGAGAAATGCTATCAAATAGATTGCATTTTGATAGATTGAGAAATCTATCAAAATAGATTGGCTCTCGACTACTTGCTAGCAGCTGAAGGAGGGGTCTGTAGGAAATTTAACCTTACTAATTGCTGTCTACACATAGATGACCAAGAGCAAGTAGTTAAAGACATAGTTAGAGATATGACAAAACTGGCACATGTGCCCATGCAAGTGTGGCATGGATTTGATCCTGGGGCCATGTTTGGAAAATGGTTCCCAGCACTAGGAGGATTTAAAACTCTTATAATGGGAGTTATAATAGTAGTAGGAACCTGCTTACTGCTCCCTTGTTTGCTACCTGTACTTCTTCAAATGATAAAAAGCTTCATCGCTACCTTAGTTCACCAAAATGCTTCAGCACAAGTGTACTATATGAATCACTATCGATCTGTCTTACAAGAAGACATGGGTAGTGAGGATAAAAGTGAAAACTCCCACTAATGAGTGAGGTTCTCAAAGGGAGAAATAAGGGAGGAGACCACCCCTCATATTGTCTTATGCCCAATTTCTGCCTCCAAAGAAAGAAGTAAAAACTAGAAGGCAGAAATGAAATCCACAGGCAGACAGCCCGGCGCCCCGCCCTGGGCCTGGTTAAAGATCGACCCCTGACCTAACCAGTTATGTTATCTATAGATTTCAGACATTGTATGGAAAAGCATCATGAAAATCCCTGTCCTGATCTGTTCCATTCTGATTACCAGTGCATACAGCCCCCAGTCACGTACCCCCTGCTTGCTCAATCGATCACAACCCTCTCACATGGACCCCTTTAGAGTTGTAAGCCCTTAAAAGGGGCAGGAATTGCTCACTTGGGGAGCTCTTTTTTTGTTTTTTTTTTTTTGAGACAGAGTCCTGCTCTGTTGCCGAGGCTGGAATGCAGTGGTGCGATCTCGGCTCACTGCAAGCTATGCCTCCCGGGTTCACATCATTCTCCTGCCTCAGCCTCCCGAGTAGCTGGGACTACAGGTGCCCGCCACCACGCCCAGCTAATTTTTTTTGTATTTTTAATAGAGACGGGGTTTCACTGTGTTAGCCAGGATGGTCTCCATCTCCTGACCTCGTGATCTGCACGCCTTGGCCTCCCAAAGTGCTGGGATTACAGGTGTGAGCCACCGTGCCTGGCCTGAGCTCGGTTTTTAAGATGTGAGTCTTGCCGACGCTCCTGGCTGAATAAAGCCCTTCCTTCTTTAACTTGGTGTCTGAGGGGTTTTGTCTGTGGCTTGTCCTGCTACACATGCCTGACTAATTTTTGTATTTTTTTTGTAAAGACGGAGTCTTGCAATGTTGGCCAGGCTGGTCTTGAACTCCTGGGTTCAAGCAATCCTCCTGTCTTGGCCTCCCAAAGTCCTGGGATTATAGGCATGAGCCATTGGGCCTGGTACATTTTTCTTTTTTTAAACTTTTTTTTTTTTTTTTGAAATGGAGTTTTGCTCTTGTTGCCCAGGCTGGAGTGCAGTGGTGCAATCTTGGCTCACCACAACCTCCACCTCTCAGGTTCAAGCGATTCTCCTGTCTCAGCCTTCCCAAGTAGCTGGGATTATAGGCATGCACCGCCAAGCCTGGCTAATTTTGTATTTTTAGTAGAGACAGAGTTTCTCCATGTGGGTCAGGCTGGTCTCGAAATCCTGACCTCAGGTGATCCACCTGCCTTGGCCTCCCAAAGTGCTGGGATTACAGGCGTGAGCTACTGCGCCTGGCCGGGCCTGGTACATTTTTCTTTTAGGCCAAATATAAGTACTTTTCTTACAGTTGTTTTTGTGGTAGAAGGAAAAGTGCCTCTCTTTTCTTTCTTCCTGTTCAACTCTGAACCCATTCCAAGCTGGCTTCTATACTCATCACTCCCCTGAAGCAGCAGGACACAGTAGTCCTCACTTATCTGTGGGGCAAATGTTCCAAGCCCCCAGTGGATGTCTGAAACCACGGAGAGTACCAAACCCTATAGATACCATATTTTTTCCTATATGTAAATATCTGTGATAAAGTTTATAAATTAGGCAAAGTAAGAGATTAACAATAAATAATAATGGAATAATTATAATGTTATACCATTCACAATTTCACAGAGAGATTTGTTCTTACTGTAGATCTTAGCAACCTTGGGATACAATTTTTTTCTTTCCTTATTAAGTTGAGAACTTTCAACTTTTCACTTAAAGGAAGCACTTTATGGCTTCTCTTTGGCATTTCCAAATTGCCAGCACCACTACTCTGGTGCAATGGGGTCATTTTTAAGTAAAGCAAGGGTGACTTGAATGTAAGCACTGCAATGCTGTGACAGTCAAACTGATAATGGACAGGGCTAATAAGTGTCTCATGGACAGGAACTGTGTACAGCTATGCTGGACAAATGGAGAATTCATGTCCCAGCTGGGCTGGAGTGGGACAGCGTCAGATTTCATCACGCTACTTGGAATTGTGCTCAATTTAAAACTTATGAATTGCCTGGGCATGGTGGCTTATGCTTATAATCCGAGCACTCCTGGAGGCTTAGGCAGGCAGATCGCTTGAGCCCAGGAGTTCGAGACCAGCCTGGGCAACATGGCAAAACCTTGTCTTTACAAGAAATACAAAAATTAGCCAGGGGTGGTGGTGGTGTGCACCTGTAGTCCCTGTTACGCGGGAGGCTGGCTGAGGTGGGAGGATCACCTGAGTCCAGGAGGTGGAGGTTGCAGAGAGCTGAGATCATAACACTGCACTCCAGCCTGGGTGACAGAACAAGATTCTGTCTTAAAAAAAAAACAAAAACAAAAAACAGGCCAGGCACAGTGGCTCACGCCTGTAATCCCAGCACTTTGGGAGGCCAAGAAGGGTGGATCGCCTGAGTTGGGAGTTCAAGACCAGCCTGACCAACATGGAGAAACCCCGTCTCTACTAAAAATACAAAATTAGCCGGGAGTGGTGGTGCATGCCTGTAATCCCAGCTACTCAGGGGGCTGAGGCAGGAGAATTGCTTGAACCCGGGAGGCTGAGGTTGTGGTGAGCCGAGATCGTGCCATTGCAATCCAGCCTGGGCAACAAGGGCAAAACTCCATCTCAAAAAAAAAAAAAAAAGAGAGAGAAAATTAGCCAGGTATGGTGGCAAGCACCTGTAATCCCAGCTACTTGAGAGGCTGAGGCAGGAGAATTGCTTGAACCCTGGAGGTGGAGGTTGCAGTGAGCCAAGATCTTGCCGTTGTACTCCAGCCTGGGTGACAGAGCAAGACTCTGTCTCAAAAACAAACAAACAAACAGAAACAAAAAAACTCTTATGAATTGTTTATTTCTGGAATTTGTCATTTAATATTTTCAGACTGTGGTTGATCACAGGTAACTGAAATTGTGGAAAGCAAAACTGTAGATAAGGGGCCTACATACTTTCAGCTGTATATTGTCTCATTTCTATACAGCTTTCAACATAATTGATCTCTCTGTTCTTCTTGAAACATTCTCTTTCCTTGGCTTCCAGAATACTGCATTTGATTGTCTCAAAGGAAGCTCGAGTTCTTTGTGTCCTAAAATAAACTTACGATCTTTCCCCCAAACCTAATCCTCTTCTATCTCATTGGATGGTGCCATTTATCCAGTTTAGCAAATCAAAAACTTAGTTATCATCCTTAACACCTCCCCTTTCTTGTAATCTATTACCAGGTTGCATCATTTTTTACCTTCTAAATGTTTCTCAAATCAATCCAAAAATTTTCATCTCCATCACTATCAAGTCTAGGCTGCCATCATCTTTACCACTACAATCATCTCCTAGCTAACCTTCCAAGTTTACACTTCCTTTTATCTAATCTATTTTCCACATTCTGCCATAGTAATAGTAATATTTCCAAATGCAAATCTCACAATGCATTGCCCACCGCATAACACTCCACCCCTGCGTTCCAGTAGCTTTCCATTATCCTTTTGACAAACTCAAATCATTATCATGGCCAATAACATCCTACATGGTTTTGCCCCAACTTACCTTTTCAGTTTCATTTCACATTAAGCTGTTTCCTGCTCTCTGGGTTCCACTAGCCCTTTAGTACTTTCTTCAATTGTGCTATTTTGTCTTCCAATACAAGACATTGCTCAGATAGTTTTCCATGCCCTAGAACACTCCTGTTAAATCAAGTTTAGCCTAAAGCTGCCTCCTTACATATTTTAAGTTCAGCCTAAAGGTTTTTCTGTACATCATGAACTATTACCCAAATGGAGTTAGTTGTAAACAGATTGTAGCCTACTCTTGTGCCAAGTTTTGACCAGTCAAAGGTGGCCAACTATTCAAATTGTGTTCAAATTAGGCAAACACCGAGCTGTAACCAATTTGGCTTTTTCTGTGCCTCACTTCCATTTTCTGTATGCCACTTTCCGTTTTCTGTCCATAAATCTTCCACCACATGGCTGTGCTGGAGTCTCTGAGCCTACTCTGGCTCGGGAGGCAGCACAATTCATGAATCATTCTTTGCTCAATTAAATTCTTCTGAATTTAATTTGGCTAAAGCCTTTCTTTTAACACTCCCTACCTGAACATTTTCTCATTAACACCCTCCTTATCCTTTTTCTTGCAGTTTGAGTTCTCCAGAAGCAGACTCACATGGAGTTTAGTGCGGAAAAGGGTGCTTTTGGGACCAACAACTGGGAAAGAGAGGGAAAGAAAGCATACTTTGGCAGAGGGAGAAGTCAAGAAGTAGTACAGTCCAACAAAAGCCTCATGGAGACCTTTGGAGCTAAAATGATCTTTCAGGTATCTTACATTCGGTTGAAATGACTGGACCTTTATACTCCCACTTCAGTCATTCATGAGATGTACATCAACCTTGGAAGGATGATTCTTTGCATGTAAGGAATCCCTAAAGGTACCTATAGCTAAAGATCATCTGCTGACCACATTCCCCGCAGGGCAAGAGATCTTTCTTTGAAGGAGGATTTGGGTTGTGCACAGTAGTGTTGAAGGACTTCCTTCTTAGTTCAGCTAAAAACAAGATTCTTGTCACCTGACCATGAAAGGTTAGGCTTGCAGACACTCTGAAGGGTGAGAAAAGTAGAATTTATTGGTCACAAAGGAAAAAAAAAGGGAAACAGGGACTGTCAGCAGAGGGAGACTCCTGCTAGTATATAGGCTTCCCACCTTACAGATTGAATCCCAGGTTCCACCCAGGAAGAGGAGGGGCCAGGCTCCTCCTGCTGTAAAGGGTGTGAACTTCTGTGGCTCTACTCCAGTGTGCACAGGCTGGTCAGAGTTTCTCCAGGAGCCTCTTTACACTTGGCTGTCTCAGTAGTATGTTGGTAAACATTTAACAACCAGCTCTATGGGAGAAAAAGCCCCATTTTATAGTGTTTGCCAATTTCCATGGTGTACATACCCCCACCATGGCCACTTTCAAGCTACCAATTGTGATATCGGTGAATGTGGAATTGGGAAAAGATGCACGATAGATAACCTCAAAAGCACAGATAATAGTAAAATGTAGTAAAAAATAATTAGGAAGTGATGAGTTTTGAGTATTATTGATTTGTGTTTTTAATATAACTTTACATAATATTTAATAATGGTTGTTTAAAACCTGTCTCAAAATTCCTAACAATTCAACTATTGGCACCCATGAGGCAGTATGATCCAGCTCCAGCACCACTGCTGGTCACACAACACAGTATCCACCACACTCCTCACCCAGCTTAGTAACCACTTTCTCAGGGAGCCTTTCTAAAACCCTCAATGAAGATAAAATATTACTATTATATGTTATTAAGCTACTGTGTACTTCTTCTTTATCACAGGGTAGTTTTTTATTTATTTTACTGTTAGATTAGTTGATTATGCTCCATGAGAGTAGAGACAGAGACTATTTTACTTCTTCCTTCCATCTCCTCTATTAAAAATTGCTGGGCGTGATAGCTCACGCCTGTAATCTCAGCACTTTGGGAGGCTGAGGTGGGCGGATCCCTGGAGGTCAGGAGTTTGAGACCAGGCTGGCCAACATGGTGAAACCCCATCTCTACTAAAAATACAAAATTAGCACGGCGTGGTGGTGCAGACTTCTAATCCCAGCTGCTCGGGAGACTGAGGCCGGAGAATCACTTGAACCTGGGAGGTGGAAGTTGCAGTGAGCCGAAATCACCCCACTGTATTCCAGCCTGGGCAACAGAGTGAGACTCCATCTCAAAAAAAAAAAAAAAATTGCAGATACAATACTTGTTGAAAGAGTAAATGAATGATGAAAACAGAAAGTGTGTATATCTTTATATATTCAAGAAATCTGTTCCTTCTAAAAAAGAGGTTTTTTCTATTATAAATGAATTATGTACAAAGGAGTCTCATCACATACAAATTTACCATATGCAAACTCAACCATATTAACTCAACCCCACAAAAATAAGAGAGGGAGAAAGTGGCAATGTAAATGGTGCATGATTCTACCTAACATTCCTCTCAGTGAACCGTAGGCTGAGCATGAGATGGGATGTGTAAATCTGCTTTTCCTTGGTCCCTAGTTTGTTGGTTCTAGTTCCTGGGTGCCTCTGATAACATCATCTTACCAGAGTTAAGTGTGATTCTAAAAGGAAATACATGTAGATAGTTGATTTTCTGTTGTTCTGTCTGGTGGTCAATCAAACAAATAGCAACAATTCCAATGATAGGGGAAAAAAATAGGCCATGTTGCAAAATTACCCTGAACATTTATTAAATCACTATTGGACTTTCTGAGAGACGGCTCAATTTTTTTTTTTTTTTTTGAGATGGAGTCTGGCTCTGTTGCCCAGGCTGGAGTGTAGTAGCACGATCTGGGCTCACTGCAACCTCCGCCTCCTGGGTTCAAGCGATTCTCCTGCCTCAGCCTCCCGAGTAGCTGGTATTACAGGCCTGCACCACTGGCTAATTTTGTATTTTTAGTAGACATGGGGTTTTGCCATTTTGTCCAGGCTGGTCTAGAACTCCTGACCTCAGGTGATCTGCCTGCCTTGGCCTCCCAAAGTGCTGGGATTACAGGCATGAGCCACCGTGCCTGGCTGAGACGGCCCAATTTAAGGGATGTTTGGGGTAATATTGCATACATGATTTTTGTTTTTTGTATTAGCTTGGCACTGAATCTCCATGGAATATGAAACTGCATTATTTTATAAAAGAACTGAAAATATAGAAAATTGGAAGAAAGTATACACACTTAAAGCCATAAAATAAGAAATCTATCTCTAAACTGCTCATGCAATAATAGTATATTTCCTTTTAGTCTCTTTTCTAAGGATAGTGTTTTGGAATTTTAGTTTGTATATTGTGGTACATGTATAATTTTGTATTCTTTTTTCTCCTACTATAACTGAGAAAGAAAAAAACCTCTTTTAATCTGAGGAAGGCAAGCCTCTTTAAATTATCCAGGCCCAGAGAGGCATTTAAACTGTAACAGCAGTCACTCCCCTCTTGAAGCCACTTGCTATGCGGGGCGCTAGACTGTAGTTCAACAACGGATAGCCGATCGCTAACCAATGTTATTTCTGTAAACCAAGGAGACTTCCCGACAAACAGCTTTAGTAATTGCACCCTCCTGATACGTGGGTTTGAGCCTCTCTGTTTCCCAGAGTACTCTCCAAAGCAAGCTGGAAGTATGTCCCATGCTGCAGTCCTCAACCTTGGCCCAAATTAACTCTCTAAAGTTTGCCTCAGCTTTGCCCTTTTAGGTTAACAGAACACAAAAATTTCTGTATTATAGTAAATTCAGTATAAATGTATATCTTGAATTTTCTGAAAAATGTGCTAGACATGCATTTTCCTCATTATGTTCTTTTTTTCTTTTTTCTTTCTTTCTTTTTTTTTTTTTTTGAGACAGTCTCTCTCTGAAGCCCAGGCTGGAGTGCAATGGCACAATCTAGGCTCATTGCAACCTCTGCCTCCTGGGTTCAAGCAATCCTCCTGCCTCAGCCTCCCAAGTAGCTGGGATTACAGGCATGTACCACCACGCATGGCTAATTTTTGTATTTTTAGTAAAGACGGGGTTTCACCATGTTGTCCAGGCTGGTCTCGAACTCTTGACCTCAGGTGATCCATGCACCTCAGCCTCTCAAAGTGCTGGGATTACAGGTGTGAGTCACTGCACCCAGCCTTTCCTCATTATGTTCTAAAGATGATGGTTTAGTAACTATAACTATATAAGTGTTAAGTAAGGTTTATAGGAGGCCATTGTTTTGGGATAGCCTCCTGCCCTAGGCCCCAGCAGCCCAAAGCAGAATGAAGTCACTTATGCTAAGTGCCACGTAATCAAACCAAACTTTGAAATGGGCCAGTTTTCTAAAACACGGGGATTCCAGTCAACCTAAGTCAGCATAATAAGGAAGTCCCCTCTGGTTTTTTTTTTTTTTTTTTTTTTTAATTTTTTTTTGAGACTGAGTCTCGCTCTGTTGCCCAGGCTGGAGTGCAGTGGCAGCAGTGGCATGATCTCAGCTCACTGCAACCTCCACCTTCTGGGTTCAAGCGATTCTCCTGCCTCAGCCTCCCGAGTAGCTGGGACTACAGGCGCGTGCCACCATGCCCAGCTAATTTTTGTATTTTTAGTAGAGACGGAGTTTCACCATGTTGGCCAGTTTGGTCTCGATCTCCTGACATTGTGATCCACCCACCTTGGCCTCCCAAAGTGCTGGGATTACAGGGGTGAGCCACCACACCCGGCCAGTCCCCTCTGTTTTTAACCCTAGAAGGAAAGTAACTATGAAATGGCCAATTTACCTTTTGGTCTCTGTTTCTGTTTTCTTCGGCCCTTTTTGGCCTACAAAGCCAACCTCCTCTGCTCTGTCTACCAGAACACCCATTCTATTTCATACAGTGAGGTGTTGCCTGATTCTACAATCACAAATAAAAGCCAATTGGATTTTTAAACTAAATTTGTTGTAATTTTGTCTTTTTTTTGGTTTGTTCTGAGACGGAGTTTCACTCTGTCACCCAGGCTGGAGTGAAGTAGTGCGATCTCGGCTCACTGTAACCTCTGCTCCTGCCAGGTTCAAGCAATTCTCTTGCCTCAGCCTTCCAAGTAGCTGGGAATATAGGCACCTGCCACCACACTCGGCTAATTTTTGTATTTTTAGTAGATACGGGGTTTCACCAGGTTGGCCAGCCTGGTATCAAACTGACTTCAGGTTACCCACCTGCCTCGGCCTCTCAAAGTGCTAGGATTACAGGCCTGAGCCACTGTGCCCAGCCTGTAATTTTGTCTTTTGAAATAAATTAAAGTCAAACACCCTAATAGCAAATAGGCAAAGGAATGAACAGATAAGAGACAGTATAATTTAGCCTGAATGGCTACAGCCATATGAAAAGATGCTCAATCCTATTAGTAACAGGGAATTTCAAATGGAAACCACAGTGAAATACAATTCTGTATTCTTTGGATTGGCAACACTTTTGAAGTGTTATGACATCAAATGTGGTGTGGACCTTGCCCACTGCCTAGACAGAGCCGATTTCTCAAGACAGGGCAACTGCAATAGAGAAAGAGTAATTTAGGCAGAACTGGTTGTGCGAGAGACTGGAGTTTTATTATTAATTCAAATCTGTCTTCCTGAGCATTTGAGGAGCAGAGTTTTTAAGGACAACTTGGTGGGGGGAAGCCAGTAAGCCAGGAGTGCTGATTGGTCAAGGATGAAATCATAAGGAGTCAAAGCTGTCATCTGGAGCTGAGTCAGTTCCTGGGTGGGGGCCACAAGATCAGGTGAGCCAGTTTATTGATCTGGGTGGTGCCAGCTGATGCATCAAGTGCAGGGTCTGCAGAATATCTCAAGTACTGATCTTAGGAGCAGTTTAGGGAGGGTCAGAATCTTAGAATCTTGTAGCCTCCAGCTGCATGACTCCAAAACCATAATGTCTAATCTTGTGGCTAATGTTAGTCTTACAGAGGTAGTCTAGTCCCCAGGCAAGAAGGAGGTCTGCTTTGGGAAAGGGCTGTTATCGTCCTTGTTCCAAACTATAAACTATAAACTAAGTTTCTCCCAAAGTTTGTTCAGCTTATGCCCAGGAATGAACAAGGACAGCTTGGAGGTTAGAAGCAAGATGAAGTCGATTAAGTTAGATCTCTTTCACTGTCTCAGTCACAATTGTGCAAAGGTGGTTTCAGACATGAGAAAGGGAACTGACTTCTTTGGGAGAGCACATCATTAAAATTCCTTTGCAGAGCAATTTGGCATCATTTAGTAAAGTTGAAGATGCACAATTATTTGATAGCAATTTTACTCCAGGATGAACATCCTAGGGCAGTTGTTCTAAAGTGCGTTCTTCAGGCCAACAGCATCAACATCGCTTAAGGACTTGTTAGAAATGAATTAGAAACTCTGGGGGTGGGATTCAACGGTCTATTGTTTAATAAAACTCTCAGGTGATTCTGATGCTTTCTAAAATTTGAGGGCCACTGGCCTAGAGAAATACTTGCATATCAACACAAGGAGTCAGATTTGGGGTTCATTTTGGCATTGATGGTAATAGAACAGATGGGGTAACAATTTAAATGCTCATCAAGGCTGGGTGTGGTGGCTCACGCCTGTAATCCCAGCACTTTGGGAGGCCGAGGCGGAAGGATCACGAGGTCAGGAGATCAAGACCGTCCAGGCTAACATGGTGAAACTCCGTCTCTACTAAAAATGCAAAAAATTAGCTGGGTGTGGTGGCAGGTGCCTGTAGTCCCAGCTACTTGGGAGGCTGAGGCAGGAGAATGGCGTGAACCCGGGAGGCGGAGCTTGCAGTGAGCTGAGATCTCACTACTGCACTCCAGCCTGGGTGACAGAGCGAGACTCTGTCTCAAAAAAAAAAAAAATGCTCATCAGTATGATACACAATGAAAAATTACATATTCATATCGTGGAACACTATATAGCAGATAAAATGAGTGAATTAAAATTATGTGTATTAAGCTAAATAAATATTAAACTTGAGTGATAAGACTTAGGAATTTTCAGAAAGCAAACACACAAACACCCCCTTCCCGCCAAAGAAAACTTGAGTGGGAAAAATAAGCTTGGAAGGACATATACAGTATTATACAACTTCTGTAAAGTCAAAAATCATGCCAAACAATATTATCTTTTGTTAAGAAGTAGATACTTGTGTAGTAAAAGTATAAATACATAAAAGAGAATGACAAATGCTAAATTAAAGATATTGTACTGGGAATGTGATAGGGAGGGGAGTCTGTTGTGTTTAGAAATGTTTTATTTTAGACTGAGTGGGTGTTCATTATATTACCTAATGTATTCTCTTTCTTTCTTTTTTTTTTTTTTTTTGAGATGGAGTCTCGCTCTGTCATCCAGGCTGGAGTGCAGTGGCTCAATCTCGGCTCACTGCAAGCTCCGCCTCCCGGGTGCACGCCATTCTCCTGCCTCAGCCTCCCGAGTAGCTGCGACTACAGGTGCCCGCCACCACGCCTGGCTAATTTTTTGTATTTTTAGTAGCGATGGGGTTTCACCATGTTAGCCAGGATGGTCTCGATCTCCTGACCTCGTGATCTGCCCGTCTCGGCCTCCCAAAGTGCTGGGATTGCAGGCGTGAGCCACCGCGCCCGGCCTACCTAATGTATTTTCTTTCTTTCTTTTTCTATGAGACGGAGTTTCGCTCTTTTCACCCAGGCTGGAGTGCAATAGAGAGATCTCGGCTCACCGCAACCTCTGTCTCCCAGGTTCAAGTGATTCTCCTGCCTCAGCCTCCCGAGTAGCTGGGATTACAGGCATGCACAACCAAGCCTGGCTAATTTTTTGTATTTTTAGTAAAGACAGGTTTCTCCATTTTGGTCAGGCTGGTCTTGAACTCCTGACCTCAGGTGATCCACCTGTCTCGGCCTCCCAAAGTGCTGGGATTACAGGCATGAGCCACGGTGCCCGGCCCATAATGTCTTTTCTAGACTTTTTTCCTTGATTTGTTTTATAAAGAATTGAAATAAAATGAAACTTATATACATGAACTCCAGAAAAACTCTGATACATAATCCTCTTGGGCTCATAGTACTTTATTCTTTTTTTTTTTTTTTTTTTTTTTTTGAGACAGACTCTCTCTTTGTTGCGCAGGCTGGAGTGCAGTGGCACAGTCTCGCCTCACTGCAATCTCTGCCTCCCAGGTTCAGGCGATTCTCCTGCCTCAGCCTCCTGAGTAGTTGGGATTACAGGCGCGTGCCCCTAAGCCTGATTAATTTTTGTATTTTTAGTAGAGACGGAGTTTTGCCATGTTGGCCTGGCTGATCTCAAACTCCTGGCCTCAGGTGATCCGCCTGCCTCAGCCTCCTAAAGTGCTGGGATTACAGGTGTGAGCCACCGCGCCTGGCCCATAGTACTTTATTCTTGATCCTTTTTTCCTCCTTCATAAAGGTGACTTTATTGATTTCTCCAGTGATGTTCTGGGGTCTACCCCCTTCCCCCAGCTCTCTCCAGTTACCCGTCCCCAGCTCAGTCATAGAAGAGACCACATTTTCCACACAGGAAGGAGCTCAGGAACCCTGTCAGTGCATAAAGGAGGGCACAGAGAGATAAGGAGTGTCTGGAGAAGGAAGCAGGGAGTCTGAGATGGGAGGTCTCCAACAGACTGCAGGAAGAGGGGCCTGTGGGCAAGAGAGAGGCAAGAAGCAAGGAGGAGGCTCTCAGTAGAGGCAAAGGGAGAAGAGAGGCGGAGCCTACAGTGTCCTTTTAAATCTGGCCGCACCCCGACTTCGGACCCCACCTGCAGCTTGGTCTCACCATCTCCCCGTCCCTCTTTGCATCCTCTCTTCCAGCCCTGAGGCTGGTCTTGCCACTGCCCAGACATTTCAAGTTGTACATTTTCCTTGCCGCCTCCACAGCCTTTCATCTAGGGTCCCTCCCTCTTTTCTGTCCAAAGTCCTTCCCATTCTTTAAGTAAGTTGGAGCACCAGATAAATCCAGGCACTAGAGATGGCGTGTGTGTGTGTGTGTGTGTGTGTGAGAGAGAGAGAGACAGAGAGAGACAGAGAGGAGAGAGGACAGGTATTTAGGGGGCTGGGGTGAGGCTGCACAGGAAGCCGAGGGGGTCAGAGGAAGGGAGAAGGCGGGGGGTCAGAGGAAGGGAGAGGGCGTAGGAGGAGGAGTGTGTGGTGTGGCCCCAGGAGCACCCTTAGACCACTGTGCTGAGGGTGGAGTCATCCTCTGGGTGCACTGGCAACAGGGGCCGCTTGAGGGTGCGCCAGGTTTCATCTCGGTTCTACCATACATAATGCACCAGGTCAGCCACCCCTCAACGGCAGGGGCCACCTTGGTGCTCCTCTGGGCCCTGCCCCGACCCACACAGCTCTTCCTCCCCTGCCAGCGGCAGGAGCTCCTGCCCCACCGAGGTCTGGTCGGGTTCTGGGGTCACACACGATGCCTGTCCTGGTGCCCGGCGCCAGCCTCACCAGCCTGAGCACTCCCTGGAGGGCACAGTCCCAGTTTCACGGGTTGGCGGATTGGTTCACTTGGATCTGCAGCCCCACGAAGGCCTCCACGGGCACCCAGGCCAGCTTTTCAGAGAGGTGGAGGTGGTGCACCATGCACGCCAGGGCCGAGAAGGCTGCCCCTAAGAGGCGGGTGAAGATATTAGGGGACAGGTGCAGCTCCTCCAGGACAGGCGGGTGCTGGAAGGCACCGCGGGCACTGACGCCAGCTGGTTGGCATCCAGGCCTGTGGGTGTAGCTGGGATGCGGCGGGGCAACAGAGCTTAGGCCTGCCTGGCTGCAGCCAAGCGTCAGTTCACCGGCTTCCTCTGCCACATGGCAGCCCTGTGGAGGTGCCCGGGGGCTGGGCACGGTACCCCGGTGCCTGTCACCAGCGGGAGGGATGGGAGGTGACAGGCTGCTGGTGGGAGGATGGCCACAGATGGGCAGGGTCCCGGAGTGGAGTAGGACCCCTGTAGGCGGCAGGGCCTTCTCCTGTGCTGCTGCCCTCTCCCGGAAAGTAGCCTCCCTGCTGCTGGGCTCTGGAGATCCACTGCCTCCTTCACAAGTCCTGTTTGCTCCTGGCTGCTGGAAGTTGCCGGCTGGGGCCGAACAGTGTTGGGTTTTCTGGCATGTGGTTCCGGGCCCAGGTGTGGAATACCTGAGCCATGGCTTGGCCAGTCAATGCCAAGAGAGGGCAGATCCTGGACCTGGATGAAATCTGCCATGGGGAAACCAGGCCCCAATTCCAATTCCTGCCTCTGGCTCCCTTCCCAAAGCCTCGGCACTGCCATCTTCCTTCACCCTTCGAGTTTGGGACTTCCTCCCAGAACCCCTCTTCCTTGCCCAGAGCCTGGCTGGGCAGAAGGATCCCGGCTTGGCAGGCCTGAGGTGCAAAATAGGGTGGGGCCCATCTCACATCCACTGCCTGGCAGCAACCTGTATCCCCCACCTCCATCCATCCCTCTGCTGTCCTTGGCCTTTCTAGCATGCCCTGTGGCACTTTCTTCCATGGTGAGTGGACTTCCCTTGTCCTTTTCCTTGGAAAACATGTCTCTCTTCATGGGACCTCATTTCCTGGCTTCTCACAGTACTCAGCCCCTTTCTATTCTTCATCCTAATGTAAACATGTATGACGAAAAGACTTGAGGAACTAGACTTTTCAAGCTCCTTCTGGCTCTTTAATACTAAAATTTCATATGTAATTAAAAAATAGAACCCAAGGGCTGGGCGTGGTGACTCACTCCTGTAATCCCAGCACTTTGGGAGGCTGAGGCAGGCGGATCACGAGGACAGGAGTTCGAGACCAGCCTGGCCAAGAGGCCAGCCTGGCCAATATGGTGAAACCCTGTCTCTACTAAAAATACAAAAATTAGCTGGGCATGGTGGCGTGTGCCTGTAGTCCCAGCTATCCAGGAGGCTGAGGCAGGAGAATCGCTTGAACCCAAGAGGCAGAGGTTGCAGTGAGCTGAGATCTCACCACTGCACTCCAGCCTGGGCAACAGAGCAAGACTCCATCTCAAAAAAAAAAAAAAGAAAAAAAAATTGAACCTAAGATTCATAGGCCTTAGTATATTTAGTGAATAGCTCTTATTTACCTTTATAAGTTCTCTTTGTGCCTGACTTATTTCTCATTACCTTCATGCTCTTATTGTATTCTGATCTTGAATTAAATAGATGCCGGGGATTTATAAAATAGAGTTATAAGAAATATTTTACAGCTATTAAAGTGGGCATAATTAAAAACCTTAATGCAGTTTCAAGAATACTGTAGAGAACTCCTATGTTCCCTCCACCTGATTCCCTAATCGTTAGTAACGTACCATATCTGCCTTATTATTCTTTTTCTCTCTGTATAGATAAAGATTATTTCTTTTTCCAGAACCATCTGAGAATAAGTTACAGACATGATGCCAATCACCCCTAAATACTTTAGTGTCTGTTTCATAAAAATAAGGATACTCTTCTATGTAATCACAGAATGCCCATGAAAATCAGGAAATTATCATTGATACCATAGCACCTTCTTTTTTTTTTTTTTTTTTTAGATGGAGTTTCACTCTTGTTGCCCAGGCTGGAGTGCAATGGCACGATCTCAGCTCACTGCAACCTCCTTCTCCCAGGTTCAAGCAATTCTCCTGCCTCAGCCTCCCAAGTAGCTGGGATTACAGGTGCCTGCCACCATGCCTGGCTAATTTTTTGTATTTTTAGTAGAGACTGGGTTTCACCATGTTGGCCAGGCTGGTCTCAAACTTCTGACCTCAGGTGATCCACCTGCCTCGGCCTGCCAAAGTGCTGGGATTACAGGCATGAGCCACCGTGCTCGGCCACCATAGCACCTTCTAATCCACAAACTTCATTCAAATTTTACTGATTTTTCCCAATAAAGTTATTTATAGATCCAGGATCCAATACAGGATCACGTGTTGCATTTAATTGCCGTGTCTCATTTGTTTCCTTCTATCTGCAACAGTTCCTAGTCTCTTCTTTCTTTCATGACCTGGAATTTTGAAGAGGACAGGTCGATTATTTTGCAGAATGTCCATCAGATTGTGTTTGATGTTTCCCCATGATTAGATTTAGGATAATCATTTTGGCAGAAATACTGCAGAAGTGATGTCGTGTTCTTTTTTTTTTTTGAGACGGAGTCCCACACTGTTGCCCAGGCTAGAGTGCAGTGGCGCGATCTCAGCTCACTGCAACCTCCGTCTCCTGGGTTCAAGTGATTCTCCTGTCTCAGCCTCCCGAGTAGATGGGATTACAGGCTTGTGTCACCATGCTCAGCTAATTTTTGTATTTTTAGTAGAGACGAGGTTTCACCAGTTGGCCAGGCTGGTCTCTAACTCCTGACCTCAAGTGATCCACCTGCCTCGGCCTCCCGAAGTGCTGGGATTACAGGCATGAGCCACCAAGCCCAGCCAGCTGTGTTCTTCTTAATGCATCATCTCAGAAGGCATATGATGTTGATTTGTCTCATCACTGGTGAAATTAACTGTCATCATTTGGTACGATGATGTCTGCCAGATTTTGCAATGTAAAGTTAGTAAGTATTTTTGTCTTGAGATACTTTGAGACTATGTAAAAATATTGTTACTGATAACGCATTTATTTTATTTATTTATTTTTTATTTTTTTGAGATGGAGTTTCACTCTTGTTGCCCAGGCTGGAGTGCAATGACGAATCTTGGCTCACCGCAACCTCCATCTCCTGGGTTCAAGTGATTCTCCTGCCTCAGCCTCCCGAGTAGCTGGGATTACAGGCATGTGCCACCGTGACTGGCTAATTTTGTATTTTTTGTAGGGGTTTCTCCATGTTTGTCAGGCTGGTCTTGAACTCCCGACCTCAGGTGATCTGCCCGCCTTGGCCTCCCAGAGTGCTGGGATTACAGGCGTGAGCCACCGTGGCCGGCCTATTTATTTATTTTTTGAGACAGGGTCTTGCTGTGTCACCCAGGCTGGAATTCAGTGGTGAGATCATAGCTCACTACAGCTTCGAACTCCTGGGCTCAAGCGATTCTCTTGCCTCAGTCTCCCAAGTAGCTGGGACTACAGGTGCCAGCCACCACACCACACTCAGCTAATTATTTAAGTTAATTTTTTTTTTAGAGATGGGGGTCTCAATGTTGCCTGGACTTTACCTATTTATATAAGTACCATTTTATTTGTTCTTTCACCAAAACGATTATTACTGTAAAGGTTATCAAATGATAATCATTGGCTGGGCATGGTAGCTCACACCTGTAATCCCAGCACTTTGGGAGGCTGAGGAGGGCAGATCACTTGAGCTCAGGAGTTTGAGACAAGCCTGGGCAATATGGCAAAACCCTGTCTCTACAAAAAATACAAAAATTAGCTGGGCGCAGTGGCATGTGCTTGTAGTCCCAGCTACTTGGGAGGCTGAGGTGGGAGGATTGCTTAAGCCCAGGAGTTGGAGGTTGCAGTGAGCTATGATGGCGCCACTGCACTCCAGTTTGGGTGACAGAGTGAGACCCTGCCTCAAAAAAAAAAAAAAAGATAATCATTCCTTCTATTATTTCTTCCACATTTATTAGTTGACCTTCTATTGTAAGGGAAAGCTTTCCCATCCCTCTGCTCTCATTTATTTGTCTATTAATTTTTTGACTTAAAAAAATTTTTTTGTTTATTTCATTATATTTTTGGAGATGGAGTCTCCCTCTGTCATCCAGGAAAAAAAATATATATTTTGTTTGTAATTTCTATTTTATGTTGTCAATACTTCTGAGGAATATTTATCTATTAATTGATATTAGTATGGGCTCATAGGTTCCTATTTAATGGGTTATAAGAAATTGCTATAATTATGTCATTATTTTGACACTCAAATTATCCCAGAGTTAGCCAGTGGGAGCCCCTTGGCTGTCTCTTGTGTCATTTTGACACATCCCCATGAACCTTTGAGAATTACCATACTTTATGGTACAATATGTTCTAGGTGTATTATATGCTTTCTCTGCTTTAGACCCGAAGTCAGCCATTTCTTCAAGGAGTTCTGGTTCCTTTTGAGGAGAATAGTATTTAAAACCAAAGTCTTAGTGTCTGGTATGCTCATTGCTGCTGGTGTACTCATTGCATCTATGTGTGTGTGTACATGTGTGCATGAACATGTACATATACATATATTTATACATATACATATACAGTCATCCTTTGGTACCTGTTGGCAGGAGGATTGATTCCAGGACCTCCCATGCATATCAAAATCCGTGGATGCTTAAATCGCTGATATAAAGTGGTGTAGTATTTGCATGTAATTTATGCACACCCCCCCTTACACTTTAATTCATTTCTGGATGACTTAGACCACCTAATATAATGTAAATGCTCTGTAAATAGTCGTTATACTGTATTGTCTAGGGCATAATGACAAGAAAAAAAGTGTGCGTGTTCAGTACAGAGGCAATTTTTTTTCCAAACATTTTTCATCCACGGTTGGTTGAATCCACAGATGTGGAACCCACAGATACAGAGGGCTGACTATGTGTGTATACCTTGAAGATTAGGATTTCAACAAATAAATTTCGGGGGAACATAAACATTCAAACCACACCGACCATAAAACTGTTAGAAGAAAACATAGGTATAAATATTTATGGCCTTAGATTAGGCAATGATTTCTTAGATATAACATCGAAAGTACAAGCAACAAGAGAAAAAATAGGTAAATTAGACTTCATCAAAATTTAAATCTTATGCTTCAAAGGATACCACTAAGAAAACGAAAAGATGCAGACACGAAGAGGGGAACAACAGACACTGGGGCCTGCTTAAGGATGGAGGGTGGAAGGAGGGAGAGGATCAGAAAAAATGTCTATTGGGTATGAGACCTAGTACCTGGATGATGAAATAATCTGTACATCCAACTCCCATGACATGAATTTACCTATATAAAAAACCTGCACATGTACCCCTGAACCTAAAATAAAAATGAAAAAGACAAACAAAAATATAACTAGAAAATATCCACTATTGAGACAAAATTATACAAAACCTAAATAAGGCTAGGCATGGTGGCTTACGCCTGTAATTCCATCACATTGGGAGGCTGAGGCAGGCGGATTGCTTGAGGCCAGGAGTTTGAGACCAGCCTGGGCAACATGATGAAAACCCACCTACAGAAAATACAAAAATTAGCTGTGCATGGTGGCATACACCTGTAGTCCCAACTACTCAAAAGGCTGAAGCAGAAGGATTGCTTTTGCCTGGGAGGTAGAGGTTGCAGTGAGTTGAGATCATGCCACTGCACTCCAGCCTGGGTGACAGAGCAAGACCCTGTCTCAAAAACAAACAAACAAACTAACGAAAAAAAAAAAAAAAAACCCACACACAAAAAACCAAAAAATGAAACTTCAAAACCAACCCTAAATAAATGGAGGGATATGCCATCTTCATGGATTGGAAAGCACAGTTATAAAGATGACAAACCCCTGAATTGACATATGGATTCAATGAAAGCTAAGGTAAAATTCCAGCAGTTTTGTAAGAGAATATGTGTTTGGTGAATGTTGATAAGCTGACTCTAAAATGCATATGGAGCTCTCATCCACCACTGCTGCTTCCTTCTTCTGCTGCTCTTGGGGCTGCTTGTGTGCTCGTTTGGTGTGGACTTGGTGCCTCTTTTGTGAAGCAGCAGCTGAGGAGACTGGTGCTTGCTATGGCCGATGAAAAAAAAGCCCAAGGAAGGAGTCAAGAATGAGAACAAGGAACATATTAATTTGAAGGTGTTGGGGCAGGATGGTTCTGTGGTGCAGTTTAAGATTAAGAGGCATACACCATTTAGTAAACTAATGAAAGCCTATTGTGAATGACAGGTATTGTCAATGAAGCAGATTAGATTCCGATTTGACGGGCAACCAATCAATGAAGTAGACACACCTGCACAGTTGGAAATGTGGGATGAAAATAGAATTGATGCATTCCAACAGCAGACGGGAGGTGTCTACTGAAAAAGGAAACTGCTTCTTTACTCCAGAACTCTGTTCTTTATTTTATTTATTTATTTTTGAGACAGAGTTAGTCTTGCTCTGTTGCCCAGGCTGGAGTGCAGTGGCGTGATCTCGGCTCACTGCAACCTCTGCCTCCCGGGTTCAAGCGATTCTCCTGTCTCAGCCTCCCGAGTAGTTGGGATTACAGGTGCCCACCACCACGCCCTGCTAATTTTTGTATTTTGAATAGAGATGGGGTTTCACCATGTTGGTCAGGCTGGTCTCGAACTCCTGACCTCAGGTGATCCGCCCGCCTTGGCCTCCCAAAGTGCTGGGATCACAGGCGTGAGCCACCGTGCCCGGCCAGAACTCTGTTCTTTAAAGATCAAGATTACATTCTCAATTACAAAACTGCAATTTGTTGCCACCACATCCTGACTACTACAGTATAGTTTTCTCTGTTCTTTCATTTCCCCCTTCCCTATTCCTTTATTGTACATAAAGTAGCTGGTATATATGCACAAGCATATCGCTTTTTTTTTTTTTTGAGACTGAGTCTCGCTTTGTCACCCAGGCTGGAGTGCAGTGGCGCGATCTCGGCTCACTGCAAACTCCGCCTCCCGGGTTTACGCCATTCTCCTGCCTCAGCTTCCGGAGTAGCTGGGACTACAGGCGCCTGCCACCATGCCTGGCTAATTTTTTGTATTTTTAGTAGAGATGGAGTTTCACCGTGTTAGCCAGGATGGTCTCGATCTCCTGACCTCGTGATCCGCCCTCCTCGGCCTCCCAAAATGTTGAGATTACAGGGATGAGCCACCGCGCCCGGCGAATATCGCATTTTTAAAAACTAAACAGCCAATGGTATGTTTTGGTTGACATCAAGTGGAAATGGGGTGGGAAAAATACTCATTCTGTGAAAATATCCCTTCTCCATTAGTGGCATGCTCATTCAGTTCTTATCTTTATATTCCAGTAAGTTATTTTCCTCTATTTTAACAAAAAAAACAACAACATAAAAATCCTTTCGCCGGGCTCGGTGACTCATGCTTGTAATCCCAGCACTTTGGGAGGCTGAGGCGGGCGGATTACGAGGTCAAGAGATTGAGACCACCCTGGCCAACATGCGAAACCCCGTCTTTACTAAAAATACAGAAATTAGCTGGGCATGGTGGCGGGCGCCTGTAAACCCAGCTACTTAGGAGGCTGAGGCAGGAGAATTGCTTGAACCCGGGAGGCGGAGGTTGCAGTGAGCCGAGATCATGCCACTGCACTTCAGCCTGGCGACAGAGCGAGACTCTGTCTCAAAAAAAAAAAAAAAAAAAAAAAAAAAGAGAGAAAAAAGAAAAAAAATCCTGGCATACCTTGTTCAAAGAATTTTAATATTTTTCATTTATTATTGTAAAACCAAGGACAATTTTATAACTTTTTTGTGTGTAGTGGTTACATATAGGGCAATCTGTCTTTAAGTAGGGATAAATTACTCTTAAAAAAAAAAGAATTCTAGATAGTTTTCTCTTCAAGTGTCTTGTTTAAATAAACTTCTTATTTAAAATGAGCTGTGTTCTTTATTCTGAGAAATATTAAATAGAAAATTGAGACTTAGAAAAAAACACATGAATAGTCCTGCTAGAAGTAACATTTCAAGGAGGAAATAAAGCTATTTGGTGTTTCTGATAGATTGATACTGATGCTAAACAAAGATTAACAAAGTTATATAAATGACTATTAGCGGAAAAAAATAAAATGCGTATGGAAATATAAAGGACAAGCATAGCGAAAACAATCTTGAAGAAGAACAGAGCTATAGGACTGACACTATAAGACACAATGCTTATTATAATGTTAGATTTACAAGTGTGGCATTATTACAAGAATATATGCAGGCCAGGTGTGGTGGCTCACGCCTGTAATCCCAGCACTTTGGGAGGCTGAGGTGGGCAGATCACTTGAGGTCAGGAGTTCGAGACAAGCCTGGCCAAAATGGTAAAACCCCATTTCTACTAAAAATACAAAAAAAAAACCACCCAAAAAACCAAAAACAGTTAGCCAGGCATGGTGGTGCATGCTTGTAATTCCAGCTACTCAGGAGCCTGAGGCAGAATTGCTTAAACCTGGGAGATGGAGGTTGCAGTGAGCTGAGATCACGCCACTGCACTCCAGCCTGGGCGACAGAGTGAGACTTCATCTCAAAAAAAAAAAAAAAAAAATATATATATATATATATATATATGTGTGTGTGTGTGTGTGTGTGTGTGTATGTATGAACAGACCACAGGCATAAAATTGAGAGTCCAGAAATTGATCACATATGCATGATCACTTAACTTATGACAAAGTGGAAAACAAGTTTTTTAAAAATATAAGCTGCTTTGAAGCAATTATAAATCTTTAAGAAAAAAAAGAATCTTGATCCCTACTCTTACATCGTACCTTAAAAAAGAATTTTAATCATGTTGTACATGATAAAACATAGAATGGCCAGGGGTGGTCGCTCATGCCTGTAATCCTAGCACTTTGGGATGCTATGGCTGGTGGATCAGTTGAGGCCAGGAGTTTGAGAATAGCCTGGCCAACATAGTGAAACTCTGTGTCTACTAAAAATACAAAAATTAGCTAGGTGTGGTGGCATGTGCCTGTAATCCCTCAGCTACTTGGGAGGCTGAGAGATGAGAATCGCTTGAACCCTGGAGGCAGAGGTTTCAGTGAGCCAAGATTGTGCCACTGCACTCCAGCCTGGGTGACAGAGCAAAATTCTGTCCCCTAAAAAAAAAAAAAAAAAAATCAACCATAAAATGTTATGTCAATTTAAAAAAATTTAATTATGGCATAAAATTGATGCTTTTATTTTGCTAAGATATTTTAAGTAATAAACCATTTCCTTAAATTAAAACAAATTCTAGAGGATTGCAATCTAAATTGAAATGTAAAACAAAGTAAGTTTTCAGAAGTTAAAAATAGGAGGCCGGGCGTGGTGGCTCACGCCTGTAATCCCAGCACTTTGGGATGCTGAGGTGGGCGGATCACGAGGTCAGGAGTTCGAGACCAGCCTGGGCCACATAGTGAAACCCAGTCTCTACTAAAAATACAAAAAATTAGCCAGGTGGCGGGCACCTGTAATCCCAGCTACTCGGGAGGCTGAGGCAGGAGAATTGCTTGAACCTAGCAGGTGGAGTTTGCAGTGAGCCGAGATCATGCCATTGCATTCCAGGCTAGGCAACAAGGGCAAATCTCTATCTCAAAAAAAAAAAAAAAAATGATGATAGACTGGGCTATATTAGAATTAAAAACTTTTATTCATTTAAGGGCATGACTAAAAGGGTGAAAAGGCAATTCACAGTAGGACAAAATATTTACAACACATAATCCCCCAAAAGGACTCATATTCAAAGTGTATAAATAAACCCCGCATATCAGTAAGAAAACAAACATATAATTCAATCACTCAATAGAAAAATAGAAAAACGAGCAAAAGAATAGGCATTTTACAGAGAAACTAGCCTAATGGCCAGCAAAAATATTAAAAAATTGTCCAAGTTCATTAGACATTCAAGAAATGCTAACTAAAACTACAATGTGATATCACAACTACAAAAACAAGTAAAATTTAAAAGCCTGACAATACTAAGTGTTGTCTAAGATGTGGAACAAACTGGAACTCCTGTGTATTGCTTATAGCACTGCAAACTGAAAGTATTGATAAAGTTGAACATACATACTCCATAATACAGAAAATTTTACTCCTATGATACCCAACACAAATATATACATATATTCCTCAAAAAACATATTTAAGAATGTAGCCTAATACTAGCTTACATGAAGGAAAAATAAAGACTTTTACAGGCAAATGAAAGCTGAGGGATTTCATCAACAGCAGACCTGTTCCACAAGAGAGAAATGCTAAAGGGAGTTCTTCAATTAGAAAGGAAAGGATGTTAATGAACAATAAGAAATCATCTGAAGGGCCTGTAATCCCAGCACTTTGGGAGGCCAAGGCAGGTGGATCACCTGAGGTCATGAGTTCAAGACCAGATTGGGCAACATGGCAAAACCCTATCTCTACTAAGAATACGAAAATTAGCCGAGAGTGGTGGCATGCACCTGTAATCCCAGCTACTTGGGAGGCTAAGGTATGAGAATTGCTTGAACCTGGGAGGCGGAGGTTGCCGTGAGGCCGAGATCCTGCCATTGCATTCCAGCCTGGGCGATGGAGCAAGACTCCGCCTCAAAAATAAATAAATAAATAAATAATCTGAAGGTACAAAATTAACCGGTAATAGTAAGTACGCAGAAAAACACAGAATATTGCAACATTGTAATTGTAGTGTATAAGCTACTCATATCTTAAGTAGAAAGATGAAAAGATGAACCAATCAAAAATAAAAATTACAGCAACTTTTCGAGACACAGACATTACAATAAGATATGAATAGAGGAGGGCCAGATGTGGTGGCTCACGTCTGTAGACCCAGCACTTTGGGAGGCTGAGGCGGGTGGATCACAGGGTCAGGAGTTTGAGACCAGCCTGGCCAACATGATGAAACCCGGTCTCCACTAAAGATACAAAAAATTAGCTGGGCGTGGTGGCAGCGTGCCTGTAATCCTAGCTACTTGGCAGGCTGAGGCAGGAGAATCGCTTAAACCCAGGAGGCGGAGGTTGCAGTGAGCCGAGATCGCATCATTACACTCCAGCCTGGGCGACAGGGCAAGACTCCGTCTCAAAAAAAAAAAAAAAAAAAAAGATATGAATAGAGGCTGGGCCCAGTAGCTCACGCCTGTAATTCCAGCACTTTGGGAGGCCAAGGCAGCTGGATTGCTTGAGCCCAGGAGTTTGAGACCAGTCTGGACAACATGGCAAAACCTCATCTCTACTAAGAATACAAAAATTAGTTGGGCATGGTGGCATGCACCTGTAATCCCAACTTCATGGGAGGGTAAGGCACGAGAATTACTTGAACCTGGTTAGGCAGAGGTTGCAGTGAGCCGAGATTGCACCACTGTACTCTAGCCTGGGCAACAGAACAAGACTGTCTCAAAAAAAAAAAAAAAAAAATGACACAAAAAAGAAATGAATAGAAATAACAAAAAGTTCCTCTCCCTCTCCCTCTCCCTCTCCCTCTCCCCACGGTCTCCCTCTCCCTCTCCCCACGGTCTCCCTCTCCCTCTCTTTCCACGGTCTCCGTCTGATGCCGAGCCGAAGCTGGACTGTACTGCTGCCATCTCCCTCTCCCCACGGTCTCCCTCTCCCTCTCTTTCTACGGTCTCCCTCTGATGCGGAGCCGAAGCTGGACTGTACTGCTGCCATCTCGGCTCACTGCAACCTCCCTGCCTGATTCTCCTGCCTCAGCCTGCCGAGTGCCTGCGATTGCAGGCGCGCGCCACCACGCCTGACTGGTTTTCATATTTTTTTTGGTGGAGACGGGGTTTCGCTGTGTTGGCCGGGCTGGTCTCCAGCTCCTAACCGCGAGTGATCCACCAGCCTCGGCCTCCCGAGGTGCCGGGATTGCAGACGGAGTCTCGTTCACTCAGTGCTCAATGGTGCCCAGGCTGGAGTGCAGTGGCGTGATCTCGGCTCGCTACAACCTCCACCTCCCAGCCGCCTGCCTTGGCCTCCCAAAGTGCCGAGATTGCAGCCTCTGCCCGGCCGCCACCCCTTCTGGGAAGTGAGGAGCGTCTCTGCCTGGCCGCCCATTGTCTGGGATGTGAGGAGCCCCTTTGCCTGGCTGCCCAGTATGGAAAGTGAGGAGCGTCTCTGCCCGGCTGCCATCCTATCTAGGAAGTGAGGAGCGTCTCTGCCCGGCCGCCCCGTCTGAGAAGTGAGGAGACCCTCTGCCTGGCAACCACCCCATCTGAGAAGTGAGGAGCCCCTCCGCCCGGCAGCCACCCCGTCTGGGAAGTGAGGAGCGTTTCCGCCCGGCAGCCACCCTGTCCGGGAGGGAGGTGGGGGGTCAGCCCCCGCCAGGCCAGCCGCCCCGTCCCGGAGGGAGGTGGGGGGGTCAGTCCCCCGCCCGGCCAGCCGCCCCGTCCCGGAGGGAGGTGGGGGGGTCAGTCCCCCGCCCGGCCAGCCGCCCCGTCCGGGAGGTGAGGGGCGCCTCTGCCCGGCCACCCCTACTGGGAAGTGAGGAGCCCCACTGCCCGGCCAGCCGCCCCGTCTGAGAGGTGTACCCAACAGCTCACTGAGAACGGGCCATGATGACAATGGCGGTTTTGTGGAATAGAAAGGGGGGAAAGGTGGGGAAGAGATTGAGAAATCGGATGGTTGCCGTGTCTGTGTAGAAAGAGGTAGACATGGGAGACTTTTCATTTTGTTCTGTACTAAGAAAAATTCTTCTGCCTTGGGATCCTGTTGATCTGTGACCTTACCCCCAACCCTCTGCTCTCTGAAACATGTGCTGTGTCCACTCAGGGTTAAATGGATTAAGGGCGGTGCAAGATGTGCTTTGTTAAACAGATGCTTGAAGGCAGCATGCTCGTTAAGAGTCATCACCACTCCCTAATCTCAAGTACCCAGGGATACAAACACTGCGGAAGGCCGCAGGGTCCTCTGCCTAGGAAAACCAGAGGCCTTTGTTCACTTGTTTATCTGCTGACCTTCCCTCCACTATTGTCCTATGACCCTGCCAAATCCCCCTCTGCGAGAAACACCCAAGAATGATCAATTAAAAAAAAAAAAAAAGTGAATATTGAAAACTGAAATAAAAAAAAAAAGAAATAACAAAAAGTTAAAAAGTTGGGGGAAGAAATTAAAAGTGTAGAGGTTTTTATTAGTTTTCTCTTTGCTTGTTGGTTAGTTTATACAATTAGTTTTTTTTTTGTTTTTGTTTTTGAGACAGAGTTTTGCTCTTGTTGCCCAGGCTGGAGTCCAATGGTGCAATCTCAGCTCACCGCAAACTCCGCCTTCCAGATTCAAGTGATTCTCCTGCTTCAGCCTCCTGAGTAGCTGGGATTATAGGCATGCGCCACCACACCTTGCTAATTTTGTATTTTTAGTAGAGATGGGGTTTCTCCATGTTGGTCAGGCTGGTCTGGAACTCCCGACCTCAGGTGATCCGCCTGCCTCGGCCTCCCAAAGTGCTGGGATTACAGGCATGAACCATTGTGCCTGGCCACAATTAGTTTTAAGTTGCCATTAGTTTAAAATAATGGGTTATAAGACATTACTTGCAAGCCTCGTGGTAACCTTAAATTAAAAATACATACACACAATGCATACACAAAAAGTAAAAAGAAAAAATTAAGATACATCACCAGAAAAAATCACCTTCACTAAAAAGAGGACAACAAGGAAAGAAAGAAGGGAGAGAAGACCACAAAACAACTAGAAAACAAATAACAAAATGGCAGGAGTAAATCTTTACTCATCAATAATAACATTGAATGTAAGTGGACTAAACTCTCCAATCAAGAGACAGAGAGTGGCTGAATGGATAAAAAAACAAGACTCAATGATTTGTGGTCTACAAGAAACATACTTCACCTAAGAAGACACACATAGACTGAAAATAAAGGGATAGAAAAAGGTATTCCATGCAAATGGAAACCAAAAAAGCAGGAGTAGCTATATTTATATCAGACAAAATAGATTTCCAGACAAAAACTATAAAAAGAGATAAAGAAGGTCATTATATAATGACAAAGGGTCAATTAAGCAGGAGCATATAACAATTACAAATATATAAGCATCCAACACTGGAGCACCCAGACATAAAAAGCAAATATTATAAGAGCTAGAGAGTCAAATAGACCCAAATATAATAATAGTTGGAGACTTCAACACCACGCTTTCAGCATTGTACAGATTATCCAGACAGAAAATCAACAAATATCAGACTTAATCTGTGCTATAGACCAAATGGACTTAATAGATATTCACCTAACATTTCGTACAATGGCTACAGAATACATATTCTTCTCAGCACATGGATTGTTCTCAAGGATAAACCATATGTTAGGCCACAAAACAAGTCTTCAAAAAATCAAAAAAATTGAAATCATATCAAGTGTCTTTTCTGACCACAGTGGAATAAAACTAGAAATCAATAACAGGAGGAACTTTGGAAACTGTACAAACACATGAAAGAAAATTAAACAATATGCTCCTGAATGACCAATGGGTCAATGAAGAAATAAAAAATTTCTTGAAACAAATGAAAATGGAAACACAACATAGCAAACCATATGGGGTACAGTCTTAAGAGAAAACTTTATAGCAATGAGCACTTACATAAAAAAGTAGCAAAACTTCAAATAAACAACCTAATTATGCATCTTAAAGCAGGGTCCCCAACCCCCTGGCCATGGACTGGTACTGGTCCGTAGCCTGTTAGGAACCAGGCTGCACAGCAGGAGGTGAGTGGCGGGTGGGCAAGTGAATACTACCACCTGAGCTCCGCCTCCTGTCAGATCAGTGGTGGCATTAGATTCTCATAGGAGCACAAACCCTACTGTTAACTGCGCATGCAAGAGATCTAGGTTGCGTGCTTTTTATGAGAATCTAATGCCTGATGTTCTGAGGTGGAATAGTTTCATCCTAAAACCATCCCCCATCACCCCCTGCTGTCCATGGAAAAATCGTCTTCCATGAAACTGGTCCCTGGTGCCAAAAAGGTTGGGAACCACTGTCGTAAAGAATTAGAAAAGCAAGAGCAAACCAAACCCAAAATTTAGAAGAAAATAAATAATATAGATCAGAGCAGAAATAAATGAAATTAAAATGAAGAAAATACAAAAGATCAATGAAACAAAAAGTTGGTTTTTTGAAAAGATCAAGAAAATTGACAAACCATTAGCCAGACTAACTAAGAAAAAAAGAGAGAAGACCCAAATAAAATCGGAGATGAAAAGGAGACATTAGAATGGATTACTGCAGAAATTCAAAGGATCATTAGAGGCTGTTACGTGCAACTATATGCCAGTAAGTTGGAAAACCTAGATGAAATGGATAAATTCCTAGATACATACAACCTACCAAGACTGAACTATGAAGAAATCTCAAACTTGAAGAGACCAATAACAAGTAATGAGATTGAAGCCGTAATAAAAACTTTCCCAGCAAAGAAAAACCTGGGACCCAATGGCTTGACTGATGAATTTTACCAAACATTTAAAGAAGGACTAATACCAATCTTACTCAAGCTATTCTGAAAAATAGAGGAGGAGAATACAAGTCCATACTCATCCTATGAGGCTGGTATTACCCTGATACCAACATCAGACAAAGATGCATCAAAAAAAGAAAACTACAGTCCAATATCCTTGATGAACATTGATATAAAAACCCTCAACAAAATACCAGTAAATTAAATTCAACAACTCATTTAAAAGATCATTTATCATGACCAAGTGGGATTTATTCTAGAGATGCAAGCATGATCCAACATATGCAAATCAATCGATGTGATATATCATATCAACAGAATTAAAGATAAAAACCATATGATCATTTCCATTGATGCTGAAAAAGCATTTGATAAAATCTAACATCCCTAAGAAAAAGAAAAAACTGGGAATAGAAGGAAGATACCTTAACACAGTAAAAGCCATATATGACAGACCCATAGCTAGTATCATACTGAACAGGGAAAAACTGAAAGCCTTTCCTCTAAGATCTGGAATAAGACCAGTGTACCCACTTTCACTACTGTTATTTAACATAGTACTGGAAGTCCTACCTAGAGCAATCAGATAAGAGAAATAAAAGGCATCCAAATTGGAAAGGAAGAAGTCAAATTATCCTTGTTTGCTGAGACAATCTTACATTTGGAAAAACCTAAAGACTTCACCACTAAACTATTACAACTAATAAACTTAGTAAAACTGTAGGATACAAAATCAACACAAAAATCAGTAGGATTTCTATATGTGAACAATGGACGATCTGAAAAAGAAATAAAGAATTAATCCCATTTACAATAGCTAAAAATAAAATAAGATTCCTACACATAAACTTAATGAAAGCAGAGAAGATGTCTACAATGAAAACTATAATACATTGATGCAAGAAATTGAACAGGACACAAAAAAATGGAACGACATTCCACGTTCATGAATTGGAAGAATCAATATTGTTAAAACATTCATACTACCCAAAGCAATCCTCAGATTTGATATAATCTCTATCAAAATACCAATGACATTCTTCACAGAAATAGAAAAATTAATCCTAAAATTTATGTGGAACTGCAAAAGACCCAGAATAGCCAAAGCCATCCTGAGCAAAACTGGAAGACTCACATTATCTGACTTCAAATTATACTACAGAGCTACAGTAATAAAAACAGCATGGCAGTTGTATAAAAACAGACACATGACCAATGGAACAGAATAAAGAACTCAGAAACAAATCCCTGCATCTACAGTGAACTCATTTTTGACAAAGGTGCCAAGACCATATGTTGGTGAAAGGACAGTCTTTTTAATAAATGATGCTGGGCAAACTGGATATCCATATGCAGAAGAATGAAACTAGACCCCTATCTCTTACCATAGAAAAAATCAAATCAAAATGGATTAAAGACCTAAATCTAAGACTTCAAATGATGAAACTACTAAAAGAAAACATCAGGGAAACTGCAGGACATTGGTCTGAGCAGAGATTTCTTAAGCAATATCCCAAAGCACAGGCAACTAAAGCCAAACTGGACAAATGGGATCACATCAAGTTAAAAACTTCTGCACAACAAAGGAAACAATCAACAAAGTGAAGAGACAACCCACAGAATGGGAGAAAATATTTGCAAACTATCCATCTGACAAGGCATTAATAATCAGAATATATAAGGAGCTCAAACAACTCTACAGGAAAAAAATCTATTAATCTGATTAAAAAAGGGCAAAAGATCTGAATAGACATTTCTCAAAAGAAGAAATACAAATGGCAAATGGGTATATGAGAAGGTTCTCAACATCACTGAGCATCAGAGAAATGCAAATCAAAACTATGATGAGATATCATCTCACCTCAGTAAAAATTGTATTTAAGCAATACACAGGCAATAATGAATGCTGGTGAGAATGTGAAAAAAAGGAACTCTTGGTGGGAATGTAAATTAGTGCAGCTATTATGGAGAAGAGTTTGGAGGTTCAACAAAAAACTAAAAATAGAGGTACCATATGATTCAAGAATCCCATTACTGGGTATTTATCCAAAGGAAATGAAATCAGCATGTTGAGGAGGTATCTGCACTCCATGTTTATTGCAGCACTGTTTACAATAGCCAAGATTTGGAAGCAACCTGTGTTCATCAATGGATGAATGGATAAAGAAAATGTGGTACACATATACAATAGAATATTATTATTATTATTATTATTGAGACAGAGTCTTGGTCTGTCGCTGAGGCTGGAGTGCAGTGGCATGATCTCAACTCACTGCAACCTCTGCCTCCTGGGTTCAAGCGATTCTCCTGCCTCAGCCTCCCAAGTAGCTGGGACTCCAGGGCACGCCGCCAAGCCCAGCTGATTTTTGGAGTTTTAGTAGAGACAGGGTTTCACCTTGTTGGCCTCGTGATCTGCCCGCCTTGGCCTCCCAAAGTGCTAGGATTACAGGCGTGAACCACCGCACGCCCTTCTTTTTTTTTTTTTTTTTGAGATGGAGTCTCGTTCTGTCATCCAGGGTGGAGTGCAGTGGCATGATCTCGGCTCACTGCAACCTCCGCCTCCCGGGTTCAAGCAAGTCTCTGCCTTAGCCTCCTGAGTAGCTGTGATTACAGGTGCCCACCACCATGCCTGCCTAATTTTTTGTATTTTTAGTGGAGACGGGGTTTCACCATCTTGGCCAGGCTGGTCTTGAACTCCTGACCTCGTGATCCACCTGTCTTGGCCTCCCAAAGTGCTGGGATTACAGGTGTGAGCCACCGCGCCCGGCCACAATGGAGTACTATTTAGCCATAAAAAAGAATGAGATCTAGTCATTTGTAACAACATGGATGGAACTAGAGGACATTATGTTAAGTGAAATAAGCCAGGAATAGACAGACAAACTTTGCAAGTTCTCACTTAATTGTGGGAGCTCAAAATTTAAAAAATTGAACTCATGGAGGCTGAGAGTAGAAGGATGGTTACTGGAGGGTGGGAAGGATAGTTGGGAGTGGGCAGAAGTGGAGATGGTTAGTGGGCACAAAAATACAGTTACATAGAATGAATATAATATTTAGTATTTGATACCACAACAGGGTGTCTATAGTCAGCAATAATTTATTGTACTTTTTTTGAGATGGAGTTTCACTCTTGTTGCCCAGGCTGGAGTGCAATGGTGCAATCTCGGCTCACTGCAACCTCCTTCTCCCGGGTTCAGGCGATTCTCCTGCCTCAGCCTCCTGAGTAGCTGGGATTACAGGTGTGTACCACCATACCCGGGTAATTTTGTATTTTTAGTGGAGACGGGGTTTTGCCATGTTGGTCAGGCTGGTCTCGAACTCCTGACCACAGGTGATCCACCTGCCTCAGCCTCCCAAAATGCTGGGATTACAGGCATGAGCCACTGTGCCCAGCCTGTACATTTTAAATAACTAAAAACTGGGCCAGATGTGGTGGCTCAAGCCTGTAATCCCAACACTTTAGGAGGCTGAGGCGGGTGGATCACCCGAGATCAGGAGTTCGTGACAAGCCTGACCAACATAGTGAAACCCCGTCTCTACTAAAAATACAAAAAAATTAGCTGGGAGTGGTGGCGCATGCCTATACCCCCAGCTACTTGGGAGGCTGAGGCAGGAGAATTGCTTGAACCTGGAAGGTGGAAGTTGCAATGAGCTGAGATCGAGCCATTGCACTCCAGCCTGTGCAAAAAGAGTGAAACTCCGTTTCAAAAAAAAAAAAACAAAAAGTACATAACGTAAAAATAAAATAAAATAACTAAAAAGCTATAATTGAAATGTTTGTAACATACAGAAATGATAAATGTTCAAGCTGATGGATACTCCATTTACTTTAATGTGATTATTACTCATTGTATGCCTGTATCAAAATATCTTATGCACCCCATAAAAATATATACCTATTATGTACTTATAACAATTAACAACTTTTTTTTTTTTCTTTCTGAGACAGAGTCTTGCTCAGTCGCCCAGGCTGGAGTGCAATGGCACAATCTTGGCTCACTGCAATCTCTGCCTCTTGGGTTCAAGTGATTCTCCGGCCTCAGCCTCCCGAGTAGCTGGGATTACAGGCACCTGCCATCATGCCCAGCTAATTTTTGTATTTTTGTAGAGATGGGGTCTTGCCATGTTGGCCAGGCTGGTCTCAAACTCCTGACCTCAGGTGATCTGCCTGCCTTGGCCTCCCAGAGTGCTGGGATTATAGGCATGAGCCAATGCACTCGGCCTCCTTAGACTCTAATTCCAGCTGTGGGGTTCTTGCCTGGACCATGTTCAGGTATAGCTTCTACACTGTTTTCTTCTTTTTCCTCTTTTTCTTTCTTTCTTTTCTTTCTTTCTTTCTTTCTTTCTTCCTTCCTTTCTTTCTCTCTTCTCTTCTCTTCTCTTCTTTTTTTTTTGAGATAGTCTTGCTCTATTGCCCAGGCTTCAGTGCAATGCTGAGATCTTGGTTCACTGCAACTTCTGCCTCCTGGGTTCAAGTGATTCTCCTGCCTCAGCCTCCTGAATAGCTGGGATTATAGGCACCTGCCACCACGCCCAGCTAATTTTTGTATTTTTGGTAGAGACAGGGTTTTGCCATGTTGGCCAGCGTGGTCTTGAACTCCTGACTTCAGGTAATTGGCCTGCCTTGGTCTCCCAAAGTGCTGGGGTTACAGGTGTGGGCCGTCACGCCCGGACATGTCTTATTTATTTTCTGATCCATCGCTTGTTGCTGCTTACCATAATCTTTTTTTTTTTTTTTTTTTTTTTTTGAGACGGAGTCTCACTCTGTCACCCAGGCTTGAGTGCAATGGCACGATCTCGGCTCACTGCAGGCTTCGCCTCCTGGGTTCAAGTGATTCTCCTGCCTCAGCCTCCTGAGTAGCTGGGATTACAGGTGCCCACCATCACACCTGGCTAATTTTTGTATTTTTATTAGAGATGGGGTTTCACCATGTTGGTGAGGCTGGTCTTGAACTCCTGACCTCGTGATCCGCCCGCCTCAGCCTCCCAAAGTGCTGGGATTACAAGCGTGAGCCACTGTGCCCAGTGCTGCTTACCATAATCTTTAACCTTAACTTATTCACCATGGTTGGGTGGTTTTCCAGTGAGAATTGGATATGGAAGAACTCTGAAAGGTCAAACTCTCAGAAAGTCAGAAACGTCAAGTCTTGCTCAAGAAGAGTTGTCTGGGTGTTGTTTAAGGCTGGATTGTGGTGCTGACATCTTTTGCTAGAATCACTGTGATAGGCCAGAATTTCATCATGACATCCCCCTATTCAGCGACATTAGGTGACTGTCTTATTGCCAGTACATAAAGTTCCAACCTCTCTTCTCAATTGGGTTCTATCCTTCCCTCCCTATCCAACCTCATCACTATCTTTCCTGCCTAAACTGCACTAGGGCTTGAAGGCACTTCAAAGAATGGAATAATTCAGCGGCCCCTTGTTGGGGAAGGGGTTGTACATTAGATTGAAAGTGTTTTAAACATGATTCAATATGCATTTTAATCTATAAATATTTTAAAACTTCACTAATAGTGAAAGAAATGCAAATCAAAACAAAATATGCCGTGGTGGACACAGAGATGTGTGTCATGGATCCCACTTCCAGGGGGAGCTTGTCTGGTTGTTAGCTCACAGCCCCCAACTGTCAGCTTCTTCAGGGCTTGCCTCAGCTTCCTGGGGTAGCCCACAACCAATGACTGATTGAAGCCATGTTACAAGGCCTGGTTATTTTGTCTTAATGCACAGCAATTCTGTTCCATCATACATACTCCGTAGCACATCCTATGGCTGAGACTTCACCAGGCCTGCACTGGCGTTCCACTTTTCCATCTGCCCAATCCTGCTTCCTTCTCCCTTCCTTCTATGGGTGTTGATTTTGAATAAATATATTGCATGCAGATCCCAAATCACTGTGCTCCTGGAGAACCCAACCTGTGTAAGGAATTTTTTTCTAAGAAATTTCATACTAACACATTAAAAAATTGACAAATCAGGCTGGGCACAGTTGCTCACACCTGTAAATCCCAACACTTTGGGAGTCCAAGGCAGGATGATCACTGATGCCAAGAGTTCAAGATCAGCCTGGGCAACAGAGTGAGATCCCTGTCTCTACAAAAAATAAAAAAAGTTAGCCAGGTATGGTGGCACCTAACTGTAGTCCAAACTACTTGGGAAGCTGAGGTGGAAGGATCACCTGAGCCCGGGAGTTCGAGGCTGCAGTGAGCCATTATTGCACCACTGCACTCCAGCCTGGGTGACAGAATGAGACCCTGTCTCAAAAAGAAAAACAAAAATTAAAATGCATCAAAAAATATGTAGCAGTGTGAGTGGGGCTTCTGGGTTAAAAATATATATGATGGAGCCATTAATGGGTAGATGAACAGGTGTGACAAAACAAGTATAATATTATGTTAATAGAATCTAGGTCATGGGTATGTGGATGGATGTTTATTGTAATTCATTCTTTTTTTTTTTTTTTTTTCCCCCGAGATGCAGTCTTGCCCTGTCGCCCAGGCTGGAGTGCAGTGGCTCGATCTTGGCTCACTGCAACCTCCACCTCCAGGATTCAAGCGATTCTCGTGCCTCAGCCTCCCGAGTAGCTGGGATTACAGGCGCACACCACCATGCCTAGCTAATTTTTTTTTTTTTTTGTATTTTCAGTAGAGACAGGGTGCCACCATGTTGGCCAGGCTGGTCTCAAACTCCTGACCTCATGATCCACCCTCCTTGGCCTCCCAAAGTTCTGGGATTACAGGCGTGAGCCACCGCACCTGGCCCCATTGTAATTCATTCTAAAGTTCTTTGAACTTTGCTGTATGTTTGAAAGTACATACAGTGGAGTGCAGTGGTGCAATCATGGCTCACTGCAAATCTAATGTAGAAGAAGATACACTGGAATGTTGACAATTATAATCTTTGGGTAGAGTGCTTATGTGTGATTAGTTTTTTTTGTTTAAACTTTTAAACATTTTCTTATTTTTCTGAATCTTATGTCACTCAGCCAATATTATTATTTTTACAATTTGACAAGTAACTCTCTAAAATTATTCATAATGGTTTTATTCATAACAAAGTAAAAACTACAAACCACCCTTATAAAAGCACCAAGTACAGAGCTGGCAGGGGCTGTAGATTTCTTTTAATCTTGGTACCTCAGTTAACACAGGAGAAGACTGAGGACAGGTGAGATAGAGAACCTGCCCAGCAAGGATCAGACAGAGAGTAGCCAGCAGAGACTGAGTTGAGGAGGACTGGAACCCCAACATCTGGCCTCTATTCTAGGGCTTTTCCTCCTGCCTCTGCTATAGTGAACATCTACTGTAGAGGCATAGTTAAGTTGCTTTTGGCATAGTGATATTGGTGTATAACTATGCAGTCATTTAAAAGGATAAATATAAAGACAATGAATAAACATAGAACAGTGTAAAATAATGACAGATTTTTTAAAAAGTAGAATATCATGGTAATAATGCTGACTACAACCATATTTTAAAAATATTTCTGTAGGCTGGGCACGGTGGCTCATGCCTATAATCCCAGCACTTTGGGAGGCTGAGGCGGGTGGATTACCTGAGGTCAGGAGTTTAAGACTAGCCTGGCCAACATGGTGAAACACCGTCTCTACAAAAATACAAAAACTAGCCGGACATGGTGGCGTGAGCCTGTAATCCCACTTATTCGGGAGGCTGAGGCAGGAGAGTTGCTTGAACCCAGGAGGCGGAGGTTGCAGTGAGCCAAGATCACGCCACTGCACTCCAACCTGGGCCACAGAGCAAGAATCTGTCTCAAAATAAATAAATAAATAAATAAATTTCTGTAGACACACTTATTTCAGTATTTATACCATTATGCTCCACTTTGAAGTCTATTGATTATATATATATTTTCAACATTTTGTTATAAAAATTTCCAAACATACAGCAAAGTAAAAAGAATTTTACAATTTTATAATGAGTTACAATGAACATCCATCTACATACCCATGACACAGATTCTATTAACATAATATCATGCTTGTTTGGTCATGTCTGTTCATCTACTCATTAATTGTTCCATCATGTATATTTTTAACCCACAAGCCCCACTCACATCACCCGTTATATTTTTTGATATATTTCAAAGTTAATTGTAGGTATCAATACACTTTCCCTAAATACTTCAGCATGTATACTACTAAGTGAAGTTTAATATTTATAGATTTTTCTTTTGATATAAAATTTATGTAAAATGAAATACACTATCTTATGTGTACATTTATCAAGTTTTGACAAATACATATATATTTGTAACCAAACTCCCAGCAAGACATGGGACATTATCATCAACTCAAAAACTTCCTTCATGTCCCTTCTCAGTCCATCTCCACCCCCACTGTCCTTGTGTATTCAGGCTGCTATAACAAAATATCACAAACTAGAGGTTTATAAACAACAGAAATTTGTCTCTTATAGTTCCAGAGGCTGGGAAGTCCAAGATCAAGGCTCTGGCAGATTCAGTGACTGGTGAGGGCCTGTTTCCTAGTTCTTAGGATGACTTTTCCTAGTTCTTAGATGACTTCTTGTTGCATCCTCACATGGTGGAAGGGGCAAGGCAGCTCTCTTGGGTCTCTCTTTTTTTTGAGACAGGGTCTCACTTTGTCACCCAGGCTGGAGTGCAGTGGCATGATCTCAGTTCACTGCAGCCTTGACCTCCCAGGTTCAAGCTATCCTCCTGCCCTAGTCCCCAAGTAGCTGGGACTATAGGAGCACACCACCACACCTGGCTAATTTTTGTACTTTTTTGTAGAGATGGGGTTTCGTCATGTTGCCCAGGCTGGTCTCGAACTCCTGAGCTCAAGTGATCCATGTCTCCCAAAGTTTTAGGATTACAGGCGTGAGCCACAATGCCAGGCTAGGTCTCTTTTCTAAGAGCCCAAATCCTATTGATGAGGGCTCCTCCTTCCTATCCTAATCACCTTCCAAAGACCCCATCTCTTAATACTATTGCATTGGTGATTAGGTTTCAACATATGAATTTTGAGGGAACACACACATTCAAGTGATAGCAGTCACCCAAAAGAAGAAACAACTGTTTTCATTTTTTCTTCTACCACAGAGTAGATTTGACTGTCCTAGAACTTCATATAAACGGAATCTTATAATGTGTTCTCTTTTGAGTAAGACTCATTTCACTCAACATAATGTTTTTGGGATGTATCAATGTTGCTGCTATATGCTGCTATATCAATAGTTTACTATTTTTTGTTGATGTGTATTTTGTTACTTTTTCTTCACTGTGTAAGTGTAGCACAGTTTATTAATTCCCTTATTGATGAATACAGTTTAGGGGAAAGAGAGGCTTTTTTTTTTTTTAAATAAACAAGGTCTCTTCCAAGGTTATTCATAATTTACAGAAGAAAAAAAAAAGAAAGAAATGAGGTCACTCTCTGTCATCCAGGCGGGAGTGCAGTAGCATAATCATAGCTCACTACGACCTTGAACTCCTGGGCTCAAGCAATCCTCCTGCCTCAGCCACTTGAATAGCTAGGACTGCAGGTGCGCACCACTACATCCAGCTAATTAAACTTTTTTTTTTTTTTTTGTAGAGACAGGGTCTTGCTAGGTTGCCCAGGCTGCTCTTAAACACCTGGCCTCCAGGGATCCTCCTGCCTCAGCTCCCCAAGTAGCTGGGGTTACAGGCAGGAGCCACCACATTTGGCTAGACAGTATTTTTTTTCCTTTGTTAAATATCTAGGAGTAGAATTGTGACATCACAGGGTAGGTGCCTGTCTAGCTTTATAAGAACATGTCAGGCCTTTTCCCAAAATACTTGTATCATTTTACAAGCCTACCAACAATGTCTGAGAGTTCTGATTTTCTATATCTGCATCACAGCTGGTGCTATCAATCTTTTTAATTGTAAGCCATTCTGATAGGTGGATAGTGGTATCTCATTTACTTTGCATTTCCCTGATGACTAATAGAAATGGCCAATAAGCACATGAAAACGTGCTCACCTTTTTATGTCTTCTTTTGAGAAACGTCTGTTTGAGTATTTCATCCAACTTTTGATTAGGTGGTTTGTCTTTTTATTACTAACTTGTAGGAAAACTTTATATTCTGCCTATACCATTCCTTCATCAACAAACGTTTTGCAAATTTCTTTCCAGCAAAGAAGATAAAACTTTTTTTCTACCTCCAGTTCCAATACTAACACCTAGATATGTTATAAATTATTTCAATAAACTTTAATAGCTGAGTTTAAATTGGAGAATCATAAGATCTCAGTTCTGATACATTGCTTAATTACTAATCCTAAGCAACTTTCTCCCACTATATAATAATTTCCTTCATGTCAGAGTCAATATCTTAGCTATTTTTTTTTCTTTCCTCATGGTAACTGGTAAGGTATTTTAAAGTCAGTAAATACTGAGTGAATATTATTTCTGTGTTGAAATCTAGTAGCATTTTTGTTACTTGAAGAACAGGAATGGACTCTTGAACTTAGTCACAGCTTAAGTGTAGACTATGACATCAGCTCTGTCATGTTGACATCCTGTGATTTGTTTGCTGTTGAGTGGTCTTCATTTAGGAAAGAGAGACAGGTGTCATATGTCCAGAGATAATTATTTCAGAGGCAACCTCTCCCTTCTCTGAACTTTTAAAACCATTACTCTCTTGGGGCACCCTGAAACATTGCTGGAGTGGAATCCGTGTTTACTCTGGTTTCTTCCTATGCTGTAAGCACTTTGAGGGCAAGGATATATCCCATTTGCACCTCAATTGCTCCCCAAACTCACCATCAGGGTCCCTTGCACATAGTGGAAGCAATAAACACTTGTTGAACAAATACATAAAGTGAAAAAAAAAATCCACACACAAAAAACACCTCAAACCAAAAAGCATAATAAACCAAGCTGGCAACAACAACAACAACAACAACAAAAATTAGCTCACAGAATATATATATATTTTTTAAGATGGAGTTTCATTCTTGTTGCCCAGGCTGGAGTGCAGTGGCGCAATCTCAGCTCACTGCAACCTCTGCCTTCCAGGTCAAGCAATTCTCCTGCCTTAGCCTCCTGAGTAGCTGGGATTACAGGCACTTGCCACCATGCCCAGATAATTTTTTGTATTTTTAGTAGAGACGGGGTTTCACCATGTTGGTCAGGCTGGTCTTGAACTCCTGACCTCAGGTGATATGCCTGCTTCGGCCTCCCAAAGTGCTGGGATTACTGGTGTGAGCCACTGCACCCAGCCTCGTTGTCTATTTTTAAGGACAATCAATGATGGCATAAGTAGCTTGAGCCTAAAATACTTGTATGCTCATTCTCCTAGTGAAGCTGACATAGGTTGTGTCACCCAGTCTCAGTCATCAAGTAGGATGTAGGACCTATGTCATCCATCAGTCCATTTAACATTCATTCACATCAAGTGTCTGTGTGGCCCTGTGATAGGCACTGACTGTAGAGAAGGGAGACAAGAAATTTTTGAAACCACTAGAGGACGATATAATACAACACAATCCACCCCGAATTTAGGCAGGGCAAATGCCAAAATTCAGAGATGGGAAGGGTGGGCAATGGAACCTGAATGACTTAGGGATGGAAGCAGGTTTTTAGCCTTTACTAAAAATTCAGTATACATTTTGCTTATTTCCTGCCTCTAGCAGATCTGCTGAATAACTCTTCCTTTTCAGAAATGCTGGCTTTACTTCTTTGCATGAATCTGGATTTTGAGAGCACCGAGGCTAGTTTATTTTCAACATAATATATGTTGGTTTGCTCTGTGTTAAACATTCTGAGTAGTTCATAACTAATTCTTTTAACTGAATTATTTTTTTGAATGTGCTTTTCTTACTTATGCACCCCTCACACTTCTGTTTTTATCACAACTCGATTTGAGTGGAAACTTTTGAGAATTTCTGTAGTTATCTTTTGATATGTCTTTCTATTTAAAAGGGAACCAAAACATTTATCTTAATTTTTACAAGTCATTAAAATTTATCTAGCTAAGTCCTCCGTGATTACAAGTTAAAATGGCTGAGTTTTATATCTCCAATGCTTAGCACAATGAAAGCTTGGCATGTAGTAGGCACTCAGTGAAAGCCTGGTGGACGTCTCATAGTAAAAGACAGAACAGGGAAAATGTCAGACAACAGCTTGCCTGTCCACAGGCCATATTAAAATGTTTATGTCCAGAGCCTTTTGTTGAGGGAAATGGACACTTCTACAGCCTCTTGCATTTGTTGACTGTATCTCTGGAGAGCCCAGCTCTGCTTCCATTACCAATTCCTGCCTCTTGTCTTTTATTGATCACCAGTGCAAATTCTTGACAGAGAAAACCTGATTGAGTTAGCAAGTAACTATAGGCTTCCTCACAGGCCTCCAGCCCAGTGGTTCTCAAATGTGAGCATAGAATCCCCTGGAAGTCTTATTATCCTTATCCATAGGTGGCCACATCCACAACCACATCACATATTCCCCGGCCTACAGCTGATGGACATCTTACCCAAGGACCGTTCACCTACAGGCTAGAGCAGTGGTTTTCAAAGTGTGGTCTCAAGATCAGAAACATCAGCATCACCTGGAAATGTATAGCAATATGGGTGATCGGACTCTGCTGGAGATCTGCCGAATTAGAACTTCTGAGGGTAGTGCATAGCAATCTGTGTGTTTTTTCTTTCTTTCTTTCTTTTTTTTTTGAGACAGAGAATCACTCTGTCATCCAGGCTGGAGTGCTGCCATGGTGCAATCTCGGCCCACTGCAACCTGTGCCTCCCAGGTTCAAGCGATTCTCCTGATCAGCCTCCTGAGTAGCTGGGATTATAGGTGCGCACCACCATGCCTGGCTAATTTTTGTATTTTTAGTAAAGATGGGATTTCACCATCTTGGTCAGGCTGGTCTCGAGACCTCAAGTGATCTGCCTGCCTTGGCCTCCCAAAGTGCTGGAATTACAGGCGTGAGCCACCACTCCCGTTGGCAATCTGTGTTTTAAGAAGCCTTCCAGGTGATTCCATGCTCACATTTGAGACCCACTGGGCTGGAGGCCTGTGAGGAAGCCTATAGTTACTTGCTAACTCAATCAGGTTTTCTCTCTCAAGAATTTGTACTGGTGATCAATAAAGGACAAGAGGCAGACAATTGATAACGGAAGCAGATCTGGGCTCTCCAGAGATGCAGTACACAAATGCAAGAGGCTGTAAAAGCCACGGACTAGCAGAAGTTATGTTAGTTGTGAGGTAGAGAAAAGATACTCAAAGTTGATATTAAAGAGGTTGGTAGCAGTGGAGCTGGAGGAGCAGAGAAAGAAAGTTGCTGAGTCACCATGATGGTGGGTCAATGAACACAGCAGCTGAAGAGTCAGCATGGTGACCTGGGTTTATTTGTTGCTACGGCAGCATTGCACCTTCCAGTTCTGGGAACGGCGTCCAGAACTGCGAGAGAATAGATTTCCATTGTTTCTCTTCAGCCTATGATATTTTGCTATGGCAGCCTGAGCTAGGGCATACTTTAGGTGGTATAATCTCATAGAAGCCTAGTCAGGTTTTTTTTTTTTTTGTGATTGTTATTTGTTTTAAATCTGACTGAAAATTTTCTTGAAGCAAGTATAGGCTCAAGTTGATTATTATTATTTTGCTTTAGAAACCAAAAACTTGTATGCATTTTTTTTTTTTTTTTTTGAGATAGAGTTTCACTCTTGTTGCCCAGGCTGGAGTGCAGTGTGGCATGATCTTGGCTCACCGAAACCTCTGTCTCCCGGGTCAAGCAACCTCTGTCTCCTGGGTTCAAGTGATTCTCCTGCCTTAGGCCTCCCTGGGATTGCAGGCATGTGCCACTAGGCCTGACTAATTTTGTATTTTTAGTAGAGACGGGGTTTTACCATGTTGGCCAGGCTGGTCTCAAACTCCTGACCTCAAGTGATCTGCTCACCTCGGCCTCCCAAAGTGCTGGGATTACAGGCATGAGCCACTGCGCTTGTATGCTCTCTTGAGCAGCTCTTTCATCAGCTTTAGAAAGCTTCTCCTTTGTCCTGGTGGGAGGCAAACCACATCTATGTTTAAGATGCTTGAGTTACAGAGACACTGGTGTGCCTCATCCTTAGGGTTGAAACTGCCTTTGCAAAATTATGACAGACAGTGAAAGAGATCTAACTGGCTCTATCTTGGTTCTAACCTTTAAGCTGTCCTTTCTCCCTCCTGGGCATAGGCCGAACTAACTTTGGGAGGAACTTATAGTTTAAAACAAAGACAATAATAGCCCTTTCCCAAAACAAAACTCTTTCTTGTGTGGGGACTAGACTGCCTCTGTAGGACTAAGAAATTAGCCACAAGATTAGAAATTATGGTTTTGGAGTCATGCAGCTGGAGGCTACAAGATTCTGATCCTCCCTCAACTGATCCTAAGATCAGTGCTTGAGACATTTTGCAGACCCGCACTTGATGGATCAGCTGGAACCACCGAGATCGATAAACTGGCTCATCTGATCTTGTGGCCCCCACCCAGGAACTGACTCAGCGCAAGAGGACAGCTTCAGTTCCCTATGATTTCATCTCCTACCTAACCAATCAGCACTCCTGGCTCACTGGCTTCCCGCAACTCACTAAGTTGTCCTTAAAAACTCTGATACCTGAATGCTCAGGGCGACTGATTTGAGTAATAATAAAACTCTGGTGTCCTGCACAGCCAGCTCTGTGTGAATTACTCTTTCTCTACTGCAATTCCCCTGTCTTGATAAATTCGCTCTGTCTAGGCAGCGGGAAAGGTGAACCCATTGGGCCGTTCCAGGGTCTCCCAGTACACAGCTTCATCACAACATAAATGAATGCGGCTTGAGTAGGGGCTTGTATGTAGAATTCGAACCCACAAAGTTGAAAATCTTTCCTTTTCAATAGGCTCTGCAATTTGCCTGATAGCAGATTACAAGGACCACTAAGAACACTACTTCCAACCCAACATTATAAGCTACTTAACAGACTAAATATGTTATGAACATAATAAATTTAAAATAAACATATGAGAATCTGTATGACAAATGCATAACATTCCTTTGAAAGTTTTTTATTTTGTGATTTGGGGTGGGTGGGTGTTCACTTACACCACTGATGTTGGAAATGTGAGAACGTTTTGAAACTACAGAAACGATGTAGTTGGAGGACTAATTAGCCAGGTGTAACTCTTCCTTCTGTGAGACAAACAACTCAGAGAGGTTTCCACAAGTGCTTATTAACTGCTCTAAATACTTCTGTTCTTTCCAGAGAACAACAGAAAGATCAAGTCTAGAAAGTTGGTATAGAACTGATGGAAAATATGAGTTCAGATCAGATTAGTACAGAGGACATTTTAGAAAACCAAGTAAAACAACAGGAGTCAATCAGATATGTAACTGAGCAAGGCTGCTAGGATGTGTACTTACACAAGGTGCAAAGATGAAATTACTATTGAAAATCTGGTCATGGAAAGAATGCTGGTTTTTTGTTGTTGTTGCTGTTGTTGTTTGGGGTTTGTTACTGTTTTGCATTGTGAGTATGGGCCTTTTCCCCCCCAGCTCAACTCACTAACATTTCTTGTCAGTTAGACTAGACTCAAGTATTTAAAAAAGGCAGCCTTGGCCGGTGCAATGGCTCACGTCTGTAATCCCAGCACTTTGGGAGGCTGAGGCAGGCATATCACTTGAGGTCAGGAGTTTGAGACCAGCCTGGCCAACATGCAACATGGTGAAACCCCGTCTTTAATAAAAATACAAAAATTGGCTGTGAGTGGTGGCACGTGCCTGTAATCTCAACTACTTGGGAGGCTGAGGGAGGAGAATTGCTTGAACCTGGAAGGCGGAGGTTGCAGTGAGCTGAGATCGCGCCACTGCACTCCAGCCTGGGCAACAAGAGTGAAACCTCCGTTAAAAACAAACAAACAAAAAGGCCAGTCTTGCTTTCTGGGTGGACTAATGGCATTTAGCCAAAATGAAAAAAAAAATCATTAAGTTGAAAAACCCTGCGGGACAGGTTATGCCAAGAGGGTGAATTGGACAGCTTTACAGATGCCTCATGTTAGGAAATTTTCCTGGATTTGAGTCTTCAATGTGGGAGCAGAGTTACCTGAATATATGGAGTTGATGGAGACATTCCTTGATGAGAAGCAGAAATTCCCCAGGGACCTTGTAAATCTGAAGCAGATAAAGGGAAATGAAGAAACCAAGTTTTACAACTTTGATGAGTGGCAAAATTTGTCAATAAGAGCTAGATATTAAGTAATTAGCTTTTAGGAAGCAAAGTGTATTGGACTTGGCTATGATATGAAGGAATTCATTTAATAAATCAAAACGAAAACAAAAACAACAAAAACAAAGAAGCGAAGCATGAATCTCCTAATCAGCAGAAAAGGGAGGACAGCCGGAGACAATCGTATTCCTGATCGATACTGATGTAAACTTGTGCTGGAACAGTAAGTTCTTTGTTTTGTCTTGTTTTTATTTATTATTATTTTTTAAATCAAGGGAGATAACGCTTGTAGAGCCCCACACACTCAGAGCCCTGAGATAAAGGGTACACGCAATGGAGGCAGGGCATCCGGGATGTGAAGGGGGAGTTGTTTCGCGTTTGACTTACTTTGCTGTCCGAGAACGACAAATACATTGAAGTGCCACAACTTGGATAGGAATAAGACGGAAGGACAGAGAAGGATGACAAACTAAATCACACAAAGGCTCATGCGCCACAAGAACTATGAAACCTAGGTGTTCTGAATCTCTGGGTTTAGATTTCCGATTAAAAAAAATCAAACATTCTAGCTGTTACTTGTTATTAGACACTCGGTAGGGCACAGGAGAATCAAGTAAGGGCAGCCATTTGCTGAGTCTCATCTTATACCACAGCGCCACCTATTGGACGCTGATAAAAATACATCCGGAAGTACCTAAAACCTATTGAAGTCCTGTCTACACAATTTTGTAAGTAACTATAAATTCTAGAATCATAGGATTTCAGAGTGATGGGGCTTTAAAAGTCATTGGAGTCAAGTTTGTGTCCAACATTTGAATCACTTTTATAACATATTTGATTAGTGTTTAATTCTGCTCCAACATCTTCAGTGAATGAAAACACACCCTCACTAAGCAGCTCATTCTATTAATATGAATACTTTCACACACTATTACTTTTCACTCAGTGCTTCACCACTCCTTTCTGCAGCACCCGGACAGAACCTAGTGCTAGGTCTTTCCAGGGTTCTTGGGAGTGAATTGGTTTCACTTTCATTGGAATTCTTCTTTGCAGACCCATTGACGGTAGGCTCTGCTAAATCAGTTACTATGCACTTTCTGTGTTTCAAATTATTGCTCATATCTCCTGTCTTCTATTTCTCCTCTCTCATTCTTTTTTTTTTGAGTTTTACTTTTTGTCAAAAATTAATCTATTATCATTTTGATAGGTTTGGGAGGACAGAAGAAATAAAACAAGAAAGAAATAAACCCCACCATGTTTAATTAGGGGCCTAGTCATGTTTTTCTGATTCTGTTCTTTTTTTTTTGAGACGGAGTTTCCACTCTTGTTGCCCAGGCTGGAGTGCAATGGTGCAATCTCGGCTCACCACAACCTCCGCCTCCCGGGTTCAAGCGATTCTCCTGCCTCAGCCTCCCGAGTAGCCGGGATTAAAGGCATGCGCCACCATGCCCGGCTAATTTTTTTTTTTGTATTTTTAGTAGAGACGGGGTTTCTCCATGTTGGTCAGGCGGTCTTGAACTCCCGTCCTCAGGTGATCCGCCCACCTCGGCCTCTCAAAGTGCTGGGATTACAGGTGTGAGCCACCGCGCCTGGACCTGATTCTGTTCTTATGCACGAAAAAAATGTAAGCGTAGGGCTTTACATTTATTTCAGTTAAAATTTTTATTAAGTTTGGCTTATCGTTAGAGCCTTTGGATCTTCACTCTGCCATATTAAATATATTGGCTACCTTTCCCAGCAGTCAGAGAAGTGCATTAGCAAGCCAACTGTACACTCAACTATTTACTCAATGAACAGGACAAGTCTGCAAACAGAATTCCTTTACACTAGAAACTCTGGGCTGACATTGATTCATAATTAGCACCTATCTTTGTGATCATCTGGGCCACATTCTTCTGTCTTGTTCACAAGGTAAAAGTCTCTGTCAAATGCTGAGTTCAAATGGTGAAGCTGCGTATTGACAGCTTCTTCTGATTTGTCAGTCTGGCAGAGTTTGGATAAAAACAGAAGTCCTGTTAATTCATTAGTCATGACTTTCCCTATCTGAATCTTATGCACAATTAAATACTCCCCTTTCTTCTCTCCATGTTCAAGGTGGTGTTAGACAACCTGCCTGAGAATTGCACTATTGATTCCTGCCCCAGTTTCTAGAATTCTTTGTGATAACGAACAGCAGCTCATTTTGTCACCAATCTCTTCTAGGTATAGGCTAGGATGTAGTTTGTTGGGGCCAGGAGGTTTGCACCGATGTAGAGAACCCAGATGCTTTCTTATGATTTTTCCACCAGTTTGGATTTTTAGATCTTTTATCTTAATCCTTGTTGTATTATTTTCTGGCCAGTAATCTTTCTCCTTGGCAGAAATGAAAGATAGAAAATAGGAGATAAAGTGGTATCTGCCTCTATTATCCATCTTTCACTACTCTTGTATAATTCCAGAAAGTGCTCTTTTTAAAAAATTTCTTTTTGAGATGCAGTCTCGCTCTATTGCCCAGGCTGGAGTGCAGTGGCATGATCCTGGCTCACTGCAACCTCCGCCTCTCGAGTTCAAGTGATTCTCCTGCCTCAGCCTCCTAAGTAGCATGAACCGCCATGCTGGGATAGTTTTTGTATTTTTGGTAGAGACGAGGTTTCACCATGTTGGCCAGGCTGATCTCAAACTCCTGACTTCAGGTGATCCATACGCCTCAGCCTTCCAAAGTGCTGGGATTACAGGGGTGAGCCACTGTGCCCAGAAAAGTGCTTTAAGTCACTCTTTACATTTAAAGTTTATCTGCCTTTCTTTTGTGTGGTATAGAATCTGAAGTTATTTGGCTAGGCAAGCTTGCTGGATTTCTTCAATTTGACCTTTTAGATTCATTTTCCACCTTTATCCATAATTTTCTGTTCTGGGAGGCTGTCCTGTGTGGATCACAGCAAAGGCACCTATGCCTTCTGGCTTTCCGCAGGAGATGGGAGGGAGAGAGAAAGGAGCATGGGGTCAGGGCATATATTTCCTTGGTTCCTTCCTGCGAGGTTGACACAAGTTGCTGAGTCTCTCAACAGAATGTCACTGCTCTTGTCTAGGTGGCCTGCTCTATGCCATTCTCTTTTTGGGTTCTGGCAAGCTCTCTTTTACCCTATTCCTATACAGTTCCACTGCCACTATCTCTTATGGCTCTGCTATCCCCACTCACCCCTTTGTAATTAGTCCCTCTGTAAATAAAACCTCCTCCAATTTTCCTAATTCGTGTGTGCCATCTGTTTTTGTTCCTTGAGGTGGAGAGAACTGGACTGATACAGGAAGTTTAAAACAAGTGTGAGAGAAAGTTCTTCTATTGTATCAAGTTTTTTTTGGACCACGTGATAAACTATTCTTGGATGGTCCAGTAACTGACCCTTTGTAAAATTTTTGGTGTATCAGAGTCAAAGATAGAAACTATTTTATAAATTTTTTTAGGTTAGAAAACCAAGTGGTATTTTTTCTGATATTAATGCCTATGTAACTGAATGCTATATTCCAGAAATGATTAGTGATATTTTGGTTTCCAAACTGTTGGACAAAAAACAGGTATATGAAACACAGGAATAATTTCTAGAATATATAAGGAACTCCTACAAATCAATATGGAACAGACAAAAAATAAAGCAGAAAAATGGGCAAAGGGTATAAATAGACAAGTCACAGATGGAAAATGTATATGAAAAGATGCACAACCTCATTAGTAATCTGGAAAATGCAAACTAAAACAAGATAGCACTTCATATGCATTATAAGGGCAAAAGTAAAAAAAGTCATAGAATAGTCTTTGGGGAGTGGGTACAAGTGTAAATTAATACATCCACTTTGTTTATTTATATATATTTTATATTTTTATTATTTTTAAAATTGAGATGGGATCTTGCTATGTATCCCAGGCAAGTCTCAAACTCCCAGCCTCAAGTGATCATCCCACCTTGTCCTCCCAAAGCACTGGGATTACAGGTGTGAACCACTGTGCCTAGATGGTGCAACCACTTTGGAAAATAATTTGGCAATATCTTGTAAAGTTGAAAGTAAGCATGCCACAGGATCCAACAATTCCAATTCTAGGTACTCATTGGTCTAGAACTTTTTGCACATATGCACTAGGAGACATGGAAAAGGCTGTATATTATGGCACTGCTTGCAAAATATGAAAATTGGAAATAAGCTAATGCCCATCAAAAGGGGAATGTATAAATAATCAAGGTATGTTTATATGATGAAATGATGCAAAGTGGTTGAAATGAATGAACTCAATCAATATATATTAGGAGGCAATGAGGTTTTTTTTTTTTTTAAAAAGCAAGTTGCAGAAAGATGTATACTAGATGCTACTATTTTTTCCAAGTTGGGTAGAAATTAACACACAAAGAAAAGTATCTTTTGTTTGCAGATAGGTATATATGCAGCAAAATACAGGCTGAAAGACTAAGCCTAGGCCAAGTGCGGTGGCTCATGACTGTAATCCCAGCACTTTGGGAGGCCAAGGCAGGTGGATCACGAGGTCAGGAGATCGAGACCATCCTGGCTAACACAGTGAAACCCTGTCTCTACTAAAAATGCAAAAAATCAGCCGGGCTTGGTGGCAGGCGCCTGTAGTCCCAGCTACTCTGGAGGCTGAGGCAGGAGAATGGTGTGAACCTGGGAGGGGAGGCAGAGCTTGCAGAGAGCCAAGATTGCGCCACTGCACTCCAGCCTGGGTGACAGACTGAAACTCTGTCTCAAAAAAAACAAAACAAAACAAAACAAAAGACTAAGCCTAATTCATAGTAACAGTTCCTCATAGGGCACGGGTCTCCAGTCCCTGGGCCATGGATTGGTATGGTGGAAATAAGCTAATTTAGGAACTGGCTGGACAGCAGGTTGTGAGTGTCTGGCGAGCAGGCAAAGCTTCATCTGTATGTACCTATAGCCGCTCGCCATTGCACACATTACCTCCTGAGCTCCACCTCCTGTCAGATCAGTGGTGGCATTAGATTCTCATAGGAGCGCGAGCCCTATTGTGAAACATGCATGCGAGACATCTAGGTTGTGTGCTCCTTATGAGAATGCCTGATGATCTGTCACTGTCTCCCATCACACCCAGATGGGACCATCTCGTTGCAGGAAAACAAGCTCAGGGCTCCCACTGATTCTACATTATGGTGAGTTGTATAATTATTTCATTATATATTACAATGTAATAATAATAGAAATAAAGTGCACAATAAATGTAATGTTCTTGAATCATCCTGAAACCACCCCCTGCCCCCCATCTGTGGAAAAATTGTCTTCCATGAAACCAGTCCCCGGTGCCAAAAGGGTTGGGGACTGCTGCCCTAGGGAGTCTGAGGGGACTGAGACTGTGAGGGAACAAAAAGGCCATCCCACGTGGGTCCCCTTCTCACACTCTCGGGTGCTGGTCCTTCAAATGCTCTCTCTCAGGCCCCAGCCCCATCACGGCTTGCCTGTTCTCCTCTAGCACAAAGTCCCCCTTCAGGAGATTCCTCCTCATGAAGCAGCCCAAAGAGTGGGCACATAGCAAATTTTTCTCGTACTGAATTCACTCATTCGTTTTCCTTTTTTTTTTTTTTTTTTCTGAGACGGAGTCTCGCTCCGTTGCCCAGGCTGGAGTGCAGTGGCACCGTCTTGGCTCACTGCAACCTCTGCTTCCTGGGTTCAAGTGATTCTCCTGCCTCAGCCTTCCGAGTGGCTGGGATTACAGGCGCCTGCCACCACGCCCAGCTAATTTTTTGTATTTTTAGTAGAGCCAGGGTTTCACCGGTCTCGAACTCCTGACCCCGTGATCCAGCCTCCTTGGCCTCCCAAAGCTCTGGGATTACAGGCATGAACCACCACACCCAGCCTCATTTTCCTTTTTCTCTTCCCTTTTTCATCCTATTTCTTCTTGTTCCCATACTCCACCAAAATTGTTACCAAACCCTAAATAAACATTTATCTCCCACCTCTCAAAGAGAAAGTGTATTTTTTTTTTTTTTTTTTTTTTTTTTTGAGACGGAGTCTCGCCCAGTTGCCCAGGCTGGTCGGCTCACTGCAAACTCCGCCTTCCGGGTTCACGCCATTCTCCTGCCTCAGCCTCCCGAGTAGCTGGGACTACAGGTGCCCGCCACCACGCCTGGCTATTCTTTTGTATTTTTAGTAGAGACGGGGTTTCACCGTGTTATCCAGGATGGTCTTGATCTCCTGACCTCGTGATCCGCCCGCCTCGGCCTCCCAAAGTGCTGGGATTACAGGCGTAAGCCACCGCGCCTGGCCGAGAAAGTGTATTTTTAAATTCGCACTTGAAATCCCACCCTCTTTTTCTGCTTACTTAGGGTACCGCATTCCCCGCCCTTGCCCCATCCCATCATTTTTGGGACTATACCCTTGCCATGCTCTCTGTATTGCCAGGGAGCGTCTATGATTTGTGAAATTCTCTTAGATTTGACTGGCTGCCTTCATTTTAAGATTGAGGGAGCAAAACCGGTTTATTTGGGTGTAAAAAGTTCTTTAGAGCCAGGAACACAGAGTCTTTGCAACATTACTTTCAAAGGGTCTGGAGAGTTACACCCAAGCCCACAGAAGTGAGGAAGGAAAGGAAAGAGTTTTCCACCAGTTGACATGTTGCTGAGAGCTCTGCCCCTTGTCATATCAGCACATTCTCATCGAATCGGCTTTGTCTGAAAATGGATTTCACATTTGCCACCTTATAATTCAACATGTATGCTATTTCCTGTCAGTTTAACTCACCCAAAACTTTTGTTTAACAATAACCAGTTCCCGTTGTTAATTCTCAGAAATAAGAGGACACTTTGGGAGGCTGAGGCAGGTGGATCCCTTGAGCCCAGGAGTTCAAGACCAGCCTGGGCAAAGTGGTGAAACTCCACCTCTACAAAAAATACAAAATTAGCCAGGCAGGGTGGCACTTAGGAGGCTGAGGTGGGAAGATCACCTGAGCCAGGGGAGGTTGAGCCTGCAGTGAGCTGTGATCTTGACACCACACTCCAGCCTGGGCAACAGAGCGGAACCCTGTGTCCAAAAAAAAAAAAAAAAAAAAAAAAAAAAGAAGAAAAAGAAAAAAAAAGAGAAGAGAATAGTGCAACACTGCTTTTCCTTGTTACTGTCCTGTCATCTCCCTGGAGTCCCTGAAACAACACAAATGATGGCTCTTAGCAGAGACCAGAAGTCAGGTCAGGGCAGAGGACCCTCCCTGAATGGCCCCTCTCACCCATTCTTTTCATTCATTTGTCCCACTGGCCTTCATAAGTCTATTATTTGACTCTATTAGTGTATCCCTCTTTATGAGTGACATTTCCTAAACTTTTTCCTACAGAGTGTGTTCTGTACCCAGTGGTAGCTCAAAAAATGTTGACTGGTTGACAATCACTGAGTCAGCTGGGTTGAGGAAACAAGAAGTGGTGTCCTTGGAGGAAGGCAGCTTTTCTCCACCTCCAGGTTGGACTTGATGTCTGAGTCCAAACATGTCTCCTATTTTCTTTTTGGTCTTGGAGATTACTTTCTTGAGATAAGCAAAAAGAGTCCTTACTTGCTTACCAAGTTTGATTTTGCCTGAGTTCTTACAAATAACAATTTTCTTTATTGACACGGGAGTCAAAAGGCTCATTTTGTCCAACTTTCTGATTTTGCAGATCAAGAAACAGGTCCAGAGGCATTGAGATTTCCCCAATAACAGTAATATTATTTCATATAACACAGCTCTCAAGTACTACTGCCTCCATTTTACAGAGGAGGAAGGAGATGTTCAGAGAGATGAGGTGGCTGGCCCCAGGCAGCGCAGAGAGTGGGTAACAGCCTGGGCTTGGAGCCAGGTCTCCCGATTCCCACTATGATGTTCTTTGACGGATTCCACATGGCTTCTGGGCATGGGAGAGGACTTTGGAAATAGATAGTCTGCTGTCCAGAGCTCCAATTAATTTTTATATCTATACTTTGTAATCTAAAAACACTACTGCGAGAACATATGCATTTAAAACATTAAATTATATTTATTTGTCATTCATTGGTAAAGCACGTGGTATAAAATTCAAAAGGCACAAAAGGGCATAGTAGAAAAAAAAAAAGCCTTCACCCTCCTGTCCCACAGCCATCCACTTCCCCTCCCCAATCTCTTTGTCCTTCAGATACATGCTATGCTTAGATAAGCAAATATGTACATATGCACATATAAATTTTCAATAAAAATGGAGGCTTACTGTACCGTGTTCTGTACTTGCTTTTTAAAAAAATTTGATGTATTTTGAATACCAACCCTTATCAGTGCACATAGAGCTACCTCCTTCTTTTTAGTGACGGCAAGTATTCCATTGAATAGAGGTGCCATAATTTACTTGTCTAGTCCTTTCTTAATGGACATCAAGTTGTTTGCCGCTGTTAGGCTATTGCTGTGATGAATACAATAATTATATGTATACATGTTTTCATTTATATGTGCTAGGATACCTAGCAGAGGTTGGCAAAGTATAGCCTGTGGGTCAAATTCAACCTGCCATTAAAAAAAGTAAAGTTTTATTGGAACACAGCTGTGCTCATTTGTTTGCCTGTCGTCTATGGCTCCTTTCATGCTACAATAGCAGGGTTGAGTAGTTGTAATAGTGATGTATGGCCTGGAAGTCTAAAACATTTACTATTTGGTCCTTTTGCAAAAGTTTGCTTGCCTCTGAGCTATAGGATGAATTCTTTTTCGTTTTTTTTTTTTTGAGGCAGAGTCTCACTCTGTTGCCCAGGCTAGAGTACAGTGGCGCCATCTCGGTTCGCTGCAACCTCCGCCTCCAGTGTTCAAGCGATTCTCCTGCCTCAGCCTCTCACATAGCTGGGATTATAGGTGCTTGCCACCTCATGTGGCTAATTTTTTTTTTTTTTTTTGTATTTTTAGTAGAGACAGTGTTTCACCATGTTGGCCAAGCTGCTCTTGAACTCTTGACCTCAGGTGATCCACCCACCTTGGCCTCCAAAGTGTTGGGATTACAGGCGTGAGCCATGGCACCCAGCTGATAAATTCCTATTAGTAGAATTGCTGGGTCAAGGATTTTGCATTTCCTACTTGATTGTTATGGCCAAATTCTTTTCGTAGAGGTTGTACTACTTTATTCTTCCACTAGCAGTGTACTTTACCATGTTCTCACCATTGCAGCACATCAAATGTTTTCTTTTTATTGGCTGATGATTTAAATAATTTTTAAATAATTTATTATAATTTTTGTGGGTATGTAGTAGGTGTATATATTTATGGGGTACATGAGATGTTTTGATGCAGGCATGCAATGCATAATAATCACATCATGGAAAATGGAATATCCATTCCCTCAAGCATTTATCCCTTGTGTTACAAACAATCCAATTATACTCTTTTAGCTGTTTTAAAATGTACACTTAAATTATTATTACCAATAGTCACCCTGTTGTGCTATCAAATACTAGGCCTTATTCATTCATTTGAACTATTTTTTAGTACCCATTAATCATTCATATCTCTCCCCCATTCACTACAGCAAATGTTTTCATCTTTGCCAATCTATTGGTAGAAAATGATATTTCTCTTGATTTCTTTTGCATTTCTCTGATTTTGATTGAAATTGAGTATCTTTTTATGGTTGGAGGAGAGAGGAGCCTGTGAGGGAAAGAGAAATGAATGTGTAGGAAGTTATCAGCCTGAGTTCTCTGATGCAAGTAACAGAACTTATACCATCAAACCAATCCAGTGGACACCCTACCTTCAGCCCAGGCTCCCTGGGTCACTCTGTTCCTTCTTGGCCAGAAAATGAATTCCAAGCAACACCTGCCTATTTGTGTTCCTCTCTTTTTGATAGTTGTGTAAAGTGTGAGTCACCTGCAAAACGGGAGGTAAGTGCTGATTTCAGTATTGGGGAAGTGGAATTTAAACTGTGGGAAGTTCTTAAACATAGGAAAGCTTTTCAAAAGGTGCGGGGCAGCCTGAAACAAATACCTTTGGCAAATACTATACTGTGGGGTGAAACTGCTTTTTTAAAAAAAATTTTAATTTTTTTTTTTTTTTTTTTTTGAGATGGAGTCTTGCTCTGTCTCCCAGGCTGGAGTGCAGTGGCAATCTCGGCTCACTGCAACCTCTGCCTCCTGTGTTCAAGTGATCTTCCCACCTCAGCCTCCTGAGTAGCTGGGATGACAGGCATGTGCCACCACATCTGGCTAATTTTGTTTTGTTTTGTTTTGTTTTGTATTTTCAGTAGAGGCATGGTTTCACCATGTTGGCCAGGCTGGTCTCGAACTCCAGACCTCAACCAATCTGCCTGCCTGGGCCTTCCAAAGTGCTGGGATTACAGGTGTGAGCCACCGCGTCCAGCCAAAACTGCTTTTCAGTGTGTGGGCAGATAGGACATTGTTTCTCTTCCCTTTAGGTGTTTATACTGTGCTGTCCCTGGGGATTAATGTTTGTCATTAGGAGGGGTGTGTGACGGAGCAAGAGATCTAGCAGTTTCCTAGCAGAATGAAGAGGCCCATCTACTCCTCTTACTAGCAGGGAGGCAAGTGATGAGGCCCAGAGATTTGAGGGTCCAAGTTAAGCATTTGCAGGTCCTTGTTTTTCTTCAGTTTAGAATGGAGATTGGTCCATTGCTCAATCCTTGATCTGATGCTCTGAGGCTGGGGCTGTGGGGATTAAGAGATGCAGGGGCTAAAAGCCAGCTGAGTCTTCACAGTTTGTCAAATATAAAGATAAATTGTTTTGAGAATAAAGCTTTATCCTAAAAAGAAAGCAAATCACTAAAGTTTTGTAGCTCATGAGGTTAGAGAAAGGGTCCTTAGCAACTAGTTAGATACTTAAAATGTGGCAAGGTGGTACAGGTAATTGCATTTAGATGTGTAAAAATTAGATTTGTAAGTTTCCAGAGAGGAACTATTGGAAATGGCTCTGTTGGAGATGGGCTAAATTAATTATGGTAAATCCATTTAATGGAATAGTATGTGGCTGTTAAAAGAATGCAATAGTTAAAAGAATACAATAATATTGGGGCTGTTAAAAGAATGCAACAGTTAAAAGAATACAACAATTCCAATGTACAGATATGGAATTCTTTCCAAGAAATTAATAAATAAAAAAAGCAAGGTAAGAAACAGTGAGTAAGTGTCTTAGGCTGAGATCTCTGGAAGCAAAGACTGAGACAGGGATTCTTGTGTTTTTAGGAGAGGTTGCTCCCAGGAGATGGGGTGGGAACAGCATAGAGTAGTGGATAAAAGGTAAGCAAGAGATGATCTCAGTGGATATCAGTGTTAGCCTGATCCCACAGGGAGTTCTGGAGCATGAATTGCACCATAAAGCTGTCCAACCTTTTATACCCCTGTGCTGGCTACAATGTGCCGCAGGATGGAGAATTCTCTATAGAAGGGGGCAACTGTGAACCATTAGCTGCTAACACTCATAGCAGCCAAGAGATGGGTGCACTGGCTTCTTCAGGGGATCTAGGCCGAGCTACAGCAGCACCCCCTGCAGATGGCGTACTGCAGGAAGGATACTGTACTATATATGCTTGTACATGCATGGGAATCTAAGAGTAGATGCTCTTATCCTGGAGTCCATGGATCCCTAAGGGATTCACAGATAGAACAGTATTACAGGCAAATTGGTTTCTTTTGTAATCCTCTGCACTTTAGCTTACATATTTTCAAACATTGTTCTGAGAGGGGGATCCATAAGCTTTATCAGATACTGAAGTGGTCTGTGGTACACACACAAAAATGAAGAGAACAAGAAAGTGGTAACAGTGTTTGCCTTGGGTGGGGGATGAATTCTAGGGGTCTGGAGTCAGGAGTGGGAAAGAGATTCCTATTCTTTGTATATCCTTTTGTGCTATTGGGATTTTTGCTGTGTGCATGGATTACATTCTAAAAAGATTAAAACATAAGAAAATGTATTTTTAAAAACTACCTCCCCACATTTTTTTTTTTAAAGAGACAGAATCTTGCTCTGTCACCCAGGCTGGAGTGCAGTGGTGTGATCGTGGCTCACTGCAGCCTTGAACTCCTGGGCTCAAGCCATCCTCCTGCCTCAGCCTCCTGAGTAGCTGGGACCACAGGTGTGTGCCACCACATCTGGCTAATTTTTAAATTTTTTGTAGAGATGGGGTTTCACTATGTTGTCCAGGCTGGTCTTGAACTCCTGGCCTTAAGCGATTGTCTTGCCTCAGTTTCCTAAAATGTTGGGATTACAACTATGAGCCACTGTACCCAACCCTATTTTTCCTGGATTTTCTCTTCACTCTTACTTCCTACGTTGCCTTTTCTGTTTTATACAATTTCTGCAATTGCTTGTCTTCCTCTTCCTAAAGTCTCTTCCTATCTCTAATGCTTGCATTTGATTTTAAAGCTGTTCTGGCACACTTGAATAGAATCCTGCATAATAATCTTTCACTAATTTTTCCCCCGACTCCTTATCAAATGTTCACTAAAGTGTATAGTTATTTCTTAGCATATATGCACATACTTGCAAAATAGACCACTATAATCTGCACAATTCTTCTTAAATTCAGCTTTTAAAACATGCCTTTAAATGAAGAAAATATTTGTATAATGAGAATAAATTTTGAAGGTTGTTTCACATTCAAGATTCTTTGAGGTTTTTAACCAGAACAGGTTTGGGGACAACAACTGATGCCTCCTTTAATCACAATACATTTTTAAAAAGTTGAGATTTACTAAAATCTACCTTTCAGGATTTTAAAATGGATGTGCAATCTCCACCACTTTTATTGCCAAGGGAGCACGCATCTGCCCTGGAAAACCTTCCTGTGGAGCGATGTCAGCAGAGATAAATGAATGAGAGTACATGCAGTTCTGGAATAATAGTGCAATTTGGCTAAAGGGTGACATCATCTTTTCACTGTTGTATGTGCCATTCTAAGTAGCAATAAGTCCAGCTGAGCTAGAGAATGAATTATAAGGAAAGTACATTGGCAAGGTGGAATAAAATATAAAAAATTGAAAAAGAAGGTAGCTTTGAATAGATCCAGTCCGCAATATATTTTTTGATATGGAAGGTCTTGATTTAATCACCACATCATAATTTGCCATTATTTTGGATTATGTGGAAAGATGCAAAGCTTCTTTCCTAATGGCTGGTTTGCTATATATACACATGTGTACCACCAGAGTATAAATAGGGACGTTGGAATTGATTTTAGTCTTTAAAGTGTACACTTAAATGCTGGAAAATAAAATGCCTTTATCAGTTAAATCTCCTTACTGTGATTCTACATGCCTCATTGGTAACACTTGAAGAAGGGTTTGCTGGGTTTTATTTGGATCGAGAAAAGAATGCCATCATCCTTCATGCTGATGAACCCAGGGGAGGATCAGTTTGTGATTCTGCATGGGTTCTTGAGGGGTCGGCCAGTATTAACTCATTGCTTTTTTTCTCTTTAAGTAACAGCTTTATTGAGATTGGATTAACATCCCAATATATTGCTTCTGTTCTCTAATTTTTTAGAGTGCAACTCAAACCCCTAATATCTCCTTGTCTTCTAATTCCTCAGGCAACAGATGACTTTCTGCAAAGGCACTGATAATAGCTATGAGGAATAAATATTGCAGATGGATTAAATCAAAGAATCAAATTTCAAAGCCAAATTAGTCGTGAAAAGGAGGGAGAAGCAGAAATGAAGAAAAAAGAACCACAGAAGTAAAATCAGCAGCATTGAAAAGAAAATCATCTGCTGTTTGAATAAAGACCCAAGATCTTTCATTGTTGGATCCCCAAAGCCAGTGCCTTTTTTGAGCAGCAAGTCCCAAGATCAAGAAATCAGAAGGAACTAATACTTTAACTAATTAGTAGTAATGAAAATTTACTAGACATCAATGACAAATTTACAAGGCAAATTTATTTCCAAAGTACATTCATATATATCACAGGTAAAATGAGGTTTTCACAAACACCATTTTAAACATAGGGTTTATTTGCAGGAGCTATTTTTGTGGCTTAGGGAACAAATGGTTCATTGAAACAGAACTTTGCTGGTCTGGTTTCAAAGAATTCTATTATATAAAAGATTCTGTAGAACAGATGGGATCAAAAGTCCCTGAACACAGAACAGGAATATCAGGTAATGAAAATGTTCTTTTGGTATAGTATTATGTTTTATGCTTTGAAAGTATTAGTATGCAAGGAACTCAGGCAAGAGCATAAAAGAGGAAGTAGGAATAATACTTTATGTTTGAATAGGCTTTAGACTTTCCAAAATACTTACATCCTACTGAAGCTTGGTAGCAAGTATTATCCTTGTTTTATTGATGAAAAACATGCTTCCAAGAAAGATGCATTACAAGCGACAGAAAACTCAAAGTGGATTACACAGTAAAAGGTATCTGTCTCTCTGTCTGTCTCTGTCTCTGTGTTTTGGCTCACAGAATTGAAAAGTTCAGGACTAGAGTGAGCTTTCAATGTGCCTTGAAAGAGATGTTCGATTGATACCATCAGGGCCCAGATTCCCTTGACATCTCTTAGTTCTGTTTTCCTAGTATGTGGTTAACTCTGATTAGCCAGGATGGAGACAATAACTCCTGAGCTAAATATGTGGAGTGGGGCAAGGATGGCCCTCTACAGGCGAAGGTGGGGGTGCATTTTAATATGAGTATGGGGGAAAGGATCAGATCTGGGCTAGATCTGATATTCAAGAGGTGTAAACAGATGACCAACAAGATGTTAACAAGATGACACGATTAGAAAGATTTTAATCAAGCCTAGAACCCAGCTCCTCTGAATCCTGGCAAAACATAGGTAGGAACAAAACTGGGAAACAAGACAAGGGATGTCCCAGGAGCTGATGTTTCAGTAAGAGCATAGTTGAGAAGAGACAGAAGAAAACAATAGTTAACAGAGGTAGGTGGATTTAGAAAGAAGGCTTTACTTTGAACAAGACTTGATCCCAGTTGAGACTTTGCTGAAGGAATCCCTAATAGACAGACCTGAGCCACCTCCTTCCTTTGTCATATATATGTATCTCATAGGCATCTTACAAATATGATGACTGCTCTATAAATAACCGAGAAATCTTAGTTTCTGGATCTTACCCTGGCCCAACTCCAAATTATCTTCTTTGGTTTTAGCTGGATCTTTAGGAAGACTGGTCTGCCTAATTTTGTTGCATCTCATTGTGCCCTATTTGCCAGGCCGCTTTGATAAGGAGATCTTCATATAATTCCTTTCTGTGTTGCTGCCCTGTCTTCCATGTTTAGAGTTCGAATCCTCCTTTTCTAATAGCTGAAACACACCCAGATCAAAATAAGCTTCATTAAGGCGGCATTCTACAAAGACAGTGGTTCTCCAATGGTGGTCCTCAGATTACCTGCATTTTTTTTGATGCCTTGTGGAAATAGAAAAACACCCAAACATCACCTGTTTCTTGAAGTTTGGTGGAACTCATTGAATACAACTCTCTTAGGCCAGATGCCACTTTAGAAATTATGTCATTGATTACATTTTCAACTTTTTTTTTTTTTTTTTTTTTTACAGTGCTTGATCTATTCACATTTTCACCTAATAGGTTTATTTAACTCAGGACTTTATGGGGTTGAGAAAAGCACTTTATTATGAGAAGAATATGTAGGTTATTTAACAGAGTCACCTGCAGCAGTCAATATACAATAAACTATAATGATACACAGTAGTTCTAAGGTCAGCCTTGCTATTCATATTATTTTCCAGGATCACTTCACTGAGGAACTGAACACGAGCATTTAACTTGTGTGACTAGTTATGGCCTGGTCTGGATTTCCTTCTGTAGGTATTGTCTTGTTCTTGTCTCAGCCTTTTCTTGCTTCCAAGGCCTTACTCATAAATTCTAATCTTTGCTTATGCAGTCTTTAAGTATTGTGTTTTCCTCTATTGATTTCATGGAAGGCTTCCCTCTAATGTAGCATACATTGGCCCTGCCTGTGCAAAGCTTCTTTTCTCTCCAACAAGCAGGAGACTTGTGTCTTTAGCTCTTTTTCTGCAAGAGCTGCACTCTCCCGTTCTCTTGTGGCCATGGCAGATGATTTCTCGTCACCTCCTCCCTCTCCGCCAACTTCCTTTCCTCCATCCAATTTCTTTTATGACAGGAGTTCCTCTTGGTTGAAGTTAACATTAAAACAGTTAACTTTGTTTTTTTTTTGAGATGGAGTTTGACTCTTGTTGCCCAGGCTGGAGTGCAATGGTGTGATCTCGGCTCACTGCAACCTCTGCCTCCCGGATTCAAGTGAATCTCCTGCCTCAGCCTCCCAAGTAGCTGGGATTACAGGCATGTGCCACCATGCCTGGCTAATTTTGTATTTTAAGTAGAGACAGGGTTTCTCCATGTTGGTCAGGCTGGTCTCGAACTCCTGACCTCAGGTGATCCGCCCGCCTCGGCCTCCCAAAGTGCTGGGATTATAGGCGTGAACCATCATGCCTGGCCAACAGTTAACTTTTAACTGAAGCTGAAGTTAAAACAGTTTCTTCATAGGCAGACATATGAATGCTATAATTTTCTTTTGATAATATCTAATGTGCTCTCTCCTCATATCACCAAGCAGTAATTTTGAATCTTATTGTTTTGTCCTTTGTGCCAGGGTTCTCAAGATGTCTTACATGAAAAAAGCTCTGTGGCACATTACATTTGGGAGCTGCTGATTAAAGACATATAAGCTCTTTTGCTGACCATTTTTCCAGAACCTTGACTGGAATGTTAATATCCATTGTAAATCTCTAAGTGGGTACCAGTGTTCTGCAAAGCACTCTGGGAAATGTTTCCCTTTCCTTTATCTTTTTTAGCCAGTCCCAATGTATTATAACTTGAGTGAAACAGAGCTGTCCTATACGCCACTCTCAGCATACTGAGACATCCAAAGGAAATCCAAGTCTGGCTGAAAAAATCACCCACCTTGAAAAACAACGTATGTTGATCAAGACAGATGCCTCTTGGAGAGGGAGCCAAAGGATAACTGCACCACCCGGGATCATCTTTATAGATCTCTCTTCCTGAAGGCCACCTCAGCACCCTAGCTGCTTCTCAATGTCTCTCTGCAGCCTCTTTTCTGTAAACTCTAGCCCTTTGATTTTTCCTCTCACCTCCGAGGTCTATTATATTCTTTCCAGATGAGCTCCATACTCTTTCTCATGAGTAAATTAATTTGACCTTTCTTGGGCTCTTCCAGCTTTTCATTTTACCCAACACTGAGATCATTGCAACAGTTTCCAGAAGTTAGACAGAGCAAAGTCTTTTCTCTGATTCTTCCTCAGAAGGCATGGGAGGGCCAGAAGGTCACTCTAGGGGCTTTGGAAGGAGCATATACAACACCCCTCTTTCCTGGGTAATGAAACATGGAATAAATTGATGAAGAACAGCTTTGTTCCTAATAGAGGTAACTGGGGAATGAAACTTACACTTACTGAAAGAGTCGTGGGCAGATCTGGGCCAGCACAGCAAGGTGGCAGCTTACTGTGTGTGGAAGACAATGCCTACTTCCCAAGAAGGGGCCACTGTGAAAGAAAGATGCCGTCCCCAGAAGGGGCTCAGCCATACATGCTTGGTTCTCTCTTCCCATTTCATTTCTTCCAGTGGGTGTCCTGGTCACAACCTCTGTGCCTAACACAACAACTTTCTCTAGAATATTTATTTGTAATACCTTAGGCCTGGCCACATTTGTCTGGGACAAATAATAAATAAATTACAAATAAATATTTCACATTTGTGAAGTATCCAAATTGCACAGGGCCCACCTTCTCCCACCCACTCCTCCCACTCTAGACTCATGAACACTGTAGAAATTGGTCCATGGCATTTGCACAGAATGTCACCCATGGCTGAGTTGTACTTTGTCTTAGACCAATAGAAAGTTATGCTTGTTTTTCCTTCTCAGGGACTTGTTGGTTTTGTAGGAAGGGTCTGTAAACCCATGAGTCAATAAGATACCCTTGCTTTAGATCTTCACCTACTTAACAGTCTAGCCACTGATATGACGTGGTAGCAGTCTATATCAGCCTGCTGACAGAGGGTTCATGTTGGGGGATGTATTTTATATTTTAATTCGCATATTTTCCTGAGCACGCATTTCTTCTGACCTATGCCTGAGCAGCCTCTCAAACCAGCATGGAAGCATTATGTTTTGCCATCGAGTGCTGGGGGCTCCAACTAAAGTTGTGTGACCATCTTTGGGTGCCTCCTGCTTCAAACACATGTCTTCTTCAGACTTCGCTTGGCTTCTCAGCCATCTGAAGTCCTCTACAGACTCTGATGATATCAGAAGATGAGAAATTAGGATTAGTCTCATTTTTTGGGAGCTCCCATTCAAATACAGCAGAGGTACAATGAGATGGAGACATAGCTCAATATTGCAGCTCTGTAGTTCTTGCCACTCCAATTTAAAAAGCTGTAGGCTGGGCGCGGTAGCTCACACCTGTAATCCCAGCACTTTGGGAGGCCAAGGCGGGCAGATTACAAGGTCAGGAGATCAACCATCCTGGCTAACACGGTGAAACCCCGTCTCTACTAAAAATACAAAAAATTAGCTGGGCGTGGTGGCGGGTGCCTGTAGTCCCAGCTACTCGGGAGGCTGAGGCAGGAGAATGGTGTGAACCTGGGAGGCGGAGCTTGCAGTGAGCCGAGATCGCGCCACTGCACTCCAGCCTGGGCGACAGAGCGAGAATCCGTCTCAAAAAAAACCAAAAAAACCCCCCCAAAAACAAAAAAAACTGTAAAGAGAGTCCTTGGACTCCCCTGATCTGTGATTCTAGAGAACTGTGTTGCTCAAAGCAGGAGATAGACCCTTCCATGTGGGGTGTTGTTATGGTGGCACTTACTTTCTTCCTCTTTGTATCTTTATCTTATCTGAGGTGCATGCAGATGACTGGAATTGAGGAAGGCAGTTTTTAAGGCTCCTGGGTAAGCATGAATCCAGTGGTATTTGCTGATCAGTGTATTCATCTAGTTCCACATTGAGGATTTCTTCTCCATTGAAGGAAGCAACGCTTCATTAGGCCTATTTAGCTCCTATGATGCCTCTTTCACTTCATCCCTTTCTCCAGTGTCCAACTTCAGTTTCCTCTCCTCCTTCAGTCTCCTCTCCTCTCCTTCATGAAGGCTTCCTTGACCACCAAAGCCCATTGAAATTTTGTCATCTCAGTGATGTTCACTGACTTAGCTTTATTGAGCACCCGTGTTGTGCCAGGTGCTGGGCGGAGAATGTGAATCGACAAAGATGAGCAACAAGTTCCAACTCTTGAACTATATGCAGGAATAGTCATAGCCCTTTTTATCTTTGCAATTGAATGCAGTCTGTTAAACAGCTCTAGGGAGGCACCGTTCATGTGGTTTTCTTTGTGAATGGTGCCCCCTAGAGTTGGACAACTCAAAGGGCATGCTGAGGGTGAAACTTGAAGGGCGATTTGTTAGTCAACTTCAAGGGTTGATTGAATGTTAATCACATATTGCCATGCATTTTTTTTTGCAATCTAATTATAAACTTTTTGAGGGTAAGGGTTATATTTTGATAGTTTTTGTATCTTTATGCATAGGGTTTAGCATGCTGTTTTTTCCTTTAATCAAAATTCAGGAAATACTTAATTGAGTTATTGAAATAGCTTTCTTGGTGAGATTATCAAATTAACTTGTACACTGTTTCGGGAGCAGCTGGATACCAGTTTCTTATCCATCACTGTGAGGGCGTGGAGGGGAGAATGGAGAATCAATTTTTATAAAGCTCTCCAGGCGATTCTCTTCAGACCATTTAGAAAATGTTGTCCCAAGATTTCAGCATATGAATATCAGGAAGCAGATTGACATAAAACTCTTCAATGTGCCACAAACAGCCAAGAAAGTGATGTTAAATTTAGGGTCCACTAGAAATCTCCATAGAATGGAATAAAACTATAAAAATTAAAAGAGAACATAATTAACAAGAATTAAGGGAAGGAGAAAGACTGGTGAAATCATGATGTTTCAGTTACCAATGCTGCATAACACACCATAAAAAACCAAAGCTGGCCAGATGCAGTGGCTCACACCTGTAATCCCAGCACTTTGGGAGGCCGATGTGGGCGGATTACCTGAGGTTGGGAGTTTGAGACCAGCCTGATCAACATGGAGAAACCTCATCTCTACTAAAAATACAAAATTAGCCAGGTGTGGTGGCACATGCCTGTAATCCCAGCTACTCGGGAGGCTGAGGCAGGAGAATCGCTTGAACCCAGGAGGCAGAGGTTGCAGTGAGCCGAGATCACACCATTGCACTCCAGCCTGGGCAACAAGAGCAAAACTCCATCTCAAACAAACAAACAAACACAACCAAAATGGAGTGGCTCAAAGCAACTATCATGCATTATTTCTCATGATTATGTGAGTTGACTGGGCTAAGCTCGGTGGTTTCTCTGCTCCATGTGGTGGAGCTGTGGTCATTCATGCAGCTGTATTCAGCTGGGAGCTTGGCTGGAGCTGGAACATCCAAGATGGCCTCATATTGTGCAGAGCTTTCTGCCTGTGATATCTTATCCAGTAGTCTAGCCTCAACTTCTTCTTCTCTTTTTTCTGGAAAAAAAAAAGAATATATTTATTGATGAGACAAACATGAAGGGATTATTTATTACTTTTGGGCAGCTGGACTGAGGGAGACCAGCCAGCACTGGCTCACAGTGGGAACCAAATAGTGGGGCCAAGATGGGTGAAATTTTCTGATGCACCCACATTCACTCCTGGAATCATCCAGGAATTCACCTATGGCATCTCCAGACACAGAAACACTCTTCTCATGGATGCCATAAGCTCTGAGAATTGGCAAAAACCTTAGATGTCATCCAAAAATCTATATGTGTCCTTGAGACCTCTTTCCTTCATTCTTCACTTCTGATCCACCATCAAGTCATGCTGATCTGTCTCCAAAATATCTTCCAAATCTGTGCATTTTTACCAAGGCCACTGTCACCACCCTGGTTATGGTCACCAACATTGTATACCTCCAGTTGGCTTCCCTGTTTTATTTGATCAGCTCTTCTTGAGACCACACACATGCATTTTCCATGTGCAAATCAAATGATGCCACACCCCTGCTTGGAGCTCCAGGAATTTCTCTTGCACCCAGAGTAAAATCCCAGCTCCTGAACAGGGGTATTAATTTCTAGGGCTGCCTTAACAAACAAAACACCACAAACTGGATGGCTTAAAATGACAGACATTGATTCTTTCACAGTTATGGTGGCCAGAAGTCTGAAATCAAGGAGTCAACAGAGCTGTGCTCCCTCCAAAGGCTCTGGAGGAGAATTGGTTCATGCCTGTCTCCCAGCTTTTGGTGGTGGCCAGCAGTCCTTGGCATTCCTTGGTTTGCAGCTGTGTCACTCTCATCTCTGCCTCTGTCACTATGTGACATTTTTGCTGTGCATCTCTGTTTTCACATGACTTTCCTTTTCTCATAAGGATGCCAGTCAAACTGGATTAGGTCCCACCCTAGTGACCTCATCTTAACTTGATTCCATCTGCAAAGAGCCTATTTCCAAATAAGCTCACAGTTATAGGTACCAGAGGTTAGGACTTCAACATATCTTTTTGGGTAGCGCCAGCTTCATTACAGCATGACAGCTGGCTTCTAAGAAGAGGAAGCAGAATTTGCAATTCTCTTAAGGTCTGGGTTTAGAAGTCTCAGAATTCCATTCCTTTCCCTCCCCTCCCCTCCCCTCCCCTCCCCTCCCCTCCCCTCCCCTTCGCTTCCCTTGACAGGGTCTGGCTCTGTTGCCCAGGCTGGAGTGCAGTGGTGCAATCTTGGCTCACTGCAACCTCCGCCTCCTGGGCTCAAGCCATCCTCCCACCTCAGCCTCCCAAGGAACTGGGACCACAGGCATATGCCACCACACCCGGCTAATTTCTTTAAATTTTTTTGTGGAGACGAGGTTTTGTCATGTTGCCCAGGCTGGTCTCAAACTTCTGAGCTCAAGCTATCTGCCTGCCTCAGCCTCCCAAAGTACTGGGATTACAGATATGAGCCACCATGCCCCACCAGCTGGTGCTACATCCTTTTGGACAAGACAAGTGATAGGGCCAGCCCAGATTCTAGGGGAGGAGAAATAGACTCCACCTCTCAATCTGTATACAGAGAGGGGAAGAATTGTTGGAGGCCATATTTGATTAGTATCTACCACACATTTTCATAGCCACATCTGACACACAGTAAGAAGTGGCTATACTTTTGGGCCATCTAAATTTAAGCCAAAAACCAAACCAAAACAAACAAACAAACAAACAAAAAAACTGCTACAGGATCCATGTAACGGAATGCTATTCAGTAACAAAAAGGAGCAAAATACTGATACATGTGATAACATGGATGCTCAACCTCAAAAACATCATGCTAAGTGAGAGAAGCCAGACAGAAAACCCACATATTGTAGGATTCCATTTGTGTGAAAAGTCCAAAAAAGCAAATCTAAAAGAGAAAAAGTTGATTAGTAGTTGCTTGGGGTTGGAGGAAGGAATGAGGATTAATTGTAAATGGGCATTGAGAGATCTTACTAGCGTAATAAAAATAAAAACTGGAAAAAATAAAAAATATAACTAGACGATGTGGATGGTTACACAAGTGAGTAAATTTATTAAAAAATCATTGAATTATACATGTAGAAGGAGTGAATCTTATGGCATACATTTATTTTTATGGCATAAAAATATATATTTATGACGTATCTATTTCAGTAAAGTTATTAAGAAAATACGGGATGGTGGCTTTTAATTCAAAAGACATGCTCCTAAAGATCTTGCCTAATTCAAACCTTGCACAATTTCAAGTTAATTTTCCCATAGAAATAGAAGTAAAGTAGAAGGGATGTGTCTTCAAAGTGCAAAGCCCCACACCTATTGTGGTCTATTTTTGCCTTTGTTTTCTCAGCCTTACATCATTTACACAGTGCTCCCTCTTAATTTAACAACAGAGCATATCAAGGTTGATATCTGGCCTTCCTCATAACTTTTTATCACATCTAACTTCCAGTCCACAGCTATTGATTTTCCAGCACGTTTTTCAGCAGTAGGGCCATCACTTACATGAGCTGTTGGATGACACTGTTATAGACTATTCAAAAGACTTTAATTCTTAACTACTGTGAAATTTAAAATAAGACCCTGATGGCCACTAAGACCATTGGCCGAAGTGTGGTTGTGCCTGCACAACAGTGCTTGTTGATTAACGATGGCAGGTATTTCTGTAACCCGTTAAAGTGACACTTTCCAATGCAGTAACAAAAACACAGCTTACAAACTTCTCAGCCTGCCCCCTTGAAATTTTGCAAATTTTGACAAATTTCCACATTTAAGGAGATTCATATGTTTTAAATTTTGGTCACAAAGTGAAACTTTATTATTATTACTTTGTGTATTGCACTATTTGAAATAATGCAAATTCACAGGAGTGGCAAATGTACTACATTGCAGAGTCGGTGATGGGGAGAACTTGCCAGCCTAGTTCTCCCTGCCTCCCCCATGTTATTGAGATGGAAAAACTTCCAACATTCAGCATGTGCAGTCCAGATGGCTCAGAAGCCCTTTGTATTTGCATCTATTCAATTTGTAAGGAGTTTGTGTTCCATGAATTTGCATTAGGTTTCAGGTTAGACTCAATAATCCTAAATACCAAGTGAAATTGTGCCTGATCCATTCAGCCTCTGGAGCTTGTCAGAAACTCCAAAATTGGCTTGAATTTTCTTCAAGGATTTATGAATCTGGGCTGAATTTGAGGTTCGTAAAGTGATCCAGCCAGAGTTGCTTAGTCTGGGATTTCAGAACACGTGTTTCACACATTTCTCTCTACACATCAAGCAAGTTGTCATCGTCTGCTGGATTTGTGTCCTGCTCTCCCTAAATGACCTCGCTACCCATTTTAGATCCTCATGTCTTCCTTGGTGTTATGGGTTCAGCTGTGTCCCTCCCAGATTCATATACTGAAGTCCTAACTCCCAGTACCTCAGAATATGACCTTATTTGGAGACAGGATCTTTACAGAGCCAATCAAGTTAAAACGAGGTCATTAAAGTGGGCCCTAATCCAATATGACTGGTGTCCTTATAATCAAGGGAAATTTGTACATAGATAGGCACACAGGGAGGACATCAGGTAAACATTAAGGCAGAGATCAGAGTGATGTGTCTACTAGCCAAAGAATGCCAAAAATGGTCACAAATCACTAGAAGAAGAGAAGGCAGGAAACAGATTCTTCCTCACAGCCTTCAGAAGTTACCAACCCTGTTAACCTTGATCTTGAACTTATAAACTTCAGAACTGTGAGCAACTAATTTCTGTGTGTAAGCATTCAGTTTGTGGTACTTTGTTAGGCAGCCCTAGCAAACTAATACAGTTGATAAAATAAGAAGAAAGACAAATAGCATGTGTTTTGGACTTTGACCAAATCTTTTCTTACACATTTATATCAGTTGTTTTTCATAAGAACTCAGAAAAGTAGGCATAAACTTCATTTTACACTTGAGGAAATGGAAGCCAAGAGACTTGATCAAGGTCACACAGCTCCTTTCCTTAGTTGACATAGGACGAAGATCTCCCAATTCCTAGTTGTCCTGTCCTCTTGTGCTTGTTGGTGGTAGGGTTTGGGAATTAAAGGCAGAATTAACAGAGATAACCGCAATCTATATTATTAGAAGTTGAATTAGAGAATAACACAAGCTAACGTTTATTAATCTCCATGTGTCCTGACCCCCAGCACCCCCTAGCTTTTTTTTGAGACAAGGTCTTGCTATGTTGCCCAGGCTGGTCTTGAACTCTTGGGCTCAAGCAATCCTCCTGCCTCAGCCTCCAGGAGAGCAAGGATTACAGGTGTGCACCACCACACCCAGCAAGCACTGTTTAAGGCTTTACCAAATTAACTTACTTCTCACAACAACCCTGCGAAATAAGTGCTATTATTATTATCATCATCATTTTATGGGAAAAGAAAGTGAGGCAGAGAGGCGCCATGTAATGAAGAAAGTTGTTTCCAGTCATGTGAATGAGTTTCCAGGAGGAAAGTGAAACTTTGCCCAATGGCTTTCTCTGATGATTTTGTTTTAACATATTTTCCATCTATAATACAGAAGTTATATGTCAGTTGTGAGAAAAAAATTTATAAGATTTTACTATAATACCAGATCAATTATCTTAATGCTTCCATATTTGCTTCTAGACTTTTTTTTCCATGTGCATACATAACATTTACCCAGAGTAATCATAACATGAAGGAAAATTGGTATTCTGCTTTCTTTCCACTTAAGATCATACCAGAAACCTTTTTCTTACTTTAATGTAGTATCCACCATGATCATTTTAATGAATATTTCAGAAACTCTCCATTAAGCTTTAGAGGCTCTTCTTTTTGGAAGAACCTAAGGGTAACTTGGCCAAAGTTGAGGAAAAGGTGGACACAACTCTCTAGGCTATCTGCAATTTTATGTTTTTATTCTTTGGTGCTTAATTAGTAAACACCAATGATATTTGTTGAATGCTATTCCAGATCCTATTGCTGTGTAACATACCACCAAAATTTGTTGTAAAACAGCAACTATTTTATCATGCTCATGGATACCGTAGGTCAGAAATTCAGAAGAGTTGAGTCAGCACAGTGGGTACAGCTCATCTCTGCTCCACGATGAATGGGGCCTCAGTTGGGAAGACTTGCAGACTGGGGACAACTTGTTTGCTGCGGTCTAAAGCCATCCAAAGGCTCTTTCATTCATACGTCTACAGGTTGATGCTCACTATTGGCTGAGACCTCAGCTGGGGATGTCAGCAGGAGCATCTAAAGCTGGGTTCTTGATAGTTGGGCTTTGCCATAGTATGGTAGCTGGGTTCCAAGAGCAGCATCCCAAGAGAACGTGGTAGAAACTGTGAACCTTTTATGAACTAGTCTTAGAAGTACATAGTGTCACTTGCATTAGAGTCATAAGCCCTCCTAGATACAAGGAAGGGAAACTAGACCACCATATCTTGATGTGAGCACAGTTAAAATTACATTAAGGGCATGTCAGATAGGAAGTATGGATGTGGTTCATTCTGAAAAATAAAACCTACTCCAAGGTCTTTGATATGAAGCTCTCTATTTATTTGTGATTGCTCTCAGTTTGTTGAGAACGTTGCTCTTGTGGATAATATACTTAAAAAATATTACTGCATTTCTCTTTTCTTTAATCTATATATATATTTTTAAAGTGGCTTATTTGATATATTATACCCCTAATGTATAGTTGCTAAAGGAATGAACTAATCCTGGTTTCACCACTAACTTTATGAACTTGGACAATTACTTCTCTTATCTTTAGTTCTCTCATCTCTAATAACGGAAACTACTGTGTCTGAATGTTGTGAAGGTAAATATAATAATGTAAGTAAAGCAATTAGCATGATGCCTGGTTCATAATGAGTGCTCCATAAACAATAACCGCTATACTTGTCATCATTGTGGTCAAGGCCTGAATGGCTTGCATAATGTTTTTCTAAATCAGATACAAGGGATGCTTTGACCTAGCACTTTGATTACAAAATCTCAATAGTTGATAGCTTCAAATAATCTTAAAGGAAGATGTGGGATAATAAAAAGCTGATTAAAAAGGATGGCAGAATGAATTTAACTGGAATTTGAAGAACAGTGTGTTGAATTGGTGTCATGAGGTTCTTTCAAAACTCAAATGGAAAGGAAGTCCATTGAATCTTAAATTGAGAAAATGGGGCTTTTGAGGGATTGATTTTATATTGAAATCCTGGTGGTGTCACCTGGGACTTGCATTGTCATCCCTCCACTGCCTGTCTCCTGAAGAGTCAAGCAGACTCAGCCCACATGCCGCCAGTACCCTTCCAGCAACTCTCTGCAGATGCTTGCTCTTATATAGCTGGGATCCCTAGTTTCCAGTCTCATGTATTTCCAGGGCTGTCTGTATTTTATTCTCTCAGAGCAAAACTTTGCCTTTTCCACCTTTTACAAGAAATGGAATTCCACAGAGGGCATTTATCATGACTTTTTTTTTTTTTTTTTGAGACCGAGTTTCACTCTTGTTGCCCAGGCTGGAGTTTCGCTCTTGTTGCCCAGGCTGGATCTCGGCTCACGGCAACATCTGCCTCCTGGGTTCAAGTGATTCTACTGCCTCAGCCTCCCGAGTAGCTGGGATTACGGGCATGCACCACCACGCTCGGCTAATTTTGTATTTTTAGTAGAGATGGGGTTTCTCCATGTTGGTCAGCCTGGTCTCGAACTCCCGACATCAGGTGATCTGCCTGCCTCAGCCTCCCAAAGTGCTGGGATTACAGGCGTGAGCCACTGTGCCTGGCCTATCATGATTTTTATAGGACTATTAAAGACAGGGGCTGTGGGGGTAAAGGTTCACATTGTTGAGCATTTAACAGTTTGCTCTCTCTCATCTCCTTATCACCCTTACTCTTTACCTCTTGCAGGTCTCAACTCTGCATACCTGACCCTCCCACGGTTGATTAGTCTCCTAGGAAGTATGGTCCAATTTACTAACTATTGAGAAGAATAAGTATTGGAAAAAATGTAAACAGAGAATTTGGGAGAATCAAAATTTCACACATGTGAAATGTAATGCTGTTTTTAATTGCGGAAATGCAGTTTCACAAATTTCAGCAGACTGGAGTATGCTGAAATGTGATCACATGTCATCCCCAGAACAGCACTCTGAAGTGGGCATTATTATTTTATCCCTATTTTACAGATGAGAGGACTGAGGCACACACACGTAAAGTGGCCAAAGTTATTTGAAGCCCTGACATCTAACTACAAGACCCACGCACTTAATTCTTATTCTGTATTACGTTATCTGATAATTCTGTGTGGTCTTTTCCCATATTGGGCTACAAATTTTCCAGACTCAAATAGTTTTAAGGAAGAGTTATTTGTACTCTATGATCTTCAGGAGTTGTTTTCACCTTTTATATGGAGGTGCCTATGATCCCCTTCATCGATAAATTGATGTGCTCCCAATTTTGCCTTTTTGAAATGCTATTTATATATGTATTTAAAAATATTTTAATAGTGAAATCACCAATGTGCAAAAGTTACAAATGAATCAATATACTGTAAAAGATGTTCATTAGGAAGATAAGACCTCCCTAGTTTTTTGGCAATCATTTTATGGTATTTCTGATTAATGATTTCATTTGGGCCATTTCAATGTTCAGTGGTCTCCATTTGTTAGTGTTGATTATAGGATGCTATGCCTCACTGGAGAATGACTCGTTTTGACCAACAAATGTGAATTAAAATCAATAGAGATGTCATTAGCATCCCAATATCATGAAAGATAGTATAACCATTTCTTATGCATTCCGTTTATTAAAATTTGCTAAAGTGTGAAATATGTAGGACAAGTAATGATGTTTTAATCTTTCACCAAGGTAACAATTGAAAGCTGATTGATTCCATTCAGTAATTATAAAATCAGAATGATGGAAGATTGTAATCAAGTAGGATTCATTCTCCTACTTTGTCACTCCTCCAGGCAAGATAAAATTCTCATTTGCATCCTCTCTTTTATCTGAAAAGAAATCAAACTTCTATTTGCTTCACTAAATCCATGAGGCAGATAATAGCCTTTCCTGACTCTGGAAGGGATGGCGAGGCGGCTGCTGCCTACTAATAACTGAGAAGAGAAGGACAGTCTTTCTTCAAGTCTGGGTTGTCTCTGTGAGAACGGCCAACTCTACTGGGATTTAAATATTCAAAGTACAATATCCCTCCAGCGTTTGTATAACATACCCAATAAGGTAGGGGCTTGTACATTATGGTGATGTTTTTCCTTGCTTATGTAAGACAAGCCTGGCTGGATGTAGCTGACCAAATGTTATAGGTATGTAGTCAATTCACTTGGCTTGTAGAGAGCTGTGGTCAACTTTCTTTGTTCCAAAAAGGCTGGAAAGAACACTAATATTCTTGTCTTTGAAGATACGGGACAATTGCCGTTAGCTCATGGCTATGCAGTTGTTAGGCTGGGTGTTAAGAGTGAGGAAGAGGAGAACAGTGGGGGCAGGAAAAGGGAGGGGTGTGGATTCATGTCATTAAGACTAAAACCTAGAAACTCAAGCCTTTGAAGAGGAGAAGGCCAGAAAAATCAGGAGTTACAGACAACTTGAATGGCTCATGTCCATTATCTTATGGGCCTGGTTGATGGCTTTGAAGACAGAGGTGGGGCTGGGTGTGGTGGCTCACGCCTGTAATCACAGCACTTTGGGAGGCCGAGGCGGGAGGATCACTCAAAGCCAGGAGTTCAAGACCAGCCTGGGCAACGTGGTGAAACCCCATCTCTACTAAACAGACAAAAATTAGCTGGGTGTGGTGGCGCACACCTGTAATCCCACCTACTCTAGAGGCTGAGGTGGGAGGATTGCCTGAATCCGAGAGGCAGAGGTTGCAGTGAGCCAAGATTGCACCACTGCACTTCAGCCTGGGTGACAGAGTGAGACTCCATTAAAAAAAAAGAAGAGGAAGAAGAGGAAGAAGAGGAAGAGGAAGAAGAGGAAGAGGAAGAAGAGGAAGAAGAGGAAGAAGAAGAAGAAAGAAGAAGAGGAAGAAGAGGAAGAAGAGGAAGAGGAAGAAGAGGAAGAAGAGGAAGAAGAGGAAGAAAAAGAAGAAGAAGAAGAGGAAGAAGAAGAAGAAGAGGAAGAAGAAGAAGAGGAAGAGGAAGAGGAAGAGGAAGAGGAGGAAGAGGAAGAGGAAGAAGAAGAAGAAGAAGAAGAAGAAAGAAGAAGAAGAAGAAGAAGAAGAAGAAGAAGAAGAAGAAGAAGAAGAAGAAGAAGATGATGATAAAGGTAGGGCAGTAGATCATGTCTGGCCATCATTGTTACATAATCCAGAATGTAGCATCAGCTAACTTGGGAACAGTTAACTCTTACTCAGAAAATAAAAATTCTTCAGGGAAGGCTTTCTTCACTATATGTGCCTGCTCCCTGCCCTCCATTTAGATGAAGTGCTCCGTTATATGCTGTCAAAAGATACTGTGCTTTTCCTTCCTAGCGCTTTTCACATAATCATGTTTGTGAGATTATTTGGTTAACACTCCACCATTAGACTGGGGAGGGTAGGCACTGAGTGTATCTGGCTTTGAATGTGGCTGAATAAATATTCCTGACATATGCTCAAAATCTCCTTTCCCTCTCAGGGAGCCTGGCCTGCATAGGAATTGGCATTGCTTGGTGATAATTTTCTTTCCTACTTGACTGCAAAATATGTCCATCTGTCTCTTGGACCTTCCGGTTCCCACTCTACTGGTCATAATGAGTCAATGTCTATAGGACCTGATTACACAACAATTTAGTAGTGACTTTATAACACACCCCACAAATTAACCAGGAAGAATTTCCATTCTCAGAGGACTTGGTTGCTTTACGGACTTTTCTTTGACATGATTGAGGATGTTAAGGCTGGGACTTAAAAATGCCTTTCTTTGGCTCAGGGTAGGAAAGAACATTGGGGTGATGCTGTTATTTGCTATACAAATATTTACTTTTATTGTTGTGTTACTGACCTTCCAACAGATTTTCTGTGGGCAGTAGAGCATTGTGAAAAGATTGTTGTTTTTGGAGTCAGGCAGATTTGAATTTAAATCCCAGTTCTAACAGTTACTAGCCATGAGGTATCTCATTGAGAACTTGGAAAAATGGTGCTTGTTTTGTAGGGTTAGTCCATCTCTAGATACTAGAGCTTAGAGTGCCTGATACATTGTAAGGGCCAAATATGTGGTTGGTAGGTTACAGTGAGGATTATCATTGCCAAATTTCAAAAGTGAAAATTGATGGCCACAGAAGCCAGATAATTTACTTTAAAAATTCACTGTGAGATAGTGCTCAGGAGAAATGGATATAGCTTGTTTTTTATTTTTATTTTATTTATTTATTTATTTTTTGAGACAGTTTCATTCTGTCGCCCAGGCTGGAGTGCAGTGGTGTGGTCTTGGCTCACTGCAACCTCCAACTCCCAAGTTCAAGCGATTCTCCTGCCTCAGCCTCCCAAGTAGCTGGGATTACAGGCACGCGCCACCATGCCTGGCTAATTTTTGTATGTTTAGTAGAGACAGGGTTTCGCCATGTTGGCCAGGCTGGTCTTGAATTCCTGACCTCAGGTGATCTGCCCACCTTGGCCTCCCAAAGTGTTGGGGTTACAGGCATGATCCACTGTGCCTGGCTGGATATAGCTCTTTTAAACTTCATAGAGAGGCAAACTTCTAGGAATGCTGGAGAAAGATTAATATTCAGGAACATATGGGCATTGACTCTAGTTTCTCTACTACCCTAAGATGTAGCTTTGTCAATGAATATGTTATAGAACCTGAAGAGCTTGGCATTGAAATACATTCCCTTATGTGGAGGTACATGGATTATTAGTGTAAGTTCTGATGTGGCAAAGTCAGCTTTAAGTTTAAAATGGCACTGGTTTAGCGAGAATTCGGTAGCTTTCTAGGACCCTTGCTTGCTTGGGGAATGTCTGTACCAGCTGCAGGTTCTATGAGGGTTAGAGAAGCCAGACCAAAGTACACAGCATCTACTGCTATTGTGGGTGGAATTTCCCTTCTGCTAAGAATGACAAGTTTTTAACAATGGGAATGTAAAGCAGATGTGTCTGAGGCTCTGCCTGCTACTTGGAACGCCCTGGAAACACTGCAATCCCTCTGCCCCGTGGTTCTCACACTAGCCTCGTGTTAGAATCACCTGGGAAGTGGTTAAAAAAGGCTGATGCCTGGATCCCCCATCAGATCAATTAAATAAGGAAGGGGACACACACACACACACACACACACACACACACACAGACAACTCTCTAGCTGAGTTGAATGTCTCAGGGTTGAAAATCACTGCTGGCCCAAATTTCTCAATACTCAATACTTTATAAAATTTCAGGAGCTTACCTGCAGCAAATAGAAGAGAGAATAAGTTATAGAAGAGCTTATATCTCTGCTTTGGTGTATTTGGCTGAGGGCATTGGTCTGGGAATTAGGCCTTGTTGCTACCATCACCTGGAATAGGCAGCTCACTGTTTTTTAAACTGTTAAAACCCCAGGGAAGGCTAGGTGATGGGTTCTGGGAATGGGTTGTCAAGATTTGTCATTTTCAATGCTGCGTTTTTAGGAAATACTCCTCTTAGAGTGCCTCTCTTGGGCCTGCTGGTTTGGCAGCTTTATATCCAGCACTTAGATCTCCTTCTGATCTCAGAGAGCAGAAGACAGCTCTATCGGCAAAGGCAGTGCGAAAGCCAGCCCCTGCAATGGGCTGCTCGATTGTCATCCTCACAGGGATGATGCCCCTCCTGGGTAGGCACCTGCCATGTGAGTGTTAACTGAGTAGGTGGCTCCCACCTCTTCCATAGCCCTTGTGGAGGACTCAAGATCACATGTCTTGGAACTGAAGGGGCTCAGGAGATGTGTTGGGTCACTCCACCCAGTGGGGGAAGACTGAGGCCCAGAGAGGCCACCCCGACAGGTGCACAGGGTTGGGTTGAAGCAGTTGGCCACAGTGCAGGTCCTCAAGCCTAGGTTAGGGTTTTTCTCATCTTTTTTATTCCCTCCACTTTAAAAAAAATTATTTTAAATGGTTCTGAGTCATATCCACTTTTTTTTATTCCTTGGTTTCTCTGGCTTTCTCTTTTCCTAGCTTCCTTCTGACTCCATCCTCTCCCATTTTCCCCTATTTTTCTTTTCGATTTTGTCATCTTAGTTCCTATGTTCTTTGTTTTGCTTTGATCGAAGTGCTCTGACAGGAAAAGATCATTAATTTTTCTTAGATTCAAGCAATCTGTTCCAGTGAACAAGGTTAATGTTTAAAGTTTGTGATCTGTAGTTCAAAAATGTAAAAAATTAGGTCAAAAGCAGAAAAAAAAAAGAAAGGAAAACGGATGGAAAGAAAACTCAAAGTTCACCATTTCTGAACTCCTTCACAGAGGCAGATGCTGTCAGGTGGAGAGGGGAATGAGGCCATTGTTTCCCAAACTCTTCACAGATGGCAAGAGATGATGTTGGACAACTAGATTGCAGTGTGAAAGCTCATTTGAAGAAAACTTCTTGTGGCATCTCAGCAGGAGAGCGTTTTTATGAACAGGATGGTTATTGCCTGCCTGGCTGGAATTTTTTATTTTCTGCGTCATTCTATTTGAAATCATGGGGATTTGACCAGAGGATATTTCCCTCCGTGTGTATGACATTTTGTATTTGGGATAATAAGTACCTTCTCTCCAAACAATTTAGGATGTAAAAATGTACTAAAGTGACATGTATTTTTTCCCTCAGATATTACCAGATTAATCTCTATGAAAGCAGAAAAAGGAGAAAATGTAGATCTGAATGTATTTTTTGTTCAATATCTTTTTTGCTTCCTGAAACTTCCTGGAAGGAAGAGATTATTATGAAATTCTCTGGAAGGACAAAATCTGTGTTCCAGTCTTGGGGAGAACATGACCCCTCTTAAAGTGTTTTCTAACAGGCTGCAGTAGTGGATGTTAATTTAGTTTTGGTGTTCAGTATCCATCCATTCACCCTTTGTGGAATCCTCTCTTCTCCAGGATCAGGTCATTTAGTAAAATAAAGCTGGTCTTATGCCCAGCTCTATCTAGGGAGCATATAACCCAGGATTAAGTCACATGCGTGCAGTCTTCTCCTGCCTATAGTGACTGGTTGGAGATTGGCATGTGATCCTGGGGAGCCAATGAGGCTACTGAGGGAGAAATATGTCCTGTTTTTCCACTTGAACCTGAAAGGATATGTGCTGTAGTTGTAGCCAATTATAAAGAGAAAGCCCATTTGAGAGTGAACTGACACAGAAGGTGAAACCTGATTGATAGAAAATAGATAATGTTTGAATATACTCAGAGGAGACTTAGACAATTGCTCAGAGTTGGGGATAAATTAGTGGAGATCAGTGTGGGCTGAATTGTGCTCTCGCTGCCACCTCCAACTAAAGATATGTTGAAGTCCTAACTCTGGGTACCTGGGAACATGACTTATTGGAAACAGGGTCTTTGTAGACATAATTAAGAAGTCAGTTAAAAATGAGGTCATACAAGAGTAGAGTAGGCCCTTAATCCAAGATGACTGGTGTTCTTATAACAAGAGAAGAGACACAGAGACAGACACACATAGAGAAGAGATGCCATGTGAAGACAGACACACACGTGGAAAAAGGCCACATAGGCCAGGTGCAGTAGCCCACAACTGTAAACCCAGCACTGTGGGAGGCTGAGGTGGGAGGATTGCTTGAGGCCAGGAGTTTGAGACCAGCCTGGGCAACATAGTGAGACCCTGTCTCTCCAAAAAAAAAAAAAAATTAGCTAGAAGTGGTGGCATGTACCTGTACTCCTAGCTACTTGGGAGGCTGAGGTGGGAGGAGGAAGGCTTGAGCCCAGGAAATTGAGGCTGCAGTTAGCCATGATCATGCCAATGCACTCCAGTCTGGGCAACAGAGTGAGACCCTGTTAAAAAAAAAAAAGTAAAAAAGGAAAAGGCCATATAACAAGTAACAAGGCAGAGATTGGAGTGACACATCTGCAAGCCAAGGGCTGCTGAGGATTGCTGGCAAATGCCAAAAGCTGAAGGGGGCAGGAAGAGCCTGCAGAGAGGGCATGGCCTTGGTGATAACTTAATTTTAGACTTTTAGTCTCCAGAACTATAAGACAATAAACTTCTGTTGTTTAAAGCCACCTGGTTTGTGGTACTTGGTTATGGCAGTCCTAGGAAACTAATATAATCAATACATATAAAACATAGCATGTGAAGAAAAGACTGTTTTTTTAATTCCAGGGAAAATATAAACTTGTTCAGGAAAGGAAATGTGAACAGGATATACCACATGGCTTTGTGGTCAAGAATTTAATAGTTATAGCTCTATAAATATTGATTATTGCTCTTACCAAAATTATACTGGGAAGTATATATGTATGGTGGGGTTGTGTATGTGTGTGCGGGTACTTATGAAGTCATCTTCCATAGTGCAAAGTCAATATATGAAGCTTAAACTAAAAAATCAAGAGGCAGCAACATGAACATGACATTTAGAGATATAGAGGTAAAAAGTAAATGGTTCAGTTAAAAGAGCTGGAAGTATCTGCCTTCTGGGAGCAGGAAACACGAGGTAGGGACTGCTTGGACTGCTGTAGAACAGTTTGACTCTTTATACTATGTGCATGAATTACTTTGATATAAAGAAAAACTGCTTTAAAAAGGAGAAGAAAATTTGAACCTGTGAAACAAACTACTTGTAGAACTATGGAATGTGATGACTTTGGATAAAAGTATGACATTAGGTACATTTATTTTGGGGCTAGTTGCTAATACCTCTTATTTTCTAGGCAGTGAGGGGGTGGGAGTGGAAGGGAGGGGGTCAAAATTCCTCCATGAAGCCTTTACATCTCCCCTTCTCCTATATCCAAGTCCCACTCTTATAAAAGAATAAAACCTCCATTACTCTAAGTTTATAATTACTGTTTAAAAACACAAAGTTCATTTTTACAGGGATCTTTCCTTAAGGCTGAAGGAGGTTCTAAAGATGAAATTTCCTTCTATGTATGATTCCTTGGGGTGGGAGTCACAGGCATTTTCTTATCCCACTGGAATTCTGAGTCGCATAAGTTTGTTTCTGACTAGTAACTAGGAGCTCAGTGTCTTTGGCCTCTCACACTGACCTTAAGGCAAATGCCTTTGAACCGTCCACTCCAGTCTGTCAATCCTCCTTGAAGAATGGTCCAGCCTGCACTGCTGCTTTTTACCATCAGGGGGCAGTGGGGCCATGAGTGCCCAGGGAGACAGGGAAGGATGCTTAGCACCTGGCGAGTGGGAGGAAGTGTCTCTCAGTGTTTGCACTTAAAGCATCTCAGTAGCTAGATACTTCATTGGTACGAATGGTGTATTTTCTTCTAAATTTTGTGCAATCCAAAAAGGCAGGAAGTTTGATCTTAATGCATTTTCCATGGTCATCTATTTCACTCTGAGCCAAGAATTTATTAGGAAAACGAAAAGAATTGCAAGAATAACTTTAGATTGACATTTCTCCATTTTCCTACTTGTCGAATAGGTTTGGTACGTGTTCTGAAGGAACACGGTGCCAGTTGAAATGGTGCTCTGCTTTCTTCCCTGTTATTCTGAAATAGATGTGCTTTTCACACACATGGATAGACCATTTACTCCTGATTTGTATCTCAGGGACAAATCTGACTTATTAACACCATTATTTGTAAACTGCTAGCCTGGTTTCCTGTGCTGTTGTAACGCTATCTTGATGGGTTGCTGTGAAAATGTGAAGATGTCTGTCAGGCAGGAAAAATTATGTAAAAATGATGTGGGTATAGAAAATGGGATCGACAAAATGTAATAAACTCCTCCTGGGCTGAACAGCAGAGCTGCATATGTAATGAAGTACTTTAGGATTACGTCACCTTTTATATAACATCTGGCAGTGACTTTTATTTCAGAGCTAATTTGGAGAAGCCAGGCACTTTTCTCTTCCCCTCCCCAAGACTGCCTTTATCTGAAAGACGAAAGAAGGAACTGTTACATTTTGCATGCAAAGAAAGCCAGAGTGGCTAGATTACTCCCTTAGGGTAATGGAGAAAGGAAAAAGAAATTGAAAAAGGTCAGGTGAACAAAGCAGAAGGAATGAAGAGGTTTGTGTGATTCTTAGTGAAATTGGACCAGTCTAAGCAACCAGACAGGTAATCTGGGTGACTCTACCCCTCCTTCTTCCCTCCTGTGCCCCTCCCTTGGCTGTGGCTCTATAGGTATGACCCAAGAATACTATGGAAATAGCATTTCCTTAAATATTTTGTCTGAAGTGAAGGGTTGAAAAAATTATTGAGATAATTTGGGAAAATCCTAAAATTTGTCCCTTTAGCCTTTGAGAAAAAGCTCAAAGCTCAAACACCTCTCTCCCCCAGTAATATCCAGACATTGATCTATAACAATAGATTATTCAGATGGTCAACTTGCTGCTTTAATTTGTCTATATAGGAAATGGTGAAAAGTCTTTTATGAAATTGAATGGGAATTCACTCCTTTGAAGCCAGGGACACAGGAGGGATGAAGACCCTCTTTGTACTTCCCCCTTTCCTTCCCTCATAGCTTCTGGGTCTGTGCTTGCCTTGGTGCAACCTGGACCTTGCTGGACCATGTTTGCTGACCTCCATGTTCTCTTTCATCACGTGTTTTTTGAATCTTCCATTATTGTGTCAACCCTGGACATGCTCTTGTCTGAATTTCAAGGCCATGTCTACAGTTCAGAAGAGGTAGTGTCTTCCTTACGTATCTAATGGGTTCCCAAAAATGTGTTTGAAAGTTAGTTGGATGTTTGAAAGTCGAACAATAGATTTGCATGTTGTAAGGAAGAATTTGTTCTCAATTCTAGCTAAAGTATATGATGAAATCCCTAATTATGGTTTCTGCCAGTGCCACCTCCCTCAGGCCTTGGCAACCCTGTGGGTGGGTGAGAACAGGCACATGGCTGGAGTGGGTGGCAACTGCCAGTCGTTGTGGGCTGAGGAAGTTAATCCAGGAATCTCTCCTTCCAAGACTTAGCCCTCCTTCCCTCATCCCAGCCTGAAAGGGCAAGGGCTGGAGTAGAGGGTCTGGTTCTTTTTTTTTTTTTTTTTTTTTTTTTGAGACAGAGTTTTTCTCTGTCACCCATGCTGGAGTGCAGTGGCTTGATCTTGGCTCATGGCAAACTCCGCCTCCTGGGTTCAAGCTATCCTCTTGCCTCAGCCTCCCAAGTACCGAGATTACAGGCTCAAGCCACCATGCCTGGCTAATTTTTTGTATTTTTAGTACAGATGGGGTTTCACCATGTTGGCCAGGCTGACTTACTTCGAACTCCTCACCTCAAGTGATCTGCCTGCCTCAGCCTCCCAAAGTCCTGGGATTACAGGTGTGAGTTACCACACCTGGCTGAGGGTCTGGTTCTTAACCTACCTCCAGGAATAACCACATGTGACACCCATGAGGTGGTGGACATGGCATTGGTGGACATGGGCAGAGTACTGGAGTGGTTGGGGCTGGTCAAATGACACCCTGAGAAATGGTGGTCCTGTGTGAGCTGAGAAACTCCAGGATCCCTGGCCATGATCTCTGGAGTTCTGTCTGGCAGTACTGGCCAATGGAGACTTATCTCTGGCTGGAAAGGAGGTGCTGGAAAATTCTTCTGTTGTCTTAACTTGAACCTGGCCCCTTCTCCTAGTAGCTGTGTCTGCCTGGCATGAGATTGTTCTATCAATAATCTAAGGTAATTCAGGAAAGATTGAATTTTGAGTATTAAAGGTTTGCAGATGCTAGTGTTTAATTTTTGATAGTGTGGTGTCTTGGTTATGTATTGCGGCATAGCATACTACCCCAAAACTTAGTGTCTTAAAACCATATTTTAATTATCTCACAAGTTCCTTGGTCAGGAATTTGCTCAGTGCTTGGTTGGGTGATTCTTCTGCTTCACATGGCATTGACTGGAGTCACTTAACAGTCTGGTGTGGGCTGAAGCATCCAAGATGGCTTCCCTCATATGCCTAGTGTCTTGACAGGAATGGCTGACAGGCTTTGTGCCCTTCTCCCTCTCGATGTAGTCTTAGAGTATCTCTACGTGTTCTCTTTAGAATGCCAGTTGGACTCTTACATAGTGGCTCACTTAGGACTCTGCCGGTTATTTTAGAGACTAGGGTTGGAATTGGCATAGCACCAATTCTGTGATACTCCATTGGTCAAAGCAGTCACAGGACAGCCCAGAATCAAGAATAATGGAAACAGATCCCTTCTCCACAGGAGAGGAGTGTCAAAGAATTTGTAGCCATCTTTGATCCACCACATGGGGGTTGCATAACTATAGAATGTGTGGAACTGAAGCAACAAAGAAAATATGTGGGGGAAACACATTTCCTGTCTTTCCTAGCTAGGAATCAGAAGGACTAAGCTTCCTTTTCTGCTGTCACCCGAGGCAAATGTTTTACTAAACTAGGGCAATATTGAGGTTTGTATCCCGCTTCATGCTTTTGATTCAAAATACAGCTCTTGTTAAAGTGCTTGGGAACTCTGCTGGTGGGTACACTGGAAAAACATAAGTGGATAACGTCTGAAGGATACTTTGGAGATGATACTGGCAAATTTCCAAAGGAAGAGTTGGGAACATTTCTCGTTTTCTCCATTGTATCACGCAGCTGTGCCAATGACTAAACAAGCAATGGATTATGCAGGTTTTGAAAACTTTTCAGGTTTTTCCTTTTGTCTATAGCAGAGCAGGGAGGGGGAGAGAATTGGTTTTTAAAGTCTAATTTAACTACGTTTAATTTCCTTTGTCTCTAAGTTTGATATACAAGATTTCAGCAAAATCTTTAGCAAAAATGATAGCAATAGTGTGTTGCTTATTATTGCAGATATGATGCAATACTGGCAGCGTCATGGGGTCCTCTTTCAGGCACTCATTTAACTAGTTTTTGAAGAGATAATTTGTGCACATAGTACAAATTTTAAGGGAAAAACAAGGCACCAAATACAAACCCCCCCCGCCCAATTTCCATTCCTGAGTCCCTCATGTCCCTTCCTCAGAGACAGTTGCTCTTTATTGTATATCCTTCTGGACAAATTCTCTTTTTTTTCTTTTTTCGAGATGGAGTCTCACTCTGCCACCCAGGCTGGCGTGCAGTGGCACAATGTTGGTTCACTGCAACCTCTGCCTCCCAGGTTCAAGTGATTCTCCTGCCTCAGCCTCTCAAGTAGCTGGGACTACAGTCACATGCCACCATGCCTGGTTAATTTTTGTATTTTTAGTAGAGATGGGGTTTTGCCATGTTGGCCAGGCTGGTCTTAAATTCCTGACTTCAGGTGATCTGCCCACCTTGGCCTCCCAAAGTGCTGGGATTACAGCTGTGAGCCACCATCTCCCACCCTTCCAGACAAATTCTATACATATACAAATATCCACTCTCTCTCTGTGTATGTATAATTGTAGGATATTTGGTTATATATCTTTTTCCCTCACAAACAGAAGCATACTGTATACGGTTTGCACCTTGCTTTTTCATGAAATGATGAACTGCAAATTGTTCTGTATCAGTAAATCTAGATTAACTCCTTTTTTCCCAAGAGCTACATAGTATTTTATTGCATCATCCTCTTTTTTTTTAAAAAAAAAACAAAAAAACAAAAAAACAAAAAACAGCCAGGTGCGGTGGCTCATGCCTGTAATCCCAGCACTTTGGGAGGCCAAGGCGGCAGATCACAAGGTCAAGAGATCGAGACCAAGAGATCAAGACCATCCTGGCCAACATGGTAAAACCCCGTCTCTACTAAAGATACAAAAAAATAGCTGGGCATGGTGGCATGTGCCTGTAGTCCCAGCTACTCAGGAGGCTGAGGTAAGAGAATCGCTTCAACCTGGGAGGCAGATGTTGCAGTGAGCAGAGATCATGCCACTGCACACCAGCCTGGCGACAGAGTGAGACTCTGTCTCAAAAAAAAAAAAACAAAAAAAACAGAAAAAACCACAAATAAACAAAAAAAACTAGTCTCCGGTTTATGGTTATCTGGTTATCTAGGTTGTTTCCAATCTTTTGCTATTATGAATAACATCAAAATGAATAGTCTTAAGCATGCATATTTTTGCATATGTGCAACTATATCTAGAATGGGATTGTGGGGTTGAGGAGTATGAACATTGTAATTTTGATATCTATTACAAATGATCCTCCATAGAGATTCTATTAGTTTACATTCTGCCAATCAGCTTTTGTTTTAGATTCTGGGGATTGTCAGTGGAATTTGTTCTGAGGGGGTCAAAGGTTAAGAAACAAGCTGTAAGATTGAACAAGAAAAGATCCACATTTGTGTTTTAACATCAGTCTTTATTATTTATTTATTTATTTATTTATTTATGTATTTACATTTGAGACGGAGTCTTGCTCTGTCGCCAGGCTGGAGTGCAGTGGAGTGATCTTGGCTCACTGCAACCTCTACCTCCCAGGTTCAAGCGATTATCCTGCCTCAGCCTCCCGAGTAGCTGGGACTAGAGGCGTGCACCACCACGCCCAGCTAATTTTTGTATTTTTAGTAGAGATGGGGTTTCAGCATGTTGGCCAGGATAGTCTGGATCTCTTGACCTCGTGATCTGCCCGCCTCAGTCTCTCAAAGTGCTGGGATTACAGGCGTGAGCCATTGCGCCCTGCCCATCAGCCTTTCTTTTATGAAATTTCTAAGTAGTCTACCAAATATCCTGGCAAAATGGACCAGCATCAGGTAGTTGTTGCCAGGAGAAAGCCTGTCCCATGAAAGAATGAGAAGTCTGGACTTGGAGGGGTAAGAATCTGTTTCTGGTCTGACATTGCTAGTACTCACTGTTGGATCTAAATTAAGCCAATTATCCTTTCTTTGACCTCAGTTTTCTTATTTGTTAAATGAATATTTGTAGTAGATGATCTTAGAAGAATCACTGGATCCAAAATTATTTGATTCTATGAAAATCCTTTCACTTTTTATAATTTAATAATAAGTCCTATACAGGAATAGTTGCATAACTTGCAAATCCCTGTGCAAAATGAAAATGCAGGTCCCCTGTTCAAAAATCATGTAATATTTAAAGATGGGCACAGCATTTACCCAAGTGTGGGCCCTTTTGAGCACAGGGACCCTGTGTAACTGCACAGGTGGTAAGTCTGCAAAGCTGGTCCTGCTCCTACAAAGACTCTTACCTCCAAATCAGTAGTTTATCTGTACTTAAGTATTTGGTGGCCACTTTTTACATAGAGATGCACCTGAAATTCCCACCACCCTTTTCTAAGGAAAGCTGCCTTGGTACACAGCCCCTTGCCAAAGGAAGTGGCCCTAAACTGTAAGTTGTGCAGTGGGCACCTGCTGATTGGACCAGAGGCAGCCACCTGACCCGAGGGCAACCAGTTCATAGGCTGGCAAGTAGCTTGAAGGGTGGTCTGGCAGGGAAAGCTCTGACCAGTGGGAGTTAGGTAATTACGTTGGTGAAACAGACACTCTGGAATTTGAGCTGAGAAATATGGACAGGATCAGCCAGCTAGATTGGGGGTTGGGGTTGGTGAGAGCGCGGGGGCATGTAGGTAGAGAGAAGAAGCCACATATATTGTCATGTGTAACTGACCAGTGAACCCTCATTACCTGAGGTAGCCTAAGTGAATTTATTTCTGTCCTTTGTAACCCAAAGAGCATAATTAACCCAGTGTTATGCCAGACCATAGCTGCAGCCTGTTAGTGATTAAGCCATCTAGGGAGTATGGATTAAGAATAATTAAAAGTATGGAAATAGAAAAATAGCTCCCAGTCCCCGTTTTCTCCTTCATCTGCCAGCTACTGCATTGGAATCTGCTGGCTGAGCAGCCTGCATTGGCCAGGTGAGGGGTGATCTGAGCTGGTTGAGGGGGGGCCCTTCTGTTGCTTTCCTTCTTTTTTTCGTGGCTTAGCCAACTTTCTTACATATCCCTAGGACAGTTTTTAAAAAAACTTCTCCTAAGTTATTCATGACATCTTGTTCTACTTCCAGTGGAGTAGCCCTAGGAAAAATGTAGCTGTCAGATGTGCAACAAGATACACATTTTCTTGGTATCTGTCTTTTTCTTTCTGCTGGACTATGCTAATGGATCCCTGGAGTCTGCAGCAGGATGAGGCAGTAGCTGGACCAAATGACCTCCCCAGACCTTTTGCAGTTAAGCTATGCTAAGGGAAGTATTTCAATATAGTCACTTTCCAACCCCCAATTATAGAATATCTATATAATTGTTCGATGTTTTCCCTTTCCTTCATGGCTCAATAGAGGCTGAGTTTGTTGGTCTTCAGATGAATGACCAACTAATTTGGTCAGGGATGTCTTGTAACTTATTGTTGCCAGTAATTTGCTCTCTAGGATGCATTAAAATCTGTGGTGTGTGGGCGGATTACTTATAATAACATACACTGCGCAGAGAAGACTTCTTCAATGAGGCATGCATAAAGCTGCACCATGCAAAATGGATCCTGATTCGAATGAATCACTCTGTAGCCCGAGAGCCCTTGATACACATGACACAGCACTTGGAGTGCTCATCTGACCCACAGGTGCCTCTCCACAGGGCACAGTTTAGCTGTGTTTATGGGGGTAGACTGGGTGAATAAACTGTCCAACTGGCATTAAACATGGAAAAACGGACATTTCTGTTTGCCTTTATGTTAATGCACTGCCTTCAGTGTTCTGCCCTGAAAGGGCCCAGGTCTGGGAGAAGAAACAAAGGTGAAAGGCCTAGAGTTCTATGTTTTTCCTAGCCTGGGGCATCAGCTGTACTTTACCAACACCCAGCACATATCTTGGTGAACACCTATGTATGGGTGCAGGGCCTGGCTTGAGCCTGTGGGCTATCTGGGGTGATTACCATGGAAATACAGTTGAGGCCTGTGTGACCAACATTTCTATACATGGCAAAGGGAATAATGAACCTGGTAAGATTTCCAAGCTCATTTTCCTGTGAATTCCAGGAACCTAAGCCTTTCCATGTCTGTTTTCTCTTCATAAAATGAAGATGCCAACATTGATATTACCCTAAATGCTGGGACATAACCCCCCCACATATATTACTGTAATACTTTTTGTTTACATGAAACATATCTGGGTTTTTGAAAAGAATAAAAATTGAAATATGATTTTAAAAAAGAAGTATTGGCCAGGTGTGGTGGCTCACATGTGTAATCACAGCATTTTGGGAGGCCGAGGTGGGCGGATCACCTGAGGTCAGGAGTTCGAGACTAGCCTGACCAATATGATGAAACCCTGTCTCTACTAAAAATACAAAAATTAGCCGGGCGTGGTGGCATGTGCCTGTAATCCCAGCTACTCGGGAGGCTGAGACAGGAGAATCGCTTGAACCCGGGAGGCGGAGTTTGCAGTGAGCCGAGATCTCGTCATTGCACTCCAGCCTGGGCAACAAGAGCAAAACTCTTTCTCACACACACACACACACACACACACACACACACACAAAAGAAGCATTAATATTTAAGGATATCTGGCTGACTGAAAGAGATAGTAGATCAGAAATGCTTATCTAAGTGCCTGATCACAGGAACAAACCGGGGCAGATATACATATATTTAAATTTATTAAGAGGCTGCAGTGTTAACTGATTAGTAGGTGGGGTGGACCAGGACAATGTCATTTATTTAGGCATTTAAAGCATTCTCTGTAAAATGTATCCTAAGAGTCATAAACTCAACCTGGCAATAGTAAGTGTGAGGGAAAAACTCCCATGGATTAGAAGCTGATTATCTTGAGGAAGCCCAGAGATGAAGTTCATGGCTAATTCCTAGGATGCCAAGGATTAATGGCAGATGACCACAGTGCTCTCCTGTAGTTTATTTTATCATTTGGTTTATTTTATCATTTCTGTTTCCCATTAGGTTAGAGAACATTCTTATAAACATAACTATTTCACAGCTCACATGCCAAGTCATGAAGTAACGCCATTTAATTTACAACCGAATATGGATCTGTCGCTGACCTTTCCCATTTTTACAGAATCATGGATTCTTCTGAAAAATCCTCAAAGAGAACAACATAGATGGCAGAAGCAGGACATAGGGCTTTCTCAGGTGTCATTAAAGTCTCCTGCTTCTTGACGAGGCCACCAGGACTCTGCAGTTGGCCAGTGATGTGGCTCTCTGACTCCAAGGCAAGGCTGGAGATGGCTGCCCATATGAGCCTGCAGGCTCTAGTGTGAACCAAGAGAGGGCACACAAAATTTGTGGATTACATGAAGTGTCAGTGAACAACAGAAGTTAGACAAAACTGTGAGAAATTTCAGAGGCCAGAATGAATGAGGAATTGGTCAATATGGTGTAATGTTCCCTTTAAACAATTGCTCCACCCCCATCTAGCCTGGTTGCGAAATGTTCAAACAACATAACAGAATATAGAATAAAAAGTGAACATTTTCTGGGCCAGGTGTGGTGGCTCACACCTGTAATTCCAGCACTTTGGGAGGCCGAGGTGGGTGGATAACTTGAGGTCAGGAGTTCAAGACCAGACTGGCTAACATGGCGAAACCCCATCTGTACTAAAAATACAAAAAATTAGCTGGGTGTGGTGGTGTGCACCTGTAATCCCCCCTACTAGGAAGGCTGAGGCAGGAGAATCACTTGAACCTGGGAGGTGGAGGCTACAGTCAGCCGAGATCATGCCACTGCACTTCAGCCTGGGTGACAGAGCAAGACTCTTGTCTCCCCCCACCAAAAAAGTAAACATTTTCTAATTTCTCATCTCCCCTGAATTTTACTCCCCTCCCCAGAGGTAACCACTGTTTTCTGTGTACATCAACCTTTCATACCCAAATGTATGTATGCATTTAAGTGTGGAAAGTAACTGGGATGATAATGCATACTTGCTATTTAGCAATATGTCTTAGTACAAATAGATCAACTTCATTCTTTAAACCATAGTGTTATTCTTCTTTTGGTGGACATTTAACGTTCTCTACTGTAAACAGTACTGCAGTGAAGATCCTTGTTTGTGCTTCTTTGTGAACAGGTGTAAGCATTTCTCTAGAAGAGAGGCTTGGCAGTGAAATTTCTGGGTAGAACTGTATGTATACTTACAATATTGACAGATACTGCCAAATTGTCATCTAAAAAATAGTCATTTTTATTTCCACCATCAGTGTGTAAGAGTAACTGTTTTTCCTACATCCTTGACTACCCTGGATATGTTTAATCTTGATAATTTTTGTCAATATGGGGGATAAAGAAGAGTGACTTAATTGTTTTATATTTCCTTGATTAGGAAATATAAATGTCGAACATATTTTCCTTACTAATTGACCATTTGCATTTGTTTGTGAAATGTCTATTCTTTTTCATTGTGCATTTTTCTATTGTTTTTTGTTTTATTGACTTAGAGTCACTATTTTCTAAATACAAATTACTTGGATTTTATGTATTTCACATATTTTATACACTTTAGACATTTGTCATTTTTCTTTTCTTTTCTTTTTTTTTTTTTTTTTTGAGACAGGGTCTTGCTCTGTTGCCCAGGCTGTAGTGCAGTGGTGTGATCTTGGCTCACTGCAGCCTCCATCTCCTGGGCTCAAGCAATCCTCCCACTTCAGCCTCCCAAGTAGCTGAGACCACGGGTGTGTGCCACCATGTCTGACTAATTTTCGTATTTTTTTGTAGACATCAGAGTTTTGCCATGTTGCCCAGGCTGGTCTCCAACTCCTGAGCTCAAGCGGTCCACCTCAGCCTCCCAAAGTACTAGGATTACAGACATGAGTCATTGTGCCCAACAAACTGAGCCATTTTTCTTTGTCCATGGCGTTTTATATTGTAAAGATGTGTATGTAGACAAATCTGCCCATCTTTTTTCTTTTATGGCTTAATTTTCCTGCTCCCAGATTATAAAAAATATTTTCCCTAAGACTTTGTTGGTAAAAAAATTACTTAATCCTTTACTGTATCCAATATGTAGTTTTGTATAATGTGTGATAGAGTGAAACTTTCCTTTTTTCTAGTACAAATTATCATTTTCAGACACACTCAATCTCTGGTACATCCCGTACACCCTCTGTGACATCTTGGAATTATAGATCCTTAGAACATCTGTAGAGAGAACCCCCTGAAATTGTGCACAGATTTTTGTGTAATGTGTTTAGATGCATTTTTTCCTTTGGAGAGATCCCTTAATTTTCATCAGATTCTCAAAAGGATGCATGATGCAACAAAGGTTAGGAAGATGTGCGTTACATTCTCTCCTCCACCTTCCATCGGAGAGTACCAGAGAGGCAGACTTGTTTCTACATTTCTTTCCAAATTCCCCTTTTCAATTCTTCAAGTCTTCTTATTTAATATTAGTAGTGCTTTCCAGTTAATTCATTCAACAAATGTTAAGTGAGCATCTGCCACGTCAGGCATGGTATCACCAAAGCTCACTAAGACCTGGAAGCTGCACTCAACCGACTGATATTCTAGTTGGGAAGACCACAAATAATGTAACACATTAGATCATCAGTCCCCAGCTTTTTCGGCACCAGGTATTGGTTTTGTGGAAGACAATTTTTCTATGGAAGGAGATCGGGGGAATGGTTTTGGGATGATTCAAGCACATTACATTTATTGTGAACTTTATTTCTATTATTATTACATTGTATTATAATACATAATGTATACGTGTATATATGCATATGTTATTACATGTAATATATACAGTGACAGATCATCAGACAATAGATTCCCATAAGGAACGTGCAAACTAGATTCCTTGCATGCGCAGTTCACAGTAGGGTTCACGTTCCTATGAGAATCTAATGCCCCCGTTGATCTGACAGGAAATGGAGCTCAAGTGGTAATGTTCACTCACCCGCCGTTCACCTCCTGCTGTGTGGCCTGGGGGTTGGGGACCCCTGCATTAGACTACTGTGTAGGTGTCATGATAATGGTATGCACAGAGGGCTGTGAGTGATTATAGGAGAAAGCAAGTCCTAGATTTGTGTGTGTGTGTGCAGTCATTTCAGGAAGGTAATTCCGACATCAGTGTGAAGAATAAAGACAAAACAGAGACCAGTTGGGAAGCTGGTAGAGAAATGGGAGAAACATTAGGGATTGAAATGAAGCTGTGTCAGTGAAGAGGGAGTGGATGTGAAAGATTCAGGACACACCAAGAAGGTAAAACAGGCTGGAATTATTTGTTGAGCTATTGTTTATGGGGATTAGTGGGAAATTAGAAGTCAGGAACAATTGTGAGGTTTCTGGTTTGGGTGACTCGTTCCTGGCGTCATCGCTGAAATCAGAAACAGGCTGAGTACCAGATTTAAAGGAAAAGTTGAGTTTAGTTTTGCACATTTACAGTACTGTACATCGATATAGACAAAAATGGATGTGATCACCCTAGATGAGAGTGTGATAATCAGGGAGCAATGATCTGGGAGCTAACAATGTTTTAGAGGTTCATGGAAAAAGGGAAAGGTTATTAGGTTGAGAAAGAGAAATATGAGAAAAATCAAGATAAAATGTCATAAGACATGGTAAGAGAGAGTTTCAAGGAGGAGGAAGTGGTCAATAGGGGGAAATGTTGCAGATAAATCAGTAGAGATAAAGACAGAAAAGGGCCAGCCTGGCCAACATGGTGACACCCCGTCTCTACTAAATATACAAAAATTTGCCAGGTGCAGTGGCTCATGTCTGTAATCCCAGCACTTTGGGAGGCTGAGGTGGGCAGATCACTTGAGGCCAGGAGTTTGAGACCAGCCTGGCCAACACTGGGAAACCCTGTCTCTACTAAACAAACAAAAACTAGCAGGGCATGGTGGCGCATGTCTGTAGTCCCAGCTACAGGCATGAGTCCCAGCTACAGGCCGAGGCATGAGAATCGCTTGAGCCTGGGAGGCAGAAGTTGCAGTGAGCTGAGATCATACCACTGCAGTCCAGCTTGGGCAACAGAGTGCGATGCTGTCTCAAAAAAAAAAAAAAAAAGGGACTGATTTCCCAGATTGGATTAATAGGGCTTCAGGACCCCCAAAGGACCACATCCTAGAAGTTGTAACTCGCTCTGCAAAATGTATGCAAACTTCTGCTAAATTAGATTGAAGCCCACATTTGTAATCAAGAGCCTTGGGGGCAAAAAAGACAGAAAAGTAAACAGGAACACTGAAACATTTTGTTTTTCTCCCCGTCAAAACTAAGATAAACAGTTATGTGACAAGTGGCAGAGGAAGAACAAAATGAATGTAATATATTCTAAGTAAGAACTATAAAGGCAAGAAAGATTTTAGTTTCAAATGGTAATTTCATTTTGAGCTGTAATGAGCAAAATGTGAGGAGCAAAATGGACTTTTTCTGTGGCAGAGCACACGTGAAAGTGAGATTTCTGTTTCTGCCTGTTCTCTCAGTGACCAGTACTAGTGTGGTACTGAAGATGAGATGAGCTTATATCCCCTTGTGTGTGCTCTGCGTTTTAATGATAGCTTGGCGTGCAGGGGCAGAGGCCTACAGCTTTAAAAAGTGGATGTGCTTTATCATTTTAACTCAAGATGACGACTCATTTTTTTCCCTTTGGTGAGTGTACAATCTTGCATTATTCCAGGCAATCCTTTTTTCAAATAGGAAATGCAGCCTGTTTTTTTCTTCTTTTGACAAATGCCATACAGATAAACCTCTCAGCATAATTGTCCCTCTTTCAAAGATTTTTGTGTGGAATATTTATAGCAAAATGTAAGTCTGTCTGGTATATAAACAGTGTTAATTATGGCTATTATACTCTCCTTTACACTTCTCAGTGATTGCTTAGAATGTCATGTTGGAATTTAAAAGTTCATTTTGAAAAGAAGGAAGGGAAAATGAGAGTTCTGTGTGATGGGTAAAGTGCCTAATGTTCTTTTGGTGGGTAGAGTCAATAATATTACCTTTTTTGAGTAAAGAGAAAGGAAAACTATATTTGCTTACCTGAATTTAATGTCTGTTGTCATTTTTTGGTTGAATTCTTTTATTTTAGCTGTGTGTTGCAGTTAACTAGCAAAGATAAATCAGAAGCAGACTCTTAGATAGGTTGGGAAAAAATGTTCTTACCAAGGAAGTATCAGAGAAGGAAGAAGCTGGCTCAGTGGCTCATGTCTGTAATTCCAGCACTTTATGAGGCTGAAGCAGGAGAATCACTTGAGTCCAGGAGTTTGAGACCAGCCTGGGCAACATAGGGAGATCCCGTCTTTCCAAAGAAAAAAAATTTTCTGGGTGTGGTGTGCACCTGTGGCATCCCAGCTGCTTGGGAGGCTGAGGTGGGAGGATTGCTTGAGCCCAGGAGGTCGAGGCTGCAGTGAGCTGTGATTGCGCCACTGCACTCCAGCCTGGGTGACAGGATGAGACCCTATCTCAAAAAGAAAAAAAAGAAAGAAAGAAAGAAATATCCATAATCAACATTTTTTTCTGCAAATATAATACTGTTACTTGGCTGGGCACGGTGGCTCACACCTGTAATCCCAGCACTTTGGGAGGCCGAGGCAAGCGGATCACTTGAGGTCAGGAGTTTGAGACTGGCCTGGCCAACATGATGAAGCCCTGTCCTTACTAAAAATACAAAAATTAGCCGGGTGTGGTGGCGCATGTCTGTAATCTCAGCTACTCGGGAGGCTGAGGCAGGAGAATTGCTTGAACCTGGGAGGCGGAGGTTGCAGTGAGCCGAGATCTGGTCAGTGCACTCCAGCCTGGGCAACAAGAGCAAAACTCTGTCTCAAAAAAAAAAAAAAAGAAAAAGAAAAAGAAAAAAAAAATACTGTTACTTGACAATGTTTCTAACTTGCTTTTTCCAAGTCACACCAATCTGAGGGGACAGGCTTGGAAAGCCAAGGGGAGGGTGATGGCCACAAATGGTTTTGACTTTGAGCACTTACCAGGCAGAATCCTTGGGACATTAATCCTTCTTTTTCCTGTCCACTTCCCAGGCTCTTTCCCTTTCTCTGGCCTCGTCCTGGGTGATGCACATGTTCTCCCTGGAGACTCTCAGCCTCTCAAACATCTGTCCTGCTATTACCAATGTTGTTCTTTGCCTTGGGGATTGGTGGCCTCAGTGGGAGTTCGTGCCTATCACCTTGAAGGCCTTACAGTGCCTGTGTCCTGAACCCCCTCACTCTCTTTCCTCCAGTGTTACTGTTCTCTAAATGTAGAACACCCCAAACAATAGTCTGGATCTTTGTGTCCTTCTAAAGTTTTGGGAAGCTTTAGATGACCAGTCCCAGGGCTGAGGACATTTAAATGGCTTTCCTATTTATCAACACCAAACCACTGTCACAGGAAGATATCTGGTGTTCAATAGTCTCATAATTCAGTGAGGGTTTTCTGTCTATACTAAAGATGCTTCTAGGAGAGATTGGGGTGGAGTTTTAGAGACATTGCCAATTGATCCCTTCGGCCAGAGAACCCATAAATACCTCAGGTACAAAGTCTCCCTGAGAATAAATTCTGCTTTGATGCTGCTCAGAAGATGATGATGCAAATTACACCCCAATTCTGAAGACTTTTTAAAGCATTTTCAAAAGAGAAGTTTTTTTCATAAATGCTCTGACCTGATATTTCACTGAAATACCTTCAGTCTTAATTAAACCAATTTTCGTTCATTCTCTAAAGCAATTCTCTAGGTGTATCAATAGCTCTCTCAAATTTCTGCAAATGGTAATGAGATTATAGAAATTAGACTTTATTGGATGCCTGACCATATTGCTAGTGTCACCATAATCTCTCCCCCATCCAGACATTTTACTTTGTATCACCAGAGTTCACATTAGGCAGTCCTAGCTGTATAAGTTGATTCTCATTATGGCTTTCCTCAGTCAAGAGTACTTATTGAGTGCTCACATGGCTGGCACCAGATACCATGAGAAATTATGAGTCTCTGTTCTCAAAACCTTTGTACTGTAGTTACAGAGGCTAGGGTGTGAACTCCAGGACATCAGAGGCCATATGCTTTGTCAGTCCTGGAGGTAATGGAGACCTGAAGTTAGGCTGTAGGGGTCCAGCATTTCAGGAGGAGGAAGTACAGTGTCATCTTTGAGAGCATGGGCTTTTAAGTCAGACCTTGGTCCAAATTTTGGCTCTACCATCTATTGACTGGGTGCCCTTAGGCAAATTTCTTAACCTTTTTGTACCTTAGTTTCCTCTTCTGCAAAATAGGAGTGATATCATATCTACCTTTTGTAGACTTTTCTTGAGGATTAAATGAAAAAAAAAAAAAAAGCCTTAGCACAGAACCTGGAACAGAAAAAGTGCCCAGTATAAATGATAGCTTTCATATTAAGTGGACTGTTGGCCTCTTCTTGGAAACTGCTTGTTCCAAGAAAGGCCCAAAGACAGAAATAACTACAGAGGTATTGAATATTCAGACTATACCAAGGGAGAGGTGCATTTTTTCTATTGAGAGCCACTGACCCCTGATAGAAAAGGATTAATTAAAGGCCTTGTAAAAAAACCTAATTTGCTTTTTTTCCTTCAGGGAAATATAAAGTATTGAATTTACCTACTTTAAAGAACAAGGAACATAGCGCTTTACTCAATAAATACTTTGAATAGATTTCTAGAACTTTAAGGGACCTCAGAGACCATCCAGTATAATTTCTTTATTTAATAGATGAGACAGCTGAGGGCCAGAAATAGAAACTGACTTCATCATAATTACCATAACAGCCCACAGGAATAAACCTTTTACTTTTAACTCCTAGCATTTTTCTACTATACTATGTACCTAGTTGGTCAGTAAAACAACAGGGAGAGGAAGAGAGAAAGAAGAAAACAAGAAGAGGGAGAGAGAAAGAGGAATTAGGAAGAGAATAAGAATGATAGAGAGAAAGTAGAGAGAGAGAATGAGAAAAAGAAGAAAGAAGGTGGTCATTTCCAACAGCAATTGGTTTAATTAAATGTACATCATGTTAAGTGAACTTGCTTTTTGAGAATTCCTGTTGTTCTGACTGAATGTCTGAATGAATGACAGGACCTCATCACCAGTTGGGAGTGTATTGCAATAACCTGAAAGAGAAATGTAATGAATTGGACTATGGTGACAGCAATAGGTTGAATTTGGGATATATTTCAGAGAGATAGAGAGATATATTGTCGTATTGGATGTTTAGAGATAAATTAATGGAAGGGCAAAGGGCGAATCCAAACTTTTTAATTAATTGAGTCGATGGTTCCCCATGTACTCAGATGTAGAAGTCTTTGGATATGTTATGTTTGACATGCCCAGGAAAAATTCTGAGTGTACAGTTGGATATTTGAGTCTGGAGCTCAGGAAAGAGAGCAAGCTTGGAGATGTAAATTTGGGAGTTGTCAGTATAAAGATATTTATGGGACTGGATGAGCTCATCTAGGGATGGGATGAAAATAGAAAGGAGAAGAAGGCTGAGTCCTGTCTAGAATACTCCATCTTTTGGAGGGCTGGCAGATGAGAGGGTGCCTGCAAATGAGGCTCAGAAGTTATTACTGGGGAGTATTCTGAAGGTGTGGGTTTCTGAGGTCTCAGCAAGTAATTTGATAGGATAATTTATAATGGAAGAACAGAATATGGAAGAATGTGGGTTGGATAGTAGGACAGGTAGGTGGGTTAGAACTGTGTGTACCAAAGTAGTGTCAAAGAATGGATTGGTGGGAACTTGAAGATCTGTAGGAGAGTACCTCAAGTCTTGCACCTGTCCCATGAACCTGATTAAAAATACTCTGAGTAGGCCGGGCACGGTGGCTCATGCCTGTAATCCCAGCCCTTTGGGAGGCCAAGGCGGGTGGATCGTCTGAGGTCAGGAGTTCAAGACCAGCCTGGCCAACATGGTGAAACCCCGTCTCTACTAAAAATACAAAAATTAGCCAGGCGTGGTGGCAGGCACCTGTAATCCTAGCTACTCAGGAGGCTGAGGCAGGAGAATCGCTTGAACTCGGGAGGTGGAGGTTGCATTGAGCTGAGATTGTGCTACTGCACTCCAGCCTGGGCGACAAGAGTGAGACTTCGTCTCAAAAAAAAAAAAAAAAATAAATTCTGTGTAGAGAGAATTTGGTCAGATTTGCAGCAATACAAAGATGGAGAGATAGTTTTTATGTCAGATTGATTAGTAGATTTTGAAAGACCTGGCAAGCCATAGTAGATGCTGTATGTAGAAGTCTTGTACTAAACCATGCTTGGTGTGATGAGGGCCTGGTCTAGAAGGGTGGCCGTGGGAGTGGAGGATTGGATTCTAGAAACACTTGAGAAGGAAGAGTTGGCATAATTTTGTGACCAGACTGGATATAGGTGATGACAGAGAGGAAAGGGGCCCAAATGATCCAAGTGCACTATAATTAGGTTATGTTTTTAGTGTGTGAATATTAAAAATAATTTAAAAAAACATGAGTTAATAACTCGTTCTTTGCCAGAACCATTCAAACTCTGATAGTTTCAATTTATACACTTTGTTCTGTATGTGGAAGGGATAATAAAAATTTAATTAAAAGTAATAAAAAAAACATGAGTTAATAACTCGTTCTTTGCCAGAACCATTCAAACTCTGATAGTTTCAATTTATATACTTTGTTCTGTATGTGGAAGGGATAATAAAAATTTAGTAAAAATAATTATAATGAGTTGGCTCTTCCAACCTTAAAAGATTAGTAATTACCAATTAATGTGTTTCTGTTTGCAAAAAAGCTGATAGCTGAAGCTAAATAGTATAAGATTGGTTCAGACTTCACATTTTGATGGTTTGCCAGCTGAATATTGATATGACTGCATTTATTTATGAGGTTGTTGATCATTTGAATTGCCCTGTGAGGGCTTGAGTTATTTTACAGAACCATTCTCTCCTGCTTAACTAAATGACATTAATCTTACCTCTCAGAAAGCAGTGACTTTCAGCCAAGTAGAGAGTTCTTCCCTGTATTGAAGATGCTCTTAGTGATTGGGATGTGTGAGTGCCTTGCTTGAAAGGTCTGGAGTTTTTCCACACCTCAGAGATTTTGCCAAGCTTCTTAATGGGGTTGACCAGTTGGAGTAGCCATGTTCACCTTTCTTAAGGGAAGAAAAGCATTTCAAGCACTTATTTATGTAAGCATTTATTTCCATATAATTGTTTTCCTATACTAGTTTAAACGCAGGTATTCCTTTGAAAGGAATAATTATTATTGCTTTTAAAACTCTTAAATTTTGACTTTTCCAGTAGTCTCTATGAAATTAGGGATTTTTTTTTGTCATTTAAACTATTCAAGTTTGAAAATTTTACTGTGTATTTCATTTTGTGCACTTTACACCCAGTTTGCTTATATAAGAACATCAACCACTTAAGCTGAGAGAAAGGTTTCTACCTCCCCCTGCCAAGTTCTGAACATGAAGACATATATTTAGATGAGTTTAATAAGTATTAGAATAGTAGAAATTTAGAGCTGGAGAGGATGTTAGATATTATCTATTCTACTTACTTCCTTTTTCAGACGAAGAAACAGAGGTCTAAAGACGTGAGTTATTTGCCCAATTTCATACACCTGATTGATGGCAGAGATGCTATGTTCTCATTGCAGCCTGTGAGGTGGTACACGATTTTGGTTTGTCCCACTACTGATGATGTTAAGTTTGATCACTTGATTAAGGTGGTGTCTGTCGGGTTTTTTTCCTATAAAGTTATTCTTTTTCCTTTTGTAATTATAAAATGTTTTGTGAGGAGGGACTTTGAGACTATGTATATATTTCTTTCCTCATCAAACTTTTATTGACTCTTATCCATTGATGCTTCTTGGTTGAATTAATTTTTACTATGATGTTTACTAAATGGTGAGTTTCATCATTCCTTTTATAAATATTATTTTGAATTGCACTGTAAGGAAAAATTTTCTCTTTCCTCTTTTGGACTCTCATATTGAATTTCATGGATTTCTATTTTATTCAATGGATCTATTTCTATTACTACTTATTGATGTTCACATTTTCCCAGACAGGCCAGTGGGAAGTGCTTCAAGTTGGTTTCTATGTCCTTTGACATGGCTCCATAATTTTATTTTGATCATTTAATTTTTTTTATTGTGGCAAAATACATATAACATAAAATTTACCATTATGACAATTTTATTTTTTTATTCTAATTTTTGTTATTTAAACTGTTTCGACAGCTCAATGGCATTAAGTACTTTCATGATTTTTTTTTTTTCTTTTTTTTTGAGACAGAGTTTCGCTCTTGTTGCCCAGGCTGAGTGCAATGGCGCGATCTCGTGCACTGCAACCTCTGCCTCTCGGGTTCAAGTGATTCTCCTACCTCAGCCTCCCGAGTAGCCAAGATTACAGGCATGCACCACCACACCTGGCTAACGTTTTTCTTCTTTCTTTCTTTCTTTTTTTTTTTTTTGTATTTTTAGTAGAGACAGGTGTTTCACCATGTTGTCCAGGCTGGTTTGGAACTCCCAACCTCAGGTGATCCGCCTGCTTCAGCCTCCCAAAGTGCTGGGATTACAGGCATGAGCCACCATGCTTAGCCGATATTGTGAAATCATCACTATATATTGTGAAATATCTAGTTTGAGAAATTTTTGTCACCCCGAATGGAAACCCCATACTATTAATAATTAAGCATTCATTCCCCATTTCTGCCCTCCTGGCAACCACAAATCTGCTTTCTGTCTCAATGGATTTGCCTATTCTGGATATTTCATATAAATACAATATATGGTCTTTTGTGTCTTCCTTCACTTAGTGTAATGCCTTCATGGTTCATTCATGTTGTAGTATGTATCAGTACTTCATTTCTTTTTATAGTTTAATAATATTCCATTGTGTGGATATACCACATTTTATTTATCTATTCATCTATTGATGAATATTTGGGCTGTTTCCATCTTTTGGCTCTTGTGAATAGTGCTGCTATGAAAATTTACATACGTGTTTTTGTTTGAATGCTATTTCCAGTTATTTTTGGTATATACCTAGGAGTGGGAATGATGGATCACATGATAATTCTATGTTTACCACATTGAGGAACATCCAAACTGTTTTCCACAGTGGCTGCATTATTTTACATTCCCACCAGCAATATATAAGGGTTCCAATCCGATGACTTCACTTCCTCACAAACACTGATCCCCCTCCCCCATTTTAATTGCTATCCTACTGAGTGTGAAGTGGTATCTCATTGTGGTTTTGATTTGCATTTCTCTAATAACTAATGATGTTGAGACTGTTTTCATGTGCTTTTTGGCCATTTATATATCTTTGGAGAAATTAATACTCAACTCATTTTAAATAGTGTTGTTTCTTTTTTTTGTTGTTGAATTGTAGGAGTTCCTTATGTATTCTGGATACTAGATCCTCGTCAGATAGATGGCTTGCAAATATTTTGTCCCATTCTGAAGTTTGCATTTTCACTCTTGATTCTTTGATGCACAAAGCTTTTTAAATTTTAATGAAGTCCAATTTATCTATTTTTTCTTTTGTTGCTGTGATTTTGGTGTCATACCTAAGAAACCATTGACAAATCCAAAGTCATGAAGATTTACCCTTATGTGTTCTTCTAAGAGTTTTATAGTTTTAGTGCATACATTTTGATCTTTGATCCATTTTAAATTAATTTTTTGTATATGGCGTGAAGTAAGAATCCAACTTCATTCTTTTGCAAGTGAATATCCAGTTCTCCTAGCATCACTTGTTGAAGAGATTGTTAGCCTGCCCTTCTCATCATTTTTTGAGCACTTCCCCTGCCAGCTTTGGAAACAGGCATTTTCCCAAGAAACCCTGATTCTTTTTTTTTTTGAAACAGAGTTTCACTCTTCTCGCCCAGGCTGGAGTACAATGGTGCAATCTCGGCTCACTGCAACCTCTGCCTCCCAGGTTCAAGAGACTCTCCTGCCTCAGCCTCCCGAGTAGCTGGGATTACAGGCATGCACCACCACACATGGCTAATTTTGTATTTTTAGTAAAGAAGGGGTTTTACCATGTTGGTCAGGCTGGTCTCGAACTCCTGACCTCAGGTGATCTACCTGCCTCGACCTCCCAAAGTGCTGGGATTATAGGCATGAGCCACCATGCCCGGCCAAGAACCCTGATTCTTTTTAGCAAACAATGATATTCAGAAATGAAGATTTGGGCACTAGGTGTGCTCAAACCTTTTGGGTGCTGATCTTCTTAGGCTCTCTCAATTGACAAAGCTCTATACACAATATACCTGCACACACATATTGAAAACCATGAGTTCCCACTCATGCTTCCAATTCCAAGCAAACATCATGGAGTTCATTCTACTTTTCTCCTTTTATTTACAACTTATCTCTGAAGTAAAAAACCTGGCTTTTATTATTCTCAACATATTTATTTATTACAGGTTGAGTATCTCTTATCTGAAATGCTTGGGACTGAGAAGTATTTTGTTTCAATTTTTTTCATTTTTTTTTGATTTTGGAATATTCGCATTATACTTACTGCTTGAGCTTTCCAAATCCAAAAATCCAAATTCTGAAATGCTCCCATGAGCATTTCATCCACCACCACTGTTCCCCCCTGCACAGATGATCTCATTCTACTTGGCTTTTGACCCTTTGTGCTGGGCTATGACCACCTCTCTACTGAGTAGACACCCTCTTCCTTTGATTTAGCTTGGACAACCCATGCTAAATTTGGGTTGTTCAGATTTAGCATGGTGCTAAATGGGTGCACAGATGATCTCATTTTGCTCCAGCTTTGATACCCCATGCTGAGCTGCCGCTGCTACTTTTCTCCCCACAGCCTCCAGAGACCTACCTTGCTTGGCCCTACCTAGTTGATTTTGGACTGAATTATTCATGAAGGAAGGAGGAAGAAAGGAAGACAGGAATCAGTTTCTAGGCTAGTCAGTTTTTTTTTGTAATCTTACAACTTTTCACTGTGTTTGATGCACTTCTTGCTTTTCTATATTCTCATATAATTATTTTCATGTCTTTGGCAGATGGATTAGCTGGCTATAAAATTCTAGCTTAACTGTTTTGTTTCCTTTTCACTACATTAAAAAAAAAAACCTTTTTAAGGGAATTATTTTAGAGTTACAGAAAAGTAGCAAAGATAATACAGAGTTTTTGTGTGCTCCTCACCCGTATTTGCCCTTATGTTAATATCTTAGATGACCACCTCTCTGATGTTTTAAAATATTATTTCATTAACTTCTTATATCTACTTTTGCTAACAAGGAATCTGCTGTCAGTACAATTGTCACACTGTTTTAGGTTGTTTGTCTTTCTCACTGATGAATTTTAAGACTGTCTCTTTACACTTGATTTCAACATTTCACTTCAGTGTGTCCAAGCTTGGTTTTATTTGTATTTATTCTACTTAGTATTTGGATCATACTGATCCGATGATTAATCAGGTTTCTTTCTTTAATTCTAGAAAAAGATCAGCAACTTTTTTTTTTTTTTTTTTGAGGCAGAGTTTCACTCTGTTGCCCAGGCTGGAGTGCGGTGGTGTGATCTCGGCTCATTGCAACCTCTGCCTCCTGGATTCAAGTGATTCTTGTGCCTCAGCCTCCCAAGTAGCTGGGATGACAGGCATGTGCCACCATGCCTGGCTGATTTTTGTATTTTTAGTAGAAATGGGGTTTTGCCATATTGGCCAGGCTGGTCTCAAACTCCTGGCCTCAAGTGATCTGCCCACCTTGGTCTCCCACAGTGCTGGGACGTGAACCACCATGCCTGTTCAGCAACAATTTTTTCAGATATTTATTCCTCATCATTCATTTCAGTTTCTTCTTTTGGAAATCCTATTCATTAAAATATTTGGAATCTCTCAGTCTATCTTTCATGTTTCATACATTGCTACTTAAATTCTCTCTCTTTCTCTCTCTCTAAAAGGGAGAACAGTATAGTCCTGTTTATTGTATTTATCTATTTTTTTAAGAGACAAGGCCTTTCTCTGTTGACCAGGCTGGAGTGCAGTGGTATGATCATAGCTCATGGTAACTTTAAACTCCTGGACTCAAGCCATCCTCCTGCCTAAGCCTCCTAATAGCTGGACTGCAGACACGTGCCACCATGCCTGGGTAATAAAAAATTTTTTTTCATATGGATGGGGTCTCACTATGCTGCCCAGGCTGATCTCAAACTCCTGGCTTCACGTGATCCTCCCACCTCAGCATCCCAAAGTAGTGAGATTACAGGTGCAAGCCATGGTGCCTGGTCCTGTATTTGTATTTTGAAATTCAATCAATATATATCATTTTCTAAATTTCTAATTGCTTCTTTTAAATGTTCGCTTATCTTGTGGTATTTTAAAACCTGTTTTTGTTGAAGAATTTTGTATTCTTTTGTTTTCTCTTTTTTGTAAATGCTCACTGTTTATAATTTAGTCTTTGTTCAGCTGTCTAATAAAATTAATTTTCCAGAGAGAATACATGATTATTAATTTTGTTGGCTTTCTTTAGTAGCAATGTATTTTTGTTTTTTGGAATTTTGGTTTACCAGTAATTTTGAATAAGCCTTTTTTTTTTTCATTTTTCATTTGTCTCTCCTTCTCCCATCTTTGCCCATATGCCTCTCTGTTCAACATTTTTGCAGTTCTCCCTTACAATGTCCTTCAGAACCCTAAATCTATAATGAGGCTTTAAATTAATTGCTGGTTGGAGTTCCTGCACTATAGTGATGGTAGAGTACCCAAGAGCCAGTCATATGGCCAATGAGCAGTTTGGCTCCATTCTTAGTGGCAAGGCTGTGAGTTTTTAAGCTATAATGTATGCATTCTCCACAGGGGCAATGTTGCTCCTGATCATTTAACATTTGATTCTTAGAAGGTGAATAATCTTAGATATTACAATGGTTTGTGGCTCTTCAAAGCACAATCCTGCCTCCTAAAAATTATATTCCCTAGCATTTAATTTCTCTCACTAGGAAAAATTTAAACATTTATCTTTTTAGAGGGATAATAATGAAAATAAAAGTTGAAAAACACTGCAACAGCTCTAAGCAGAAGTTGGCTATGTTTTGTTCAGTCTATTTCCTCAAGCAGCAAGCCTGATTTCTGCCTAATTTATGGAAATTTTAAAACTCGTTGACTCCCATGGAGCTGTTTCTGGCCACCACAGCCACAGCTTTAGCCTGGCTCTCAGTTTTGCACCTCTGTTCCATGGAGATGTTTGTCTTTTTTTGAATATGACACATTTTCTCCTTTTATATATTTTATTCCATATTTTCACATATTTGGATAATAAAGAGGAAATCAAAGCATGAACTCATTGCCCGATCTTGACTGGAAATTGGTATCTATTATGTTATTTACCAACTACTATTCTAATGCCTTTACACTTTTTTTTTCTTAGCTTTTACGACTTACAATACAGGAATATCCAGCTATTAGATATCAATTAAATTCAATCATTATTTGTGTTTACTTTCTAGCTTTGGATTTTTGAGGTTGCTAAATAATGTAGATCCTCTTTAGTGGTGCCATCTTCAATGAGAGGTTTTGGCTTTTGCAGCTGGAAATTTATGGCTAAATTTCTTTTCTTTTCTTCTTTCTTCTTTTTTTTTTTTGAGATGGAGTCTTGCTCTGTTGCTCAGGCTGGAGTGCAGTGGTGTGATCTCGGCTCACTACAACCTCTTATGGCTGAATTTCTCTAGGGTATCATTCAATGCATTCATAATACATTCTTCGACAACATTTGCAATTATATTTCGAGTCCTTCTTCCATTATTTCAATCAGGATAGCATGATATTTCGATCTTTATGTTTCATCTGGCAGTATAGCATACTGGTTAAGGGGCAGACTGCTCTGGTTGCAAATTCTAGCTGTGCCATTTATTTACTAGCTGTTTGCCTTGGGCAAGTTATTTAATTTCTCCATGCCTCAGTTTTCTCATATGTAAAATGGGTTGATTATAAGAATAGCTCCTATCTCATAAAACTGTGAAGCACTAAATGTATGAATACATGTAAAATTCTTAGAACTGACATAAGATAAGCACTCAATAAGCATCAATTATTGTATTTTTTCTCATGTTTTCCCTCTGGTTTTTAAGCTTTTATTTTTCTGAGAATTTCTTGACTTTCTCTCCCAAATTAATTAATTAATTAATTAATTAATTAATTAATTTATTGAGACAGAGTTTCATGCTTTTCGCCCAGGCTGGAGTGCAATGGCATGATCTCGGCTCACTGCAACCTCTGCCACCCATGTTGAAGCGAGTCTCTTGCCTCAGCCTCCCGAGTAGCTGGGCTTACAGGCACCCACCAGCATGCCAAGCTAATTTTTTGTATTTTCCGTAGAGATGGGGTTTTGCCATGTTGGGCAGACTGGTCTCGAACTCCTGACCTCAGGTGATCTGCCTGCCTCAGCCTCCCAAAGTGCTGGGATTACAGGCATGAGCCACCGCGCCCGGCCTCTCTCTCAAACTTTATATTGAAATATTTCTTTTGGCTGTTTGTTTATTCATTTATTTTGGCTATTTTATTTTTAATTTCCAGGTGCTTTTTCTTAATTTTTTACTTTTCTTTTTTCATAGGTCCCTGTTCTTATGTTGTTATACAATATCTTTATGAAGTCTCTATTTTTTTGCCTTTAAAACATTAAAAATTTTTTTTCTGAGTTACATAATAGGTGTATTATTTATGGGGTATATGAGATGTTTTGATAAAAACATGCAATGTGAAATAAGCAGATCATGGAGAATGGGGTATCCATTCCCTCAAGAATTTATCCTTTGGGTTACAAACAATTCAATTACACTCTTTAGGTTATTTTAAAATGTATAATTAAGTTATTATTGGCCTGGCTCAATGGCTAACGCCTGTAATCCCAGCACTTTGGGAGGTTGAGGCAGGTGGATCACCTGAGGTCAGGAGTTTGAGAACAGCCTGGCTAACATGGTGAAACCCTATCTCTACTAAAAATAGAAAAATTAGCTGGGCATGGTCGCACTTGCCTGTAATCGCAGCTATTTGGGAGGCTGAGGCAGGAATCGCTTGAACCCAGGAGCAGAGGTTGCAGTGAGCTGAGATCACGCCATTGCACTCCAGCCTGGGCAAGAAGAGTGAAACTCTGTCTCAAAAAAAAAAATAAAAAAGTTATTATTGACTATAGTCACCCTATTGTGCTATCAAATAGTAGGTCTTATTTCTTCTATTTTTTTTTTTGTACTCAGCAACCATCTCTACCTCCTTCCCAGCCCCCTTCTACGCTTCCCAGCCTCTGGTAACCACTCTATGTTCATGAGTTCAATTGTTTTGATTTTTAGATCCCACAAAAAAGTGAGAACATGTGATGTTTGTCTCTCGGTTGTGATGTTTGTTATTTCACTTAACAAAATGATCTCCAGTTCCATCCTTGTTGCAAATGATGGGATCTCATTACTTTTTATGGCTGAATTGTACTCCACTGAGTATATGTACCACATTTTCTTTATCCATTCATCTGTTGATGGACACTTACATTGCTTCCAAATTTTAGCTATTCTAAACAGTGCAGCAACAAACATAGGAGTGCAGGTATCTCATTGATATACTTACTTCCTTTCTTTTGGGTATATACCCAGCAGTGAATTGCTGCATCATATAGTAGCTCTATTTTTAGTTTTTTGAGGAACCTCCAAAATGTTCTCCATAGTGGTTGTACTAAATCACATTCCCACCAACAGTGTACAAGTGTTCCCTTTTCTCCACATCCTCTCTAGCATTTGTTGTTGCCTGTCTTTTGGATATAAGCCATTTTAACAAGGGTGAGATAATATCTCATTGTAGTTTTGATTTGCATTTCTCTGATGATCAGTGGTGTTGATCACTTTTTCAAAAGCCTGTTTGCCATTTGTATGTCCTTTTTTGAGAAATGTTTATTCAGAACTTTTGCTCATTTTAAAATCAGAGTATTAGATTTTTTTTCCTATAGAGTTGTTTGAGATCTTTATATATTCTGGTTATTAATCCTTTGTCAGATGAGTTGTTTGCAAATATTTTCTCCCATTCTGTGGATTGTCTCTTCACTTTGTTGATTGCTTCACTTTGTTTGCTGTGCATAAGCTTTTCACTTGATAGGATCTCATTTGTCCATTTTTGCTTTGGTTGCCTGTGCTTGTGGAGTATTGGTTGAGAAATCTTTGCCCAGTCCAATATCCTGGAGACTTTCCCAGTGTTTTCTTTTAGTAGTTTCATAGTTTGAGGTCTTAGATTTAAGTCCCTAATCCATTTTGATTTGATTTTTTATATGGTAAGAGATACAGGTCTAGTTTCATTCTTCTGCATATGGATATCCAGTTTTCCCAATACTATTCATTGAAGAGGCTATCTTTTCCACAGTGTCTGTTCTTGGTACCTTTGTCAAAATCAGTTCACTGTAGATGTATGGATTTGTTTCTGGGTTCTCTATTCTATTCCATTGGTCTATGTGTCTGTTTTTATGGCAGTACTATGCTGTTTTGCTTACTATAGCTCTGTAGTATAATTTGAAGTCAGGTAATGTGATTCCTCCAGTTTTGTTCTTTTTGCTTAGGATGACTTTGGCTGGTCTGGGCCTTTTGTAGTTCTGTAAAAATTTTAGGATTTTTTTTGTAGTTCTGTGAAGAATGTCTTTAGTATTTTGATAGGGATTGCGTGGAATCTGTGGATTGTATATGGCTTTGGGTAGTATGGGCATTTTTAACAATACTGATTTTTCCAATTTGTGAACATGGAATATTTTTCCATTTTTTGGTGTCCTCTTCAATTTCTTTCATCAGTGTTTTATAGTTTTCATTATAGAGATATTTCACTTCTTTCGTTAATTCCGAGGTATTTAATTTTATGTGTGGCCATTGTAAATGGGATTACTTTTTTGATTTCTTTTTCACGTTTTTCACTGTTCACATATAGAAATGCTACTGATTTTTGTATGTTGATTTTGTATCCTGCAACTTTGCTGAATTTGTTTATCAGTTCTAATAGTTTCCTTGTGGAGTCTTTAGCGTTTTCCAAATATAAGATTATATTACCTGCAAACAAGGATAATTTGACGTTTCCCTTTCCAATTTGGATGCTCTTTATATCTTTCTCTTGTCTGATTGCTCTAGCTAGAATTTCCAGTACCATGCTGAATTAACAGTGGTGACAGTGGGCATCCTTGTTGTGTTCCAGATCTTAGAGGAAAGGCTTTCAGTTTTCCCCCATTCCATATGATATTCACTGTGGGTCAGTCATATATGGCTTTTATTATGTTGAGGTATGTTCCTTCTATCCTGTCTTTTGGGAGTTTTTATCATGAAGGGATGTTGATTTTCATCAAATGCTTTTTCAGCACCAGTTGAAATGATCATATGGGTTTTATCCTTCATTCCTTTGATATGGTGTATCACATTGATTGATTTGCATATACTGAACCATCCTAGCATCCCAGGGATAAATCCCATTTGGTCATGTTGGATGATCTTTCTAATGTATTGTTGAATTTGGTTTGCTAGTATTTGGTGGAGGAATTTTGCATCAATATTCATCAATATTCAATTCAATATTGGCCTATAGTTTTCTTTTTTTGATATGTCTTTGTCTGGTTTTTGTATCAGGGTAACCCTGGCCTCATAGAATGAGTTTGGAAGGAGTATCCCTCCTCCTCTATTTTTTGGAATAGTTTGGGTAGGATTGGTATTAGTCCATCTTTAAATGTTTGGTAGAATTCAGCAGTGAAGGCATCAAGTCTCAGGCTTTTCTTTACTGGGAGACTTTTTATTATGGCTTCAATCTTGTTACTTGTTATTGGTCTGTTCAGGTTTTGGATTTATTCCTGATTCAATCTTGGTAGGTTGTATGTGTCTAGGAATTTGTTTATTTCTTCTAGGGTTTCCAATGTATTGGCATATAGTTGCTCATAGTAGCCACTAATTATCCTCTGAATTTCTGCAGTATCAGTTGTAATGTCTCCTTTTTCATTTCTGATTTTATTTATTTGTATCTTCTTTTTTTCCCCTTTGTTAGTATGGCTAAAGGTTTGTCATTTTTGTTTAACTTTTCAAAAAAACAACTTTTTGTTTCATTGATCTTTTTTTTTTTTTTTTTTTTTTTTTCTTCACGGAGTCTCACTCTGTCACCCAGGCTGGAGTGCAGTGGCATAATCTTGGCTTGCTGCAACATCTGTCTCCTGGGTTCAAGTGATTCTCCTGCCTCAGCCTCCCAAGTAGCTGGGACTACCAGCACGTGCCACCATGTGCAGCTAATTTTTGTATTTTTGGTAGAGACAGTGTTTCACTATGTTGGCCAGGCTGGTCTTGAATTCCTGACCTCAGATGATCTGCCGGCCTTGGCTTCCCAAAATGCTGGAATTACAGGTGTGAGCCACAGCACTGGCCTTGTATTTTTTTTTTCAATTTCATTTGTTTCTGCTATGATCTTTATTTTTTTTTTCTTCTACTAATTTTGGGTTTGGTTTGGTCTTACTTTTCTAGTTCTTTAAGATGCTTCATTAGATTATTTGAAGATTTTCCTCTTTTTTATTGTAGGCACTTACAGCCTACAATAAAACTTCCCTCTGAGTACTGCTTTTGTTGTATCCCATAGGTTTTGGTATGTTGTGTTTCCATTATCATTTTTTCCAAGAAAAATTTCAATTTTCTTCTAAATTTCTTCATTGATCTACTGGTCATTAAGGAGCATATTGTTTAATTTCCATGTATTTGTATGGTTTCCAAAATTCCTCTTATTATTAATTTCTAGTTTTATTCCATTGTAGTCAGAGAGGATGCCTGATATTATTTCAGTTTTTGAGTGTTTTAAGGTGTGCTTTGTGACATAAGGTATGGTCTGTTTTTGAGAATGATCCATGTGCTCAGGAAAAGAATGTGTATTCTGCAGCCATTGGATAAAATGTCCTGTAAATATCTATTAAATCTATTTGGTCTGTAGTGCAGATTAAGTCTGATGTTTCTTTGTTGATTTTCTGTCTGGAAGATTTGTCCAATGCTGAAAGTGAGTTGTTAAGTCTCCAGCTATTATTGTATTGGGGCCTATCTCTCTCTTTAGTTCTAATAATATTTGCTTTATATATCTGGGTGCTCCAGTGTTGGGTGCATATATAATTGTTATAGCCTCTTGTTGAATTGACCCCTTTATCATTATGTAGTGACCTTCTTTGTCTCTTACAGTTTTTTTCTTGAAATCTATTTGGTCGGATAGAAGTATAGCTACTCCTACTCTTTTTTTGGTTTCTGTTGGCATGAAGTACCTTTTTCTAACCTTTTATTTTCAGTGTATGTATGTCTTTATAGGTGAAGTGTGTTTCTTGTGTGCAACAGATCAATAGGTCTTGTTTTTTCATCCATTCCTCCACTCTATGTCTTTTGATTGGATAAGTTAGTCCATTTGCATTCAATGTTATGTAAATGACATAATATTATGTAAGTTCTTACTTATCAATAACAATATGGACATGATTTAGTTTCTTGCTTTTAAGTTTTTGTGTATCCATTGGATGTTTTTTGGTTTGAGGTTACCATGAGGCTTGCAAATACTATCTTATAATCCATTATTTTAACCTGATAACAACTTAACACTGTTTGCATAAACAAACAAACAAATAAGCAAAAAGAAAACCAATAAAAACTCTATGCCTTAACTTCATCCTCTCGCTTTTTAACTTTTTGTTGTTTCTATTTATATCTTATTGTACTATGTCTTGAAAAGTTGTTGTGTTTATTATTTTTGGTTGGTTCATCATTTATTCTTTGTATGTATGGTAAGAGTAGTTTACACACCACAGCTATGGTGTTATCATATTTTGTGTTTTTTTTTAATACTTACTATTACCAGTGAGTTTTTTATCTTCAGATGGTTTCTTCTTGCTCATTAACGTCTTTTTCTTTCCAATTGAAGAACTCACTTTAGCATTTCTTGTAGGACAGATCTGGTGTTGATGAAATCCCTCAGCTTTTGTATGTCTGGGAAAGTCTTTATTTCTCCTTCGTGTTTGAAGGATATTTTTGCTGGATATACTATTCTAGGTTAGAAATTTTTTTCCTTCAGCACTTTAAATATGCTATACCACTCTCTCCTGGCCTATGAGGTTTCTGCTGAAAAGTCTGCTGCCAGATGTATTAGAGTTCCATTGTATGTTATTTGTTTCTTTTCTCTTGCTGCTTTTAGGATTCTTTCTTTATCCTTGACTTTTGGGAGTTTGATTATTAAATGCCTTGAGGTACTCTAAATCTTCTTCGTGTTGTATAATTCTCTTCTACTTGGATATTGATATCTTTCTTTAGGTTTGGGAAGTTCTTTGTTATTATCCCTTTCAATAAAGTTTCTACTCCTATCTCTTTATCCCCTCTTTGAGGCCAAAACTTTTAGATTTGCTTTTTTGAGGCTATTTTCTAGATCCTGTAAGCATTATTTGTTGTTTTTTATTGTTTTTTTCTTTTGTCTCCTCTGACTGTATATTTTCAAAAAGAGCCTGTCTCCAAGCTCACTAAGTATCTCTTCTGCTTGATCAATTAAAGGACTCTGATGCATTCTTCACTATGCCAATGGAATTTTTCAGTGCCAGAATTTCTGCTTGATGCTTTTTGATTATTTCAATCTCTTTGTTAAATTTATCTGATAGAATTATGAGTCCCCCCAAAAAGAATTATGAATTCCTTCTCTATATTATCTTGAATTTATTTGAGTTTCCTCAGTACAGCTATTTTGAATTCTGTGTCTGAAAGATCACAGAAGTCTGTTTCTCTAGGATTGGTCTGTGGTACCTTATTTAGTTCATTTGGTGAACTAAATAAGGTTTTCCTGGATGGTACTGAGGCTAGTAGATGTTCTTCAGTGTCTAGGCAGTGAAGAGTTAGATATTTATTGTAGACTTCACTATCTGGGCTTATTTGTACCCATCCTTTTTGGGAAGGCTCTGCAGATATTTGAAAAGACTTGGCTGTTTTGACCTAAGCTGTATCTGCTTTAGGGGACACCCTAGCCCCAGTAATGCTGTGCTTCTTGCAGACTCGTAGAGTTACTGTTTTGGTCTTGGATAAGATACTGGAGAATTCTCTGGATTACCAGGCAGAGACTCTTGTTCTTTTTGCTTACTTTCTTCCAAACAAATAGAGTCTCTCTCTCTCTGTTCTGAGCTACCTAAAGCTGGGGGTGGGGTGACACAAGCACCCCGTGGTCACTAAAACTATGACTGCTCTGGGTCAGACCTGAAGCCAGCACACAACTGGATCTTGCTCAAGGCCTGCTGTAACCACTCCCTGGTTACTGCCTATGTTCACTCTAGGTCCTGGGGCTCTACAATCAGCCAGTGGCAAAGCCAGACAGTCCTGTGTCTTGCCCCTCATGGCAGGGAGGTACTCTAGGCCCTTGATGGGTCCAGAGGTACTGTCTGGAAGTCAGAGACTAGAGTCAAAAACCTTAGAAGCCTACCTGGTATTCTGTTGTAGTGCTGCTGAGTTGGCAGTCAAAACACAAGATGCCGTCCTTCCCACTTTTCCCTCCCCTTTCCAAAGTCAGAGGAGCCTCACCCTGTAGCCACCACTACCCCTGGCCATGAGGAGTACTGCCAGACTACCTCTGATATTCCCTTATGACCCAAAGGCCCTTAAGTCAGCTTATGGTGAATGATGCCTGGCCTGGGACTCAACCTTTAGGGCAGGGGGCTCCCCTCTGACCCAGGGCAGGTCCAGAAATGCCATCCAAGAGCCAAGTCCTGGAATTGGAGATCCCAAGAGCCCACTTGGTGTTCTACCCCACTGTGACTGTGCTGGTACCTAAGGTGCAAGACAAAGTCCCCTTTACTTTCCCCTCTGCTTTTCTCAAGCAGAAGGAGTTTTGCCCCATATGCACCACAGCTGGTAATGTGCTGAGTCTCACCTGAAGCCAGCAAGTCTCGAGGTCTTACCCAAGGCCCTTGATGTACCTGGGTATTGCTACTGGTTATTCAGGGGCCCAAGGACTCTTCATTTAGCAGGTGATGAATGCTGCTAGAACTGGGTCCTTTCCTTTAAGGCAGCAGATTCTCTTATGGCCCAGGGTATGTCTAGAAATGCCATCTGGGAGCTAGGGCCTGGAACAGGGGCCTCACGACTCTGACCAGTCCCCTATACTGCTGTGGTTGAGCTGTTATCCAAAGTGCAAGACAAAGTCCTCCCCACTCTTCCCTCTCCTCTCCTCAAGTAGAAGGAAGGGGTGAGCTGTGAAGCTTGGGGTTAGGGGAGGGGTGGTGCCATCATTCCTTTGGCTGCTGCAACTAGTGTCTTAGTATGTCATGTGTCCCCTGATTCCACCGTTTCTGGGCCTAGTTCAGCACCTGAACTTTCCTAAGAGTTTCAGTTCATATAGCCTAGACTGCCTTTCAAGTTTACTGTTCAGACTGCTGGGATTGGCGATTCCCCTCTGTCTAGGTCTGGTTTAAATGCTCTCTCCATGGGCAGGCATCAGCGAGTTTGGTCTGGTTTTCCTTTCTCCTCTAACAGGACAGCACAGAGTTCAGTGACTCACAATTGCTGTGCTCTCCCTCCCGCAGTGCTCAGAGATATTCTCTGCACTACACAGCTGATGCCTGGGATGGGGAGGGGTGGCATCGGCTATTCAGAACTGTTTTTTTCTATCTCTTCAGTGCCTCTTTCAGTGATATGAAGTGAAAACTAGGTACTATGAGTGCTTGCCTGATTTTTGGTTCTTATGCAGGTATTTTTTCTGTGTAGATAGTTGTCAAATTGGTGTCTTTGTGGGGGTTGGGGGACAACTGATGAAGCCTTCTATTCTGCCATCTTGCCCTGCCTCTCTGCTCTATGAAGTCTCTTTGAGGGTATTAATGGGCATTAAAAAAGTGTTCCCGCCCCATGCATCATTTTGGTTTCTTCTGAGTTGCTTTATCCTTCATTGATTTTAGGTACTACTCTTTCATTTTAGGAGTTTTCTCATAGATCTGGTGATCCTAGGTTGCCATTTCATATTAAGAATGAGGCACTAAAAAGTGAATTGGAAGTCATGCAGGCTTGTAAAGCTTGTCGAATGATCGATTTGCTTCTACATCATTGTACCAGGAGACTCATTTTATGGGAGATTCCCCTCACGTCAGTAAGAAGAATTTTTTCCACTGGTACTTCAGAGAAGAGTCTTCTGATCTCCTGACTTGGGAGATAGCTTTTTTTTTTTTTTTTTTAAAGACAAAGTCTTTCGAGTCTTGCTGTGTTGCCTAGCTGGAGTGCAGTGGCACAATCTCAGCTCACTGCAACCTCTGCCTCCTGGGCTCAAGTGATTCCCTTGCCTCAGCCTCCCAATCAGCTGGGATTACAGGCACCTGTCACCATGCTTGGCTAATTTTGTATTTTTAGTAGAGAGGGAGTTTCACCATGTTGGCCAGGCTGGTCTCGAATTCCTGATCCACCTGCCTCAGCCTTCCAAAATGCTGGAATTAGAGGCATGAGGCACCATGCCTAGCTGGAGATAGCCCTTTGATTAGACATGTTCTTTTTTTTTTTTTTTTTCTTTTTTTGAGATGGAGTTTCGCTCTTGTTGCCCAGGCTGGAGTGCAATGGCGCAATCTTGGCTCACTGCAACCACTGCCTCCCGGGTTCAAGTGATTCTTCTGCCTCAGCCTCCCGAATAGCTGGGATTACAGGCATGCGCCACCATGCCGGCTAATTTTGTATTTTTAGTAGGGATTGGGTTTCACCATATTGGTCAGGCTGGTCTCAAACTCCTGACCTCAGGTGATCTGCCTGCCTCAGCCTCCCAGAGTGCTGGGATTACAGGCATGAGCCACTGCGCCTGGCCTGACTGGACATGTTCTAAGGAGTGGATGGAAAGATTTGGAGTGAAATCATTTTCTGTGTATACTTTCAATTAATTTCTGTGAGTTCACCCCGAGCCTTGATTTGTACTATACAGAGCCTTATGTCCTGAGAGTGGGAAGAGAAGAGGCAGAGCAACTGCTCTTACAGAAACTTCCCCCTTACCCTCATTCCTCTCTTTTCTGTTTTGTATCTCATCCCTGCCCACTGGTCTACGTGGGACCTGAGCCTCTTTAATTTGCTTTGTTGGTGAATTGTCTCTTTTCTTACTGTATTTCTGCCTGCATCCTCTCTGCACACCAGTTCCAGTAGTTCTGTGACATAACATTCGGGATTTTCCTGATGCAGATTATTGACATCTCTGTTTCCATCTCTTGGATTTAATGCACTTGGTTTTAAGGAGAGGCTTTCTCATACTTTAGTAAGGTTTGCAGTGACTGATAAGGCAATGGAGTTGTTTCTCTTGATCAGAGAAATTTTTTTTTAAAATGTTGGTTGATTTTTTAAAATCCATAATTGCTTAAAACAACATTAGAAAATAGAGACAAGCAAAAAGAGAGGAAAATCATTCACAGTTCTGTCACCTATTTTGGTGTACATTCTTCTAACTAAAAAATGCATCTCTATGTTTATAAGTAATATGGAGTTCTATAAAAGCGATTATGCTGTAGTTACTTGTCTGTCTGTAAAATGTATCTTTTCTCACTTATTAATACAAGATGACTGTATTCTCGGGTCCATAACTATAGATGCACAGCATATTCCATTGTATCAATTACCCATTTTAGAGCATTTAGATTCTTGTCAACATTTTGCTATTTAAACAGTGTTGCAATGAACACGCTTTTGTATATTTATGTTCATTTGTTAGGAAGAATTCTAACAAGTTCTAGAGGCCTTTTGGTTGTCTTTAATCAAAGAGGGACAAAAAGCTGAGGGAAGTGCTGTTGGGACTATGCCCTGGGAAGTGCCAGGCATGTAGCAGGACCTGGGTAAATGTTACTAAGTGAATGAAGGTCGAAGTTAGCATGAGGAGTTTTGGTAACATGGATGAAAAAATAGCTCTGAAGACTGAGGAGACAACTTGGAAACAGAACTTTGTGTTCACAAAGAAGGGTTCTGTGAAACTCTGAAAACCTAGCAGTGTGTTTCATAAGCAACAAGTCTCACCCTTTTATCCAGTTTAGTCACTGAAACAAAATAGAATTTTTTTTAGGTCCAAGTGATTGAACGAATTAGAATACATAATGCCTACTCTTATGTTTGGAATCATCTTCATCTCTCTTTATTACACTTTCCATCATGTATTCTGGTGGTCTACTTTACCCTCTGTTGAGGTTATGGAACAGGGTTGAGGTGAGGAAGTAAATATTTGAAAAATTAAAGCAACTAGCTAGCTGGGAAAAAAAAGAGAAAGTATAAAAATCTTCCTCTTATTCCCTGTTTTCTTTATGTTTCTTTTTCTTTTTTGAAATTTCCAGTCTTTGCTACAGCAGTGTGTTCCTCTCAAGTCACCCACTCGTTCCTCCAGGGGTCATTGGAGAGTTATTATTTTAAGTCTAGTTCCCAGGTATGACTTCCAATGCAGTGAAAGCTTCTACTGAGACTGTCTAAAACATCTCTTGAATCATCTGCCTAGAACACAGCAAGAACCAGGAAATGAGCTGACAAGACTGAGCAAAAGAGGCAGCATCAAGCTGATGAACTGAGGCGTGGGCATTTTACTCATGGGAAAGGCCCTCGGAACCCACGCTGAGCATGCGCTGAAAACAAGTGTGATCAGTGGGTTCCAAACACCCAGCAGATACATGTGAGGGTGATCTGGCTGTGACTTCTGTCACCCCCTTGATTACCAGGGTTGATTCAGTTGATCTGGCTGGCTAGGTGGGTGTCCCTTTCCCCACTTACTGCTCCATGTGTGTCCCTCCTGAATCTGTGCGCTTGGTTGAAGAGGATGACCATCCCGGATAGAGGAGGACCAGTCTTTGGTCAAGGGTATACAAGTAGCTGTGCCCGCTTGCTAGAACCTCCAAACAAGCTCTCAAGGTCCAAACATCCAGCAGATAATTAGCAATGGATTAGAAAAGGGAGCTGGGAAGGTGGAAGGAAGCAGAAACAGTGAGCCCCCGAATGAAAGAGACAGAAAAACTGAAACCTCAGAAGAGAGCAGTGTGGGGCTAATGAACCTAGAGGCAAAGGGCCCTACCCATCAACAGCCCCCATGAAGGTAGTCACTGGGGGGCCTGAGGATGCACCATCAGGGAGAAGTTCAGTTCAATGTAATCTGTGGAAGAAAGCAGAGAGCACAGCCTGTCATGGAGAAGGATTTCCATTCAAAACCATAGATGTCATAGAAGTTTCGATGCTTAAAAGACCTGTGATTGTCTAGAAAGCTTGGCTTTTCCCAAAGGATTCTGTGAGGCTGAAGTGTTACCAGGTGATTAAGGTTGGTTCTTTTTCTCTGGGTTTGTAGAATTGAAATCGCTGAGGTTGGTGAGATATGGGGTTATTGGTTACTTACCAATGAAGTCATGTATATGGCTGGATTGTGTGGAAAGGGGATGAAATAGGAGGAAAAGCTGTTGTAAAAATGACTCGAGGTTTTTCTTTCTAATTTTTTTTTTCTTTTTTTGAGACAGGGTCTCACCCTGTCACCCAGGCTAGAGTGCAGTGACACAATGATAGCTTATTGTAACCTCAAACTCCCGGGCTCAAGGGATCCTCCTGCTTCAGCCTCCCAAGTAGCTAGGATTACAGGTACGTGCCATCACGCCTGGCTAATTTATTGAGTTTAAAGAGCAGATGTGCTTGGTGCTGGGCGCAGAGTGGTGCTGAATGCATATTCGTAGCACTGAAGGGAACTGCTTTCCAGACTGGCTGTCTCCCACCCAGTGCTCTGGCTATCACGCCTAGAGCTGAATGTGATGGAGTGTGGCGGAGGGAGAGGAGGGAAAAGTCTTCCTGGGGAGACTGCAAGGGAAGGGCTCCTGGAGTGGAACCTGCTGGTGGTAGCTGGGCTGCCTGGGTAATGGCTGTTTTGTGTGGCAATTGGTCCTGGAGGGGCTCCCACCAGGTGAGAAGCCTGGCTGGCCCCATAGCCATGCCATGTGTCGGGCCTGCAGTGGACCCTGAGCAGGCTGGGGAGAAGCTCCTGGTCATGCCTGCCCTATCTAGATCACGCAACTGTGTGAACAGCAAAGCAAGGGGATCCCTAAGTTATAATGCTGGTAAGTCTAGCCTCCATCCCATACAAAGAGATGCTGAACTATTTAGGTTAGGGATGCAGGGGGGGTTGCTGTTTTCCTTGGATTATTAATGGAGAATCATTTTCTGATAATTCACTGCCTCTAGGACAAGCACAGTCTTAGTCTTTCAAAAGAATGGATACATTTGTAGGGTTTTAAAAGAAAAATTCCACTAAAATTTCCACTCCTAGTTGACAGGGCATCACTCCCTCTAAAGACTTTGTTATGAAAACTGCATAAAATTATACCATGATTTTATTGTATAATTTAATACCATTGTTTTTCATTTACAAACCAATTCTTTTTGGAAAAGTTTTAACTATTTATAAGAGCCTTGTGAGGAAACTAATATTGCTCCTATTTTTATAGGTGAAGAGAAATGAAGCTAACATGTTGAAATGAGTGGCCCCAAGGATTACCAGAAAAGAAGTTAATGTTCAGAAAGAGAAAATAAAAGTTCTCTGTATTTTATTCCCCTCAGAGATAACAAAAGTTGACATTTTGTTGTATTTTTCTCTAAGCTTTTTTTTTCCTTTGCTATAAATGCAAAAGGCATCACAATATTTGGTAAACATTTTCCTCTTATTCAGTAGTTTCTGAAAACATGATGTTAAATAGTTGTGTAACATTCTCTCATGCAGATGTCCCATAGTTCATAGTTCATTTAACTTCTCTTTTCCTGTGGGGTATTTGAGCTGCTTCCTATTTGCCTGTGTAAAGAATCCTGTGAGAAACATGTTTGCCCCTTCCCTTCCCTTCCCTTCCCTTCCCTTCCCTTCCCTTCCCTTCCCTTCCCTTCCCCTCCCCTCCCCTCCCTTCCCTTCCCCTCCCCTCCCCTCCCTTCTCCTTCCCTTCCCCTTTCCCTTCCCTTCCCCTTCCCTTCCCTCCTTTCTCTCTCTCTCTCGCTGTCTTACACACTCTCTCTCTTTCTCTCTTTCTTTCTTTCCTTTCTTTCTCTTTCTTCTCTTGCTGTGTCACCCAAGCTGGAGTGCAGTGATCATAGCTCACTGCAGCCTTGAACTCTGGCAAATTAAACAAACATTTTTTGTAGAGATAGGTTCTCACTATGTTGCCCAGGCTGATCTTGAACTCCTAGCCCCAACTGATCCTTCTGCCTTGGCCTCCCAAAGTGCTGGGATTATACTCATGAACCACTGCAGCCAGCCTGCATCACATCTTTATAGGCAGAGAGGCCTGATTTGTCCAGAGATTGTTGGGCAGTCTAGAGAGGCAGAAAGCTACTATCATTATCGTGGTGATCTAAAAATCACCTAAATGTGCAAAAAGCTCTTCTAAGTGTGGGGCACAAAGATGGAAAACACATATTTTTGACTATAAAGAGTTAGCAATTTAGTTACTACTTAGGAGGCAAAGTCTACATGAAAGATAATAATTAATACAAGGCAATAACTAGCCCCAAGGCATGAAATGTGGACCAGCACATGTTGTACAGAGACTTGACACTAAAAACTGTTGATTTATTTTTATTTGCAAGAGCTGAGAGTTTGGGCCACTGATGATGTGTGATCCAAAGTGTGGTGTGGATTTATAATAAAACAGAACTGGTTTCAACTTCTGGCTCTGCTAATTACGATCAATTTCAACTTGGACCAGTCACTTTCCTTTTTGTGACCTCAGCTTTCTTATCTGTAAAATGGGAACAATAACATCAATGTTACAGAGGGACATTAAATGAGATGATGAACTTTTAATGGACTTAAGAGTACTTTTTAATGTTAATAATCATTATAAATGGAACAATTCCAGATGAATACCTGGCATTCTGGCATTTTGATATTCTTTTTTTTAAAAAATTAGAGACAGGGCGGGGCATGGTGGCTCACGCTTGTAATCCCAGCACTTTGGGAGGCCGGGCGGGCGGATCACCTGAGGTCAGGAGTTTGAAACCAGCCTGACAAATATGGAGAAACCCTGTCTCTACTAAAAAATTATACAAAATTAGCCAGGCATGGTGGCACATGCCTGTAATCCCAGCTACTCGGGAGGCTGAGGCTGGAGAATTGCTTGAACCCGGGAGGCGGAGGTTGCGGTGAGCCGAGATTGTGCCATTGCACTCCAGCCTGGGCAACAAGAGTGAAACTCTATCTCAAAAAAAAAAAAAAAAAAATTAGAGAAATTAGAGACAGGGTCTTGCTGTGTTGCTCAGGCTGGTGTCAAACTCCTGGGCCCAAGCCATCTCAAGCCATCTGCCTGCCTTGGCCTCCCAAAGTGCTGAGATTATAGGTGTGAGCCACTATGCCTGGCCTTGATATCCTTTTACAGCCACTATATAATAAAATAATGTACAACACAGACATAGACATAGACATAGACATAGATTTTCGGCCTTCAGAATTTGAAACAGCAGAGCAACAGGGAGTTTGGGGCCGCAGTAAAATGTTCAAGAATTGTTATGTTGTAAAGCCAACCCCTCCCCAAAAATGAAAAGTGCATGTGTCAAATGCTATATCTCATTCTCCCTTTTAAATGGTTTTGCATCTAGCATATTTGCAGGTCAGTGCTCCAGGGACACTAAATGGCTTGTTGGCAGAACAAAATGTTGGTCTCACAGTGTTTGTGCGTCCTCCAGCACCGGGAGGAGATGCGCTGCAGCTTGTCCTAAGATAGATGGAAGGTTGTAACTCTTTCTTGTCAAAAATGAAATTGCATGAAATTCTTCATTCACTATGCAAGCAGAGAAGCTGAAAGTATAAGTAGAATGGAAAAACAATCTTTCCCTCTTAAGGTCCTGAGGAAGAGAAAGTCTTTGTTGTCAGGAGAAATAAAGCTGGAATTGGGTAGCATGGAGCACTAATGATAGTAACCAGTGTTATTAGTTCTTTGTGCAAATGTGTGTGGAGCACGTTTAGGAGGTAGAAGTGGGTTGTGTGGAACAGAAATACGGACGCCCACATTTTAGTCAGGAGAGGCTGATGCATGGAGAGGAGATCCTGAGATTGGCAAAGGGAGAGTGGGCCTGAGAGAGGCCCAGGAATCCTTGGACTGGAGTGTACCAGGACCAACGCTCTGGGGCTGTGTGGGGCGGGAGAGAGGAGAGGGTAGGCTGGAGCCAGAGAAGGTGTGAGGGTGTGTTTGAGTTGGCAAGTGGGTGTGGGAGTGGGTATGAGTGTATGTGGGAATGTGTCAGTGTGTGAGAGGATGTGTAAGTGTGAGTGGGTGTGTGTGTGAGCGGATGTGTGTGTGTGAGAGGGCATGTGTGTGTGTGTGAGAGGATGTGTGTGTGTGAGAGGATGTGTGTGAATGTGTGAGAGGTGTGTGAGTGTTTGAGAGGATGTGTGTGTGTTTGAGAGGATGCATGAGTGTGTGAGAGGATGTGTGTGTGAGAAGATGTGTGTGTATGTGAGAGGATGTGTGTGTGAGTGTGTGAGAAGACGTGTGTGTGTGAGGATGTGTCTGTGAAAGGATGTGTGTGTGTGAGAGGAGGTATGTGTATGTGTGTGAGAGGATGTGTGTGTATGAGGATGTGTGTGTGTGAGAGGATGTATGACTGTGAGTGTGTGAGAGGATTGTGTGTGTGAATGTGTGAGAGGATGTGTGTGTGAAAGGATGTGTGTGTGAGAGGATGTATGTGTGTGAGGATGTATGAGTGTGAGTGAGGATGTGTGTGAGAGTGTTAGAAGATGTATGAATGTGTGTGAGAGGATATATGTGTGTGAGAAGATGTGTGTGTGTGAGAGGATGTGTGTGAGTGTGTGAGAGGATGTGTGTGAGAGGATGTGTGTGTCACTGTGTGAATGTATGTGTGTGTGAGAGGATGTGAGTGTGTGTGAGGATGTGTGTGTGAGGATGTGTGAGAGGATGTGTCAGTGTGTGAGAGGGTGTGTGAGAGAAGGAATGTATATGTGTGTGAGAGGATGTGTGTGTGAGAGGATATGTGTGTGTAAGGATGTGTGTGAGAGATGTGTGTGAGTGTGTGAGAGGATGTATGAGTGTGTATGTGAGGATGTATGTGTGTGTGAGGATGTGTGAGTGTGTGAGAAGACGTGTGTGTGTGAGAGGATGTGTCTGTGAAAGGATGTGTGTGTGTGAGAGGAGGTATGTGTGTGTGAGAGGATGTGTGTGTATGAGGATGTGTGTGTGTGAGAGGATGTATGACTGTGAGTGTGAGAGGATTGTGTGTGTGAATGTGTGAGAGGATGTGTGTGTGAAAGGATGTGTGTGAGTGTGAGAGGATGTATGTGTGTATGTGAGGATGTATGTGTGTGTGAGGATGTGTGTGAGAGGATGTGTGTGAAAAGATGTGTGTGAGTGTGTGAGAAGATGTGTGTGAGGATGTGTGTGTGTGTGGGAGGAGGTATGTGTATGTGTCAGAGAATGTGTGTGTGTGAGGAGGTATGTGTATGTGTGTGAGAGGATGTGTGTATGTGTGTGAGAGGATGTGTGTGCGTGTGTGAGAGGATGTGTATGTGGACGATGTGTGTGTGAGAGGATGTATGAGAGTGAGTGCGTGAGAGGATGTATGTGTGTGACTGTGTGAGGATGTGTGTGAGTGTGTGAGATGATGTGTGTGTAAGAGGATGAGTGTGTGTGAGAGAGGATGTGTGTGTGAGAGGATGTGAGTGTGAATGTGTGTGAGAGGATGTGAGTGTGAATTTGTGTGAGATATATGAGTGTGACTGCGTGAGAGGATGTGTGTGTGAGTTTAGGATGTGTGAGTATGTGTGAATGTGAGAATGTATGCATGTTTGAATTGTGAGAATCTATGAGTGTATGTTTGTGAATAATGGTGTACGTTTGTCTAATCAAAGGAAATCTCATGTTTGAGACCACTAGTAAAGGATTTCTCCAAACTTCAGGATTCCTGGAATTTTAGCCAACAATATTCTCTGATATCAGCTTTACTGTGTTGGAGACACTTTCTCTGGAGCAGCTGCATAGAACGGTGTTGGTGCAGAAATCTGGAGTCAGCCTGCTGAGAGGCCTTCTCTGTGTGAACCTGGGCCAATAACCTCTCTGTCCCTTAGTTTCCTTGTCTCTGGAATGTGGATGACAGGAATAGTTCCTACCTTATAGGGTAGTTGTGAGGGTTAAATAAATGAGTTAATGCACCTAAGGCGTTTAGCATGTTGCCTGGCACATAGTAAGTGCTAAATAAATGTTAATTGTTATCAAAGTGTTGGGTAAAAGGAAACTTCATGCCCATTCTGGCTGTCATTTAAAAACGACTTAATGTTTGATTAAAATAGTCACATCAAAGGTCGAAATATATAACAAAGTGGAACGTTTCTTCTCACCTGTGTCCTCCATTCCTGCAGTTCTCACACCCCTATAAACATGTAACCACTGGAATTAATTCTTTGGGCAAACTTTTAGAAATACTTCATGCTGTAATCCCAGCACTTTGGGAGGCCGAGGCGGGCGGATCACAAGGTCAGTAGATCGAGACCATCCTGGCTAACACGGTGAAACCCCGTCTCTACTAAAAATACAAAAAAAAATTTAGCCGGGTGTGGTGGCAGGTGCCTGTAGTCCCAGCTACTTGGGAGGCTGAGGCAGGAGAATGGCGTGAACCCGGGAGGTGGAGCTTGCAGAGAGCCAAGATGGCCCCACTGCACTTCAGCCCAGGTGACAGAGCAAGACTCTGTTAAAAAAAAAAAAAAGTAAGAAATACTTCATGCATGTAGAAGCAAACACAAACATATCTCCTCCTTCTTACACAAATGACAGTGTATTATGCATATTGTTTCTATGCTTTTCCTTCACAAACATAACGATGTGGCGATCTTTCTATATTCTTACCGAATGAACTTCCTCACTATTTTTTTTAAAGCTGCATAGTATTCCGTTGTTTGGATCCACCATAACTCACCTACTCATTTTCTTTTGACGGACATTTAGGTTGTTTACAACGTCTTCCAAACTGTCTGACACGATGTTTTTACAGCCCAAATACTGGGCAGAGCCGTCTGCATGAAACATTTCGAGGAGATTATCCATGAACTATGGAAGAGCCGAAAAAAGTTCTTGTATCCTCTCTTTTTCCCCGCTTTTTGCTGTAGTAAACTGTAATCAGTCCAGCCAAGAGGGTTTTATGGGATTTGGGCTTTGTACCATCAACATTCATTAAATAATACTGGAATTTGTTCCTGCCACGGATGAAAACTTAGCCAGTTGGTAATAACTTACACATTTGCTGCCTGAAAAGGAGCAAACAGCCGGTAAGGGTGACTTAACGTGGACAGTCCGGTCACCCTTCCCCAGCACGGTGTCCATTCACCAGCAGAGGGCTCTCTCCTTTTGGGAAAAATACAAATGTCTCCGGGAAAGGTTTTAAACTTCACAGCCGGGCACCGAGTGTGGTGTTTCTCTTCTCTGCAGTGGATTGGTGTGTCGCTCCCTTGAATATTTAGGGATTAGCTGAATACTGAATTTGTCTGTGTTTTGAGTGTGTTTATGTGTGGGGTGTTGTGGAGAGGAAGAGAGTCCAGCATTCCCCAGAGGTCTGAGGAGAAAGCCTGTGACTTGATCCAGAACCAGGGATTATAGTTTTTCCCTTCTTCAGTGTATGAGGCATCCTGGCCTTGTCCTGTGTTTCAAGATTAGAAACCACACACATATATCCCAGTTTTCTGGGATATGCTTGTGAGATGATCGGGCCGTAAACCCTGTTTATATGACCCCTGGTGACTGCTCTTTCAGGTTAGTGTTCCCAAAAAGTCAGGTGAAAATCTGTCTCATTACTTTCAAGGGGAAGAGGAAAAGCACTGACCACCCCCCTACCCCAACACTTTTTTTTTTAAGGACAGAGTCTCACTCTGTCACCCAGGCTGGAGTGCAGGGGCGCCATCTCAGCTTACTGCAACCTCTACCTCAAACAATCCTCCCACCCCAGCCTCCTGAGAAGCTGGGACTACAGGCACATGCCACTATGCCTGGCTATTTTTGTATTTTCTGCAGAGGCGGGATTTCAGTATGTTGCCCAGGTTAGTCTTGAACTCCTGGGCTCAAGCGATCCACCTGCCTCAGCCTCCCAGAGTGTTGAGATTACAGCTGTGAGGCACCATGCCCAGCCGGCAGTGCTGACATTAATTTAGCATTTCCTGAGGTAGTCTAGTGAGGTTAGGCCACTGAGTCCTACTTCTCTCCATTCTCATTGGGTTGATATTCCTGCCCTTTCCATCCCAAACAGTGCAGTTCAGGAAACCAGGCTGAAGAATGTGAAATACATCGCCCAAAGTCAGACACGGAGGAACAACTGCTTCGGAGCTAGCAATTTCCTGAGCTGGAATTGCACCACTGGCCTGTAGAATCCAAACTGTTTTCTACCAGAACAACTCCTTCCCTGCAGGAAGCAGGGTGTGCACAGCTGAACCCTGGTCTGAGAAGGTTGAAGTCACTGACTCAGCCCCAGCAAGGAAGTTGCCCTTCGACTTCTGACCTCTGGCCCTGTTTGAAAACCAACTCAAATCGTTTTTCTTTTTCAGGTAAAGACAAAATGATGCCATGAATTTCTATTTTCTTTTATTCAGGGCACACCTAGGCTAATATTGAACAAACTTCAAGGAAATGGAAGACACAAGGGTTTTGAGAAACTGAATGTAGAGCCTGCCTCTTGGAAAATGGTCCATTCCCAGACCTGAGTCATTAGGGCAGGTGCACAGAGCACCTGCACACTGGGCGATTGCCCAGAGGTTCTCCAGCTAGAGGGAGTGGAAGACCCCAAACTGGTAGTGTCACCCAGACCAAAGCTGGCCTCTCGGTCTTAATTTTTTTTTATGTTTTATTTTTTGAGATGGGGTCTCACTCTCTCTCCCAGGCTGGAGTGCACTGGCCCGATCACGGCTCACTGCAGACTTGACTTCCCCAGGTCAAGTGATCATTGCACCTCAGCCTCCTGAGTAGCTGGGACTACAGCACACAGCACTACACCCAGCCAATTTTTTTGTATTTTTTGTAGAGGCAGTATTTCACCATGTTACCCAAGCAGGTCTTGAACTCCTGGGCTCAAGCAATCCACTTGCCTCAGCATCTCAAAGTGTTAGGATTACAGGCGTGAGCCACCATGCCCGGCCCCTGTCTTATTTTGATTAGAGAAAGAAGCAGCACAGAGCGAAGAGGAAGGGTGAGGCAGGCTCGTCAAATGAGCCCTACAGGTGCTTTTCAACGCCGTTCCTTGTAATTTTGCACAGACAGGGAGGAGACTACTGGGAACTCACTAGGTATTATATAACTAACTTAGATAACTCTTCATCTTGTAAAACTCAGAAACACCTGTTACACTGCTTTTAAAGTCAGTTGTACTAGGTTACCTCACAGGATTTTGAGAAATGGTTTTCTCTTGATTACTTCTTTTCCACTCACAATGTTACACACCTGTCAAGCATGTGGCAACAATGTTTGTTCAAATCTCTCTGGAGTTAGAATAAAATTATGTGCAAGTTTCTACTGAAAAAGAATTATTCAAGAAATGAATGTTTAAAAAAGCAGTTGTGATTGATCCATTTCCAAAGTATTCACACTGATGCTGATATGATTTGAATTTGTATCCCCGCCCAAATCTCACGTTGAATTGGAGGAGGGGCTTGGTGGGAGGTGGTTGGATTATGGGGGTAGATTTCTCCCTTGCTGTTCTTGTAATAGTGAGTGAGTTATCAAGAGATCTGAGGGTTTAAAAGTGTGTGGAACTTCCCCTTTTCTCTCTCTTTCTCTCCTGTGACCATGTGAAGAAGCTGCTTGCCTCCGCTTCACCTTCCACCATGATTGTAAGTTTCCTGAGGCCTCCCAGTCATGCTTGCCGTTAAAACTGTGGAACTGTGAGTCAATTAAACCCCTTTTCTTCATAAATTACCCAAGCTCAGGTAGTTCTTTATAGCAGTGTGAGAATGGACTAATACAGATGCTTAGTTTATGGGTTCTCAAACTTAAGCGTGTGTCTTGAAACACAGATTGCTGGGTTCCATCTCCAGGGTTTCTGATTTTTAAAGTCTGAGGTGGGCCCTAAATTTTGCAGTTTGAACAACTTTGCTGGGGGATGATGATGTTGCTGTTTCAGGGACCACACCTGGGAGTTACTACCTCACTTACTGCAAGATTGTTAAACTCAAGATAGTAGAAGTATTGTTGTTTGTCCCTACACTGCCTTTCCCTTAGCTGGTAGGAAAAGTTCGTAATTAAGACGGCAGGCTCTGAATGCAGACAGAATTGTGTTTGAATGCTTCCTCCAACACTTCAACTACTGTGATCTTGGCTACATTTATTTAAATTCTCAGAACATCAGTTTTCAGGCCTAAAGAAAAGAAATAGTAGCATCTAGTTCATAGGGTTGTGTGTCATGAGACCAAATATATAATTGGCTTAGCGTCTATTGTATACTATATTGACATCTAGTATATATACAATAAGTGGTAGTTATTTCTAAGAGTTCTTGCATATCTTTGAAGCAGCTTATTAGGTTTATTAAAAAATAGACCAAAATTAAAAGAATTAAATGTAAGGCATGGTTACTTTAATTTTTTTATTTTTTTATATTTAATTTTTAAATTTTTTTCTTTTCTTTTTTTTAAATTATACTTTATGTTCTAGGGTACATGTGCACAACATGCAGGTTTGTTACATATGTATACATGCTCCATGTTGGTGTGCTGCACCCATTAACTCGTCATTTACATTAGGTATATCTCCTAATGCTATCCCTCCCCCCTCCCCCCACCCCACGACAAGCCCCGGTGTGTGATATTCCCCTTCCTGTGTCCAAGTGTTCTCATTGTTCAATTCCCACCTATGAGTGAGAACAAGGGCATGGTTACTTTTAAATAACTGGGGAGGTAGTATTATTTTTAAAATATTATTTTAAAAAACCCACTGATGAAGTACAGCTCTGGCATGACCAATCATTACTATTACTCAGGTCAAAAGAAAGCCCAGAGCCTCTGAACACATCAATACTGAGGAGATGGGGGAACATTTTAGAAAAAAAGATTACGTAGAGGCAGGGGTTGGTAGTTGTTTTTTTTTTTTTAGACAGAGTTTCACTCTTGTTGCCCAGGCTGGAGTGCAATGCATGATCTTGGCTCACCACGACCTCCGCCTCCTGGGTTCAAGCGATTCTCCCGCCTCAGCCTCCCGAGTAGCTGGGATTACAGGCATGTGCCACCACACCCAGCTAATTTTTTTGTATTTTTTAGTAGAGACGGGGGTTTCTCCATGTTGGTCAGGCTAGCCTCGAACTCCCGACCTCAGGTGATCTGCCTGCCTTGGCCTCCCAAAGTGCTGGGATTACAGGTGTGAGTCACCGGGCCTGTTGAGTTGGTAGCTTTTAAATAATGAAACTCAAAACCTTCCCAGCTGTAGGAACAGGCAAGGCTGTTTTAAGTTTTAACATTTGGTCTTGAAATTCCCACCGCTTGTAAAATTGCATCCCTTCCTCTCCTGACAGTGTAATGGAAATTCCCACTCCTTCAGTTTAAGCCTGTGTGTCTCTAGAATGCAAATTGTATTCTCTAGGAGTAATAGCATAATAATCCAATAATACTAAGTCTTTCAGATTAGATTATATTAGCTTAGCTAGGTGTTACCTTGGAAAGTACAGTGCTTTGCTCTGAGGGAACAGGACACAGAAGAAGCTGACTTGGAGGAAAGGAAAGACCTGGAGTCTTGGGCTCAGGGGGCCTTTGGGCAACCAAGGGCACTGTGGGGCAGGAGAGAACTGCTAGTTAATGATTTCGCCAGCTGCTTGTTCTGCCAGGGAGAGTTCAGCTAGGCTTTCCAGTTCCCTGCAACCTTTAGGTCTAACACAGTTTATTCTAAGGTTGTGCTCTCAAAACTGATTCTCTTTTGTGTTGAAACAGAGGAGGATGGTATTGGGTGACAGTTTTGGTAGCTTCAGTCATACCACTGCATCTTCAGGCCCCTCTCCCCATTTCAAGTTTGGAGAGCCACCCATTCTAAAAAAGAAAAAGAAAACCACTGTTCTAGTTGTTCGAGTTAAGCCAGGTCAAGCAGTTGGCGGCTTTGAGGGGGCATTTAGGCAGAAATAACCCACTGAGTTTTTCCCTCTTCTCCACCTCTAATGATGACTAAGTCACCTGAAGCAAACATTATACAAACCTTATCCTAATATCATGGGAAATCCTCAGACAACAGAAAGATAAGACTTACTGAGGAGCAAGCTATGACTTTGTTTCCTTTTAATAGCTTGTGCTGACTGGGAACCTTAAAACAAATTCCATGGAATGTTTTCAGTGATATTTTCCTGGCTAATCTATCAGACAGATTAGAGCACAAGGTTTGCTCCCTACTTTAACAGCCACACATAAAGTTTGCCTGACTCTATGACAGAAGCACTGTGCATCCCACATCACGTTGTAAAGAGGGAAGCCCAAGTTTATTCTGCAGCCTCTTTCAGGTCCTCAGGAGTTGCTGCAGGCTGCTTATAACCTGCCAGGAGTCCTCATTTCTTTGCCAGCTTTTGGTGGCCAGGTGGCCTTCCATGCTGAACCTTAAGTAAACTAATGTCCACTTGCAATGCCTTGTGACAGAATGCTGCCAGATGACAAAGGACAGGGACAGGGCTGAGTTGGAGTCTGACTGGTCTGGTTTTAGGCATCAGCCCTCCCCTGTCCTCACTTGACAGATGGGAGGGCATGGAGGGAGGATCATCTCATGGCCATTGTGCTCAGCTCACTCTGGGTCTGTGTTTGGAGGGTGACCAGTGTTGTGGCCTGTGGAGGGGACTTGGCAGAGGGGGAGAAGATGAAGAGGATATGCTGGGCCTATTCACAGAGGGGCTAAGCACTGCAAGGCTGTGTGCATATTATAAGACTATATTGGGCCAGGCATGGTGGCTCACACCTGTAATCCCAGCACTTTGGGAGGCTGAGGCAGGTGGATCACCTGAGGTCAGGAGTTTGAGACCAGCCTGGCCAACATGGTGAAACCCCATGTTTACTAAAAATACAAAAATTAGCCAGGCATGGTGGCACATGCCTGTAACTCCAGCTACTTGGGAGGCTGAGGCAGGAGAATTGCTTGAACCTGGGAGGCAGAGGTTGCAGTTAGCCGAGATCACGCCATTGCACTCTAGCCTGGGCAGTAAGAGTGAAACTCTGTCTCAAAAAAAAAAAAGATTATATTAATATAAAATATAAATGTTCAGAAATAATACTAGAATTAGAGGATTAGAATATGAATCATTTAGTGGCTCCTGGTACTATTGCATTTACACATTTTTAAAATTGTATAACTTGAAGTTGTACAACATGATGCTTTGATACACATATACATAGTGAAGTGATTACTGCAGTTAAGCAAATTAACGTATCCCTTACCTCACAGGTACTTTTTTTGTGTAATAAGAGAACCTCAAATCTCTCTTAGGAAATTTCCAGTATATAATACAATATTATTAAGTATTGTCTTCATGCTGTACATTAGACCTCTAGACTTATTTATCCTGCAGAACTACAACTTTCTACTCTTCATGTTACATCTCCTTATTTTTCCCAGCCCTGATAACCACTTTTCTGCTGTTTCTATACACTTGATGTCTTTTTTCAGTTTCCACATATAAGTGAGGTCATGAAGTGCGTTTCTTTCTGCGTCTGGCTTGTTTCACTTAGTCTAATGTCATCTAGGTTCATCCATGTTTTTGCATATGGCGGCCTCTCTGGTACTGTTATATTCAGCTCTAAGAGTCCTCTGAGCACTTCTAGAAATAAGTTCCCCAAACCCAGGTCTATACAAAGAAGCCTCATGTTAGCTCTGGAAGGACACTGAACATCGGGATTAGATTGGGGGTTAGGCCTAGTGGTCTACAAGGTTCTTGCCACCTCTAAGATTCTCTGAATTATTCCAGGCTTGTAAGATGAACCTTTCTAAGCACCTTTGCAGATAATTCTATAAATAACATTGCTTACAATTGCTATATCTCCATCTTGGAAACTGCTGTCTTGGTGCCCGAAGTTTCTGCGGAAATAAGCACAAATGGGCTCTGTTGGACAAATCTTTTAGAGAGACTGAAGGCAATTTGTTGGAAGTCTTCACACACTGTTACTGGATGTGACCCTTACATGCTAAGAAGGTTGGGCAGAATGTTATTGTTCTTGATTAATTCTCCCTCCAGGAGGAACCTTTTTATTTAAAGTATGATGGTTCGTGCTTGTCAGAAGAAACATGTTCTATAAATCTCGAAGAAGGAAAAGGTCACTGAAATGGCTTTCTATGTGCTTCTTAGAATCAAGTCTTGCTAATGACATAGGTTGAAATTCATAAGGATTGGTGAAAGTAGGTTTTCAACAGAAACATTTTATTAACTGCAAAGAAGAAGATCACTCCAAGTCCAAATTCTTGCCTGTTACATTACCCTCCCTGGAGACCATCTACCTCGACATCAAAACTTCTTTCAAAAGTTTAAGAATAACAACGGCCACTCAGACTATATGTATTGTTATGATGACGCGTATATATAGAGTCACAATGAGGTGGATTTTATTGATTCAGTTTTGTGGATGGAGCTTGGAGAAGTATCTTGTCCAAGGTGTCCTAGCAAAGGAATCCAAAGTAGAGGACTTTTTTCCACTAATCTACGCCTTCTCTTATGTTCCTTTGGCTCTGGTCATTCTACTTCCTTCCACCATCTCTGGCTCTCACCAACATTAACCTAACGCTTTAGGCAAACTGCTTGCTGGCTACCATGATCCTCCTAGATTTCTGTTTTCAGACATTATAGCTTCCCCTTGCTGTTGCAGGAGAAAAGCAACTTCTCCCCAGCTTTTTCGTGAACTTTCCTCCCTAGGACTTACTTTCCCTCTCTGTGAAAGGGTGCTAATGGCCAGGAATCATCTTGCCTGTTATCCTCTCTCTTCCACCTCAGTCGGATGGCCCTCTCACCAGGCTCTGTGAGCCCAGCCTCTGATATGCTTCAAGAGCAGGCGATGCTCTGGGCAGGAAGGACATAGAGCCCAGGGCTCAGGAAGCATTCATTCCTTATTCTTAAATGCTTATCTAGATGCTCTTATTGTTGCTGCCTGTAACTTATGGCTCAGTTATTCCCGGCCTGTGCCCCCAACCTTCTGTTGCTTTCTTTCTCCTAGTCCCTGAATCTCATCTGCACCACTTAGCAGATATGTGACCTTGGGCAAATAGCATAACTTCTTTGGGCCTCAGTCTTCTCATCTGTAATATAAAATAGGTTGATAATATCTGTCTTGCAGAGATTAGTTGTGTAGACTTAATGAGTTAGTATTTTATAGAAAAACACCTGACACATAGTACAAATAGTAAAATGGATGCAGAGTCCATTTTCATTTCCATTTTTCTTGATTTTGGCCATAGAAACAATAATCTTTAAACAGTAAATCATCACTAGATCATCTTTTAAACTCAGTCTACCCAATGAGACCCTCAAGCCTCGTCATGTTTCTGTCTCCATGTGCTAATATGCGGTTTGACTCCATAGGGACCCTGGTCCCAAACCCTCACTGCTTTTGATGCTAGTGGTTTTGGGGCCTGCTCCCTCTTCCTGCTACACCCTGTCTTGCTTTTCTGTGTCTCTGAGGCTTACCTCCATATCATTTGTCTATGTCCTTCTCGCTACTATAGCCAGGTGCTGACTATAATAATACCTGCTTTGCATACCTCAGGGATTATTGTGAGGATCAAAGGGGATGATTAACATGTTGTAAGTGCTTTGAGAAGGAAGATGAGCTGCGTCACATGGGTTATTATGATGATTATAACTCCTGGACTGTCTTCAGATGACTAAAAATATCCACCTAGTGTGGACCTTTTCAGCGTATTCTTATCTCTCTTGGACTTCCCTGCACTGGCTGAGAAGCCTGACAGTTTAAAGCAACTGAAGAACTTGCTGGTAGACAGCAGTGTTGGGGGTAGAGAATGCCTGAGTAATGAGTTATCTTCTTTAGGGTCCCAACGGGAAATCTGGTACCCTGGAAAGCGTTAATTTACCTCACTTGAGTGAATGCTTTAGACCCAGCAAGCATTTCATTTGCCCAGGCAGCCCATTGTGATGATGATATTAAATAATCATTATCATTACGTGGAAATTCTGTCACCTTGGGGATTTAGAAAGTGTTTCTCAAGCCATTTATACATAAGCAACCAAAATGAGCAGAATGTTCATCTAGAAGAAAGTATTTGTGAAGAAAACATTTGTTTGTAATTGTCAGCATTTGGCGAAAGCAGAGAATGAAAGAATGAAATGAACCACAGCTTTGGATTCCTTCCAGCGTTTTTTTTCCAATCCCAAATTGTCAGACTAGGGAGGGAAGTCTTCCTGTCATGGACCCTGAGCTCTGGGGAGGAGAGTAAGAGACTTCAACTTCCTTACCCTCTCCATCCAGGAAGTCGTTTCCAAGGGAGCTGTCTCTAGGGAAAAGCAAGAGCCCGTTGGCTAATATTTATTTATAGTCGTATACCCTGTAAACTTGTCTTCTTTTAAAAATTAAGAGCAAAAAAGTGGTTTTGGTTCTTGTTTGTTTGGACCACCTCCAGACAGTCATATCTGTTTTCTTTATTTCTGTGCTAGTTGCTCAACATTGTAGGTCTTGATTGAATTGGTTTTATTCCTAGGTCCTCCCTTATTATTAATGTTCTTATTATTGGTTAGTTCTTCTATGTTTGCAGTGTCCTTGACAATCTTTTTTTATTAGCTGTTCTTTATAACAACTCAGTGAGTTGGATCAGCCTTACTGAATATTTATCCAACAAACTGTCCAACATTTTCTTTTGTTGGTTTTGGTTAGGATTTATTGCAATCTTTTTTTTTTCTTTCTGATAATCATCCTTCTGCAAGAAACGTGTTTCATGCTCTTTCTTGCAGGGTTATATGAGCCAGGGGCTTGTGTCATCTGCTTTCAATTCATGTTTAGTTTCTTCCTCCCCTTCCTGGCTTTCTCACCCTCCTCAAAGTTATCGTTGTTTCTCCTGGTCAGGCAAATGGCCCTCAACTAATCTAAGGCAGGTTTGAGCAGAGGGCTTCGTTTTTGATTTCTTGGCATTTGGGTGCATCTCTAAGTGACCACAGGCTGTCAGCAATTCCACATGGTTTGTTACCAAATAGGCCATTGCTGCTAACATTTTGTGGCTGTTGTTGCTGTGGCTGGATGGATATTACCTCTATGGTGAACCACTGGAATGTATGAAGAGAGAGGTCTCAGGGATGGTTGAGAATTGGTACTGTAGCAAGAAAGGATACCAATTCCGATCACCCAATAAATATCCCTGTCTTCTGAAACCCACCGTCATCATCACCTTTATCACCAGCAGCCGTTCCCCCACAATAGTGGCTACGCTCAGCCTTGCCACCACCATCAAAACCATTTTATTATGTTTCTATCTATGCATGTATACTTAGACATCCTTGTAGCCTAGACACTTATAAGTAAATTGGACCCGCAATACCATTTTGAACTTTGAATTCTTAATATGTCTATTTTCCTTCTTCTGCCTACCACTATACTTTCATATTTCTCAATTGCACTTTTATCTTATTGTAATAATTGTTGACTTGTTTTTCTCATCCACTTGACTCTGGACTTCCTGAGGGTACAGAATGTATCTTATTCTTTATATGTCAAGTACTGTGCTAGGCACCAGGGATATCCATGGGGGGAGGTGTCAAAAAGTGTTTGTTGAATGAATATTTAATGTTCTTTTAATTAAATGAAAAATGCTTTGTAAACCATAAAGATGTTTTATCAACCAGTAAGGATGGTACAAATACAACTTCTTTATTTAATTATAATTGCATTACTTTGTCTTTACAGCAATGAAAGATAGATTTAAATCCTATGAGACTGGACAAATACCTGATCTATCAATTTTATAGAACAAGAATGATGGCAATTAGACTGAATTTGGAAGAGGTTAAAAAGATCAGCCATGGTTTTTTTTGACTTGTTTTTGATGTCTTGCCTGGACACCTGTGGGGATTGAGAGAGCCTGGCAATGGCTAGGAGAATAGCCTCCAAGTATCTCTAAAATTCACTAAAAAAATTCTCAGCCAGTTGCAGGGGCTCACACTTGTAATCCTAGCACTTTGGGAGGCTGAGATGGGAGGATCGCTGGAGCTTAGGAGTTCGAGACTAGCCTGGGCAACATAGTGAGACCTCATCACTACAAAAAAATAAAAATAAAAAATTAGCCTGGTGTGGTGGCATGCCTGTAGTTCCAGCTACTTGGGAGGCTGAGGTGGGAGGATCATGTGAGCTCAGGAAGTCAAGGCTGCAATAAGTTGTGATTGTGCCACTACACTCCAGCCTGGGTGACTGAGCGAGACTCTGTTTGGGGAAAAAAAAAAAAAAATCTCAGCTGCATAAGTGGGTATTTTAGAAAATGTCTTTTTTTTTGTTTGTTTTTTTGAGACGGAGTCTCGTTCTGTCACCCAGGCTGGAGTGCAGTGGCGCGATCTCGGCTCACTGCAAGCTCCGCCTCCTGGGTTCATGCCATTCTCCTGCCTCAGCCTCCCGGGTAGCTGAGGCTGCAGGCACCCGCCATCATGCCCAGCTAATTTTTTGTATTTTTAGTAGAGACGGGGTTTCACCTTGTTAGCCAGGATGGTCTCGATCTCCTGACCCTGTGATCCACCCGCCTTGGCCTCCCAAAGTGCTGGGATTACAGGCGTGAGCCACCGCGCCCGGGCCTAGAAAATGTCTTAGTGAGGTTGTATTTAATGAGTTCTGAATGTAGATGGTTCTGGAAAGCTATGTATTGTGCTGTGTTGTACCAGATTTAAACCATTGGAACAGGAGTTGCCAAAGTAATCCAAAGTAGTTAGCAGTTTGAAAATAGCTCAATGCTCTGGAACTCTCTCTACTATCCTTGCCCTTTGAAACTTAGAGGCTGTGAAGAAGGGAAAAAAGTGGGTTCCTTTATTTTCTCTCTCCATCTACTTTCTCATGGTATACTGCTCCAAAACAGTGGAGTGGTTATTTCTGCAGAACAAACATTACAATTAGTGATTAAAGAATAAGTTTTACTTACGAGTCTGGCACATTTCTGGTAATTAATAAATACTGACTGAGTGAATAAGTGAATGAAGTTAGCCTCATTATCCCAGCTGTTCAAAAAAATTTAACACTTGCACATAAAAAAGGCCCAGGAATAACTTTACTGGCTTTTACCCAAGGGTACCCAAGGATCAATTGGCAACAGGGGAAGAGCTTTGAGTTTGAGCCAAGTTCACTTACAAGAAGCAGCTTTTGATGAAAAGTCAGTTCTGTTATCAACATTCCTTCAACTTTTTCAACAGCCCTGGCAAACTCTTTTTGAAAAGCAAATACACTGTAGGCAGAAGCTAAACTGGAAAGTCAGAAGGCAGGTCCCATCCCCAGTTGGGCAGCAGGAAATCCCAAACCAATGCTCTGGTCCATTTTGCAGGGGATGGGTTTATAGAAGACCGACAGTACTTCTGAGTCTATGCATAGAGACACTAGACTGATTGCTGGACGTCAACAGAAAATCAGTGTACTAGAATTTACTTGTGTTAAATGAGGTTGCCAGGAGGTTGCACTACAGGATTCAGGCTTTTCATGAGTTATTCTTGTTACTGGTCACTGTTAGAACTTGACTTTTGGATTTAGTTATTCTCTTAAATTGTAGCTTAAAGGCCAGAGGGCCATTTTCCTTCCTTACTGCCTGCTTTTCTGTTCCTCATTTTTATTTTATTTTATTACCATTGATGCAGGTTTCTTTTCTGTATGTGCCATTCTCTCTGTTTGGCAGGAGCTGGCCATCAGAAGATTTTTTTCATCTGCTTAGTTCTTTGGGTGCTGAAGATTTAGCTAATTGGGAATTGAATGGAAGAAAGACTCAAGCAGGGGAATGTGTGCATGAAATGGATTTTTTGTTCCTCCGAGGATTTGTCGTAAGCAGACATAAAGTGTCTTTCTCACTCAGACTACCTCCAAGCATTTTCACAAATCAATTAGCCACTGGCAGGGCAGAGCGAGTGGAGGCGGAATGAGGCTTGTCTTGACAGGCAGAGGCTCTGGCTGCTCTCTCTCTCAGGCATGCTGTCCTTGATCAGTAGATAACCACGGTGACACTTCACCCCCCTGGCAACTGTTTCCATTACAATCAGAACTTCAGAGCAAGGGCACAGCTTTCAGGGTTTCACTCCACTCCATTAATAAACAAACACCCACAAGGAAGGACTGGGGAGAAGGGAGGTTGGCCATCCCTTTAAGACACGAAGCCAAGAAAAGGAAACAAAAAGAAATCCATCTTTTATTTGCTCACTTTGACTCCAGAACACTTATGTATTCTCTGGATGGTTCTGTCGTTGACTAATGTGGAACCTGAGAGTTTCTCTCGTTCATTAGATGGGACCAGTGAAGCACAGCAAAGGATTCTTAATTCTGAGGGGATGAGGCTCTCCACAGGAGCCCTTCCAAGCTTACAAAATAGGTGTGACATGCCTCCTGCCAGTTCCCCAGAGGGCAAAGCCTCCAGCATACTATGCCTTAGGGGCCTGTGAGGTACAGACTGGGGAAGAATCTGGAGAACACCTAAAAATGCGTCCAACTGGGCTGTCAGAGAAATTCTCTGATAGTCAACTCTGCAGGAACAAGTGGAGGTTCTAAAATACACACATCATTTTGGGAACACGTTTTGAACTCTGAGTTCCCAGCCTGTCAATGATAGGGCTAGAGGGGAGGGGTGGAGGTCAGAGGATGGGATAAAAGGGTGACCACTGCAGTAGATTCAAGAGGGTGAGGGTGAGCCCCGTCCTTCAGGAAGCTTGCAGCCGTTCAGACTACTCAGGGAGCCTAGAGTTTGGAGAGAAAAGTGTTTCTTATGTAATAGCTGGGAGCTCTTATCTCATTCTTGAGAACAAGCTGGGGGGTAGGTGGCAACTATTTTGGTCTTCTGTTTCACAGTTGGCAGAGCTGAGGTACAGGGAAAGGAATTGGTGTGTCTTAGCCCACTTAGCCAGATGTGCATGTGAAGAGAGTTCCTTTAATGCCTCTCCGCAGTTCCTGGAGGAATGTCCCCATCCTCCATCAATGCCATTTACAACTCCTACTCCAAGCCCCATGGCTGCCTCATAGACAGTGGGAATTTACAGCATCACTGAGGTTACCTGAGAGACTTGGAATCCATAGACTTGACCTTGAATTCTGGCTCTTCTACTTATTAGCTCTGTGGTCTTGGGCAAGTTACTTAATCTCTCTGCAGCCTCAGTTTGCTCCTCTTTAGAATGAGGATGACAATAGCTACAGCAGAGGTCATTACGAGAATTAAAAGTGTTGGAAAACACTTAACCCAGTGCCTTGTATAACTCAGTAAATGTTAGTTGGATCTGAATTTAATGAAGAAATAAAATGAGCCCAGATTTCCTTCTCTGACTTCTTTTGAGCTGAGGAAAGAGCAGGTTCCAGCATACTGACTGCTCACAGATTTCTCCATACCTGTGATTCTCAAAGTGTGGGTGCTGGCCCACCCAGTATCAGGCACCTGGGAACCTGTGAGAAATGTGAATTCTTAGGCCCCATCCTAGACTTAGTGGGTGGTGAAGGGTAGCAATCTATGCTTCAAAAAGTCCTCTAGAAATTAAACACTGCATGTTCTCACTTATAAGTGGGAACTGAATAATGAGAACACATGGACATATGGAGAGGGAACACACACTGGAGCCTGTTGGAGTCAAGGGTGAGGCAGGGAGAGCATCAGGAAGAATAGCTAATGGATGCTGGCCTTCATACCTAGGTGATGGGATGGTCTGCAGCAAACCATGATGACACGTGTTACCTACATAACAAACCTGCGCATCCTGCACATGTACCCTTGAACTTAAAGGTTGAAGGAAAAAAAGAGTCCTGCAGGTGATTCTGATCCACACTCAAGTTTGAGACTCATTGTCCTAAATATTAACTTCAAAGTGGCAGGAACAAAACAACTATGGAAACGTTAGGCATAATTATTGTAAAATGTGGCTGCTACAGCTCTTTCTTTGACAGCTTGGTCTTAGGCATATATTGGTGGTACATCTACATCTGCATGTCTTTGTGGATTTGACAAGAGAAGCGAAAAGAGTATTTGCTAAAGCTGACCAGCGCTCTGAATTTTTAAGACATCCTGCATTTCCTCCTGCAGGGGATAGAATTGGCAAAAGAATATTGTGGGTCTACATGAGCATGCAGCTGATAGAAGAAACTGTCAAATGCAATCTAAAAGAACACAGTCCTTGTAATGTAAGGGTGTGCAGAGACAGAACACATCTTGAACTAAAACACTAAGGGAGGTATGTGCTTAGACATATATACTCTGGGAGAAGCTGCTAAATTTATTAGATATTCAGAAGGATGCTTAAGGTGTTGACAAGGATTGAAATGATTTTGAAACTACTTTGAAAGCTGAATATGCACTGTAAAGTTTGGATATTTTAGAATTGTAGAGAAGATCAACTTTTCATCTTTCCAACAGGTGGTAGGAGGTTGTGTCTCATGACTGATTCCTCATTTATACCATGTACTTCTTCACAGGGGGTTCTGGAGATCCTCTTAGCAACAATATCTACTATTTCCTCCTCCCTTTGTGCCTTGATTCTGCACCTTTTCCACCACTTTTATTCCTCTCTGGAAAAGTTTGGAACCACCTCCTGCCACCTGCATTTTCCAGGGGGGAAGCATTGGTCTAGTTGCCTTACCAGAACCTGACAGCATAGAATATTTAAGTCCAGAAAGATTTGTTATCGGTCTGTAATTCAACACTCTCATTTTACTGATGACAAAATTGAAGCCCAGAGATGGAGTCTCCTGATTCCAGGTTTGATGCTCTTAAATTATTCTGTAAGTGTCTTCACAGAGTCTGCATGCTTAGTAATCACAGGGTATGGCAGGGAAAGGGGGAGGCATGGACTAAGACGCCTTCCCTTCACCCCTAGTTTTTCAGATGTAATACCTGTTAAAAAAGATCAGTCTATATGTGGGTCAGTATTGTAATTTTCCACTTTCATTTAAATAAGTGAGGAATGTGGTATTTGGCCCATTTTAAATTATGGACACTAGGGAATTGGTGTAAGTCAAAACAGAAAAAGTCCCAAATAGCTTCTAGTTTATCTTTTTGATGAAGAGCTCATTATTGGCAAACCATTAACTTTAATTGCTGCCAAAGTCATGCTGTTCACTTATATGGGGAAGAGTGGGTGGGACCCAGTCCTTGACATCATATTATTTCTCATAGCGCTTGAATTTCTAGAGAAAATCACTATTTTCTCCCTATATGATAGCTTTAAAGTAGGAACAAAATGTTCCTCTTTGGCTTTGGAACTAGGAATATCAGATGGTTGCTTAATATTCCTTAAATTTTCCTTGACATTCTTCATGCTGACATTCTGAAGTGCCTAGACAATAAGTCAGATGATTTCTTAGATGTTCAGGGAACAGCGCATACAGCGCCCGTATGCAATTTTTCAGGATAATGGGAGAAAACCTTGGCTTAGATTACTTCAAACCAGGCAGATCATCAGAATAAACAAAGTTGTGTGTGTGTGTGCCTGTGTGTGTGCATATGTGTTTCAGCTTCATTTTCTTTCTGACTCCATAAGGGACTACTCTGTGGTAAGGGCATACTTGAATATTCACTGTGTATTAATAATATTTTAAACTGTACATATATTAGTTGACTTTATTGTGTGCTGGTACTTGCGCTATGCTTTTAATATCTCATTTATTGCTCAAACTCTCTATGGAAAGAATTTTATCCCGTTTTATAACCTTGGCAATGTTAAGTAATTTGCCACAGGTCACACAGGAATTAAGTGGGAAAGTCAGGATTTGAACCCAGATTGCCTGAAAGAAAAGGGAAGGGAGGCTTCAGGAGGGGATGGCTGAAAGGAAGGAGGTCAGGAGACACTTGGGGTTTGCCTGTATGAGAGAGGTCTGGGACAACTACTTAACCTTAAACAATATGGCATTTTGGAATGAATGACATCTCCACTCTTGTGCTGCTACCCTCCCTCCAACCTTTCTCTACACAGCAGTAACAGTCATCTTACATGTATATTAGAAAGTGTTGTGCCTGCTTTGACACCCTTCAGTTGCTTCCCATTGCACTTAGAATACAATTCAAAGTCCTTACCTTTGTCTACAAGGCTGCTACAAGACGGCCGATGTCCCGCGCATATTCCTTTTAGGACTCGTTGTACTTGAATGTTCGGCAACTTTCTGCTGTGACCACCCAAAACTCCCCACCTGAGGTTTTCTGGCTAGTAGCAGACAAAAAGTGTCTGGGAGTTAATGCCCCAGGAGCAGGTCTCAATCAGTGATGGACAAGAATAGGTGGATAAATACCCCCACTGTCTTGCCACTCAGGTGGTAGAACTCTGAGGTGTGCTTGGTGCAATCTCCAGCAGTCTCCCATGGGAGTGAGACCCAGCTGCCCACAGAGGTAAACTGCTTGCTAGCACACTGTGTATTGCCTTTCATCCCACCCTACCTCACTTTCCTGTGCCTTTTCTGTACTTCCTCCAAAACATACTACTTGTGTTCAAATCCTTGTGCATGGTCTGATTCAGGGAACCCAACATAAGCCAAAGGTCTGGTCTTGTCTGGTCTGGGCTGCCCACCTCTCCAGCTCATCTAGAGCCACTGTACCCCACAGACTGCTTTCTAGCTGCACTGCTCTTCTTTATGCTTCTAAACATTCTAGGCTGCTTTGTACGTCATGCTGTTCCTTTTGCCTGAATATTCTGTTCCTATACTTCCCAGGCCCGACTCCTTATCAGTTTGTTTGCAGCTTAAATGCTGCCTCCTCCAGAGGCCTTCCCTTATATCCTGTAAAAGAGAGCATGGTCTTGGAGGAGGGAATCAGGCTCCCCTTACTTTGGTCCTAAACAGAGCAGCGTGGATGGTGGAGTGACAGCTGCCTCCTGCCTTCCCCTTTGGCCTCCTGCTTTCTCCATATCTCCTGCCCATGCTGGGTCAGGTTGGGCCCATTCGCTGTGCAGTTGGGACTACTACTGAGTGCTCCCAGGTTTAAGAATAAAGCTTAAAATAGGAAAGAGTGATGTCAGGGCTGAGGGGAGAGACATGGAGGCCGGGTACTCAGAAGGTCTGACACACATCAGAGAAAGCCTTGAAATTAAGGAGATATCCTCTAAATCCAATTCTCAGTATCTTCTGAGGTCCATTCAACAAATGTCCTTAAAATCCTATATTGATTTCTGTCATGATTCTTTGTAAGGGGTATTCTTCCATTTGTTTAAAGTTGGCTTTTGTTGTTATTGTTGCTTAAGAGAAATGAAGAAGAAATTACAGGCCTTCTTGTACCTGTGTGTTCTATTCTCTTATCAAATAGGCAGTAAAGGTATGTTTTTATTTAGTTGTTGTTTTTCTTTTTAAAGGAGCCCAGAACAATTTTTTTTAAGTGAATTAAGAAGAGACTGTCCTTCTGAGTAGAGGTGGCCTGCCTGTGCATGTGCAAGGCCCAGATGGCAGCCCCGGCCCTTTCTCCTGTGTAGGACCAACTTCTCTAACTTAGGAGGGAATCTGAGCCCAGAGATGGAGATGTGGTATCCCCACCACTAACAGTTCTAACCTCTGAGAAATGTGTGGATGGAGCACAAAGGTGCCATCTATGAACAGGGAAACGGGCCCTGCAGACACAGAATTTATTGGTGCCTTGATCTTGGACTTCTCAGCCTCTAGAACTGTTAGAAAGAAATTTCTGTGGTTTAGAGGCCACCTAGTTTTTGACGGTTTTGTTGTAGCAGCCTGCATGGACTAAGACAGCTCTAGAGAGCATGAGGGCCAATCTCTCATCTTACCCAGGAGGAGGCTGAGGCCTACAGCCATTTAATGACTGATTGAAGGCCATGCTGCTGATTTGTGGCACATGTGGGATAAAAACAGACTGAATATCATGGAAAAATTCTTTTAAGCCACTAACTGTCTAAAAGGTTCTTATAATTCTCAGGAAGTTTACCAAAGGGGGTGGGTGTCTGATGAAGACAATGGGAAATTCACCAAAGTAAGGGGTCTGATGAAGACATTTTAGGGAACAGTGTGGCCTTAGAAAAAAGTACTTTTGCAAAAATTTACTTTAGGCTCTCAAAATTTAAAATTTTCCCACCGAATATTTCTTCCTTTGCAAATGTTTCCAGATTTGTGTTGATTGCTTCTAAACACAGAGCAAAGTACTTATGTGTGGTAAGAATTGATGTTGCCCCCAGGATCTTATTTTGTCAAGGCAGCAATGCTGCTTTCTTGATGTTTTCAGAGCCAGTGGTCTTAGATCAATGTTACTGAAGCCTTCAGCTCACTGTCATTTGAATGTTCCTTCTTTTTTTCTGTTAGGGCCTGAAATAACTCGGTGACTAAGGAATTTCATTGAGAAAAAAGACAAAAACAAAACAAATACTTTGTCTTTTGGAATAAATGAATCCTTACAGAAGAGTGGTAAAATGAACACGAGTTTGGATCTGTGGAGCCATTATTAAGTAATGAAGACTGAATTCACCTTCTTTGGGCTGAAGCGAAATAGAGATGAAAATCCCTTCAATAATAGATATCTACCCACTCCATGGCCTCTACACCCGCTACTACCCACATCTGCTGCACATGATGGAAACATTGTTATTCATTTGGTTAATCATCAAACTCCCATTGAACACATACTCCATTATGCACTGAATTATTACATTCTGTAATTCCAAGTAGAAGAGAATCTAAGAGCTTGTATTCACAAATAACTTGTCTGAAGAAATAACATCAAAAGAATATGGCATCTCAAATGATTATGAAAATCACCCTTCATAGAAGATGGCGGATTATGTTTGTTGCATTGTTTCTGTAATGGGACTGATAGTTTGTGCTGAATAATTCATGCTATTTGCCCAAGCCCCTTGAAAGTGCTGGCATATCTCTGAGGGACAGCTGGCTGAGATTATGGGACATACTATTGCCACAGACTTGAATATTGCCAAATGGCCTCTTGGAGATTTTTTTTGGTAGTGCAGTGTTTGCAATGCTGTCTGTGGAATTATGCAGACCTGGGTTCAAATTCTAACTCTACCCTTTGACTTGGACAAGGGATTTAACCTCTTTTAGTCTCAATTTCCTTGTATGTAAAATGAAAGTAGTAATCCATCCTTATTGGGATTTATACATATAATGTTATAGGAACAGAAATTTCATTGTTTTAATGAAAACTCCTTTTTCAAGGAGGTTGGGTCTGGTTAAAGGGAATGTCCCTTTCCTATTTAGTGCCTTGGGTTTGGTTGTGAAAACCTAGTAAGAGGAGTTGAGGGGTAGGTGGGTACTGGGAGAGCTCCATTCTTTTTAGAAGAAGAAGAATGGGGTGAGGAGAAGAGAAGGGAGGAGAGAGGCAAGAGGAGTCAGCCAAAAGGAGTGAAGCAGGAGGGCGATGAGGCCAACAAATTGGCAAGGTGGTGGTTGTGGGATAAAGGACATTTTAAGAACTGTGGTGCTCCTTGACTTATTCCTGATTTATTAAAACTGTGTGTGTTGGGCCTGGCGCGGTGGCTCACGCCTGTAATCCCAGCACTTTGGGAGGCCGAGGCTGGCGGATCACGAGGTGAGGAGATCGAGACCATCCTGGCTAACACGGTGAAACTCCGTCTCTACTAAAAATACAAAAAGTTAGACGGGTGTGGTGGCGGGCACCTGTAGTCCCAGCTACTTGGGAGGCTGAGGCAGGAGAATGGTGCGAACTGGGGAGGCAGAGCTTGCAGTGAGCTGAGATAGCGCCACTGCACTCCAGCCTGGGCGAAAGAGCGAGACTCCGTCTCAAAAAAAAAAAAAAATTGTATATGTTGCTGTGAGGGGAACTCACCTTTGTTTTTTATGTCCTCAGAGAGTCTACTTGACTTCTTCTGCTCCTGGTCCAGTTTTTGATAAAGTCTGCAAAGCTTACCGGTGTTTCATGAAAGTTAGGTTGTGTGTGTGTTATAAGTGGAAGTGGGTGGAATTCAATTGTTGAGATGACACAGGTTGCCAGGAGACAGAGATCGTGAGGATGAAACCTCTTGGGAATTTGCAGAAAGCAGGTGAGGACTTCAGGTTTTCATAGGTCTTGGTGGTTCTACCCAAGCTGACAAGATCTCAAGGGGGCAGGCTCTGACATCTGAATATCCTTAGACTGTATTTATTGAACTTCCACTCTGTGCCAGAGGCTGATATGTGACCATTGTGTGCATTCTCTCCTTCCTTTCACTAACAAATATTTATGAAGGGTCCAGTTTAATTTTCACAAGTTGATTAAGTATCAGAGTACCGCAATTAACCCCAGTTTATTTTTTATTTTTTGAAAAGCCTAATGTAAAAGAACATGTTCATGTTTCTATTTCTTGTTAGAATTTGAGAAATGTGTATTATAATCCTGGATTTTAACTTTTTATTTATTTTTTCCAACTTTTATTTTAGATTTGGGGGTACATATGCAGGTTTATTACCTGGGTATATTACATGATGCTGAGGTTTGGGTTATGAATGTATGAATGATCCCATCACCCAGGTACTGAGCATGGTACCCAACATGCTCAGCTTTTCAATCATTTCCCCCATCCCTACCTCCCTCATCTAGTAGTCCCCAGTGTCTATTGTTGCCATCTTCATATCCACGAGTACCTAGTGTTTAGCTCCCACTCATAAGTGAGAATATGTGCTGTTTGGTTTTCTGTTCATGTGTTAATTCACTTAGGATAATGGTCTCCAGCTGCATCCATGTTGCTGCAAAGGGCATAATTTTGTTCTTTTTAATGGCTGCATAGTATTCTATGGTGTATATGTACCACATTTTCTTTATCCAGTCTGCTGTTGATGAGCACCTAGGTTGATTCCGTATCTTTGCTATTGTGAATAATGCTGTGATGAACATGCGTGTGCATGTGTCTTTTTGGTAGAACAATTTGTTTTTGCTTGGCCGTGTACTCTGTAATGGGATTGCTGGGTTGAATGGTAGTTGTGTTTTAAGTTCTTTAAGAAATCTCTAAACTGCTTTCCATAGTGGCTGAACTAATTTACGTTCCAACCAACAGTGTATAAGCATCCTCTTTTCTCTGCAGCCTTGCCAACATCTGTGTTTTTTTTTGACTTTTTAATAATAGCCATTCTGACTGGTGTGAGATAGTGTCTCATTGTGGTTTTGGTTTGCATTTCTCTGATAATTAGCGATGTGGAACATTTTTTTCATATGTTTGTTGGCTACTTGTATGTCTTCTTTTGTATGTCTTCTGTTCATGCCTTTTGCCCATTTTAAATGAGATTATTTGTTTTTTACTTGTTCAGTTAAGTTTCTTATAGATTCTGAATATTAGACCTTTGTCAGATGCATAGTTTCTTCCATTCTGTAAGTTGTCTTTTTACTTGGTTGATAGTTTCTTTTGCTGTGCAGAAACTCTTCAGTTTAATTAAGTCTCACTTGCCAATTTTTGTTTTTGTTGCAATTGCTTTTGAGCACTTAGTCATAAATTCTTTCCCAAGGCTGATGTCCAGAATGGTGTTTCTTAGGTTTCCTTGTAGGATTCTTATAGTTTGAGGTCTTACATTTAAATCTTTAATCTATCTTGGGTTAATTTTTGTATATCGTGAATTATAGGGATCAAATTTCATTCTTCTACATATGGCTTACCAGCTATCCCAGCACCATTTATTGAATACAGAGTCCTTTCCCTGTTGCTTATTTTTGTCAACTTTGTCAAAGATCAGATGGCTGTAGGTGTGCAGCTTTATTTCTAGGTTCTCTATTCTGTTCCATTGGTTTATGTGTCTGTTTTTGTATAGTACCATGCTGTTTTGGTTCCTATAGCCTTAGAATATAGTTTGAAGTCAGGTTATCTAAGTCTCATTATCTAAGTCAGAAGATTGTTTTGGCTATTTGGATTCTTTTTTGGTTTTCTATAAATTTTAAAATAGTTTTTTCCAGTTCTAAAATTTGAGTGTTACTATGTGCCAGGCACTATTCTAAGTGCTTTAGTTAGCACTTGTTTAATCCTGGAAGCAATCCTTTGAAATGCGTTCTTTTCTTTTTGTTTTTTTTTAATGATACTTTAAGTTCTGGGGTACATGTGTAGAATGTGCAGTTTTGTTACATGGGTATACACGTGCCATGGTGGTTTGCTGCACTCATCAACCCGTCATCTACATTAGGTATGAAATGGATTATTTTGTAGGCCCATTTTGTAGATAAAGAGAGTGAAGTCCAGGGAGGTCAAGTAACTTGCTCAGGTCTTTGAGTTGGTAGGTGGCAGAGCTGGGATATGGCCAGACCTGGTTTGATCTCTTGACCATAGAATGTTCTATTGCCTCTTGTTAAATATTCATCCATTACCTTCTTACATGTTTGATTTTCAATGAAGTAGCCATTGCTCAAGGGAACAAGGCATAGACAAGGCTAAATTAAGCCTAGTATTGTGGCTGAAATTCTGCAAAAGAAAAGCTAGTTGAACTGCTTTTTAAATAATCCATACATGACTCTGAGGCTGTCAGTTTTGAGGAGAAAGATTGACAAAATAAAATTTATGGCTTTAAAACATATTTTGAGTTCCAAAGGAAGCCATAAAATTATTGATGTGGCTGCACGTTTTTCAGAACAGATGACTTAGATAATGAAAGACTCCTGATAAAGAGATTTAAAAGCTAAAAATATCAATTCTGCATTTCACATATCTTGCGTGGGAGGGAGATTTCTGAAAGAGCAATATCTTCCCTTAGCACTCCATTCCAGATGGCTGCCGTGTATGGAAATGAGTAGGTAATGGTGGCTTGTTGTGGCAAGAAAAACCATTGGAAGGAGTAAGGGAAGGTGGAAAATAGGGAACATGCATATTAAAACATAATATTAATACTTAGTGACTCTATAGTAATGGGGCTATTTCCTCACAGTCATATGAATCTGGAAAAAGGCAAGACACTGTACTTTTAGGGGATTTCAAAGAATGAAAAGTTAATTTTAAAAAGTTATACAGCCATTGGATCAGAAATGTTTATGCGGTCACAGCTCATGCAGGCTTGATACGTCATCTAGAAGTGTAGGAATTCGTCCTATTAGAATCCCTATTAGAATCCATTTGCAGTTTCTATGTGCTCAAGGGAAGATTTATTTCTGACAAATGAGTGATAATATCTAAGGTCATTAGTAATGACAGTCTAACACCCTGAAATGCTTCTTGGAAGAGAGGAATTTCATTATGTGCCCTTTCTTCTGTAGTCAGAGCCTGAGTTGGGATGGTGGGCTGCCAGCTCTGATATCACTCCCCTCTCGTCCTATAATGATAATGACACTCCTGCTTTAACACATCTTAAGTATAACTAGCTCCCCTGGGGAGTTTGCTACAAGAGAACGTCCATCTATTTTTTGATTATATGTGGTTTCACCATTACCACTATCACCATTACCACCACTACCACCCTGATATGTTTACTATAGACTAAGTACTCTGCTAAATGCCTTAGGATCATCACATTAACATTTTTGTAAAAAATATTTTTTATATTTATATATAGACAACTACAGAATGGAAGAAGATTTTTACAAAATATGCTTCTGACAAAGGTCTAATGTCCAGCATCTATAAGGAACATAAATCTACAAGAAAAAAACAAACAACCTTATTAAAGAGTGGGCAAAATGTCTACCGATGGATCAGTCTGGCAATACCAAAAACAAATAAACAAAAAGTAGGCAAAGGACATGAACAGATGCTTTGCAAAACAGGATATACATGTGCCCAACGATCATATGAAAAAGAGCTCAGCATCACTGATCATTAGAGAAACACAAATCAAAACCACAAGGAGATACCATCTCACACCGTCAGAATGGTTATTATTAAAAATCCAAAAGATAACAAATGCTGGCGAGGTTGTAGGGAAAAATGGATGCTTATACACTGTTGGTGGGAGTGTAAGTTAGTTCAGCCATTGTGGAAGACAGTGTGGTGATTCCTCAAAGACTTAAAAACAAATAACCATTTGACCCAGCAATCCCATTACTGGGTATATACCCAAAGGAATATAAATAATTCTATCATAAAGCATGCGTGCATATATATGTTCATTGCAGCACTATGCACAATCACAAAGACATGGAATCAATCCAAATGCCCATAAATGGTAGACTGGATAAAGAAAATGTATGTATACACCATATACTGTGCAGCCGTAAAGAATGAGATGACATCCTTTACAGGAACATGGGTGGAGTTGGAGGCCATTATCCTTAGCAAACTAATACAGGTACAGAAAACCAAACACTACATGTTTTCACTTATAAGTGGGAGCTAAACGATGAGAACACATGGACACATGGTGGGGAAAAACACACACTGGGGCCTGTCGGGGTGGGGTGGGAAGAGGGAAAGGATCAGAAAAAATAACTAATGGGTACTAGGCTTAATACCTGGGTGATAAAATAATCTGTACAACAAAACCCCATGATACAAGCTTACCTATATAACAAACCTGCATATGTATCCCTGAACTTAACAGTTAAATAAAAAATTCTTATTGATAAATTATAATTGTATATATTTACGGATTATAATGTAATATTTATATATTCAATGTGGAGTGATTAAATCTATCCAATTAACATGTCTATCACCTCAAATACTTATGATTTTTTGTTATGAGAACATTTAAAACCTACTTTCTTAGCAATTTTGAGGTATATAATGCATTCTTATTAACCATAGTAACCACGCTGTGCAATTGATGTTAAAAATATATTTCTCCTGTCTAACTGAAGCTTTGTACCCTTTGGCCAATATGTCTGTATTCCCCCATCCACCATTAGCCAGCCTCTAGCAACCACCACTGTACTCTTTGCTTTTGAGAGTTTAGCCTTTTTAGATTCTATAATACATGTAAGGGAGAGCATACAGTATTTGTCTCTCTCTACTTGGCTTATTTCACTTAGCATAATGTCCTCCAGGTTTATCCATGTTGTCACAAATGACAGGATTTCCTGCTTTTCAAAGGCTGAACAGTATTTCATTGTGCACATATACCACTTTTTCTTTATTCTTTCATCTGTGAATGGACTCTTAGGTCAACTCTATATCTTGGCTATTGTGAAGAATGGTGCAATAGACAAACAAAGGGAGAGAGATTCTGTGTTCAAGATCATCAACGTTCAATCTTCATATTATGAGTGAGGGAGGGCCACAGCCAAAAGGCCCTGGTGCATGTAGGGAGTGAGCTCTGCTCCTTGTGTGGTACTCATGGGCTTGAACAAAGCTGGCTCAGTGGGCAGTTAGGAGGAGCAACTTTTGACCTTGAAGTTTCCCTTTATTTCCAGTGTGCATCTACTTGGTGTCTCCTAGGATTTTTGTTAAAAATTTTGGCTGTTCTCTAGGCATTCAAAATTATTTCTTCAAAGAGTGGGGTCTCAAACATCACAATTTCCATCAACACATTTCCTTGAAGGACCTCCTGCTTTCCTCTGGGTCTTCTGGGTATTCTCTTCCTGATTTACTCAGAGATCACAGCTTTTCTGTAGAGGCAACAGTTCTTGAGTCAAGAATATCGATCAGTGGTTGTCTCTTTTCAGACGGGATAATCTACCTCAGCATTATTCTTATGTATGTTCTGCAAAAAACTAGTGAGATAATCAGCAACAACAAAAAGGCTCCATGGACAATACTCACTGCAGATATGACTCTCAGTGCACAAACTTAATTATACAGGGAAATATCACATTCTTCTATTTTCATGAATCAACCTGATTTTAGCTCTGATCTGCCATCCCTCCGGATTGATGGGAAATTTCAAGTCGGACAAACTTGGGCAAACTTTTCCTTCCAAAGGGTTGTGTCAAGATTCTGTGGTCTTACCGATTGCCAAGGAATGGAGAAATGCTACCCACAGTGCTTGTTGTGGAGATGCTCACTATAACAACCTGCACAGTCCCTTCAGATGGGCTTGCTGCTGCCTCTGTCCTGTGCTTGGGGCACAGGGTCTTTGATGAGGTTAGAAGCCCCAAAGATTTGCCTTTGGGAAAAACTAGGGAATAGGGAGCGTGTGTCTCTGCTCTTAAGACCTCTAACCTTCTCTCTCTTCCAAACTTCTTTGATTTGGGAATAAGAATCAAGAAGCCCTGATATCCCTCTCCCCTGAGGCAAGACAGAGTAGAGCCTTCCTTTTTCTCTAATGGTGAAAGGGAAAATGAAAAGCATAGGGAGAAAATATGCACTGATATCTCACAAAATTATCTTATCACATGAGTTTTTGAAACAGTGCCTATTCTTTTCCTAGCTTGGATTTCCACAGTGTACATATATTGACATATCAAAGGCTCTGAGAAGTCCTGTGTGTTAGTCCATTCTCGCATTGCTGTAAAGAAATATCTGAGACTTGGTAATTTATAAAGAAAAGAGGATTAATTGGCTCATGGTTCTGCAGGCTGTATGGAAAGCATAGCAGCTTCTGCTTCTGGGAGAGGCCTCAGGAAGTTTCCAATCATGGCAGAAGGCAAAGAGGAAGTGAGCCATCTCACATGGTAGGAGCAGGAGTAAGAGAAAGAAGAGGGAGGTGTCACTCACTTATAAACAACCAGATCTCTCAAGAATTCATGATCACGAGGATGGTACCAAGAGGATGGTGCTGAACTATTTATGAGAAATCTGCCCCCATGATCCAATCACCTCTCACTAGGCCGCCCCTCCAACATTAGGAATTACAAATTGGCATGAAATTTGGTGGGGACACAGATCCAAAGTGTATCATCCTGTAATAAGAAAACCAGTTTAAATTGGTTTAAACCAGAGGCTCCCAAATTTATTTGATTGCTGAACCTACTAACATCCCATAGAATTAGTGTTCTTATGAATGTTCTTTAGGAAATCTTTGGTAGCTCTGTGTGAACACATTACTGTTCATGCCTAGGAGACCATAAGAACAGGTTCTGGTGTCTTCTCATGGAGGGACAATGCTTGTTTCTGTCCTATAAGCTCAACTCATCTGAACCCTTTTTTGCCCTCAATCTCACTGCCTTTCCAGCATTCTAGGACTGTGCTTTCCAACATTCCTGGAAAGGTTATTCTTTCCTTAGGGCTTTCCGTGGGCTTCTAGGTCACTGCAGTTCTTCCATTAGGCATCAAAAACAAAGGCATGTTCCTTGGCATTATTAATGATGTGAGCCCAGAGGCAATAGGCACTTGAAGTATATTCCTAGAACCCTGTCCATATACATGGATGGATTAACCATGCAGAGAGACTTTCCAAGTCTGGGATAATAACAAGGATTAGCAGATGAGCACTGGGACAGACCTGAAAGACCTGCACTCGCCTCAGTGCTGCCGGGACCCAGGCCTGCTGAGACCCTTTCTTTTTCAGCAAACAGGACACACATATGGCTTTCTGTTGTACAGTGAGCTGAGAAGCAGACAAGCTCAGTCTATGAAATTAAGGCAGAAATCGTACTCTATTACTGCTTGTGTGTACCAATGTGTATATTCTTTTCAAAGAGTGGGTGTGTTTCAGTTTCTCTTCTACATTTTAGTCTCTTTGCTTCTCTGCTGCTAAGGCACCCAGTCACCACTTTGCTCTCACCTAGGTCCTATTCTCTGCCACATTCCTTTCCTTTAGGATGATTTCCCACCTATGATTCATAAGCAACAACCCCATCGAGTTCCCACTACTGTTCTACTCCTAGCTGGGTAGGGAAACCAAGCTGAGTAAACAAAAGCACCCAGAGGTGCAAGGTGCAAATGACTGAGGGCCCCCTTTACACTTCCAGAGTACTGGTCTGCAAATTGGAGAATTTCAGAGGAGAAACTTTAGGCAGAAGCCTTTTTTTTTTGTTCTGTTCTTTGACAGTTTTCCCTAATGAGGGCCTGTCCTTAAAAAGGAAGTGGTACCATGGAATACTAAGCAGCCATAAAAAGGAATAAGATCATGTCTTTTGCAGGAACATGAATGGAGCTAGAAACTGTTATCCTCAGCAAACTAATGCTGAAACAGAAAATCAAACACCGCATATTCTCCTAAGTGGGAGCTGAACGATGAGAACACTTGGACACATGGGGTTAGGGAAACAACATATACTGGGGCCTGTCATGGGGTGGGGAGAGCATCAGGAAGTATAGCTAATGGGTGCTGGGCTTTAAACCTAGGTGTGATGGGTTGATTTGTGCAGAAAACCACCATGACACACATTTACCTATGTAACAAACCTGCACATCCTGTACATGTACCCTGGAACTTAAAATTTGAAGAAAAAAGAGAGCGGTAAAAGGAAGCTGCAGCCACAGCCCTTAGAAAACCCACGTTTGGCCCTCACAATGCTGGAGAAAGGAGTTAATCGTCTTCCTTTGCCTTCTGTCCAAGCTTCTAGCTCAAAGCCCAAGGTCTGTGTTAACCTTGTTGACCATTTTTTCATTCATGAATAGGAGAAAACTCCACTACCTAAGGGAAACCAAGCTCAACTGTAAATTTTGGAAGTGTCAGAGTTGGGAAGCTGTGGTGGGAAGTGGGGTGGGTGCAGCCATCACCTTGGGGCTCCTGGGAAACAAGATAGTTGGAGGCCTTTAGTGGGGCAAGTAAAGGCATGGGTTCCTCTGTCTTAGCTGATCCAGGGGGTTTTCAGTTGGGCCAACTTACTACTTCTTACTCCACTCAGCTGACCCTTGAAATGCTTGGCTTAACTGCGGAGCTGAAACAATTACAGTAATTTACATGAATTATTTACCAATTATCCTTAATTACCAGGTGGCATGATAACAATTATGCATATCATCAAATGTGTGGCAGATCAAGTTGGTTGTAAGATTTGATTGCAATGCTAATCAATGTGCACATCTGCTCAGTTGTCTTTGTGAGTTGTTCACATAGTATGGACATTTTCTCACACCTTGAAAACAAGGAGGTAATATTGGAAGATGCTTGCTATTCATTGATAGGTTGAAGAAAGATAAATGTAAGCAGTGGTGATGAATCTGCTCTCAAAACAAGTTCAGATTATTAGTTTTGAAGATAAAGTATGGCCAATTGTACTTCATTAGAATACAAGCTTCTGTTCTAGAGATCAGGGCTTGTGTCTTATTCATGTTTCTACCTTAGTTTCTAATACAGTAGGAACTCAATAACCATTTTTTGAATTAAAATGCACTAAATTTGAAATGGCAGTAGACTACATTGCATGGCCAAAAATATTAATGGTCACTATCACAAAATAATACTCATGCTTTGCATAATGACATTTCAGTCAACAATGGGCCACATATACAATGGTGGTTGGAGCAACAGACTATATCATATGTAAGGGAGATAGCTGCACTTTAGTCAGGAGTAGGCTGAGGCAGCTTTCCAGCACAGTGTGACTCAGCAGGTTTGGAGCGCAGGTGCACAACTCCACACATTATGTAACCACACCATAATTACCCTGCTGACATTGTACGTGCAGCTTGCACCTGTGGCTTGTGCCCAGGATTGTGACCAGGCTTGCTCACACCCAGAGATAAAGTAAAAGCATGTTGAAACTCTTTACAATTCCTCGAGTGTTTTTCCAGCTACCCACTATGCCACTGACTCCCCTTGGACTTTAGTTACAACCTAACAATTGACATCATGAACAGGATCCTGAGCTGTGCTGCTCAGATGGGCTCCAGTGGAAACCTGGGCAGTGGTAGATGAGCACAGAGAAGGTGCTGAAGCAGTTGGAAGCACGGAGCACTGAGAAGGAGCAAGCCTTTGCTGGCAGAGTTGGATGGGTGTTTTTCACTACGCTATGAGTAGTACACACCCATTCTCTGAGGGATGCAGCAGAGGTAGGGGCCCTCCAGGAACAGGTGGGTCCCTGGAAGCCTGGCTCCACAGTTCAGAAAAAGAGTTAGAAGCTGCCATGAATGGGGACCTTCAGGTGCAGGTGGGGCGCCTGGAGGCCTGGCTACAGAGCTTGGAAAAGGAATTAGAGGCTGCTGTAAATGCAGGCCTGGGTCTGTCGTCTCGGCTGGAGATCCCCACTTGGTCTGATTTTGAGGAAGCCATTGGCAGGACAAAGAAGTCTGCACTGTAAAGAAGGGGAAGATGCCCCACCTTCAGGGGACCCCCTCCATGGGAGAAAAGGGGGCCCCAACGAGTGACATGCTCACAAATGTGGATAGATTTGATTTTGGTTGGGGTTGACTGAGAGAAAACTGATAAGCAGCCCAATGAAGTACTCTAAACTTTGTGGAGACAGCTGTCTCAGGAGTAGCAATTCCAGAAAATGGCCAACGGGGAGAAGGACATTGCTGCATGACCTGGTCCCCCCCAGGTGCTTCAGTTCAAAGGTTATGTACTGCAGTCAGGCAGGGGTGTAGAGCCTTTTCTGTTTAATTTGTACAGTGGGCACTGGCACTGGTAGGTACCAGCTCAGATTGTAGCCTTGTCTATGGGAACCTGTGTAAGTTTCCGGATAAGGCAGCATAGACAGCTATGAAAGCTGGTCAATGAAAGTGAAAGTTTAAGTACATTCTGTGTGTGTAAATACCTTCTGGGGGTGGATATTTTACATGGCTTGGCAGCTGTGCCATCTATCATGGACTCAATGGACCACTTGACAGAGCTGGGACAGTACCACTGTGTAGTGGACTTGGCCAATACATTCTTTTCCAGAGAGCCAGTAATAGTTTGCCTTCACAGGAGGGCAACAATGGACTTTCACAGTGTTGCCACAGGGCTATATGTGTAGCCCCACCATATGTCATGGTCTTGTTAATGATATTATACTAACCTCTAATCCTTTTGCAGATTTAGAAGTGGCAATGCTTTACTTGCCTAGAATTAAGATGGTGTGGCTGAGACCACCTTCCTGGCAGCCAAGTGGGCTATTTAGCAGGCAGAAGCCCTACAGGTAGTTGACCAGGGGAGCCTGAGCTGGATGTGTATGTGACCACAGATAGTTTTGGCTGGAGCCTATTGTGCATGGAGTGCTTCAGAATGCCAGTGGGTTTTTGGTTCCAGCTATGGAAGGGAGCTGACCTCTGATATTCACTGATAGAGAAGCTGTTGGTAACTGCATATGCTGCCCTTCAGGCCCCTGAGAACATGGCAGGACAGGCTACAGTTGTTGTGTGGATGACTTACCCAATAGCAGGGTGGGTGCATTCATGGATAATGACCTCTTGGACTGGGAAAGCAGTTAGTAGCGTATATCTGCCCTTCAGGCTCATGGGAGCATGATGAGATGGGCTACAGTCATCGACAGTGGGATGGGTGTATTCATGGATAATGACCCCTGAGACTGGGAAAGCACAGACATTCCAATTTAGCAAAGTGGGGCACCTACTTAGAGCAGCAGAGTACGCTGAGTACAAAGTCCCTTAGCAGAACAGTTGCAAGAGGTCTTGGGACCTGTAGTCCTAATGCAAGATAAGGCCATGGGGCCTGAGGCACCCCTAGACCCTGAGTCTTCACCATTTAAGAAGTGTTCTCCCATTCCCGATGGGGCGTGGTACACAGATGGGTCTAGCCAAGGTGCTACTGCTGCCTGGACCATTGTTGCAGTCCAACCTAGTACTGACACCATATGGTTTGAAACCAGGGGTGGGCAAAGTAGCCAATGGGCTGAACTTAGAGCGGTATGAATGGTGATTACCAAGGAGGTGACACCTATAATGATCTGCACCAATAGCTGGGCAGTTTATCGAGGGTTAACCTTGTGGTTAACTACCTAGAAGTTACAAAAGTGGCTAGTTGGTCACTGGCCTATGTGGGGTCAAGCCACGTGGCAAAACTTACGGAAGGAAGAAAGAGTTCCTCTGACCAGGTATGGGAATGAACCATAACCTGTTGTTGCCTGCTCCAGTGCTTCTAAAGGTAGGGAAATAAAAACCTGGCTTAATGTATAAAGCAACATTGGGGTAACGTCACCATGAAGTGGTTGCCTGCCATAATCTGGAACTGTTGCTGTCTGTATTGTTGTGGGTTATGAATTCAGGACTCCACCCTATGGGCATGTGTCCCTGTCTGGAGGATGCCCTCGGCCTTGTGGGTGTAAGGCGGATGGCTGTGCTTTAGTCAGGAGTAGTCTGAGGTGGCTTTCTGGCACAGCATGACTCAGTGGGTTTAGAGCACAGGGGCACAACTCTGCATGTTATGTAACCACGCCACATGAGGTGTGTCATGTAAGCACACCACATAAGGTGCATTAGGTGATCACTCACATGAGCTTATGCTTGACTTGGAGCCACTGTTGTCTGCAAGAGATATAATTACCCTGCTGATGCTGTACATACCGCTTGTGCCCATGGCTTGCTTGTGCCCAGGCTTACTTGTACCTAGAGATAGAACAAAGCCATGTCAAAACTGTCTACGATTCTTTGAGTGTTTTTCCAGCTACCCACCACTCCACCAACTACCCTTGGACCTTAGTTGGAATCTGACACTTGGCATGACACCATATAACTTAGATGTGTAGTAGGCTATACTATCCAGGTTAGTGTAAGAACACAATGACAAAATCACCTAAAAAAATGTTTCTCAGAGCATATACCATCATTAAATGAAACATGACTGTATACTGAAATTATTCTTTTCGCTTTTCTGAAGGTTTGTAAGATCACATACACAGGATTTTATGGAGGCAAAATATTACACATAGAATGAAATGCGGTACTAATGTGCCTTGAGTTCATGACATCTGTGGCCCATATCACTCTACAGAGTTAACATCTCATTTCCTGAGAAGGGGAGTTGAGCTCATTAACTGCTTAGATACACGAGGCAATGAGCTAGACCACGATTAGCACAAAAGCCCTTGTGATGGTAGCATCAAGTGACTCCTCTTTGCTAAGCTGTTAGAAAAATTGTTATTGTTTTGAAAATAACATTTCACATGGTGTAAATTCAAACAGTATAATTCAAACTGTATAATAATGAAGGGTGACTCTTTCTTCCACCCTAGGCCCCCAGTTCACTCTCTGAGGGCAAGTGTTGTCCTTAGTTTCTTTTTGATTCCTTGCAGAAATCTTCTATGAATATGTTGGTTTCTATGTATATAGTTTTGTTTGAAAATTAGATAATTATTAAGTAATATTTAAGACAAACGTATGAAGAATAATGCCACAAGCATATGTTTTCTCACCCTCTATTAAATAAAGCCAATACAGTTGAAGCCCCTTCCTGATTCCATCTTCCTCCGAGAGGTAATTGGTCTTCTGAATTTGGTTGCTATGCTCACTCCTTATACTTTTATGATTTATTTATGTGTCCTAAACAATATATAGGGAGTCATGAGTTGCTTAACAATGGGAGTATGCTCTGAGAAATGTATCATTAGGTGACTTCATCATTGTGCAAACATCATAGAGTGTACTTACACAAACATGGATGGTATAGCCTACTTCACACCTAGGCTACATGGTAGAGCCTATTGGTCCTAGGCTATACAACTGTACAGCATGTTACTGTACTGAATACTACAATTGTAACAAAATGGTAAGTACGTGTGTATCTAAACATAGAAAAATTACAGTAAAAATATGATATGAAAAATAATGAAACACCTGTATATGGCACTTACCATCAAAGGAGCTTGCAGGACTGGAGATTGCTCTAGGTGAGTCAGTGTTGAGTGAGTGTGAAAGCCTAGGACATTATTGTACACTACTACAGTAAACACTGTACACTTAGGCTATGCTAAATTTATAAAAATATTTCTTCAGTAATAAATTTAACTTAGCTTACTGTAATTTTTTTACTTTATAAGCTGAATTTTTAACTTTTGACTCTTGGAATAGCACTTAGCTTAAAAGACACATTGTATAGCTGTATGAAAATATTTTCTTTATATCTTTATCAGCATTTTTTTTTTTTTTTTTGAGACAGAGTCTCACTCAGTTGCCCAGGCTGGAGTGCAGTGGCATGACCTCGGCTGACTGCAACCTTCGCCTCCTGGGCTCAAGAGATTCTTCTGACTCAGCCTTCTGAGTAGCTGGGACTACAGGTGCGTGCCACTACGCCTGGCTAAGTTTTTGTATTTTTAGTAAAGACTGGGTTTCACTGTGTTAGCGAGGATGGTCTTGATCTCCTGACCTCGTGATCCACCCGCCTCGGCCTCCCAGAGTGCATGATGGCCAAGTGTGAGCCATCATGCCTGGCCAGCTTTTTTTCTATTTAGAAATGTTTTATTTTTATTTTTTAAGCTTTTTTTTGTTGTTGAAAAGTTAGACACAGACATACACATTAGCCTAGGACTACATAGGGTCAAGATGATCAAGAAGTCACTAGGTGATAGGAAATTTTTATCTCTATTTTAATCTTATGAGACCACCATTGTATATGTGGTCCATCATTGACCAAAATGTCTTTGTGGTGCATAACTGTAACGTTTTAAAATAATATATTTATGGAATCATATTGTATATTACACATATTGTACATATTCTAATCATATTGTATGTGGCATGGAAAATCATGATTTTTCATTCAGCATTATAAGAGTCATTCATGTAGATGACGCCATGATAGAGGCAGGAGGGTGATTCCCCAGCGAGGGCCCCCCCTCAAGCCTGAAACTGTGGCCCAAAGTAAGAACTATCCCTGTTTTCCCACCTGAATGTTGCCTTTTGGCCTACCCTGCCCTGCCCCCTATCCTGTGCCCATAAGAGCCCCAGACCCCAGACTCAGGAGACTCACACAGAAGAGAGAAGGGTCTGAATGTTGAGAGGAGAAGCAGCAGCTGGATGTTGGAGACTATGGTTGGAGAGGAGTTTGGCCAGGAACGGCTAGACTCCAGGGAAAGATTATCTTCCCACTCCACCCCCTTTTCAGCTTCCCTTTCCACCAAGAGCCAATTCCACCATCAATAAAGTCCTCCACATTCACAACAGTTCAATTCATTCATGTGACCTGATTTTTCCTGGATGCTGGACAAGAACTCAGGTACCAAGAGGGCAGGGTGTAAAAGGCTGTCACCCTGAACTCCACTGAGCTGCTTAACAGCCATCTGCAGATGGCAAATGCTAAAAGAGCACTGATTGTTAACACATGCCCTCTGGGGCTCTGGGGGTGGCAGACACACCCTCCTAAAAGAGCAACATAACATGCTTGGATGCTGCCACAGGGCCCGCATAGAGCCTGCTCCCACCAGAGAGAAGCGGCCGGCTCCAGCGTTTGTTCACTCTAGTTCTCACACTTGTCCACTTGTGTGCTCCCTTCTATATGGGATTGAATGTGGTGGCCGAGTAAATGAGCCACCCCTATCGTAAGTCCCGTGAAGGGGCCAGAGAACTCTCCCATTTCATAGGTATATACAGCCTTTTACTGTATTCATTTGCATAGCTATATGGTATTTAATTATATGAATATATCACAATCTATACATTAATTTTCTGTTTGATGGATGATTACGTTGCTTTCAGTTTTTGCTACCATAAACAATACTGTAATGAACAGTCTTATATGTGCCTCCTGATGTAAGTGTGTGAGTTTCTCTAAGGTATTTACCTAGGAAGAAAATTCCTTAGTCATAGGATGTGTATTTTAAACTTCTCTAGATATTGCCAAACTGTTCTCCAAAGGGATTGTATGTATCCTTTCAAAATTTATTTATTGACCGAGAGTGGCATGTATGTGTAATAGTCAGGTTTTGGAATTGTATTGATTTATTTATTAATATCCTTTTCTTTCAAAAGGTGTGATTCTGGCAAGAGGTGGGGCTGGGGTTTGAACCCAGGACTTCTACTTCAAACTCTCTGCACTTTCTGTTGTTTCATATTTTGTCTCCTCTACCTGAAGGCATCCTACGTCCTTGCATATGAGATTTGAGCCTAAGTGAAAGTATGAGTTCATGTGTAGCTTGGGTGGTACTTGTTTATGTGATTGTGGAGGAGACCCTAATCATTGGCTCCCTTTCTTTTGCTGGTGGTGGGGTTCAGGACGTACTACACCAAAATAGGGCATTTTGGCATTTGACTAAACTGCAGAAGCTGGAGGGTCACTCTCACCTTCCCCTTCCCTTTTCCTCTGAAACAAATCATAAACCTAGTAAGGATTCTCTGACCTTTCCCTGACGCAAGTCATAAGACCCTCATGTGAGAGGCAGCCTCCCTATATCCAGAGGAAGGGAGCCCCCTTATTTTTAAAGACACAGGGACATAGAAGAATCTAACACCTAGGTCTTGTTAAGTTTCCCCCAGTTTATTACCATTAGATCATACCCTTTGTCCAATTGTGTTTTCTACAACTGTCCACTTCATCAAACCAAGCATAAAAAACACATAGGTTTACCCATTTCTTCAGGTCTTCATTTCCTTATGAGGGCCCCCATGTCACATAAAACTTACATTAAATAGATTTCTATGCTTTTTTCTTGTTAATCTCTTTTGTTATAGGAGGCTTAGCCGTGAATCTAGTGATAGATGAGAAAATATATTTTTCTCCTGCACTGTAATGGAGCATTTCTTTTTCTTTTCTTCATTCTTCTTCTAAATCTTTAACTCCATTTTTTTTGAGACCCAAGTAATATGTGTCTCCTGTTCGACTCTCTCCACTCCAGTATCATTTTGCTCGCTAGATTAACTACCCAGCAACTTTTTGGTGGGTATCTTTCTTGTAGGGACATTTTTTAAGACTACGTAATACCCTATTTCTCATCCAAGTGTTACCCACTAGTTTTAGCATCCATTGATGATTACCACTAAACACAGTTATTACTGTGGTGATTGCCAATTAGTGATGTATAATCTTATTTAAACCTCAGAATAACCTCAAGAAATAGGCTTTATTGTCATTGTGAGTATAGACAGCAGCAAGGGAATTAATATAAAGGGTTAGTTGTCATATGTTACCATATGTGAAATAGCTTGATTTAGCCATTCCATAATGTATATCAAAACATCATATTATATACTATAAACATGTAAGCAATTTTTACTTGCAAATTAAAAAAAGTTAAATTTGTAGAAGGAATGCTAAAGTCTCTTTATCCATCTCTAAGAACTGGATTCTATGAACTTTTCAATACCTTATTCTATACCTTTAAAAAAAAGGCAGCACAATTGAGAATAAAACTGCCCCAACAACTTGTATTTCATCTAAAGGAATCTATTTGCTAAAGTTGGAAAAAAAAAAAAGAAAACCAAAACTTCTTCTACAAGGTGTTCTAAAGGCCTGTAGGCAGCTTCTGGACCCAAGTTGATGTTTTATTCTAATAGGACCTGCAGGGGTCAACTTCTCTTGTAAAGGAAGGCTAAAATGTCACTGTGCATCAAGAGATGTGTTCCTACTTCTAATCCTCATGTTTAAAAACATGTATACTGGGGGAAAGAATGCTTCACGTCCTTATCAAGTAGGGCATAACAAAATTGGAAATTGGTTCGTGATTTATTGCACCTCCGGCGACACACTGAAGTGTGTAGTAAAATTAACTTTTGGTATATACAGTAGCTGCTTGCACAGCATGACTAAAGAAAGACCCTGTGAGTAGGAGAGGTCGCAGATGAATGAGGCCAGAAATGGAAAACTTCCATGGGTTCAAGCAGCACAAATGTGTGTTGCTGGAATTTGCTAGCATTTGCATTCGATCTTTGTGGCTAGTGGGAATATAGACTCAGAAAGCCCTGAAGGTCCTCCTCAGTTCCTTCCTCCAGCCACCTGGACCTGTGAAAGTCCCTTTGATAACAAGGGTCTCTTTGTTTGTAGTTGAGTCAGGCTGCTACCAGTCGGCAAGCAGAGAGTTGAGCAGAAGTCCAGACTGCAATTGCACAAGACCATATTGTTGCAGCCTCAGGGTTGTGAGGCATTTTTGGCGAGCAGGATATTTTGAACACCCACAGGAGCTCAGAGTTGTGGACATAGCCATGGACAGGGAAAATATTTGATAGCAGAGCCCTTTCTGGAAATTCCCACGTGGTGAACAAGAATGTGCAGTGGAATTTTGGTTTCATATTAAAATCCCTTGAAGCGGGCCCTAGGACTGTATGGGGTTCTCAGATCTTTCCCTTAATGAAATCGCCAAATGCAACACTTTAGCATTAGGACTGCATTGCAGTAATATAAACCAAAGATGGGCTAATTTACATTTGTGCCCACACCGTTAATGTAAATTGCTTATTAGCTATTTATGTTAAAGAGCAGCAATATAAAACATAAAGGTAGTTTTATTAACTACATCTTGCCCTCTGAAATCTGCTGTGCGTGGAGTTTACAATCAGTGATTTTCTTCCCCCCTCCATGCAGTATGGCATTTACTCTGCCTAATTAACATATTTATTAACAAATTACTGCCCTCTTTCGGCAATTTGCATTTTATAACACATCACTACAATGAAGTTAATAAGGCAGTCCCATGCCCTGCTTTTGTGATTCTACTGGAATGTTGCATTAGCCTTTTTGTCTCCTCTTGCTTTCATTTCTGTTTTAGGCAGGGGTAAAGACAAATGGCATTTACAAACAATGATAATGCAGGAATAATGGGGATGTAAATGAGTTTCAGTCATCACATCCTTTTTTGAGGCTATGGACAGGTGTGAGCAGGAATGTGAGTTGGGGAGGAACTTGTTACCCCAGATGCCCAGACTCCTATTAACTTTACTAGGGATGGCACCAACTTCAAGAGGCCGAAGAAGAGACCTGGAGTCAGCAAACAAGACATAAGGTTTTATTTGGGGGAACTTGCATACAGGGAATATATAGGGACGGTCCAGAGGGAGTGGGCTGCACAGGAGAAACAACCACTTGTGAAAAGCACGCAGTTTATGTAGCACCTTCACTTAGCACCCTCTCCCTACCAACCTCCTGGTGGCAGCCCTAATTTCTTAACTTGTTGCTGTCGGGTGCATCTGCCACAAGGGTCATTCTCAGGGTATGCGTAAGTTATTGTTGACGTGTTTCTACTATATAGGACCAAATCATGCATCTTATGCTCTGCCCCTAGGTCATCTTCTGCCTCACCAATCTGGGAAGGCCATACTTCTTACTTTTTCTCTCATACTGATAATTTCAGGACGTAGACACCGGCTATAAGGAGTCAAGAGCAAAAAGAATGTGGGATCAGTTCTTGGGATATTTAAGAAAAAGTACATATTTGTTATAACAAGTTTCTAGAACTGGTTCTCAACCTTAACAATACTAATGCCTGAGTATACGGCATAAAAATTCAATAAAACTTTCTAGGAGTGGGTCCTAGGAGGTTCCAATGTGCAGCCAGCGTTGCCAGAGTTGTGAACTACTTCTCTTAAGGGCTTTCTAGACCAGGATTTCTAAAATCTTTGGGTATGGCAACACCCTTTTTTTTTTTTTTTTTTTTTTTTTTTTGGTAAGGCCATCATCTAACTGAAAGTATGCAAAACTTGAAAATCTATTCTTCTTAAAATTAAAAAATGAATTCACTTTTGAGAATTTGGGGTGAAATTTAATATGTGGCATTGAAATAATTGGAGTCCATACATAAGAATCGTCAATCCTGGTTAGGAGACTTATCATTGATATGAGGGCGTGCCTTATTCTTTCAACAGTCACTTCACTTTAAATCCAACCCTTAAAGCAATATTCACAGCAGGGCTGTCTTAATACCACCTGAACCTAAGAGGAGCAGGTTGCTTCCTGCAATCCTGTTGGTCTCACCTGCGTTTCCCCTTTGAGCTCTCTTGTTGCTTTTTTCTCTTGTTTTATGCTTAGACTTATGCTGAAGGAGCTAAGGAAAGCTTTCCCTGGAGGAAAACTTCTCTGAAGGTTTGCTGACAGTACTGACAACGGACAGATCAATAGGAGAAAAGGTGTACCAATTTATTTAATGTGCATAAGCCCAGGGGAATTGCATGAGAATGATCCCCCAACAACCCAGTGGGGGACAAATGTTTACATACTGTTCTTCACAGGGGATGAGGAAGTTGGGGAATGTAGGCAATTCTTTTAAGGGGTAGTAACTGACTATTAGGGAGAATGAATGAAACAGGGAGACAGAAATTAACTTGTAAATGATTCTTTTTGCAATTTGAATGAGCCCAAGAGGCAGGCATTATCTTGTGAAAAAGTCCATCCAGGTGTGGTTGCATTCCTCAGTCTTCTTTTCTGTGATGGGCAGTGAGATTTCAGAGCAGGGATGGAAGGCAATTGTGTTCTCTTTGGCAGATCCAGTCTTAAGGTAGATAAGAGAATATCAGAGGAGAGCCTCTTTCAAGCATCTGCTGACCTTCAAGTGCCTTTAATTTAAAATATCAGTATACCATGGTGCTATATTTTGGAGTGGAATTCCCTGGGCTACTTCACCTATATATATAGTGTTTCCTTGCAAACAACTTGAAATGCCACAAAAAAGTAATGTAAATAACTAGAGTCGTTTGGAGAGATCTAACGGTTAAAAATGGAGACATTAGCAGGGATGCAATATTAAGGAATCTTGTTGGTAGCTATGCTTGTTACAGTAGGTAGACAGTCAGGCATGAGCAGGGCAGGAGAGGGCCCTTGCCCCCACCAGGAATGGCAGTGTGTCTGGAATTGGTGGGTTCTTGGTCTCACTGACTTCAAGAATGAAGCCGCGGACCCTCGCAGTGAGTGTTACAATTCTTAAAGGTGGTGTGTCTGGAGTTTGTTCCTTCTGATGTTAGGATGTGTTCAGAGTTTCTTCCTTCTGTTGGGTTCGTGGTCTCGCTGGCCTCAGGAGTGAACCTGCAGACCTTCGCGGTGAGTGTTACAGCTCATGAAGGCAGTGCGGACCCAAAGACTGAGCAGCAGCAAGATTTATTGCAAAGTGCGAAAGAACAAAGCTTCCACAGTGTGGAAAGGGACCGGAGCGGGTTGCCCCTGCTGGCTCGGGCAGCCTGCTTTTATTCCCTTATCTGGCCCCACCCACATCCTGCTGATTGGTTCATTTTACAGAGAGCTGATTGGTCCGTTTCGACAGGGTGCTGATTGGTGCCTTTATAATCCCTGAGTTAGACACAAAAGTTCTCCAAGTCCCCACTAGATTAGCTAGACACAGAGCACTGATTGGTGCATTTACAAACCTTGAGTTAGACACAGGGTGCTGATTGGTATGTTTACAAACCTTGAGCTAGACACAGAGTGCTGATTGGTGTATTTACAATCCCTCAGCTAGACATAAAGGTTCTCCAAGTCCCCACTAGACTCAGGAGCCCAGTGGATCCCACACCGGGGGCTGCAGGCAGAGCTGCCCGCCAGTCCTGCGCTGCGCACCCGCACTCCTCAGGCCTTGAGCGGCTGATGGGACCAGGTGCCGTGGAGTAGGGAGCTGTGCTCCTCGGGGAGGTTCAGGCCGCGCAGGAGCCCACGGCTAGGGGGAGGCTTGGGCATGGCAGGCTGCAGTTCCTGAGCCCTGCCCCACAGGGAGGCAGCTGAGACCCTGCGAGAATTTGAGCGCAGTGCCAGCGGGCCGGCTCTGCTGGGGGACCTGGTGCACCCTCCGCAGCTGCTGGCCCGGGTGCTAAGCCCCTCACTGCCCTGGCCGCGGGTGCCGGCCGGCTGCTCTGAGTGCGGGGCCCGCCGAGCCCATGCCCACCCCGAACTCGAGCTGGTCTGCTGCGCGCAGCCCCGGTTCCCTTCCGCGCCTCTCCTCCGCACCTCCCTGCAAGCAGAGGAAGCTGGCTGTGGTCTCAACCAGCCCAGAAAGGGGCTCCCATAGTGCAGTGGTGGGCTGAAGGGCTCCTCAAGTGTGGCCAGAGTGGGCGCCAAGGCCGAGGAGGTGCCGAGAGCGAGCGAGGGCTGCCAGCACACTGTCACCTCTCAGCAGGAAACCATCAGGTGATGGTCAGGCAGTTGTTAAGCTGTCTCTAAAATAATAATTGGTCACAGCCAGTGCCAGGGAAAGGCAGTTTCCCAATAATTTTTGGCTCCCTGGTCCATTCATTCTCCCTAATAATCATTTACTACCCCTTTAAAGAATTGCATACATTCCCCAACTTCCCCATCCCCTGTGAAGAAGGGTATATAAACATCTGTGCCCCATTGGGTTGTTGGGGAATCATGCTGGGTTTATGTACATTCAATAAATTAGTCTGCCTTTTCTCCTATTAATCTGTCCATTGTCAGTATTTTCAGCAATTGAGAAACTGCTTGTCAACCATCTGAAACTGGTGATCAGCAGCTTACCAATAAGATCTCAGGAGTTGGGCAAATGGGCCCAAGCATGCGCATTAAGAGGCAAAATGGTGGAGTTTAACTGGTATATTATGACCTTCAGAGGCCATAAAGGGAAGAACACCTCAGGTAGGCATGCATACAACTCCAGTAAACACACTGCGCTTGCTTACCTCCCAAATGCTAGTAGGCTACTGTGCTGTGTGGGCAGCTCACCCCAAGGGAATAATCAAGAGAGGAGGGATGTAAGACCCTGGAAGAATGGCAACATATAAAACCCCAAGTCAAGAGGTCAAACCTTGCACTTGTCCTGCAAGATGGCTGCTTGGCCCTCTTCCAAGTGTACTTTACTTTCTTTTCGTTCGTGTTCTAAAGCTTTTTAATAAACTTTCACTTCTGTTCTAAAACTTGCCTCAGTCTCTTTTTCTGCCTTATGCCTCTCAGTCAAATTCTTTCTTCTGAGGAGGCAAGAACTGAGGTTGCTGTAGACCTGTATGGATATGCTGCTGGTGACTCGGATACTCGCCACTGCTAACATACTTTTCCCGAGGACCCTCTCTTCCTCTTCTTTTCACAGTTTTAGCCTGGGCTGAGAAATTGCTGTAAAGAATGGGCACCACAGTCATATCTTCTCACTCTACCCTCTGTGTGATCCCATCACTGATGATTTCTGTCAGTAGCTTATATCCGTGTCAGGACAAGAGTAAGAGAACTGAAGTGGACTGCTGAAAGATACGTGTAAGACCAAGGCCCACAAAGAAGGGAGAATCAATTCATGGTTTTCTATGATTTCTTAGTTCAGAAAGAGGCTCTAGGTCAGAAGTCTCTAACTTGTGTATGAATTGGCTCCATGACACTCAGGTGCAATAAGAAAGCATTTTTCTTTATATTTTAAACATCAAATTATATATGGCTTATTATGTTTATTTTTTAAGAGCCTGTAGTGTGTCCAGTTCTTCATAAAGTACTCTTGTCATTGAAACTGCCTTGCAAAAATTATAACAGAGAAATCTGACCTTACTGATTCCATCTTGTTTCTTTTCTTTTCTTTCTTTTTTTTTTTTTTTTTTGAGATGGAGTCTTGCTCTGTCGCCCAGGCTGGAGTGCAGTGAGTGGTGCAATCTCGGCTCACTGCAAGCTCCACCTTCTGGGTTCACGCCATTCTCTTGCCTCAGCCTCCCAAGTAGGTGGGACTACAGGCGCTCGCCACCATGCCAGGCTAATTTTTTGTATTTTTAGTAGAGACGGAGTTTCACTGTGTTAGCCAGGATGGTCTCGATCTCCTGACCTTGTGATCCGCCTGCCTCAGCCTCCCAAAGTGCTGGGATTACAGGCATGAGCCCCCGCGCCTGGCCCCTTCTCGTTTCTAAACTCACAAGCTAACTGCCTTTGTTAACTTTAAAACAAATATGATAACAGTTTCCTCGCAAAACTAACTCCCTCCTTGCTTGGGGACCAAAATTGCTTTTGTGATACTAATGAAAGGCAATAAGATTAGCATTATGGGAGGGGCCTGAATTCTGCTGAGATATAGGTGTAAACAATAACCAGTATTGTTCCCTAGATTGCTTTTCTAAAATTGTTTACTGTCAAGAGTCACATAGCCAGAGATCACAAGATTTGAAACTTTCCTAATTGTTCCTATAGATAATATACCTAAGGTTGGTCTTTGAAATATTTTCCAGGCTTTTGCATTCTGGCAACTGACTGACTCCACCTGGACCCATGACTCACCTGGTCTTGTGACCCCACCACCCCCTGCCCCCCAGAAATTGACTCAGCACACGAAGACATTTGGGACATTCCTATGATTTCATCTCTAACCAATCAGCAGCACCCATTCTATAGCCTTCTGCCCACAAAATTATCCTTCAAAACCCTAGACTCTGAGCTGTCAGGGAGGTGGATTTGAGAATTATCTCTCATCCTTCTGCTTGGCTGGCCTTGTGATTATGGAACTCCTCTTTGCTGCAAAACGTGCTGTTCTCAGTGCATTGGCTGTCCTGGGCAGCAGGCAAGAAGAACCTGTCAGAATGTCGTATCACGCTCCTGATTCTTGAGTAAGAGGACATCTTAGAGCACATGTTCTCTATATATGTATCTTCTCCTCTCTGTGAGGTTTGCTTAAGACTAGTGTCAGGAAAAGGCATCAGGACAGTGCATCCTACTTCATTAGAATAAAACTTAAATGCCCAGTCCAGTGACAATTCCATAGAGCTATTTTGTTTCTCTTCAAGCTCCTATTTATCCAAACAGTGATCCCAGACTAGGGACCAGATATCTGGCTGTCTTGACATGGCCCCAAATACATAATAACATTAATAAGCATCAACTTTATTAGTTTAGGACTTTAATTTCTTACTTCAAATTAAGCCAGTTAATTTTAATCCTGAGTATTTCAAGGAAATGCAAAAAGACCCTAAAGCAGGTTTCTTAGCTTGGGATTAATTCATAGGTCCCCTGAGGGTCTGGCTGGGCTTTAGTAGGCTTGTGAACCTCCTGAAATTGAATGAAAAAATTTGAATGAATTTTGTATACTTTTTTTTTGGTGAGAGGGTTTGAGACTTCTATCAGATTCTCAAGGTGATTTGTGGGCTAAATAGGTTAATACCTGTCATTGATTCTGGATTTTAGGATTATGAAAAATGTACACTATATTGATAGGGTGGGATCTTCAGGATAAGTCCTTAAAAACAAATATTTATAGCTTTTTTTTGTATTTTGTATACTTTTTGTATACTTTCTTTGGTGAGAGGGTTTGAGACATCTATCAGACTCTCAAGGTGATTTATGGGCTTAAATATGTTAATACCTATTATTGATTCTGGATTATGAAAAATGTGCATTATGTTGATAGGGTGGGATCTTCAAGATAAGTCCTTAAAAACAAATATAGCCACCATGGGTGTGCTAAATTATACAAATCTGACTTCTCGGTTCTTTTTCTTTGAGCCAGCGTCTCACTCTGTGACCCAATCTGGAGTGCCGTGGCACAATCTTGGTTCAGTGCAACCTCTGCTTCCCAGGCTCAAGCGATCCTCCCACCTCAGCCTCCTGAGTAGCTGGGAATGCAGGTGTGTGCCACCATGCCTGGCTAATTTTCACATTTTTTGTAGACGGGGTTTCTCCATGTTGCCCAGTCTGGTCTCAAACTCCCGAGCTCAAGCAATCCTCCCACCTTGGCCTCCCAAAGTGCTGGGATTATAGGTGTGAGCCACTGCACCCAGCCTGACTTCTCAGTTCTAAAGCCCCTTCTGATTCTCGTTCCCTTATGTGTCAGGTTACCCAGGATAGGGATCCACAAGTGCCAAATGAATGCAGGGGATATGTGGAACCATAGGATCAGGCATTTCCTAGGCTCAGTCTGCCCTGGCTTCAAAGGAAATGAAAAAACATTTTTTAAAAGAAGACACACAAATGACCAACAAGCATATGAAAAAATGCTCAACGTCACTAATCATCAGAGCCATGCAAATTACAACCATAATGAAATATCATCTTATGCCAATATGAATGGCTATTATTAAAAAGTAAAAAAATAACAGATGTTAGCAGGATGGAGAAAAGAGAATCCTTATACTGTAAACTAGTATAACCTCTATCAGAAAAAGTATGGTGATTTCTCAAAGAACTAAAAATACAACTACCATTTGATCCAGCAATCCCACTTCTGGGTATCTACCCAAAGGAAAAGAAATCATATCAAAAGATACTTATATGTTTATCACAGCACTATTTACAATAGCAAAGATATGGAATCAACCTAAGTGTTTATCAGTGGATGATTAAATAGAGAAAATGTATCTATATATACAATGGAATACTATTCAGCCATAAAAAATGAAATCATGTATTTTGCAGCAATGTGGCTGGAACTGAGGGCCATTAACTTACATGAAACAACACAGAAACACAGTAAAATACCACATGTTCCCACTTATAAGTGGGAGCTAAATAATATATAGATATGGACATAGAGTATGGGATAATAGACATTGGAGACTTGGAAGGGTGGGAGGAGGTGAGAGATGAGAAATTCATGAGTACAATATGCATTATTTAGGTGATGGCAACACTAAACACTCAGACTTCACCATCGTGCAATATCTCTATGTAAAAACAACTCTGGCTGGGTGTGGTGGCTCGTGCCTGTCATCCCAGCACTTTGGGAGGCCGAGGCAGGCAGATCACTTGAGGTCAGGAGTTCGAGACCAGCCTGGCCAACATGATAAACCTCCATCTCTACCGAAAATACAAAAAAGTAGCCAGGCATGGTGGCACATGCTTGTAATCCCAGCCACTTGGGAGGCTGAGGCAGGAGAATTGCTTGAACCTAGGAGATGGAGGTTGCAGTGAGCTGAGATGGCACCACTGCACTCCAGCCTGAGCAGTAGAGCAAAACTCTGTTTCAAAACAACCTCAAAACTCCCTCCACTTGTACCCCTTAAACATATGCCAAAAAAAAAAAAAAAACAAAAAACCTGCCCTGGCTCCTGGTAGAACTGCATAACTCAAGTGAAGCCGAGGGGGCTGGGTGTCATGGGGTGCTGGAGAGGCATCAGCCACAGCCGTGTGATGACATTTGGTACATTTCCCTATTGGAGCAGGTGAATCCTTAGTCCAGTCTCCTGGAAAAAGCAAGCAGTGACTACTGATTCCTTTCATCCCTGCAAAATAATAGACTTGGGGGTTTCTCTGAGGAAATAGGGCAACATGGTGGTACATAAATTTCATTACTCTTATTATCATCACTCTGATTTTAATTTGATTTAAAAATTTTATTGGTCCTAATTGTAGCAGTTATGAATGTTTATGTTATTTTCTGCCATTTCTAATTTCTGCAAAGAATACAGATCTCTTCTTCTTGATAATTGAAAATGACTTCTGCTTAATGGATTCATGCATTCATATGGAATCTCAATCTTTGGCTTTGACATTAAGGGTTAGTGCATATTATTAGCTCTTTTAAAAATTATATTCTTTTATAACCCAGTAATTTCTGATCTGTATGATCTAATAGTCTGATTTTTTTTATTATGGAGGAAAATTAGTCAATTTGGAATGCAAGAAAAAGCTAAATAAGCATATTTTTATATGCAAAAATAAGAATAGTGCCTAATGATATTTTGCTAAAGATTTTATTTGAAAAATTTCATCTGAAGTAATGCCCGATGGGGATCTCTGTAGATAATGGGTAAGAGTGAGTGTTTGCCTTTGTACCAGGCACACTTCTAGGTCTTAAGGGGTTAAAAGATATTTGGTCCACCCTTGTTAGAACAGGCTGTTATATTAGGAAGATTTGGATAAATACTCAGGAAAGCCCTTGTAAGAGAATAACCTGTTGCAGTCTATTTGTGTTATGGTCACCGTATGCATAAGCTAATTTTAAATATTAAAACTCTAATTATAAAAGACCACTTTCCTGAGGGATGGACCATGTGGGGAAGGGGGAAGGGTGCGGCCCTGAGGGATGAGTCACAGAGCCAGGGAGTGGGGGGGTGGAGGTGATAACTGACCAGCCTGTGTAGGATGATTCCTTGGGGTGCCCTGTATCCCAAGGGAGAAACTCAAATCGGGTTTGCTCCTCTGATTGTAATTGAGAAGACGGTGTCCTTAGATGGAGTACTTCCATAGATAGCTCTCACATATTGAGAAATAAAAATAGCTGCAATTTTGACATGGGGCAGGGAAGTCAGAGAGAAGTACCCTAAATAATACGGTGCACATTGCACTAAGTTGTCTGTGGTTCGAGAGCAGTTACTGGCAGGAGAATGGGGGTTCCGTAAAGCGGTCTCAAGCTTTTACTGAGATTCTCGAGATTAGAGTCCTTTATGTCTTTGTCTGATCCTATTTGCAATTTCTTATTTTCCCCAGTATCTTGTTTTTTTTTTTTTTAAGAAATGCTGCTTGAACCCAACTGCTTATCTTTGTTATATTAAGGCAAATAAGGGAAGGGTGTTGTTTCTGGACTTGGACTCAGAGAAGAACAACAGGAGAAGACCCGAAGGCTGTAGATGTGGGTCCAAGTGGCCCAGTTCAATCGACCGAGCACCTGCCCTGCTTGCTGTAGATGCAGGTGCGAGGCAGTACTGGGTTTTTGATCTGGATTTGAAGCCCTGTACTGTCACTTTATAACTGTGTGACTTTGAGCAAAATCACTAAAACTCAGCATCTCAGTTTTCTCATCTATATAATGGGGATAATAATACTTGCCTCATGAAACTGATGCTGCATGAAATAAGATAATGTAGTGAGTCCTCAAGCAAGGTGGTTGCTGTGTTGGTGCTGACCTTGGTGTTAATGTTGCTGTGATTCCTGCGTGGATACATTTTCAATTCAATGCTTTGAATGCTATTTATAATGAAGATGGGGCAAGATACTTAACTGAGATTTAAATGGTGTTTTCTCTCTCTGTTCCCCCACTCTTTCAAACAGAAAGCTGAACCCTTTTTATGTCCCTTTGTCTCAGGGAGGGTCCTATTTTTCATGAAACTCTGAATAAGGAGTCCTGGGAAGGAGAGGTCAGATAGAGAAGTCTTAGAAGACACTGAGAATGGGAGGAGGTGGGTGGGTGGGTCCTGGAACAGCAGGTAGCAGAACTTGGCTTGGAGGCAGCTCCCTGTGGAGCACAGGCGTCTAAGAGGCTGGGCTGAGTGGTGCACCTGGGGGTTCCTGGGCCTTGGGCTTGAGGCACCAGGATGTCCATCCAGTCTGGCTGCAGATTTCAGGACCCTAAACATGGCTTGGAAGAGGGGCCATGAGGACCGGGACAACAGCATCTTACCAGTCACCCACCCATATGGGCAGAGTGAAAATAATGAGAGGGGTCTCTTGACGGTTTGCTAACACTGTGGAGGGCAATTCCTGGCCAGAATGAAGGCTCAGGCTTCTGCCAGCCCGTTAGGGGGCATGCTCAGAGTTAGGTTTCATTTCATGCAGGTAAAATGAAGATAGTGATGTTTTTGTATACTTGATTTTGGTTGAAATTCACACATATTACAGAGCTATGCATAGATTTCAAGAGTACAGAAAAGGCACACCTGACCTAGGCCAGGGTGTAGTGAAAGAGTTCCTTAAAGAGCTGACACCTGAGTTAAATCCCAAACGATGAACAGGAGTTATCCGTGGAGAGGGGTTGGGGAAAGGAGTTCGAGGCAGACAGAACAGCGTGAGATTGCACAGTGTGTGTGGAGAACAACAGATAATTTAGAGTTGCTGCATGTAACTAACTGCATTGAGAATGTTGAGAAATGATTCTAGACCAGCACTGCCCATTAGAAGTTTCTGCAACAGTGGTGTATTTGCTTTCTCTTGAGGCTGTAACAAATTACCACAAAATTAGTGACTTACAATAACACAAATTTATTATCTCACAATTCTGGAGGTCAGAAGTCCAAAATGTGTCTCACTGCACTGGGCTAGAATCAAGGTGCCACCAGGGATATGTTTCTTTCTGGAAATTCTCATGGAAAATCAATTTTCCTGCTTTTTCAAGTTCCAGGAGGCTGCCTGAGTTCCTTGGCCTGCACCCTTTTCTTCCAGTTTCAAAGCTAGCAATGCTGGCCGAGTCTTCCTCACACTGTCACTCTGATGCTGACTCTTTTGCTTCCCTCCCTCACATTTAAGGATTTTTGTGATTACACTGGGCCCAGGCTGGTAGCCCAGGATAATCTATTTTCAGGTCACTTGATTAGCAATCTTAATGCTGTCCACTACCTTAATTCCTCCTGCCATGCAACCACATATTCACATGTTCTGGGGATTAGGACATGGACGTCTTTGGAAGGCTGTTATGCTGCCTACCACAGATAGAAACATTCTATATCTGTGCTGTCTAATATAGTAGACACTAGCCACATGTGGCTATTTAAATTTAAACCAATTAAAATAAATAAAACTAAACATTCAGTCTCTCAGTCACCCTAGCCACAGTTCACATGCTCAGTAGCCACATGTGGTTATTGGTTACTGTATTGGACAGTACTGCTCTAGAAGGAGGGTGCTGCCAGATAAGGTAGGGCCCAGGACTTCTCAACCTCTTCCACTAAAGTACCCTTGAGAGTAGATGAGCCTGCACCCATGGCATCAGTAGATGTGGGGTAGCTAATGAGACCTAATTCAAACACCAACTTTCTTTAGAGAAAGACATTTTTATTTTATCTAATAATATATTCAAGTTTATGTTATTAAACAAGTATATATATTTCCATGTCTTCAAGTAAAACCAGCATTCTGGGAAAGTCACCATGTTTATTCTGGAACTCTCCTGGCACATTGCCATACATTCCAGTGGTGATACGCATACCGACAGAAGTCCAGCTGTGGAGATTTCTGGGCAGAGGAGGAATATGGTCCCATTTGAAGAGGGACCCCAGGGAGCAGTGGGGGCAGGGGATGGGGGATGCCTTTGACAGGATGTAGACTAGAGGTAAAGAGACCAGCTAAGGGGCTGTAGGAGGACAGCTACATATCCTTGCCCTCTTGAACTCAGGCGGTGGTATGTCACTTGCTCGGGCCAATGAAATGTGGGGCAGAAGCTCTAAAAGTCAGTTCCTGCTTTGTGATACTCAGTTTTCCCAGAGTGCAGACAGTGTGGGCAGCACTGCAACTTCTCATGGTGGACATATCATGTGAGCAAGAAATTAGCAGATATTATTGTCAAGATTTTAGGATTATTTGTTAGCACAGCAGAGCTTAGCTTATCCATATTGGCACAGAGATGGTGCAGGATACTTGCACAGAGGCCTTGGCTGTATAAAATGTCTATTAGAGAGATGTTGACTTAAAATGGCTAAAGCTCGTGGGTGATTCCGAGCCTTAAGCTAGATTTATACTGTTTGCTTGTCTTTATACAACAATAATTCTTTTTTTTCCAAGTTAAGATTCTTTTTACTATTTAGTTTATGCTCTTAGACAAATCAAATTACGTAGAGCCAAGATCATTTTCATGAGAATACTGTCTGATTGGATTTGGGTAGCAAGAACAGAGCATGGAAACATAATTTAGGAGAGACAAGATTTTTCTGTTCACTAGAATTGTTGGAAATTGAGAAGATGGGTTTGCATCTTTCATATGACTTTCTTCCCTGGTTTATTCCACTGAGTTGTCATTAGTTTGAGATTACCCTTCTAATCCCAATAGATAGAATTTTGGTAGTAATTTTTAGAACTAATTGAGCAATAAAAACAAGTTAATGCTTGACTTGGATATTTTTTTCATTTACCTAATCAGTAATAAGTAATACTATCTGTTTCCTTAGAGCAGTAAATAATAGTACTATCACATCTGATAAAATATATCATATACCAGGCCCCAAATTGGAATGTATGTCCCACATACAATGATCTTCTTCTGAGGACAGAGGTTTTAACAGTCAGAAGAGACCCAGTAGCAGCATGGAAAAATGCTGTGAATTGCCCACAGTGGTTATGACATTTTTCTGTCCAACTTTGAGGAGTTTATGTTATTGTTACCTGGCCTATTTGTGTGCATAAATGAAGGCTTGGAAAGTAAGTGGAGTTACTGCTGGGGGAGGAGAACAAGTATATTAAAATAGGTGGCATGAGCCAAAAGGTGTATAATGAGTTGACTGAGGCCCACTGTTCACCTAGATGGGCGTCTGTTTCCTTTTTTGTTTCTGGTAGGATAATACAAAAATACCCTTTGTTGCTCTTGTAGGCCAAAGCATGAATCTTAAAAAACAGAGGAGCCACAATGAATGTGCTTTTCGTGGGCCCTTCAGTGGTGGTGGTCAGGGGAGGATGGGGGCAAATAGGGTTGGTGTGCAACCTCATCAGGATTCAAAATGTTGTGGGCCATTTGCTGCTTTTGCTTCTATTGACAAAATTATCCCCATGTGAAGGGGAAAAATGTCAGGGAGGAAGATGTATTAGGTGGTAACTTTGTTCTTTTTTAACATTCTTAGGCTGTTTTTAGAAAGGGACAGGAAAATTTTCATACATTTCCTGAGGATATGGATATGCAAAGTCATAAACTCTATATTTTTGATGGGTATTAGTATATACCCACACTGCAGTCAATACCTAGAGCAGAGTTGACGATTTTTTTCCCTTGCCAAGAGAGGAATTTTGCCAATAGAAGCTTTTCTATGTAATGAGCAAAAATAACTATATAGTAAAGTAGAGTGTCTTACGTAAATTGTAAAGTGACTCACATTTGTTCCTAGGAGATGTAGTAAAATAAAAGATTGTTTTTCTGACTGAAGAGTTGTCAGTAAGAAAATCACAGCTATATTGCCGGGCGTGGTGGTTCACGCCTGTAATCCCAGCACTTTGGGAGGCCGAGGTGGGTGGATCATGAGGTCAGGAGATCGAGACCATCCTGGCTAACACAGTGAAACCCCATCTCTACTTAAAAAAAAAAGTTACAAAATCGATGTACAAAAATCACAAGCATTCTTATATACCAATAACAGACAAACAGAGAGCCAAATCATGAGTGAACTCCCATTCACAATTGCTTCAAAGAGAATAAAATACCTAGGAATCCAACTTACAAGGGATGTGAAGGACCTCTTCAAGGAGAACTACAAACCACTGCTCAATGAAATAAAAGAGGATACAAACAAATGGAAGAATATTCCATGCTCATGGGTAGGAAGAATCAATATCGTTAAAATGGCCATACTGCCCAAGGTAATTTATAGATTCAATGCCATCCCCATCAAGCTACCAATGACTTTCTTCACAGAATTGGAAAAAACTACTTTAAAGTTCATATGGAACCAAAAAAGAGCCCGCATTGCCAAGTCAATCCTAAGCTAAAAGAACAAAGCTGGAGGCATCACGCTACCTGACTTCAAACTATACTACGAGGCTATAGTAACCAAAACAGCATGGTAGTGGTACCAAAACAGAGATATAGACCAACGGAACAGAAGAGAGCCCTCAGAAATAATGCCACATATCTACAACTACCTGATCTTTGACAAAACTGACAAAAACAAGAAATGGGGAAAGGATTCCCTATTTAATAAATGGTGCTGGGAAAACTGGCTAGCCATATGTAGAAAGCTGAAACTGGATCCCTTCCTTACACCTTATACAAAAATTAATTCATGATGGATTAAAGACTTAAATGTTAAACCTAAAACCATAAAAACCCTAGAAGAAAACCTAGGCAGTACCATTCAGGACATAGGCATGGGCAAGGACTTCATGTCTAAAACACCAAAAGCAATGGCAACAAAAGCCAAAATTGACAAATAGGATCTAATTAAAGTAAAGAGCTTCTGCACAGCAAAAGAAACTACCATCAGAGTGAACAGGCAACCTACAGGATGGGAGAAAATTTTTGCAATCTACTCATCTGACAAAGGGCTAATATCCAGAATCTACAATGAACTCAAACAAATTTACAAGAAAAAAACAAACAACCCCATCAAAAAGTGGGCAAAGGATATGAACAGACACTTCTCAAAAGAAGACATTTATGCAGCCAAAAGACACATGAAAAAATGCTCATCATCACTGGCCATCTGATAAATGCAAATCAAAACCACAATGAGATACCATCTCACACCAGTTAGAATGGCGATCATTAAAGAGTCAGGAAACAACAGGTGCTGGAGAGGATGTGGAGAAATAGGAACACTTTTACACTGTTGGTGGGACTGTAAACTAGTTCAACCATTGTGGAAGTCAGTGTGGCGATTCCTCAGGGATCTAGAACTAGAAATACCATTTGACCCAGCCATCCCATTACTGGGTATATACCCAAAGGATTATAAATCATGCTGCTATAAAGACACATGCACACGTATGTTTACTGTGGCACTGTTCACAATAGTGAAGACTTGGAACCAACCCAAATGTCCAACAATGATAGACTGGATTAAGAAAATGTGGCACATATACCATGGAATACTATGCAGCCATAAAAAATGATGAGTTCATGTCTTTTGTAGGGACATGGATGAAGCTGGAAACCATCATTCTCAGCAAACTATCGCAAGGACAAAAAACCAAACACCGCATGTTCTCACTCATAGGTGGGAATTGAACAATGAGAACACATGGACACAGGAAGGGGAACATCATACACCGGGGCCTGTTGTGGGGTGGGGGGAGGGGGGAGGGATAGCATTAGGAGATATACCTAATGTTAAATGATGAGTTAATGGGTGCATCACACCAACATGTTTGTTACATGTATACATATACAACAAATCTGCACGTTGTGCACATGTACCCTAAAACTTAAATTATAACAATAATAAAAACAGAAAATCACAGCTATATCAATATATTATAAGGGAGAGATGATAGGTGTAGAATTCTGTAATAGATGATAAATTAATAAAGTAATAAAATGAGTATAACTCCACAAGGAGAGGCCAGTGTAATGTAAGGTCCATGTAGGAGACAAGAAAAGGCATGCATCATGAATTTGACCCAAAATTAATGATAGCTGTAACAAATATTGATTAAACATTAAATTACCTACAATTTTGCATGCCTCCTTAGGAGTAATTTAAATGCCCTGGGCTTTTAACAGAGGTAATCCAATGAAGTTTTAACCTATGTTTTCTTTTTCTCTTACAGTAAATTTCCACGTAGAAGACAGGCATTGTTGACCTTTATCACTGACCTTAAAGTAGCAGATGTTTCATAAGCGAGTGTTATTGTTGATTATGGGGCTTCTTCCTCCAAAAATTATTTTCTAAAATGAGACTGATTATTCCATTTGCAATAGCACAAAAATATGAAATACTTTGGGATAATCTTAACAAGAAATGTTTAGGTCCAATATGAAAAAAATTGTAAACTTTACCAAGGGAAATGAGAGAAGACCTTATGTTCTTTGGTGAGACTGGGGTTAAAAGTTTTAAAGGTATGAATTCTGTTCATACTTTTAAAAACATGTTTAATAGAATTCTAATTATTATTTGTGTAAGATATTTTGGGGACTTACACATAATAGCAAAATTGTTCTTGGAGAAAAAAATAGAGAATGGCCAAAACATTTTTTAAAAAAGAATTATAATGAGAGAGCAGCTGTATTTTAACTGGGTTAAAATGTATTATACAACTTCACACCCAGTATAATGGTTATTATCAAAAAACAGAAAACAAGTGTCAGTGAGAATGTGGAGGAATTAGAACCCTTGTGCATTGCTGGTGGAAATGTCAAATGGTGCGGCAGCTCTAGAAAACAGTATGGCAATTCCTAAAAAAGGAATTTTTTTTTTTTTGCTTTACATATATTATTTTTTCTAAATTTACAATAGAAAGTAAATATTGTCCCTCCCATTTTTTACAGTGGAAAATTGAGGGCCAGCATGACTAAAAATAGTGTAGTGCTCAAACAGAAGAATATTTTTCCAGATATTTTCTTCCTCTCTTAAAAAATTAAACATAGATTTACCATTTGACCCAGCAATGACACTTCTGGGTATATACACAAAAGAACTGAAAGCAAAGACTTGAACAAATGTTTGTACAACCAGGTTCATAGCAACATTATCACAACAGCTGAAAGGTAGAAACAACTCATGTCCATCAACAGATTAATGAGTAAACAAAATGTGGTGTATACATGCAATGGAATATTATTCAGCCTTAAAAAGGAAGGACATTCTGACACATGCTACAATATGAGTGAACCTTGAAGACCTCATGCTAAGTTGCAATAAGCCAGACACAAAAGGGCATATGTTATATAAGTCCACTTATATGAGGTACCTAGAATAATCAAATACACAGAGACAGAGAGTAGAATGGAACAGGGGTTGGGGAATTGGGAAATGAGGAGTTATTGTTTAATGGGTACAGAGTTTCAGTTTGGGAAGAATGGGAAGATGAAACAATTCTAGAGACTGATGGTGATAGTGATTTCACAACAATGTGAATATACTTTTTTTTTTTTTTTTGTATTTTTAGTAGAGATGGGATTTCGCCATGTTGGGGAGGCTGGTCTCGAACTGGCCTCAAGTGATTTGCCTACCTTGGCCTCCCAAAGTGCTGGGATTATAGGCATGAGCCACCACGCCCAGCCACAATGTGAATATACTTAATGCCACTGAACTTTATACTTCAAAATAGTTAAAATGGTAAATTTTCTGATGGCATATATTACCAAAATAAAAAATACTACAAATTGTATTACAGAATTATAGTAGATAAAGTAGCAGAATAATTGCTCAAGACTGCTGCTCAGTTCACCATAACCACATAAAGAGACTCTATTATGCTAATGGATTTAAATCTGATATAAATAGTCATCATAAGGAAGTTGGAAAAAGAATTAATGAATGATTGGTGTTTGTGTTTCAGTTCAACTGTCTGCTGGCACTGTGAACTTGAGAAAATGCCCTAATCACTGTTAATCTGTAAAATGGGAAAAGAAACAGGAAAAAGAAAGGATGATGCCAAAGATTAGAATGATAAAGATGACGTTACCTGTCACGGGTCTATTCTGGGCTGGAATGGGAGTGGGAGTGGGTGAGGTGGAGTGGAGTGGGAAGGGGTGGTAATCTGTGGGACTTTTCTGGGTGGCAAGAAGAAGTGGATCACGAAAATCACCTTTATCCTGGTCAGGTGATGGCTGTGAATGGCTCCCTTTGACACTGAAGATGTTCCAGGTGCTTCTGGGATTGGGGCTCTGGGGAATCATGGGGTGTGGGCTACATCCCTCTCCCTGGTGAGCTAACACAAACACGCAAAACCCTAAAGAAATTTCTTTCAGTTCCTTACTCCAAGTTCATGATAATAGAGTATCCAGAGTATAAAGAAAAGGCATCGTAGGGATGAGAACAAAATGTGAGGGGTTGCAGCTTTATTTTGGTTAAATTATGTTTGTGCTCTACAAACAAGGAGGGCCTCCCTGACCAGACAATTGGGATGCTCCCATAAGGGTACTCTCTTAGGATAGAGTGTTCAGCCAGACCCTCTTCTCTCTTTTGTCTCCAGAAGTCTCCATCTCTCTTTGTCCCCACTCCTCGCATGCCTCAAACATCCTCATTCTCTTATCACAGGGCGTGAGTCATAGCTAGTCTCTCCCAAGCCCTCCTTTTGCTGGGTAGAGAGAGTAGAAGCTCTAAGACTTGGGGAGAGAGCAGAAGAGGAAGGATGATAGGTGGTCTTGACTTCAGGGGCAGCTTACCTTTTTCATTTCCCTTTTCTGCTTTTTAAAAATATTTCCTCCGGATAAAAAAAAAAAAACACCCAGATTTTACACTGTGAGAATTTTCTCACTGGATCTCCTTAAAGAATCATTTGCTAAGCATAGTTCTTGGTTCTCATGTAAAAATAGTGTATATCTTCTTGCTGACCTTGAGTTATTTGACCAAACCTGCTTTTATTACTATTTATTTTGCCTTAGGAAGCCCACATCCATGTGCTGTTCCTGGTTTATTCCTTTTCTTTCTTTGTTGTAGTTGGGAAGCAGATGTCCTGCAGGGGCCCTGCAGTAATGGTAGTAGTTATAATATTGACGTGATTGCTGCTGTAAAAGAGATGCCAGCTTTTGTCTAAGAGGAATCTGAACAGGTCTGGGCTTATGTGTTGAATTGGTATGGCAGGCTTGCCAAAAGATTGTTATAAATTAAGGATTCTTTGGGGAAGGGATTCTTTAGGAAGACAGGAGCAACCGGGCATGATAACCAATCTTAGATCTCCAAAGGGGATGGTGATTTGTGCCTCTAATCAAAGTTCCCTCCTCAGAGAGACCTTCTCAGATCATCTTATCTGAACTGATGCTCTCCCTACCTCATATCTCTTATAAAAAGATACTCCTTCATGCTTTAACATTTTTCTCTGTGGCATTTATTATCTAAAATGATCTTACTTATTGCTTTGTTTGCTTATTTATCATCTTTTCTCTCATTGACCAGAAAGGAGGTTTCACATCAGGGACTTCTTTTTTATTTCTACTCTAGGCCCGATGGCTAGAAGAGGGCCTACTGCAGAGTTGGTGTGCAATGAGAGAATGAATATTGTCCAGAGAAGAAGCTGTCTCAAATTTTTCCCTAACACAGCCTCATAGAGGCTGTATAGAGAGAAGTTTATAAGCAAAAACTGAAAGACTAACTAGGAACCCTGGGACCCATGGACCTTAACAGATCCTGGCCCTCAATCAACAGCAGGACTATTAGCCCACACCCCTTTTTCCCTTTAGCTGTTTGGATCCTCCAAGTGTCCCATTTCAAGCCAACATAAAAGCCACCTGAAACGTGTCCCACTGTGGGAGCCCAAGGCTTTAAGGCATGTTCATTCCTTTAGGAGCATTTAGGAAGATGGTGTTTCAGGATTTCAGAATCCTCTGAGCATGAAACCCCAAACGTGACCTAGTTACCTCCTTAGGTCACGTTTGGGGTTTCATGGCCCCTCTTCTCAATCCAGACTTTGACCATAAGTCAGAGAGAATGATATAGTCTCTGTGTTGCCCTCTGGAGGATCTAAGAGGGCCACAGTATTATACAGGCAGCACATGACTACATAAGGAGGTTGCAGGAAGTAGGGAAAACATTAGACTTTGATCTTAGGTAGGTCCTAAGGTAGGTAGAATGCTAGTTCTTTCATCTGATAACTTTGAAACATACTCAAAGTATTTAACTTTTCTTTTCTTTTTTTTTTTTTTTTTTGAGACGGAGTCTCACTCTGTCGCCCAAGCTGGAGTGCAGTGGTGTGATCTCGGCTCACTGCAAGCTCCGCCTCCCAGGTTCAAGCCATTCTCCTGCCTTAGCCTCCCGAGTAGCTGGGACTACAGGTGCTCGCCATCATGCCCGGCTAATATTTGTATTTTTAGTAGACACGGGGTTTCACCGTGTTAGCCAGGATGGTCTCGATCTCCTGACCTCGTGATCCGCCTGCCTCGGCCTCCCAAAGTGCTGGTGTGAGCCACCACGCCCAGCCAGTATTTAACTTTTCTAAGCCTCAATTGTCTGTCAAATGTAAATAATAATATGTTGGTAAATTTGGAGTAATTCCCTGTAGTCTGAGTCTCCTTACTGAACTGACTACGGTTGGCTCTTTGTATCTGCAGGGGTTGCATCCTTGGATTCAATGTACCAAAGATTAAAAATGTTTTAAAAAAGCCCCAATAAAACAATACAAAAAATACAGTATAACAACTGTTTATTTATCATTTACATTGCAGTAGGCACTATAAGTAATCTAGAGATGATTTAAAGTATATGGGAAGATGTGTATATGTTATATGCAAACTCTGTGCCATTTTATGTAAGAGACTTGAGCATTCTCCGGTTCTGGTATCCTCAGGGGTCTTGGAACCAATCCCCTGTGGATATGGAGGGATGACAGTATATGGATTAAATTTTCTTCAAGGCCGATGATGAGAGTTACTCTGTGTTTCAAGCTATGTATCTTAATGGGCAAAAGATTAAGCAGTTCAAACCAGACAATTGCTGTGACTATTTACAGATACCCAGAGATGCTTTCAGGGGGTAAGATTTGGGAAGACAATGGTCAACTGACCTATCCTCACCTCCCTCTGCAGCCTCATTCAGGTGCCAGTACCCACCACTCTGCTCTAAGCCCAGAGACTCAGATTCAGTGAAGAGTTTTACTGTCAGTTAAGGGGATGTTAGGAAAATACCTGGTTTTAGCTCCATTTCTTTTATCTGTACACTAAAGGATAGATTTCAAAGGTCTCTTCCAGCTCTTAAGTTATACGGGATGACTTTTACTATCCAGAAGCGGATCCCCAGGGCAACATAGTTGTAGGAAGTTAGAGGTGAGGTTTCTATTGCTATTATGTTAGTTTTAGGACCAGGGAAACAGGAATACCTGAATCCACTTAGTACTCCTCCCCTCAGTTTTCTAGGTGAGGAGCTGTTTAAGAACAGTAGCTAAATGGATATGAAATCTCTGCTATATTGATAGCTGACCAGTGAACACTGACCTCCAAAGCATGCCTCTGGCGGAAGCTGAGTTGGAGAATCCGGCTAAGGCATGACGACTTAAGCGAGGCTGTTACGCTCTCCTTCTGGATTCTGAGATGGCCGCCATTTCTGCGGAGGGCTCCCTACCTTAACCCGGTTAGATGATGAGTAGGCCACATAGAGATGTAGAAAGCCTGGTGAGGCCATCTTCTTAGGTTTAGGCGTAGAACAGAGGGACAGTTTAGGTGAGGATTCCAGAAACAGACTCTTGGGCTAGGATACAGGTGCAAGTGACTTATTAAGGAAGGGCCCCCAGGGGAGACCTGCAAGGGCGTGGAGGAAGAGACTAGGGAAGGGGCAGAGCCAAGCAAGGGCGTATTCCAGATGAGCTCCCAGACTCAGCCTGATATCGTGGGGAGCTCTGGAGTGTCACTGACATCTCAGGTTCTTTTCCCCTGAGGTGTGGACGTTGTGCTTTTTACTTCTGTGTATTCAGTCACTGGTTAGGTGGCGACTCGGAGGCAGGGGTGGTGGGTGGAACATCAACTCTTGGGCACCTATGGCTCTATGTACATCCGGGTGGAGTGGCTCCAGGCTAATCCTCTGAAGAAGGTGGTGGACTCCACCCTAGGAGCAAAGCAGCACAGCGAAACTGGAGAATGGAACGCGGAACTGGTACAGGGGACCCAAGGTGATCTGGATGGAGAGGATGAGCCAGAGAGAAGAGGATGTTTCATATGGACTGCCTGCGCAGAGCAAGGAGTGCGAAAGAGTGTGCCTCATGTGGTGCTGGCTGTCATCAGTGACTGTGCTGTGTTCTGACCCACGTGACCATCTCTCTTCTTGGGAAGGGAGTTCGATGGATGAGAGGGAAGAGAGAGAGGGAGGCAGAAGCATGGGGAGGGAGGATAGAGACACCCCTGTCTCCAAAAGCCATCTCTGCCTTCCTCAGAGAGTGGTTGTTGGGGCCTGAAAACCATGAATGTGAGCATGCTATGGAAAGCATAAAATTCTAACTCATGTAAGCAGTTGTTAATAAGTGATTTGCCTGAGTTATGTAACTGTGGCAGAGTAGAGGTCAGCTTTTGTGCCTGTAAGTTGAAGGATGCTCTTATGGATTATGTGATCTGCTAGTAGTTAGCACAGTTCTTCGTAAAGTAGGATAAGGAAAATAAACTTTGCAATGGTTATTTTATGACATAATTCTATAGTCCCTCCACCCCCACCTCCAAAGTCTAGTCTCTCAAAAACTCAGCTTTCACTGCTGATGGTGTAATAGTTTTGCCATAATATAAGCAGCTGGGTGTTTTTTTTTTTTAATTAACTCTGATGTCATAGGGCTTGGGACCATTGAACATAAGAACTGGCACTATCCCAGGGACAGGTGATCAAGGCAGAAGACCTCTGGTTTATGATTAGTGGCAAGACTGGTATCATTAGTGACACTAGAATATATGACACAGGGACCACATTTCCTGAGCAAAACAGTACCTCATATGGCCTGATGGTATCGGGACAGTTGCATGGAATATTTGAAATTGGAATGAACCTAGGATATGCATTATATCTAATCCCCTTAAATTGGTATTTATCAACCTTTTTATTTTTTTTAAAAAAACTAAGACTCATAGCAAAAAATACATTTAGGTGAGGCAGGCTGGTGCGGTGGTTAAGAGAATAGACTCTAGTACCCAATTGCTTAGGTCTGAATCCTGTCTCTGCCACTTGCCAGCTGGATGATCTTGGGTATGTTACTTAAATTCTCAGTGCCTGGTTCATTCAACTGTAAACATAGGCTAAAAATAGTCCCATCTTGTGGATGATCTTGAAGATTAAATGAGTTAATACATGTAAATGCACTTGGCGCAGTCCCTGGCACATATTAAACATTACATGAGTGTGCTAATAATATTTTTACATTTGACTCAGTACGTATATACTTCCACACACATATTTGAAACAGAAATTTATTATGTGTAATACATGCTAATATGTTCTATTATTATATTGTATTTCATTAAAAACATATACCTTCCCTGGGTTTTTAATTACAATTTCAAAATATATTCAATATATATTGAATTGAAATATATACAATTTCAGAATATATTCATCAGCATCTTATAGTCTTATGGACAGCAGTCAGCAATAGGGGACATTGTTCAATTTTTTATAAGTTAGTCTTCATCCTTGGTAAATTAACTATTTAAGATTTCTAGACACAGAGGAGGAGCCAGGCTAAAGCTTAAGGGCTTGGTATGGAACACTGGGTATTTGAAAGCTAGAAAATGATGGGACTTAGTTATTGGAACTTTGGGCTGGGGAATTCTGAGGGACTTGAAAGAAAACAAGCGAGACTTTCCAAGATTCCTGCTGTGTCCCTTGAACTCCCGCTCTCAGAAAGTACAATGAATAATATCACTCTCCAGCCCCTCTGTCTCCTGTCCTTTCCTGAGGAAATACATTGTTGGCTGAACCTCAGTGAGTTGAAATGGCAGATAAATGAAGACCTTGTTCCCATCCACCCTCCCCCAGGTAAATTGTCTAACTGTAAATAAACGCCTTTGTGTTTGTTAGGGTTGGGTGATTTGTTTCCAAATGGGAAAGAGGTTATGCTTTCATGTGTGAAATGTCTTCTTTCTCTCCTTCTGATGATTGTAAGTGTGTCTAGAGATGAGGTGAGGCCTATAAACCTAATTCATAAACAGTGTGAATCCACAATAAAATTATATGCGTCTTTAAAACTGGCTCCCTTCATATAACTACCCTGATGCAATGCTATAAACTTTGGACTTGCGACATTAAATCGGTGAAAGGGAAACCATGTCATACTAACTCAAATGCGTTAGACTGATTAAAAATGAATTTCTAATGAGGAGGCATGTCAGTAAAATAATAATTAAAATAGTGCTTCAAATGATTAGGATTTGCTTTTATTTTATATTTTGTGGCACAGTATTTCCCAGAAGGCTTTGAGTGCATATGGCAGAGATGGAAAATGGAGATGTGAAAATGAGGTCACATCCAAGTGGGTAAGAGGCGATCACCATCAGCAGCCGAGCCAAATCTGCTTCCTATGCAAATGATGGCCCAGGGCTGGCAGAAGAGCCATTAAGGTCTTTGTTAAATCCTGACTCATCGCCATCTGCTCTCAAGTAGCGCTGCACTAAATGGCAATGTTGTAACATCTGGGGGAGAAATTTTTTCCAGTATATTCTGATTTGAGATGGTCAAACAGGTTCAGTTTGATTAAAAAATGGTTTAAAGCTTGCTCATCTCTTGAGTCACTTTCCTCCCCTTCCTTTCATGCCCAATTAAAAAAGTTTTGCTTACTATTTCTGTTTATTTTTCAGTGGATAAGGAGGGTGGTTGAAATAATGCTGGTCAGAACTGAGGTAGGGATTAGTACATGGTTGATCCTCCCTGTCTTGTTTTTATCATGAATCTAGGGACTCTCTTGGGATTCCCTGTGCATTCCTTCACTCATTGACTCATTGCTGATTTATTCAACAAATATTTATTGAGCCCCTCTACTTATGTGCCAGAGATTGTGATTGGGCTGTGGAATGACTGGGGAACAGAACTGAATAGGCCCCTGGCCCTCATGAGGATATTCCAAGTGGGGATAATAGAAAATAATAAAGGATCACAATTATTTTGGGTTTTGATAAAACTATGAAAGAAATAAATCCTCTGGTAGAGAATTTTGGTGGGGTTGAGGTGATGGGTAGGGTAATGGCAGATCTATTTTAGAGGGACTGGTCAGGAAGGCCATAGATCAGGTTGCTAAAAGCCAACTAATGGAAAGCCAATTTGCTGAAAGCTAGTTTGTTACCTGGCCTAATTCACTGGAAGACAAATTCACCAAGCTTATTTATGTTATCTATACTATTTAGTTTTGGTTTTCATTTTGATTTTCTGATAGCATTTTGAGAACTATTTGACAGTTTTTTGATTAGTCAGGCTGAAGAACCTGAGGGACAGAAGCAGGGGAAATAGAGAGGCAGAGAGAGGGGCCTTGAGGACCATGATAAAAATATATTCATAACGATATATTCTGGAATAGGGAGAATTGTTATATTTTTCATTAGGTTATTATTCATTAGGATAATACATTCATATGAACTCTTCATATTTAAGAATATGTGCAAGAAGGCAGTATTTATAAAGACTATATTCATAAAAAGAATATTTTCGTTGAATATATTCGTAAAACATGAATATATTCATGAGGAGAATATATTCATAAGAAGAACATGCTCAATTTTTCTCTACCCTAGCTCCCTGCTGTTGCTGCTGGAGGCTGAGGGACAGAATCAGAGGCAGTGAGGGGAAACTGAGGCACAGATGTAGTTAAGTTTCCAGCTAAAGTGTTAGGGAGCTGGGGAAGAAGCAGTCTAAACATAGACTTTCTCAAAGTGGTATTATGAAAGCAAAATGAAAACCAAGTAACTAAACTAGAAAGTTACAAGAAGCAATTACGTTAGGCAAATTTGTTCTTTAGGGAATGGGTCATTCAAGAAATTAGTTATTTGGGCAATTTGTCATTTGTAGAATTAGTAGATTGAGCATATAATTTATCTTCTAAACTGGGATGGTTTTGAGCATGAAAGGGGTGCTATTAATAATTATTAATAGCATGGTCCTGGGCACACTGAGCTGTAAGATCATCTGCCTCCCTGCCCCCTAGTCTAAATTGGTCTCTGGCGTCTGTGTTGGAGTAAGATTGGGCAGGCACAAACCTGAGGAACATTCTGGATTTGCTTGCTTTTGCAATATGGCTACTTGGCTGGATTTGAGATTGAATGTGTGGATTGTTTCTCAACATGAATACCATCTTCTGTTTGAACTCTCCAAAGCTGTAGGGTATTAGGATAAGTCTTAAGGAGAGCTGTGATTTCTTGGATGGCATCCGTGGCAGTTATTACCTTTATGTGGATGATTTCCAATTCTGGAATCTCTAGGCCAAGCTCCAAACTCAGATTTCTAAACACAAGCTAGACGTCTCCTGCAGGCATCTCAAACCCAACATGTCCCAAATCAAACTCCTAGGAAGAGAGTATAGAGGTAAAAGAAGACCTTTGGGAAGTTCTTTTCATAGTCATTTGTTCATGCCATGCTTTTTCAGATTTTTAACAGCCTGAGAGGACATTCTTTTTCCTCTTTCTTGCTTAAAACCTACCTACCTTTTAGAGCCCAGCTCAAATCTCTTCTTTCTGTAATGTCTTTATGAAATAGCTACATTTAATCCTCCCTTATCAAAATTACCAATTGTTTCTCAATAATAGCCACCGATGGTTGTCATAAGTAAGACCTGTGGTCAGTACCATCCAGTCTGGAATTGTATTGTTTCCTAAATGTTTCAGATGTCTAGATATTTTTACCACAGCACCTAAAACATTATTAAGCAGAAAACAAGGGTCATTTGTTCATTAATTCATTCAATAAATATTTGTTGAGTGCCTGTTATATACCAGGTACTATTCTAGGTTATGAGATAGAGCAATTACCAAGGCAGAGGCCCTGATGTTCAAGAACTTACATTTTAGTGGAGAAGATGGACAATGGAAACATGAAGACATGGATACATAATGTAATTACAGATACTGATAGATGCCATAAAGAGAAATAAATTGGTTTAGGTGATCCTATGTCATCTTGGGGGTAATTATTAATAACATCTCCTTTTACTCTCAAAAGTGTTTGGGTTTAGAAATTAATTATCTCATAAGAGACCAGAGAGCATAGGATATGCATTTTCAATAATGTAGTCAGAAGGGCTTCTGTTGGGTGGGGACAGAGCCGTTTGGATGTCTGGGAGAAGTTGTGTTCCAAGCGGCAGGAACCGCATGTGCAAAGGTCCTGAGGCGGGAGTCATTCTTCAAATGACAATGTCTGCTGCCTGCTGAAGTCCAGAAAAGAGTCTGATGTGACTGGAGTGCAGTGAGAGTGAAAGAAAATGGTAGGGTGCTAGGGGATAAGGTAGAAGAGATGCCTGTGGGTCAGATCATGTGAGGCATTGTAGGCCACATAAAACTCTGAGTTTTATTCTGTGATAGAGAGCCATTAGGAGGTTTTGAGCTTGGAAGTGAAATAATTTGATGTATTTTAAAAGGATTACTCTGGTTGCTGTGTAAAGAAAATGTCATTGGGAGAAAAAGGGAGACAGCAGGGAGACCAATAAGGAGCTTATTACAGAGGTCTGGGAGAGAGATGAGGGCTTAGGGAATACTCGTGTATTTTTGTGGCCTGGTGGGTAGTTATTGGATTGAAGTCTTTGGAGAAAGAGAACAGGAATGAGAAGTGATTTGGCAAAGCCGCTTCACCTCTCTAAGAGTTTCTTATCTTCTGGAATTGGGAAAGCACCACCTGTCCAGCTTATCTCATAGAGCCCTTATAAAAGCTATTGTTGGGGAAGTATTTTGTAGACTCTAACATACTACATGCATGTTAACCTCTGTGATTATTAACTATGTCGGATTCTTTCCTTTTTTGGATTGTCAGCATCCCTATCTTGCTCTAGACTAGAGAGCTCCTTTCCCCCATGGGAAGGTATGCAAACTAATTGCTCTGGGATTTGGATACTGAGTTTTGTGAAACCATGACTAAAGATGGTTAGAGTCCGGTTGTGGTGGTGAGGGTACCTGCCATGTGTATCCCTGGACCTGATTTGAGTTCTTTCTAAGGCTTGGGTTTCCAGATCTCTTTGATTCTATAAATTACCTCACATCCTCCCAATGGAGTCAATTTTTATTAAAGATGCCAGAGTTGCTTTCTGTTGCTTATAGCCACGCTGCTCTAAAAGAGATACTTGGGAGATTTACAGGGGATCAGATTTAGCGAGAGACTGGCACCGTCTTGGCATTATTGCCTGCTGCTTTTTTGGTTAGGTTGCGGGTTCCAAGTTAGATTTTCTGAGATGTGGAACACTCAGGGGTGGAGAGGTCAGTTCCATGAGGCGGGAAATTCCCATACAGGGTATAGGAATTGAATGTATTTTTGAAACAATTCTTAGTGGGAAAGAGTCAGACTGTAATAATAAAGCCAAGAATCTCATTAGCCCAACTGAGGAGTAACAGCCATTCTAATAGCATCATTAAATATTGCTGAATAAATAAATCAACGAATAGGTTAATGAATGAATTGAAGGCATTGGAGTCCTGAATTTTAGTCCCAGCTCTGCCGTAAACTAGTTATGTGAGCCTGAGTAAATCTCTGGGTGTCAGTTTCCCCACCTGTAAAATGGGCTTAGTAAATCTGCCTTACATATTTCACAGGGGTGTGATGTGACTCTGCATGAACAAATGTAAAGGTCAAAGATGAGGGTATGGAAACATGTTAAAGATTGAGGTTACTAAGAAAAGATTTGGGAAAGGAACAGATTTATACCAAAGAGACAGATTTCTACCCAAAATGAAGGGAGTATACAGATAATCCAGAGTGATTTAGAGTCACATTCCACACGTGCAGCTTACTGGCTCTAGAAAGATCAAAAGATACATAAGCAATAACAGGAAGGATAGGTTACAGAAGACTTCTTCAGAATAAAAGCTAAACATAAAGTCAGGCTTTGCTTCTGCTGCTGCTTTGGAGGCTGGGCTTATCACGTCATCAAAGACCTGCCCTGGACATTGGAATGCGAAGACCTGCTTTAACCAAGAAATCTAGATCTCTAGCCTCACCCACAGATTGCCTAAGGAGATGTCTTGTATATGTGTGTGTGGATTCTTGTTACTCTGAGCTTTGGCTAGTTTTTGGCTATAATCTCATTCAGCTTGTGTGTTTCACAACCCACAGGATCTGATGGGAGTGACATGCGGGGCTTTGCAAAATCTAAAACATCATTTGAATGCAAGGCAAGTGGTAGAAGGGACTGGTGGGGTATTGGCAAATGTTTAACAACCGGCTTTCCGAAAAAAATTTATAATATTTGCCAATTTCTGTGGTGTAAATAGTCCTGCCATGGCAGATTTTGAACTGCCAATTATTTAACAATCTGCTTGCAAAGTTCCTGAAAATTTAACAATCAGTTCTTGTGAGCCAGTGTAAATCAAATGTGGCTCACCTTACTGAAAGGAACTGAAAGGAAAGAAGAGACAAACTGAGGGGCCTATAAAGATTAAATATATGTCTAATTAGGCAAAATGTGTAGTTTGGAGGGGGCCCTTAAAAATTGTGTGTGTCTTCTTAAAAAAATTCACTTTTAAAGACTAACTGGGGAGAGACAAGATTCATACAGATAAAGTTAAATAAAAATATAAGACATGGACAGAGTGTTACATAATTAATTGCTAAATAGAAACTCTAGTACAGAGGAAGGAAGGTCACAGTCAATTGGGAGCTTTGGCAAGACTCCCTCTGGGAGTGCGGATTGACTATGGTACATGGGGTATGAACAACACCTTCAGAGGGCAGAGGAGGTGAACAGTTTTACCACCCCAGTGCAGTTCTGGGAGGTGGGAGAGGGCCAGTGACGGGGGTAAGAGCCCTCAGAAGGTGGTTCCTCAGGACTCAGAGACCCAATGGAAGGATGTGGCTCATGGGAGGAGAGGAGAGTGATTTCCATGTAGCTGGTTGTAGTGGATATCTGTTGTTTTGCTATTCAGCTTCCATTCCTCACTTTCTCCCCAATTCTTTGTCTTTGTGGTTTCGATGGGACTCATCCCCACCTCCAGAACACAGGGATGAATTTGTGACTGAGGGCTGGTCAACTGGTGTTCTATTTCTCTGACCACACAGATTGAGTGAGGCCTAGGCATGTGGCGAAGGCACCCACTCCAATGGGTGTGTCTTCTGAGACTTGTTTGGCAGAGATAATCAGGGCTGGAGCTGCTGGTGGCCATCTTGCTACCATGTGGGGAGAGTCTGACTGATAATAAAGTGTACCCACTGGAAACCAAAGAATTTGGACAGACACTGATTCCAGATGATATCATTTAAATACCTGTATTAAACATGCCTGAAGCTAGACTTTTGAGAAAGTCTTTTCACAGCAACATTAAGAAGAATTCTGGAAGCAACATGAAAAGTCAACAATGGGAAATTGGGATAAATTGTATTGTAACCATTTGATGGAATATGATACAGCTATTAATGAAAGAGGATATTGTAAAATTAAAATTAGGGATATATGAAGGTGGTCATAATACAAATACAAATAAAACAGGTTGAATCTGTTTTTATTTTACAGTTTGTGTAATTAATACAGATAATCTAAAAGACTAAACATCAAAATATTTATGATGATTAACTCTGAATGGCGTGGTTCTTTTTTCTTTTAGTCTACCTGTATTTTCTAATTTTACTATAACAAATATGAATTAGGAAATAAAAATAAAGACATTATTTATTTTTTATAGAATTATTAAAAAAATTATTAAAAACAAAAGGGGATGATGAACGAAGGCAACTTATCTGAAATTGATCCCAATTCATCTGTCCTTGTCCTCCACCAGTAAGAAACTTATTAATATTGGTGGCTCCAGTGTCACTGATAGTGTGCCAACACATGGCTCAGGAGGCTAGGGGAGTGTCTGACCACACTCTTGTGTGAGTGAGAATGCTAAGGGAGATGTGTCTGTGTTGGGGTTGGGTGGGTGAAAAGGCCTGCCCTGCTCTGAGTGGCTAAGGGGCCTATGCTGCAATGACTGTGGCCCAAGAGTGAGAAGGAGCAGAGCTGAGCCCAGGTAGCAGGATCCTGGAGTGGGAGCAGGTGGCCTCAGTGCACTGGCCTGTGCTCTTCATGGGAGGGGGCACATTGGTTTTTCTGAGGAGCAGATATAAGTAGACCTGCCCTTTGGCAGTTGAGCAGAGTGATTCCCTTATAACAAAACTGGGCTTCCTTTTGGAAGGAAGGTCAGAGTACTCACACTAAACTAAGCCTTGTGTAGAACATTCTGGAGGGTGCACTTCATGTGTTGGGCACCATGGGAGTGTTTTGCCTGCCCTGCAATAGCCAGATTTCTGGGCAGTCAAGAGGGATCCCAGGAGTTTCACCTGCTTCAGGTAAGAAGATGCTTGGCTTTTCACATTTTATTCTGCAGGGGCCAAGGAAGACCCTGAGAGTTGGGAGTCTGCCACGTACGCAGGAGTGTAGAAAGGTCCTATAATTCTGATTGTGCCTGGAAAAGTCCCCTGTCAGTTCTAACCTGCAGAGCCTTACTATGGTTTTGTTCTGTTTTGTTTTGTTTTTGAGACAGGGTCTTGTTCTGTAACCCAGGAGGGGATGCAGTGGCATGATCACAGCTCACTGCAGCCTCGACCTCAGGCTCAAGTGACCTTCCCGCCTCTGCCTCCTGAGTAGCTGGGATGATAGGTGCACGGCACGAGGCCCCACTAATTTTTAAGTTTTTTTGTAGAGACAGGATCTCACTATGTTGTCCAGGCTGATTTCAAACTCTTGGGCTAAAGCTGTCCTCCTGCTTTGGCCTCCCAAAGAGCTGGGATTAGTCTCATTTCTCTTCATCTTGACCATCTCAGAACTGATCTCTGTAGGCACTGTATTGCAGTTTCCAGTAGTCACCACAAGAAGCCCAGAACCCAACAAATTCTGTCTCATTTCACTTCTGTGAGGCACCTAGTGCAGTGAAATGTGGTCACAAGGGGCTGGGGAGTTGGTGGGTGGGAAATGGGGAGTTTCTTAACGGCATTGGAGTTTCAGTTTTGCAAGATAAAAAGAGTTCTGAAGATCGGTTGCACAGCAACATGAATGTACTTAACACCACTGAACTGTATGCTTAAAAATGGTTAAGAGGGTAAATTTTATGTTATATGTATTTTAACACTATTAAAAAAGAACAACAAAAAAGTCCAGGACCCAAGGTCTTCTTTCAGGCCCTAGTCACTCATTCCTGTTCGCGTGTATGATTATCAGGCAGCTTCTTACTCCAACCATTCTGGTTCTCTTGACCTTGCTGTATCATTCTCCAGAGCATTTATGACAATCTGACCTCCTGTGTGTATTATTTATTTATTTGCCTGTCTTTCTCCCCTCTCAACTAGAATATTCACTGCATAAGAACAGGGATTTTTTGTTTTGTTTACTGCTGAAATCCCAGCACCCAGAAGAATGCCTGCCACATAGTAGGTGCTCAATGCATATGTATTGACTGACTGCAGACTGGTAAATTTTGTGTGGATCTGTGTAGGGGATCTTGCAACCTGTTAAGGACACAGCAAAAGGAAGGTAGGGAAAAGCAGTATTAGTCTCACCGTGATCTCTCGATCTCATATAATTAGACATTGCCGTCAGAAAATATCGTTGTGTGACATGTTTCATTAAAAAAATCAAATTAACTATCTTAAAGTGTTTGTTCTGAAACATAGCTGGAAAAGAGTAGGGGGAAGGCTTTTCTTTATGAGCCAGTCTATTTCTTGCTACTGGAAGTGTTTCCTTTTTGGGATGCAGGGTACCCCTTCTGCCACCTCATTTTTTATTTCACGACATTATCCCATGGCTGGTTTCCACCTTCAGTTTTTATTAAAAATATATTAACTCTTTTTCTTCATTCACCCCCTCGAACCCATCATTCACTTGTCTCTTGTACATTCTAATGCTTTGAAAATTGCTGCAATCATAGGTAATCTGAAGAATTTTCCCTTATTAGCAGCATAGCCAGGAGCTAATCAGAGGTCTTCATTTACCCGATACAATTTACAGCCTTTGAGGAGCGATTGCTCTATCACTTGCCTCTTTCTGTTTCTCAGCATTGTTTTTTCAGGAACATATTCATTTGGTTTTGTCCTTTTCTTAGGATCTTTTTCTTTAAGACTTCTTGCTGTATCAGCACACACCTGCATGGACTATTTTGTCTGTCTATGTAATTAATTATCTATCAGTTTCATCAAAAGCATTAAATGTTTTTTTAGATGACATTGAACTGTTTGATCAATTTAATTAATGAATTCAGTCAAAACAGTCTTAACAACGATCCATGGTGACCTGCCTTGTATTCTGTCTTAAGGAAGTTTACCTTTTCTCCTGACTTTCCTTCATTTTCTTTTGATTCAATTTATTCCCTTTTCTTTTGTTTCAAACTGATGGAGCTCCTTTGAGATATGGCCTTTTCTTTAGTAATGTAGCAGTTTATATGTTCTAGATTACATTATAGACTACTGCTACTTGAAGGGACAGCCAGGTTTTTTGTTTGTTTGTTTCCAGCCCTCTGTCTAGTAGAATTCCATGTGCTGAAACGAAACAAATCTTAAATGTATTTATATTAGGTTAGTGCAAAAGTAATTGTGGTTTTGCCATTACAAATAATTTATATTAGATTGGTGCAAAAGTAATTGTGGTTTTTGCTATTACTTTCAATGGCAAAACTGTAATTACTTTTGCATCAACCTAATATGTGCTATATACGTATACATTCATAAAACATGTTTTTTTAATGCCCTTGATCTCCAGTTGTTTTTCATATAATCAAGTTAAGGTTGATGGTCCGGTTAGACTCTTACATAATTTACTGTTAATAGATGTTTTTCTTTATCTCTTTTTAAAAACCAGAGTATGAATTGAAAAAGAGACATTAATGATGTAATCTCTCCCTCAACTCCTATCCTACTTTCACCCTCAAAGAAGTTATTAGCAATTACAAGTCACAATGTAGTATCACATTGTGAGTTTGGAATTATTAAAAATTGTTCAAATGAACTCAAATCAACAGTGGTGATGTTTATAACCATTTCTTTGCCTCTGCTTCTTACGTTCCCCACCTCCATCCCAGATACAAACACAAAACCCATGCCCTATAAATGCTTTCTGGGCATTCCTAAGCATTTCTTTAGTGTGGAATGTGTTATGCATTGTATCATACATCATATCACAGTAATACCATGGAAGCCTAGTATGATTGGGCATAAAGTGTTTGGATGATTGTTTGTTTCAGTCTGTTCAGGCTGCTATAACAAAAATACCACAGACTGGGTGGCTTATAAACAATAGAAATTCATTTCTCATAGTTCTGGAAGCTGGGAAGTACAAGATCAAGGGGGCAGCAGATTCGGTGTCTCCTAAGGGCCCATTTTCTAGTTCATAGATGGTGGCTTTTCATTGCATGCTCACATGGGGAAAAGGGTGAGCTGGCTTTCTGGGGTCTCTTATAAGGGCACTAATTCTAAATTTATAATGTCTCTATGCTTATGACCTAATCACCTCCTGAAGGCCCCACCTCCTAATACCATCATACTGGTGATTAGATGTCAACATATAAATTTTGGAGGAACACAGATACTCAGACAATAGCATTGTTGTTTTGGAGGATTTGATTTAATTAACAAAACCATTTCTTTCTTTTTTAAATGGAAATTTCCAAAATGATAGTCCACACTCTATATCCTAGTAATCAGAATGTAGAAAATATAATTGAAACTTTCCTTAGTGATTTAGGTCATCCATTAAAAGAATGTTGGTGGACTGTACAGGCAAGTGCTGTCCGAGCTGGGTTTTGATTCTGTCAGAATTCTTGGTAGCACACAACAAAAATGAACTTTGGTTTATTAAGGATAGAGGGTGCTCACAGAAATATATAGAGGACTGGAGACACCCAGTCTTGAGGCTGAACTTCCAGAAAAAATGTCTAAATACCAGCCATAGGCCTGGTCTTATAAGAAAAGTACCACCACTGCAGCCACTGAGCACTGGGTAGTACAGTTTTGTTTTTTAAAATTTTAAATTCTTTCTCAGCTATATTAATATATAATCAACAAATAAAAATTATATATATTTATGGTATGTACAACATGATGTTTCACTCTATGTATACACTGAAATTATTAGATCAAGCTAATTAACATGTCTGTCACCTTACATACTTGTATTTTTGTGGTGAGAACATTTAAGATCTATTCTCTTAGTAATTTTCAAGTATACAATACATTATTATTAACTACAATTATCATGTACAGTAGAGCTCCAGAACTTATACATCCTTTCTGGCTGAAACTTTGTGCCCTTTGATCAACATCTTCCCATTTTCTCCCTGTCCCGCCCCTAGTCCCTGGCAACTGGTGTTCTACTTTTGCTTCTGTGAGTTCAAATTTTTTTAGATTCCACATATAAGTGAGATCATGCAGTATTTGTCTTTCTGTGCCTGGCTTATTTTACTTAGCATAATGTCCTTCAGGTTTATCCATGTTGTTGCAAATGACAGGATTTTCTTCCTTTTTAAGGCTGAATTATATTCCATTGCATATATATGCCACATTTTCTTTATCCATTCATCTGTCAATGGACATTCATGTTGATTTTATATTTTGGCTGTTGTGAATAATGCTGCAATGAATATGCAAGTACAGATACCTCTTCGACACACTGATTTCATTTCCTTTGGATCTATACTCAGAAGTGGGGTTGCTGGATCATATGGTGGCTCTATTTTAATTTTTTTGAGGAACCTCCACATTGTTTTCCATAATGGCTGTACTAATTTACATTCCCACCAACAGTGTACGAGGGTTCTCTTTTTTCTGCATGCTTGCCAACACTTATTTTCCATCTTTGTGATAATAGCCAATCTAACAGGTGTGAGGGAATATCTTCTTGTAGTTTTAATTTGCATTTGTCTGATGATGAGTGTTAAATCAAGTTTAGCTTAAAGTTGCCTCCTTACATATTTTAAGTTCAGCCTAAAGGGTTTTCTGTACACCATGAACTATATAACAAGTGGAGGTGTAACCATACTGTAACCTATACTTGTGCCAATCACTGAGTTTTGGTCAATCACTTGTAGCCAACTGTTCGAACTGTGTTCAAATAAGGCAAATGCCGAACTGTAATCAATCCAGCTGTTTCTGTACCTCACTTTCCTTTTTCTGTCCATAAATCTTCTCCCACCATGTGGCTGCGCTGGAGTCTCTGGGCCCACTCTGGCAAGGAAGGCTGCCTTGAACAACAAGTTCATGACTCATTTGTTGCTCAATTAAACTTCTTTAAATTTAATTCAGCTGAAGTTTTTCTTTTATTATTAGTGATGCTAAGCATTTTAAAATATACCTGCTAGTCATTTGTATATCTTCTTTTGAGAAATGTCTATTCATCTTCTTTGTCTATTTTGTAATCAGGTTGTTTTCTTGCTATTGAGTTGTCTGATATATATATATTTTGGATATTCATCTCTTATCAGGTGTATGGTTTGCACATATTTTCTCCTGGGCAGTATTAAATGTGGCTTCTGTGCCAGGAGCTTTGCCTTGCAGCTACTGCTGCTGCTGCTAGTATGAGAGAGGGAGGAAAAGAGAGAGAGGAAGAAAAAAGAAAGATTGAAATCGCTTAGTGTGAGAGAATTTTCTGTACCAAGCCTGGTGCGGTTCTCTGATCGGCAGAACCTTTGCTTCGAATGTGCCCACATGGCAAGGGACTATGTAACATTTTCAGCTCCTCTAGGGGTGACTGTCCATCTTCTCCCCACATCAAAACTCAAACAGTATGGAATTCCCCATAGAAAGGGGTTCCTCAGACGCTTCTCAAAAGAAGACATTTATGTGGCCAAGAAACATGAAAAAAAGCTCAACATCACTGATGATTAGAGAAATGCAAAATGAAACCACAATGAGATACCATCTCATGCCAGTCAAAATGGTGATAATTAAGAAGTCAAGAAACAACACATGCTGGTAAGGTTATGGAGAAAAAAGAATGCTTTTACACTGTTGGTGGGAGTGTAAATTAGTTCACCCATTGTGGAATACCTTGTGGTGATTCTCAAAGACCTAGAGGCAGAAATACCATTTGACCCAGTAATCCCATTACTGAGTATATACCCAAAGGAATAGAAATCATTCTGTTATAAAGACACATGCACACGTATATTCACTGCAGAGCTATTCACAATAGCAATGATATGGAATCAACCCAAATGCTTATCAATGATAGATTGGATAAATAAAATGTGGCACATATACACCATGAAATACTATGCAGCCATAAAAAGGAACAAGATCATGTCTTTTACAGGAACATGGATGGAGCTAGAAACTGTTATCCTCAGCAAACTAATTCAATAACAGAAAACCAAACATGACATGTTCTCACTTATAAGTGGGAGCTGAATGAGGAAAGCACACTGACATTGGGTAGGGGAACAACACACACTGGGGCCTCTGGGGTGGGGGTAGGGGGAGGGAGAGCATCAGTAAGAATAGCTAATGAATGATGGACTTAATACCCAGGTGATGGGTTGATCTGTGCAGCAAACCACCATGGCGCACATTTACCTATGTCACCTGAACATCTTGTGCATGTACCCCAGAACTTAAAAGTTGAAGAAAAAAAAAAAAAGAAAGGGATTCCTATTGGGAAGCTAAGGTGAACATTAGACTCCCACTTTAGGTTAAATATGTAATATTCCCAGACAAATCTTGACACTTCCTTTCTTGCATATGTTTTTATATGAGCCCAATTCCTCATTTTTTCCTCAAGGAAGTGGAGTGCAGCCTGTGCAATTGCTAACAGCATAATGTAGTTGCCTTTTTGTGGAAGTGATACTGAGTAAAAACTGAAATCTCCTGGGGTGTTTTCTTATCCTCAATAAAAACCTTCAATATTCTTATAATTGAAGTTTGGCTTCTTAGCACTGTTAAAAATATTTTCTTATTTTAGTGCCTAGAGCTACTTGTTTTAGTTTTATGGGTTTTTTTTTTTTTTTTCGGTTATCTGGTAGAATTTCAGGATATATACCATTAAAGGTGGGTGCTGCTTTTTTTGTGACTACAGACATAATCGGGGATTCTCTCTTTGGCTGAATTTCCTTAACACCAGATAATTATGAGATCTAGAATTCTGGATATGGGTTAATTCAAATTTACCATTGTCTAGTTATTAAGGAGTCAGAATAGCATTTACTGTGTAAATCTGGGCAATTGATGTTTCTGAGTTTCCTTTTTTGATGAATGGAAGTGATTCTTCTCAGGCTGGACTCTCAGGTGTTGGGAGAGTGGCTGAGATGACCGGCAGAGGGGAGAGGTGGAATGGAGGGGGAACCCAGAATTTTCTGACTCCTGGGCTCTGCTGTGCTTTTTACCTCCAAAACCATCATCCAGAAATCAAACCATCTACACTCTTGACTTTCAGCCTTTTTAGTATTTATTGTACCTCCCCAAATTGGCCATTTTTCTGATTTTTAGAAGGATGGATAGTGTATTTTGGTGGGAAGGATGAGAAGGTTAAAAAATATTATCTAAAATTAAAATGCAATATTTTGGAGAGAGAGATCTTTGGTTTAGATCCAAGCTGTAACACTGACTGTGTGAACTTGGGCAAGATATTCAGCCTCTCTGAATTTCAGTATCTTTCTCTGCAAAGTGGGGATAATAATGCTTGTTTTGTAGCCTAAGTAAATGTTGAATCCATTCTTCTATGGAGTTTATTCATGTGCACCAACCCTATCCCCCTTGTGGTGACTTTAATATCTTTTTACAGTGCTGCTGATGGAGGATGCTGTCAATCCAGAGTCTGACAGCTTCTTGCTCCTATGTAAGTCAAATGTCATTCTTGAAATCATAATAAACTTATCAACTTTTTTTGCATAACTTGATGGGGTTATGGAATTATAACTGCTTTGGAAACATTCCAGCCTAGAAGCTATATACCAGAACAAATGAGATCCTGGCCCAGTACCTCCTCCAAGGAATTCATTCTGCTTTTGGAGACTAGCACATGTATTTGCTTTATATTATGTTTCCTAAATTATATTTATTTCTTTATTTTAGAGTAATGCAATAATTTAAAAGAAAGGAGTATCTTGGCTTATTCCCCCTCAAATACCACAGCCTTCTTCATTAGGATGTTTCATTTAAAAAATAGTATTTGTGCATTCCCTGCCAACCTTCCAAAAAATTCACTGCTGGGCAGAGGAAGGGGTTGATAAATAAAAAGTAATTTGTTCATAAAATTTATAAGCCACTGGAAATGAAGGCCCTGGAAGAAAGTGCCAACTCAGCTTTAAGTATGAGATAATAATCAAAACAGCAAATGTACAAGTGCATTATGGTAAGAATAAATCAAACGGCAAGGCTCGATGTGAACAATATGGAAAAAACAACTAAGTGAAGAAATGTCAAATGAAGGATTACCTTTACTGTGGAACTACCTATTCAAGTCATAAATTCAGCCCAGGATTTCTGCTTCCTAAAACCTAAGGACTTCTACTGAACAACGACACTGCACCCGCAGCAACCACAACAGAAACAACAAAACCCTTTGTTTTCCTGCTAGCTTCTAGCAGTTTTGTTTCAGAGAGAGAGGCTTTTTCTGTGGACTGTGTCTTTTATTGAAGATTTAACCATAAAAGCAGTGCTCCTGCAAACTCTGCTTAGGGTTGGCAGTATATATCATCAATTAGATATAAGGTTGCTTTTTTTTTTTTTTTTAAACCAGCCTTTCCATAAGAGCTTTTGTTGACTATTTCAGTCTTGTTTTCCCAAAGTAAATGTTTCATTGAGTTAGCATGACTTTATTATAATAAAAACTGTATTTTTGTCTTCTGTCCCTTGACATTTATTCCATAGAACTAGTTTTTTCCTGACCCTAATTGAAAGAAAATTTAGGGCAAATTATTGTACACCTCTGACCACTTTTAGTTAACAGTAGGTCTTGCTCTTAGCATGTCGAGGCCAGTGTAATAATACAATCAGTAATTTCATTCAATGTTAATGCTTCTTCTCTTCCCCCAGCTTGGGCCAACTAAAAGTTGGCCACTGGCACTGGGCAAAAGGAGGCTTGGTTGGCCTCTTCTCTTTTTCTCCAACGTGCATCATACCCCACTTCCCTCGTCTTCAGAATGAGGCCACCATTTGGGATCATCTTTCAGGGAGAAGGTGGGAGGGGCTCGGGAGAGAGGAGTCCAGCCGCGGAAGGCCTTGGTTGACTAGTGCTGTTGTCAGCTGGCGGCTGAACCTGGGCTGGCAGGCATTTGAAGCCGATTGTCTTGGGGGGCACTTTGGTGGGTTCTTTGGGTACTCCTACCTCTGCAGAGCTCTCACTTGTAATCCGGCACTAAATCTGTTAGTTCTGCCTTAGAAATGTCCCCCAAATCCAATCATTTTGTATCTCTCCCACCACTTCCCCTGCTCCAAGACACCCCCAACTCTATCCTGCAGGACTGTGGTGGGTTTCCATGCTTCTGCCTGTGTTCCAGGAGTCTGTTTTACATGCAGGACAGGGATCTTTTCAGCATGTAGTTCAGATCATGTTATTCCTTTGTTCCAGGTGTCTGGTGGTCTCCTGTCTCATGCAGAGCGGAACTCCCAGGCCTCTGAGGGACCACAGGCCCTACACACTGCCTTGCCCCCGCCCTACATTTATGACCTCGCCTTTCACCACTCTCACCCCCCTCACTGTCCCAGGACACTGGACACCCCGCTGCCTCAGGGCCTTCCCATTTGCTGTTCCTTCTGCCAGAATTCTTTTCGTCAGATACGTACAAGGCTTATTCCCTCACCTCGTCTAGCCTTTTTTTTTTTTTTTGTGAGACAGAGTCTTGCTCTGTTGCCCAGGCTGGAGTGCAGTGGCGTGATCTTGGCTCACTGCAACCCCCACCTCCTGGGTTCAAGCAATTCTTCCTGCCTCAGCCTCCCGAGTAGCTGGGAATACAGGTGCCCACCACCACACCAAGCTAATTTTTTTGGTGTTTTTAATAGAGACGGGGTTTTGCCATTTTGGCCAGGCTGGTCTTGAACTCCTGACCTCAGGTGATCTGCCCGCCTTGACCTCCTAAAGTGCTGGGATTACAGGAGTGAGCCATCATGCCCGGCCAAGTCTTTGTGCAAATGTCTCTGCCTTAGTAAGCTTTTCCGTGATCAATCCATTGCAAACTACAAACCCTCCCTCCCCCAGGCCTCTCTCTATTCTCCTTTCATACTTTATTTTTCTCCATAACACATTATATTTTGACCTACTCTATATTTTACTCGCATAGTGTTTTTCTCCTCCATTAGTACATACTTAATAAAGGAAGAATCTTTATCAGTTTTGTTCATTGTTGTATCCCTAGTTCTTAGAACTATGCTTGGCACCTAGTAAGTGCTCAGCAATCCTTTTGAATCAATGAATGAATGTTTACTTGATCCTATGTTATTGTAACTCACCTGCATACATAACTAGCTCTCTTTCTCAGCTCTTGAGAGTAAGGTCTAGGAACTGGTCATTTTGTGTTCCCTACATCTCTAGCTCAGTGTCTGGAACAAAATAAGTTCTCAATAAATATTTATTGAATAAATTAAAGAATGAATAAATCAGGAAAGATTGCTGGAAATGTGGAAAACAAAGAAACAGGAGTAAAGTTTCAAGGCAGATAATGTGGTTCAGATATTTCAAGGAGAGGAAACCATGGGATTTAGGTTGGGAAAGGGGGCTGGGGACCTTTGAGGAGCATGGAGTGGAGGGTGGGCCTCAAGTTGCAGTGGGTGGAGGTGACTGAACATAGATGGTAGGATGTGGAGAACTCGGTCCAGAAGAAGCATATGAGGGAATGAAATTGAATTTAGCCTGATGAGAAGATGGTTGGGGGAATACATATATACATATGTGTATATATATATATATATCAGCCTACAGGAAAACTGAAGGTGTTTGTAAGCTGAATCTTTAGTGGAGAGAGAGATTAATCAAGACAGGGGATAGATGAGGAATAAGATTTGGGAGGGGGCAGAAGGAGTGTGATCAAGCCAACAAGAGAACTGGTCCTGGGAAGCAGTATGGCTACCTCTTAGTCTGAGGTAGGAGACATTCCCTGGTCTTTGCTTGGATGGACAGGCATGGAGAGAGGGAGGGAGGGAGGGAGAGAGGAAGCCACCTACCTACTATCCATCCATTTGTCTGTGTCTTTCTACTTGTCTAGTCATTCATCCATCTGTTCACCCATCCATCTTTCTATCTATCTATTCATCTCTCTAACATTCCATTTTTCTCAGAACCCAGCCAGGTCCTTCTGATGCTCATCCTGAGAGATGCTGGGGCAGCAGGTAGTATTCTGAGGTGGGGCTTAGGTATAGATAACTTTTCTCCAGGCACTTGCAGCCCTCCATGGCAAGATGGGAGTTTTGTGTCTTTTGAATTGTCCTGCACAGTGATTTCTCTAGCCTAAAGATCACTGAGTCAGATATACACAGTGCATGATGAAAACAACAGCTTTCTAGTATTTAGAAATTAGGCTTTTCAAAGTACCTAAAAATCCAAAATCTGTCAGCTAATTATTTACTTTCACTTAGTTTTCTTTCAGACTTGGCAAGATGATTACAGGTAATTCCCACCTTTCCCTACAATATCCAGCAAAAGAATTGAGAAATGCTGCCCCTCCATCCCCCATAATTACTACTTCTATTTATGAACAATGGAAGGAAACAAAATAACAAGTAAATGGAAGAAATGAAAAAATAAATTCACTCTGACTTGACGCTCTGTCCAGTTAATGAACCCTCCAGAGGAACTGCATTAACATTGGCACCGTGTTTAATGATGGAATAACTCAATATGTGCACTCATTCAGGACATTTATAGATTATTAATTACTCACACACGGTATTCAAGTCATGATCGTAATTACCCAGAGTCTGTCTTTCCTTGCTAACCGAGCATCTTGGACCTGTTTCTTGAGTCACCCTCAGGTGCTGAAGCCCTCAGACACAGCTCCGTGACACTCAGAATCATTTTGGCAAAGCCCTCCCTTAGCCTCTGGCTTGGATTGACCTGGCAGATGCCCCATGCTAAGCGCCTGCTTTTATGTACTGATGCTCAGGGCAAAGATGTTATGATGATTATGACACCTCCTGTCATGGTCTAGTCACAGAGGGCCATGGGAAGCAGATTATAGGGACTGTTTTATTTCGGAGACTTAGGAGAGATTCTTGCTGCCCTTGCTTCTGAATCTGTGCTTAGAGACAGTTTAAAAATAATGAAGCTGTTAACCAGATCAGAGGTCTGCTGAGCAGATGGTCCAAGAGGGGCCAAGAGTCTCAGCTGATGGTAAACCAGGGTGGAGATTTGGAAACAGGAGCTTCCTTGGGGAAATGTACTTTCATTCCCAGATGTGGAGTAGTTACTTCAGTAGCAATACGGATGACTTAAAGAGGGCCCAATCTCTGACATGACTCAAGGCTCAGGTGTGTGGAGCTTTATACTGCAAGATTTATTTTCACAGTGCTGGCTGAGTTTTTGCCCCAAGCCCAGTGGCTTTGCCTGGGTATGTCTTGAGGAGCCCATTAAGATGGAGCAAGGACTTTGTCTTCATTAAAGAGAACGCAGGATCCCTCTTTCTCTCTCTCTGCAAGGTACTGGTATTAGTTTTCTGATTGTAAACATAATATATGCTGATTATAAATCACTAAAATTTTAGACATACAGTAGAAAGTCCTCTTAATTCTACCCCACAGATATAACCACTGTTATGATTTGTTGTATACTTTTCCAGTAGTTTTTCTATGCATCTATAAACACATGTATTAGCACATATGTATCTTTTTTTTAGATAAAATCATACCTACTCTTCTATAAGCTGTTTTAATTTAAAATACTTTTCAGACCTCTTTCTATGCTAATACATAGAGTTACAGTGTTTGTTCTTTCCAAGTGCTTAAGAGTATATGGTTATATGGCTCTGGCACAACTTATTTAATTCGTCATTTAGATTTAATTAAAAAAATTATAAACAATACTGCAATAAGAAATCATATATATTCATTTTTACCTACTTGCTTATTTCCCTTAGATATATTCTAGGAGTTTAACAGCTAGATCAAAAGGAATATTTATGTTTAATTAAAAAATTTTGTTGCACATTATCTAATTCATGACCTCCAAAAAGGTGAACTAGTTTGCACTTCATCAGTAGAGTATTTTTACACCTTTGCCAACTTTGAATATTATCATTCTGTTTAATCTTTGCTAATCTGAAACTGAAAAAAATATTTCATTGTTATTCTAATTTAAATTTCTTTGGCTATTAATCAGGCTAAATACTTTTTAAATATTTTTTTTTGTGGCAATTTGTATTTCTTTTGAAATTGTCCTGTTCATGATTTTTTACTTATTTGGGGGGCAAGAGGAGATTACTTGTCTTTTTAAAATACGGATTTATGGCTGGGCATGGTGGCTTATACCTGTAATCCTAGCATTTTGGGAGGCCAAGGTAGGAAGATTGCTTAAGCCCAGGAGTTCGAGGCCTGGGCAACAGGGCGAAACCCTGTCTCTACAAAAATTATGTAAATTAGCTGGACACAGTGGTGTTCCTGTAGTCCCAGCTACTCGGGAGGCTGAGTTGGGAGGATCACCTGAGTCTGGGGAGGTCGAGGTTGAGTGAGACGTGATGATGTCACTGCACTCCAGCCTGGGTGACAGAGTGAGACCCTGTCTCAAAATAAATGAATGAATAAATAAATAACACTGATTTACAATAACTCTTCATCAGATAGAGATACTAACCTTTTTACTGCTCTTTGTGTACATATTTTCTCCTCAAAATATATTTTGTTGCTGCTTTTATTTTTTTAAAACCGAAGGGTCAATAAAGTTTTACCCATTGCTTTTGGTGTTTAGGTCTCTTTACTTTCTTTTTAATAAAGAACGGCCCCTTAACTTTTTTCTCCAGATAATAGTGACTTTTTGAAGAGACTGTTACTGGCTGGGTGCAGTGGCTCACACCTGTAATCACAGCACTTTGGGAGGCCAAAGCCGGCCGGATCACCTGAGGTCAGGAGTTTGAGACCAGCCTGGCCAACATGGTGAAACCTTGTCTCTACTAAAAATACAAAAAATTATCCAGGTGTGGTGGGGCACACCTGTGGTCCTAGCTACTTGGGAGCCTGAGGCAGGAGAACCGCTTTGAACCCGGGAGGTGAAGTTTGCAGTGAGCCGAGATTGTACCACTGCACTGCAGCCTGGACGACAGAGTGAGACCCTGTCTCAAAAAAAAAAAAAAAAAAAAGATCTGTATCATATTAAAGTTTCCTTCTATTTCTAGTTTACCCATAAGTTTAACCCAGGATGGATTCAGAAATTTATCAACTGCATTTTCTGCATTTATCAAAAGACCATTTGATTTTTATTCATTAATCTAGTGAATTACATTGACATATTTTTTCTAACTACCTATCCTTGAATTCCTAAAATAAATCCTAGGTAAAGGTGTTACATTGTGCTTTTAATGTGTTGTTGGTTCTATTTGTAAATATTATATTTAGGGTGTTTCCATATATATGTATTAATAAATGAATTTGACTTTTGGTTCTTTTTTCACTTTCTCAGCTTTTGCTATCAGGGTTGCATTAGCCCTGTGAAATGAGTTCTTGAAAGCATTATATGACTTTTTAAATAAACCCAACATCTGGAAGTTTTGAGGGGAGTTGATTTCACTAATCATTTCAATTTTTTTTCGTAGTAGTAACTTAGAAAATAGTTTTTTTGGCTTTACATTATTGCCATAAGGATATAAATAGTATTATTTTATTAAAAGTAGTCTCCTCCCTATCTGTAGTTAGATGTATGTTTTCATTGCTAATGTAGCGTATGTGTTCTCAAACTTTTTTCTGTTTTGACAGATTTGTCAGACATCCCTTAATCCTTTTTTTCCCCACAAAGAACTAGCTCTTGGTTTTACTCAACAATTCTAGTTGTTTTAAACTTCCTAATTCATTGGTTTCTTTTGTTTATTTTGTTGTTCTTTTTCTAGCTTCTGAGTCTAATGCTCCAAAAATATTTATTTTAGACATTTCTTGTTTTAGGAAAAAACCTATTTAGGGATATGATTTTTTTCCTGAGTAAACTTTGGCTACTTCCCATAGAATTTTCTATTTAGTGTTTCAACATATGTTAATTTTCAAATAATTTATAAATTAAGGTTTTATTTATTCTTTGACACAGACTTATTTAGAACAATGAAGTTTTGAATTTAATTCCATTTTAATCAGTAAATGAACCCTATAAGAACTCTACCATCAGAAACTTACGGAGACATTTTTCTGTGGCCTAGTAAATGATTTCTCTTTATGTATTTTTTTTTTTTTGAGACGGAGTCTTACTCTGTTGCCCAGGCTGGAGTGCAGTGGCGTGATCTCGGCTCACTGGAAGCTCCACCTCCCAGGTTCACGCCATTCTCCTGCCTCAGCCTGCCCGGCTAATTTTTCTGTACTTTTAGTAGAGACAGAATTTCACCGTGTTAGCCAGGATGGTCTCTATCTCCTGACCTCGTGATCCACCTGCCTGGGCCTCCCAAAGTGCTGGAATTACAAGCGTGAGCCACCACACCCGGCCTCTCTTTATGTATTTTAAATGAATGTTTCATAAACATTTAAAAAGAATGTGTCTCATTTTTAGAGAGATCATAATTTGCTATGAATTCAAGCTTATAATATGTATTATTCACATCTTTTATATATTTATTTTTGTCATCTTGACACAACAAATTTATTTATTTATTTATTTATATTTTTTTTGAGACGGAGTCTCGCTCTGTCGCCCAGGCTGGAGTGCAGTGGCGGGATCTCGGCTTACTGCAAGCTCCGCCTCCCGGGTTCACGCCATTCTCCTGCCTCAGCCTCCCAAGTAGCTGGGACTACAGGCGCCCGCCACTACGCCCGGCTAATTTTTTGTATTTTTAGTAGAGACGGGGTTTCACCGTTTTAGCCGGGATGGTCTCGATCTCCTGACCTCGTGATCCGCCCGCCTCGGCCTCCCAAAATTTATTTTTTTTTTAAATTTCTTTTTCCTTTTAAAAGAGACAGGGTCTCGCTGTGTTGCCCAGGCTGGTCTTGAACTCCTGGGCTCCAGCGATCCTCCTGCCTTGGCCTCCCAAAGTGCTGGGATTATAGGTGTGAGCCACCACACCTGGCCAACTTTAAAAAAAATTTCTAACACTTCTTTTTACTTTTTGGAGAGAATATAGTAAAAAAATTGAGAGTATTGATGCTAACGCCAGGCTGCCTGGTTTGAATACCCGCTCCACCCTCATGAGTTGACAGACCTTGGACACATTTCCTTAACTGTAAAATCACATCATCTAGTTTACTGGGTTCTTGGGAGGATTATGAGTTGCTATATGCAATGACCTTGGAATTGTGCTTGACGTGTTGTCATTACTCTCCATGTATCTGCTGCCATGATATTCAGGGTGAAAATGTTCATGGTTGCTATATATTCTGATGAATCTATTGTTTATTAATATAAAACAATTTTCTTTGTCCCATATAGAGCTTTTTGCCTTGAATTCGATTTGAGGTAATATTAATATTGCTATATTGTTTTCTTTTTGTTTATATTTCCCTGCTGTCTTAGTCCCTTCAGGCTGCTACAACAAAATGCCATAAACTAGGTGGCTTATGCACAGCAGAAATTTATTTCTCACATATCTGGAGTCTGGAAATTCCAAGATCAAGGTGCTGGCAGATTCAGTGTCTGTAGATGGTCTGCTTCTCGGTTCATAGACAATGCTTTCTCACTGTGTCCTCACATGGTAGAGGTGGAAAGGGGTCTCTTTTGGCTTGCTTTTATAAGAGCCCTAACCCCATTCATGAGGGTTTCACTCTCATGCTCTAATCAACTCTGAAAGGCCCTCACCTCCTAATGCCATCATCTTGGGGGTTATGATTTTAACATATGAATTTTGGGGGGACACAAATATTCAGACTATAGCACTTGGTCTCTCTTTGGGCATCTGCATGTTTTCAACCTTTCTGCATTATTTTGTGTTACACACATCTCTTGTAAATAGCATATAGATGGACCTTGCCTTAAAAAATGAATTTGAAAGCTCTTTTAATAAGGGAATGTAACCTGTTTACAGTTGTTGAGATTATTGATATTCCTGTCATCTTTGTGTTTTCTGTTAGCTATGTTTCTAGATCTTTTGTCAAGATTGAATCATTGCCCCGTGATCTTCTTGTACTAGTAGCTCAGCTTAGATCTTTCTAGGCTGGTACGACCAGAAAGAAGTCTGCTTCTCCTGCTTCAAAGTAAGAAAAACCAGAAGCTAGCCAGGGGGCGTGGTGTCTGTGGTCACATTGTTTTTGAGGATCCTGGTACTGAATTTTCTATTAGCTATCATTCAGTGAGTCCCTAGTATAAGCCAGGTGCTTTTTTAGACTAAAAAAAATATTGCTTCATTTAACCCTCACAACAACCCCAGGAGGGAGGTATTAATATTATACTTACAAATAGGGAGGTGAATTAAAGAAATGAGAGTGTGTTCCTGAGGGATTTAAGAAGACATAATTGGTTTTTTTCAGATAGAGTCTCACTCTGTCACCCAGATTGTAGTGCAGTGGCATGATCCTGGCTCACTGCAATCTCCGCCTCCTGGGTTCTAGCGATTCTCCTGCCTCAGCCTCCCAAGTAGCTGGGACCACAGGCACCCACCACCATGCCTGGCTAATTTTTGTATTTTTAATAGAGACTGGGTTTCACCATGTTGGCCAGGCAGCTCTTAAACTTCTGACCTCAAGTGATCCACCTGCCTCAGCCTCCCAAAGTGCTGGGATTACAGGCGTGAGCCATTGTGCCCAGTCAGAAGACATAATTTGAAATGTATAAACTCATTCCCTTACCCTCCATGTATGCATGGGACATGAAGTTGGCTAAGAAGTGGGCTTCTGAGTTGACTTTTACTGAGTTTCTAAATGAATCGGTTGCCAATGCTGTTGGGAACATCAGGCCTTCTTATTCCGGTTCAATCATTTTTTTCATAGTAGCTTAAGTTTCTACTCTAAGTTGATTGTTCTGGAGTAGATAATCCAGAGTTTAGTCATTTTCTTTACTGCTAGAGTAAAAAAAAGTTTTAATTCAATGGTGTGTCCCATTAACTCAATGGTGTGTATTTAATCCTGTTGGTGTTTTTTGGGGGACTGGGTCTGGAGTTAGGGGGATCTGTGCCTTCTGGTTTCATAGAATCTGAAGAAGGGCAGGCTCATGCATTATCCATCTTTGTATCTCTTGTGCCTCGAAGAACATGTGGTCCATAGTAGGTGTTATCTCTTAAAATGACCTGAGCTCAGGGAGGGGATTTGTCTTATATTCATATTTGAATTATAAGGTTTTAGAAAGAAGCCCATAGAATATAAATCCATTATCTTAAAATTATGCTTTCTGTAACCCCTATAGTACTATGCAATAGAAATTAAGTGTGTTGCATGGACGCTGGGAGGGGAACATCACACACTGGGGCCTGTTGGGGAGTTGGGGTGCTAGGGGAGGGATAGCATTAGGAGAAATACCTAATGTAGATGACGGGGTGATGGGTGCAGGAAACCACCATGGCACATGTATACCTATGTAACAAACCTGCACGTTTTACACATGTATCCAAGAACTTAAAATATAATTTAAAAAACTTAGAAAAAAAAAGAAAAGTTGGTTGTAACCCACCCAGGGCAAGTGTTTATCAGTCTTCACTTCAATGATCTCCAATAAAATTTTCACTATTAAAAAAAAAATTAAGTGTGTTGCAAGTCCTGATTATACAGAGAGATTAATCACGTTTCATGCATCTCCAATTATCATGTTCTATCTGCCCTGCAAAGGAGAAACAGGTAAGGGTTATCCCAGCACTTTGGGAGGCTGAGGTGGGCGGATCACGAGGTCAAGAGATCGAGACCATCCTGGCCAACATGATGAAATCCCATGTCTACTAAAAATACAAAAATTAGCTGAGTGTGGTGGCGTGTACCTGTAATCCCAGCTACTCGGGAGGCTGAGGCAGGAGAATCACTTGAACCCAGGAGGTGGAGGTTGCAGTGAGCTGAGATCATGCCACTGCACTCCAGCCTGGCAACAGAGCGAGACTCTGTCTCAAAATAAAAATAAAATAAAATAAAATAAAATAAAATAAAATAAAATAAAATGAAATAAAATGAAATAAAATAATGTTTATTACTTTTTCAGAGCTTATTTTGGACTAAAGCAGCATGTGGTTTCAGTAGGAGAAGGTCTGTGTCACCATGGGAGGGTGGGATGACATTGACGTATGAATGACCGTTTGCACTGGTAATTCCAGTGAGGGCATCCAGCCAATAAAAGTGCTCCTGAGCCAGCTGCTGGGGAGACATATAGCCCTGACCTCACCAGGACTCCATATTTGAAAAAAAAAAGCCAAGTGAAAACTCCCAGCTTACATCAGGGAACTACTGCTGCAGTACTTTAATGAGATCCCTAGGTGAATCTGAGTTTTATATGGTCTGTTTGACTTCCACGGATATCTGGCTAGACTTTGATTGATTGTCAGGCTTTTTAAGTAGCATTGATTTTTACTTCTGCAACATTGGGATGATGAGGTCATTGTATTTTGCCGTGTTATTGAAGTTCTTGTTAAAGCAACCTGGAAATTATGAGCACGTCTAGGCACTGGCTTCCCACTTGCCCTAAGTTGGAGAGGTGGGAAAGTTCAGGTAAGTAAAATGATAAAGGCAAAAAAGAATTCTCTCTGATTGTAAGAGGGAATTTCAGAGTTTTAAGAATCATAATGATAACTGGTAGCTATTAATCATAGCTTATTTCTTTTTATTAGCAATCATTTGTTGAGCATGTAACTACACAGGGCAAGGACTATGTCATAAGCCCTTTGTGTACACATTAACTCTCTTTTTCCTCACTACACTTCTGTGAGGTAGGTGTTATTATCCCCACTTTATAGATGAGAAAATTGAGTCTAACACAGGTAGGCTAGCTTGCTAGAGGTTGTTTAGTCAGCGGAAGAGCTAGGTTTTAGATCAAGCTGTGCCTGACACCAAAGCCTGTGATCATAACTGCTAGTTTACTGTATGATGGTTGTGTGAATAGTTAGAGGTTTCCTTTAGGTAAGATCAGAAAGGAAAACTTGAGGCTGCTGCATTAGTGACAATCCCTCTCTCATGTATGGACCTGAGTCCTGGGGAAAACTGCAACTAACACAGTGCCCTAGGACATACCATTTAGATTTTCCCCACTTGTAGAAAGAGACCACCTGAACTTCCTTTCTACTTGAGTGAGGCCATGCCCATGAAGGGGCCAGAGAGGGCTTTGAACATTTTGAGATTCCTCCAGCTACCACCTATTGATTAGAGGCTGCCAGGAGCTTTAATCCGATTAGAGTCTGTAAAACTGGTTTCCATCTCTGGCGCCTGACTCAGGTTTCAGAGCAAGGGGAAAAAGTATGACATCACCCCTGCTTGCATCTGTGCTGGGTGGCTAATGAAATTACGTGATGGGCTTGAGGACTATTAAAGTCAATGTTGATCCTTATTATTATTAAGAGTACTTTTAAATTTACTGCACCACGAGGCAGGTTCGAAAGCATCATTTTTCAGAGGTGTATTCATTGCTCTGGATTTTAGCACACAACTCCATGGGATATGGAGAATGCTAGCAGCACAGATAATCAGTTTTGAAATCTGCAGGATGAAAGTGCATGTAGCTCCTTTGCTGAAGGGAGGAAAGATTCTGGGATTTTTCCATAATGAGGCATCAGGATGACCTTGGATTAAAAAAGCCTAAAAACAAAACATGTTTGTCAAGGAAAAGTGAAGCACTGCTGTTGCCATTAGCATCAGCAATAGTATATATTTTTTAAAGTTTAAATGCTTAGTATAAAAGAAGAAAGCTCAGTTCAGATTACCAACCATTTACTGAGTATAGAGACTGAACTGGTACCAGGAATACACTATACCAAGGGGAATAAAACTGTGTGCTTTGTTAATCAACATATCTCAAAGGCCCAGCTAAATGTCAGGCATGCAGAAATTATTCTCTCTCTCTTTAAATATACATATAAGTATACATATATATGGTGTAAAGTGCATTGATCTTAACTGTACAATTCAATGAATTTACACACACTCACAGCAACAAACACGTGCACACTGTTGAATCATCACTCAAATCAGGTGATTAGACAATTTCCCATATCTCAGAAGGCTCTTTCTTGCCCTTTTACATTTCTGCAGCAGAGATAATCACTACTTTGACTTCTACAGCGACAGACTAGTTTTGTCTATAACTAATACACTTCATATAAATTCATATAAGTTGAATCTTCGTATAAATGGAATCACATGATATTATATCTTTTGTATCTGGCTTCTTTTGCTTATCTTTTTATTATTATTATACTTTAAGTTCTTGGATACATGTGCAGAACGTGCAGGCTTGTTACATGGGTATACATGTGCCATGGTGGTTTGCTACATCTATCAGCCCATCATCTACATTAGGTACTTCGTCTAATGCTATCCCTTCCTGTGCCCTCTACCCCCTGACAGGCCCTGGTGTGTGATGTTCCCCTCCCTGTGCCCATACGTTCTCATCGTCCAACTCTCACTTATGAGTGAGAACATGCGGTGTTTGGTTTTCTGTTCCTGTGTTAGTTTGCTGAGAATGATGGTTTCTAGCTTCATCCACGTTCCTGCAAAGGACATGAACTCATTCTTTTTATGGCTGCATAGTATTCCATGGTGTATATGTGCCACATTTTCTTTATCCAGTCTATCATTGTTGGACATTTGGGTTGGTTTCAAGCCTTTGCTATTATGAATAATGCTGCAATAAACATATGTGTGCAAGTGTCTTTGTAGTAGAATGATTTATAATCCTTTGGGAAAATACCCAGTAATGAGATTGCTGGGTCAAATGGTATTTCTGGTTCTAGATCCTTGAGAAATCGCCACACTGTCTTCCACAATGGTTGAACTAATTTACACTCCCACCAACAGTGTAAAAGAGTTCCTATTTCTCCACATCCTCTCCAGCATCTGTTGTTTCCTGACTTTTTAATGATCACCATTCTAACTGGCATGAGATGGTATCTCATTGTGGTTTTGATTTGCATTTCTCTGATGACCAGTGATGAGGAGTTTTTTTTCTTATGTTTGTTGGCTGCATAAATGTCTTCTTTTGAGAAGTGTCTGTTCATATCCTTTGCCCACTTTTTGATGGGTTTGTTTGTTTTTTTCTTGTAAATTTGTTTAAGTTCCTTGTAGATTCTGGATATTAGTCCTTTGTCAGATGGATAGATTGCAAAAATTTTCTCCCATTCTGTAGGTTGCCTGTTCACTCTGATAGTAGTTTCTTTTGCTGGGCAGAAGCTCTTTAGTTTAAGTAGATCCCATTTGTCAATTTTGGCTTTTGTTGTGATTGCTTTTGGTGTTTTAGTCATGACGTCTTTGCCCATGCCTATGTCCTGAATGGTATTGCTTAGGTTTTCTTTTAGAGTTTTTATGGTTTTAGGTCTTATGTTTCAGTCTTTAATCCATCTTGAGTTAATTTTTGTATAAGGTGTAAGGAAGGGGTCCAGTTTCAGTTTTCTGCCTATGGCTAGCTAGTTTTCCCAACACCATTTATTGAATAGGGAATCCTTTCCCCATTGCTTATTTTTGTCAGGTTTGTCAAAGATCAGATGGTTGTAGCTGTGTGGTATTATTTCTGAGGCTTCTGTTCTGTTCCATTGGCCTATATATCTGTTTTGGTACCAGTACTGGTAACGGAAACTGGCTGTTTTGGTTACTGTAGCCTTGTAATGTAGTTTGAAGTCAGGTAGTATGATGCCTGCAGCTTCGTTTTTTTTGCTTAGGATTGTCTTGGCTATGTGGGCTCTTTTTTGGTTCCATATGAAATTTAAAGTAGTTTTTTCCAATTCTGTGAAGAAAGTCAATGGTAGCTTGATGGGGATAGCATTGAATCTATAAATTACTTTGGGCAGCATGGCCATTTTCACGATATTGATTCTTCCTATCCATAAGCATGGAATGTTTTTCCACTTGTTTGTGTCCTCTCTTATTTCCTTGAGCAGTGGTTTGCAGTTCTCCTTGAAGAGGTCCTTCGCATCCCTTGTAAGTTGTATTCCCAGGTATTTTATTCTCTTTGTAGCAATTGTGATGGGAATTCACTCATGATTTGGCTCTCTGTTTGTCTATTATTGGTGTATAGGAATGCCTGTGATTTTTGCACATTGATTTTTGTATTCTGAGACTTTGCTGAAGTTAGTTATCAGCTTAAGAAGATTTTGGGCTGAGATGATGGGGTTTTCTAAGTATACAATCACGTCATCTGCAAACAGAGACAATTTGACTTCCTCTTTTCCTATGTGAATACCCCTTATTTCTTTCTTTTGCCTGACTGCCCTGACCAGAACTTCCAATACTATGTTGAATAGGAGTGGTGAGAGAGGGCATCCTTGTCTTGTGCTCTTTTTGAAAGGGAATGCTTCCAGTTTTTGCCCATTCAGTCTGATATTGGTTGGGGGTTGTCATAAATATCTCCTAATATTTTGAGATACATTCCATCAATACCTAGTTTACTAAGAGTTTTTAGCATGAAAGGCTGTTGAATTTTGTTGAAGGCCTTTTCTGCATCTATTGAGATAATCAAGTGGTTTTTGTCATTGGTACTGTTTATGTGATAGATTACATTTATTGATTTGTGTGTATTGAACCAGCCTTGCATCCCAGGATGAAGCTGACTTGATCTTGGTGGATAAGCTTTTTGATATGCTGCTGGATTCAGTTTGCCAGTATTTTATTGAGGATTTTTTGCATCAATGTTCATCAGGGATATTGGCCTGAAATTTTCTTTTTTTTGTGTGTCTCTGGCAGGTTTTGGTATCAGGATGATGCTAGCCTCATAAAATGACTTATGGAGGAGTCCCTCTTTTTCTATCGTTTGGAGTAATTTCAGAAGGAATGATACCAGCTCTTCTTTGTACCTGTGGTAGAATTTGGCTGTGAATCTGTCTTGTCCTGGGCTTTTATTGGTTGGAAGGCTATTATTTACTGCCTCAATTTCAGAACTTGTTATTGGCCTATTCAGGGATTCAACTTCTTCCTGGTTTAGTCTTGCGAGGGTGTGTGTGTCCAGGAATTTATCCATTTCTTCTAGATTTTCTAGTTTATTTGCATAGAGGTGTTTATAGTATTATCTGATGGTAGTTTGTATTTCTGTGGGATCAGTGGTGATATATCCCCTTTATTATTTTTTATTGTGTCTATTTGATTCTTCTCTCTTTTCTTCTTTATTAGTCTGGCTAGCAGTGTATCTATTTTTGTTAATCTTTAAAAAAAACCGGCTCCTGGATTCATTGATTCTTTTCGAAGGGTTTTTCGTGTCTCCATCTCCTTCAGTTCTGCTCTGATCTTAGTTATTTCTTGTCTTCTACTAGCTTTTGAATTGGTTTGCTCTTGTTTCTCTAGTTCTTTTAATTGTGATGTTAGGTTGTCAATTTTAGATCTTTCCCTCTTTCTCCTATGGGCATTCAGTGCTATAAATTTCCCCTAAACATTGCTTTGGCTGTGTCCCAGAGATTCTGGTATGTTGTGTGATTGTTCTCCGTGGTTTCAAAGAAGTTATTTATTTCTGCCTTAATTTTTTTATTTACCCAGTTGTCATTCAGGAGCAGGTTGTTCAGTTTCCATGTAGTCGTGCCGTTTTGAGTGAATTTCTTAATCCTGAGTTCTAATTTGATTGCACTGTGGTCTAAGAGACTGTTTGTTATGATTTCTGTTTTGCATTTGCTGAGGAGTGTTTTACTTTCAATTATGTGTTCAATTTTAGAATAAGTGCAATGTCGTGCTGAGAAGAATGTATATTCTGTTGATTTGGGGTGGAGCGTTCTATAGATGTCTATTATGTCTGCTTGGTCCAGAGCTGAGTTCAAGTCCTAGATATCCTTGTTAAGTTTCTGTCCCGTTGATCTGTCTAATATTGCCAGTGGGGTGTTAAAGTCTCCTACTATTATTGTGCAGGAGTCTAAGTCTCTTTGTAGGTCTCTAAGAACTTGCTTTATGAATCTGGGTGCTCCTGTATTTGGTGCATATATATTTAGGATAGTTAGCTCTTCTTGTTGCATTGATCTCTTCACCATTTTGTAATACTCTTCTGTGTCCTTTTTGATCTTTGTTGGTTTAAGGTCTGTTTTATCAGAGACTAGGACTGCAACCCCTGCTTTTTTTTTTTTTTTTGCTTTTCATTTGCTTGGTAACTATTCCTCCGTCCCTTTATTTTGTGTCTTTGCACGTGAAATGCGTCTCCTGAATACAGCACAATGATGGGTCTTGACTCTTTAGCCAATTTGCCTGTCTGTGTCTTCTAACTGGAGCATTTAGCTCATTTACGTTTAAGGTTAATATTGTTATATGAGAATTTGATCCTGTCATTATGATGCTAGCTGATTATTTTGCCCATTCATTGATGCAGTTTCTTCATAATATTGATGGTCTTTACATTTTGGTATGTTTTTGCAGTGGCTGGTACCAGTTTTTCCTTTCCATATTTAGTGCTTCCTTCAGGAGCTCTTGTAAAGCAGGCCTGGTGGTGACAAAATCCCTCAACATTCATTTGTCTGTAAAGGATTTTATTTCTCCTTCACTTATGAAGCTTAGTTTGGCTGGATATGAAATTCTGGGTTGAAAATTCTGTTCTTTAAGAATGTTGAATTTGGTCCCCACTCTCTTCTGGCTTGTAGGGTTTCTGCCTAGAGATCTGCTGTTAGTCTGACGGGCTTCCCTTTGTGGGTAACCTGACCTTTCTCTCTGGCTTCCCTTAACATTTTTTCCTTCATTTCAGCCTTGGTGAATCTGACGATTATGTGTCTTGGGGTTGCTCTTCTCGAGGAGTATCTTAGTGGTGTTCTCTGTGTTTCCTGAATTTGAATGTTGGCCTGTCTTGCTGGGTTGGGGACGTTCTCCTGGATAATATCCTGAAGTGTGTTTTCCAACTTGGTTCCATTCTCCCCATCACTTTCAGGTGCACCAAACTTAGGTTTGATCTCTTCACATAGTCCCATATTTCTTGGAGACTTTGTTCATTCCTTTTCATTCTTTTTTCTTTAACCTTGTCTTCACGTTTTATTTCATTAAGTTGATCTTCAGTCTCTGATATCCTTTCTTCCGCTTGATCAATTCAGCTATTGATACTTGTGTATGCTTCATGGAGTTCTTGTGCTGTGTTTTTCAGCTCCATCAGGTTGTTTATGTTCTTCTCTGAACTGGTTATTCTAGTTAGCAATTTGTCTAATCTTTTCTCAACGTTCTTAGCTTCCTTGCATTGGGTTAGGACATGCTCCTTTAGCTCGGAGGAGTTTGTTATTACCCACCTTCTGAAGCCTACTTCTGTCAATTCATCAAACTCATTCTCTGTCCAGTTTTGTGCCCCTGCTGGCCAGGAGTTGTGATCCTTTGGAGAAGATGTGTTCTGGTTTTTGGAATTTTCAGGGTTTTTTTTTGCACTGGTTTTTCCTCATCTTTGTGGATTTATCTACCTTTGCTTTTTGATGTTGGCAACCTTCAGATGGGGTTTTTGCATGGGTGTCCTTTCTGTTGATGTTGATGCTATTGCTTTCTTTTTGTTGGTTTTCTTCTAACAGTCAAGCCCCTCTTCTGCAGCTCTGCTGGAGTTTGCTGGAGGTCCACTCCAGACCCTGTTTGTCTGGGTATCACCAGTGGAGGCTGCAGAACAGCAAAGATTGCTGCCTGCTCCTTCCTCTGCAAGCTTCATCCCAGAGGGGCACCCACTAGATGCCAGCCGGACCACTCCTGTATGAGGTGTCTGTAGACCTCTGCTGGGAGGTATCTCCCAGTCAGGAGGCATGGGGATCAGGGACCCACTTTAGGAGGCAGTAAGTCCCTTAGCAGAGCTCGAGCACTGTGCTGGGAGATCTGCTGCTCTCTTCAGAGCTGTCAGGCAGAAACGTTTAAGTCCGCTGAAGCTGCACCCACAGCTGCCCCTTTCCCCAGATGCTCTATCCCAGGGAGACGGGAGTTTTATCTATAAGCCCCTGACTGGCACTGCTGCCTTTCTTTCAGAGATGCCTTGCCCAGACAGGAGGAATCTAGAGAGGCAGTCTGGCTACAGCGGGTTTGTGGTGCCGTGGTGGGCTCTGCCCAGTTCGAACTTCCCAGTGGTTTTGTTTACACTGTGAGGGGAAAACGACCTACTCAAGCCTCAGTAATGGTGGATGCCCCTCCCCCCACAAAGCTCGAGCATCCCAGGTTGACTTCAGACTGCTGTGCTGGCAGCGAGAATTTCAAGCCAGTGGATCTTAGCTTGCTGGGCTCCATGGGGGTGGGATCCGCTGAGCTAGACCACTCGGCTCCCTGGCTTCAGTGCCACCTTTCCAGGGGAGTGAGCGGTTCTGTCTCGCTGGCGTTCCACGTGCCAATGGTGTACAAAAAAACTCCTGCAGCTAGCTTGATGTCTGCCCAAATGGCCGCCCAGTTTTGTGCTGGAAACCCTCGGCCCTGGTGGTGTAGGCACCTGAGGGAATCTCCTGGTCTGTGGGTTGTGAAGACCATGGGAAAAGCATACTATCTGGGCTGGAATGCACCATTCCTCGCAGCACAATTCCTCATGGCTTCCCTTGGCTAGGGGAGGGAGTTCCCCGACCCCTTGCATTTCCTGGGTGAAGCAACATCCCACCCTGCTTCTGCCCACTCTGCTTCTGCCCACTCTCTATGGGCTGCACCCACTGTCTACCCAGTTCCAGTGAGATGAACCAGGTACCTCAGTTGGAAATACAGAAATCACCTGCCTTCTGTGTTGGTCTCACTGGGAGCTGCAGCCTGGATCTGTTCCTCTTCTGCCATGTTGCCGGCAATCCATTGCTCATCTTTATGTGTGTGAGATTCACCCATGTTGCTCCATACAAAAGTATGTAAAAGTAGTTTGTTCTTTTTCATTGCTGTGTAATAGTCAACTTTATAAATATTCCACCATTTATTTATTATTCTATGATGGGTATTTGGGTTGTTAGCAATTTTTAGCTATTACAAGACAAAGCTGTGTTATGAACATTCTTATACATGTCTTTTGATGAACATTGCCAACTATTTTTTTGGAGCATATTCCACAGAATTGGAACTGCTGGGTCATTTAAAATATTTTTGAATTTTCAATTTGCTATTACTGAGTGATTTTCTACTGAGAACAGGTGGGATAATTTTGAATAACAGTGGTTGAAAACCATGATCAATTGAAGACAGCATCAGTGATAACACTATTCACAAATTGTCTTTCCTGAAAACTACTGAAATTCTGCCTTATGTACTCATGCTTAATAAAAGTTTGACAGGATTTCCAAAAGTGTGGCTGCCAGATTTCTTAACTGAATATGTAATTAAATATTTAGTAAACTCTATTAGTACTTTCAGTTTAGAAACTACTGCTAACTCACTGTCTTAGTCCATTTGTGTTGCCATAGAGGAATATTTAAGGCTGGGTAATTTGAGGTTTATTTAGCTCAGGGTTCTGCAGGCTGTACAAGAAGCATGGAGCCATCATCTTTTCCTGGTGAGGGACTCAGGCAGCTTCCACACATGGCAGCAGAAAAAGGGTAGCTGGTATATGCAGAGATCTCATGGCTAGAAAGAGAGAAAGAGGAGGTGCTGGCTCTTTTTAACAACCAACTCCTGCAGAAATGAGAGTGAGAACTTACTCATTACCCTGAGGATGAACCAAGCCATTCATGAGGGCTCCACCCCCATAACCCAAGCTCCACCTCCAACATTGGGGATCAAATTTCCACATGAGGTTTGGGGAACAAACATATCCAGACTATAGTACTCAACAGGTTATTAGTAAGCAGTATTCGATTGTAGGTAAAAATAAAAGCTTACAGAATGGTGTCATTTGCTGTCAGTATGAAAGAAAGATTTGCATTTCTGGATCAGTTTGTGACAATTGGAAGACTCTCCAGATGACTGAAGTCCACTTGGGTAATCACTGAACTGAGGTGATAGAAGATACACAAAGAAAATTCCTGAGCAAAATGCTGAAAACGTGGCTACTGGTGTATGTTGGGGTTCAGTGGGGCCTTATAAATAGCATTTCTGTTTCCCTCTAGAGTTCTGAACCAATTAAGAGGTAATCAGGAAGTAAGATATATGGAGATAAAAATATTACTGTTGTTACTGGTTAAACTGATAATGGAGAACTCTGGAGTAAGACAGACTTATGTGTCCGAACACAGTAGTACTGGCAGACAAGCCTTCCCCAGGAGTGTCAGAGAGTGCCCTCTGTGGCATGGAAAAGCAGGAGAAATACATATTCTCTGTGGCCAGTTTGCTCCCACGAGTGAGAGAAGGAGCTAGACTCCTCCAAGCTGCTCCATCTCCCATGGAGAGGAGTAAGTAGGAGTAGAGAAAGGCCAGTAGTGTTATGATAGCAGAGCTCCTTCCTTATGGAAGAAACCATGAATCTTTGGGAAGAAACTTTTCTTGCCTCTACAAAATATATTCCATATATATTCCTATGAGAGTACAAAGAAAGGATGAACCTGACCAGTCATAGGAGAAAGCACTCTCCAGAAGGTAATGTGCTTAGTCTTGTAGGAGAACTAGGAGGTGGTCAGGTGGAGATTGGGAAGGGAGGACGTTTTAGATCAAGGTTTGGCAAAATAAGACCCACAGGCCAAATCTGTTGGCTGTTTTTGGAAATAAAGATTTATTGTAACTCAGCCACACTCAATTCAGTTATGTATAGCCTGTGGCTGCATTTGTGCAATGATGGCAGAACGGAGTAGTTGGCACAGAGACCACATGGGCTGTGAAGCCAGAAATATTTGTGTATGGTCCTTTACAGAAAAAGTTTGCTGACCTCTGCTTTAGGCAGAGGGTAATTCCCAGGTGATGGTGTTCCAGGGACGTAAAGTTGAGGACGATAGGTGGTTTGATAATGTTGGAACATGAAGCAGGAGGAGGAGAGTGAGACAAGTGGGAGGAGTGGGTGAAGCGGTGGCAGACAGTTGCGTGTTCATTGTGGGCAAACCCTGCAGCCACTGTGATACGAAACCTGGAAGAAGTGATGCAACAGACTTTACTGTCTTCTACAGAGAGCAGTGCTGCAGAGAGACAGGTTAATTATATTAACTCAATGCAGACAAATGGACAAACATTTAACAAACAGAGCCTTTAAAATTTAAATTCATAAAGAATTTGCATCATCTACAAGTCCAAAGATACATGTGAAAAGGGAGCTATTTAAAATGATGAAATGGGTCATTTCTCTTCTAGTGGCTTGCGGGGGGTTGAGAAGAGGCAAAAAAAAAAAAAAAAAAAAAAAAGAAGCCTAAAACAGCAGTAGAAAGAGGATGGGCATTGTGTGCTGGGAAGGGGCATTGTGTTTCAGGGATAGGGATGCAGTTTAGAGTCAGAATGAGAAGACTGAATGGAGGAAAACCGAGTCTCTTTGCCTGTGAGAATGAATGAGGAGAGACGTGAGCAGGGAGAGGATCTCTGAGCAGAGAGGGGACCAGGATCTTGGGACCAATCTTTTCTTTTTAAAATAAGAGATTCCCTTCCACCACCCAGCATTCCTCTCTGCCTCTACTCATTCTGCTTCCAGAGAAGATTATTTTACTTTTTGGCCTCTGGGGTTTCAGTTATGCTGCTTAGGATAATAGATAGAAAAATGCTGAGCTAGAAGGAGTAGATCAGAATTGAGAAGAATAAAGGTGCTGGGCGAGGCAGCGATAGAGTAACTGGAGAATACTTCTAGGAAGGGAGGGGAAAGATGGGGAAAATGACCACAGTCAGTTTCCAGGGCAAGGCTGAGGAAGAGAGAATTTGGGGTGTTTAGAGAAGGAAAGAGAGTCTTTTAGGGGCAGCCCTGGGCATCTATGAAAGATAAATAAGATGAGGAGATAGTGAATTGAAGGTGTTTGTTATAGGTTATGAATTGGGTTACATTTAATGTTTTTCAACAGCCTCACTAAAGATTAAGACTGTTGTGATTTAATTCTCAGCTGTCAAACAACTGTTTACATATGACACTGCAGAGACTAGACCCAATAAAATTAATTATCCTTCCTAAATACTTCCTTTTGAACTTTTTCAGTTTTATATGAACAGCTTTATCAAAGTATAATTGACACAGTAGCACTGGCAGATAAAGTACACATATTTAAAGTATACAGTTGGGTGCATTTTGACATGTATGCACCTGTGAGACATTATCACAATCATGATGATGAGCAGATCCAGCACTTTCAAAAGTTTTCTTGAATCTTTTAAACTCCTTTCCTTGTTCTATTGTCCCCAGGCAACAGTTGATCTGATTTCTGTTATTATAGATTAGTTAGTATTTTTTAGAATTTTATGTAAATGGAATGATTCAGTATGTACTCTTTTTTTGAGGGGTAGGGGCTGGGCTCCTTTTACTCAGAATAATTATTTTGAAATTCATGGTTTTTCATACATCAATAGTTTATCCTTTTTTACTGCTGAGTAGTATTCCATTGTATGGATATACCACAGAGTGTTTATCTGTTGGTAGATATTTGAGTTGTTTCCAGTTTTTGACTATTTAAATAAAGCTGCTAGGAACATTTATATTCATGTCTTTTTATGGATATGTGCCTTTGGGTAAATACTTAGGAACATAATTGCTGGATGATCTGGTAGGTATATGTTTATTTATGAAACTGCCAAACTGTTTTCCAAAGTGATTGTACTATCTTCCACTCCCACTTGAAGTGTGTGAATGTTCCATTTGCTCCACATCCTCACTAGCACTTGGTATGCTCAGTTTTTCTAATTTTAGCCATTCAAATAGGTATGTAGTGGTACATCAGTGTGGGTTTAATGTTTATGTCCTTAGTGATTAATGATGTTGAATATGTGCTTATTTGCCACCCATATATCTTCTTTGTTCAAATCTTTTGCCCCCTTTTATTGAGTTGCTTGTATTCTTATTGATTTTGAGAGTTCTTTACATATTTTGGTTAAAAGTCCTTTAACAGACTGTAAATATTTTCTTCCAGTCTGTGATTTGTCTTTTAATTACCTAACAGTGTCTTTTATTTATTTATTTAATTTTTATTTTAGGTTTGGAGGTACAGGTGAAGGTTTGCTATATAGGGAAACATGTGCCATGGGGATTTGTACATATCATTTTGTCACCCAGGTAACAGTGTCCTTTAAGGAGCAGATGTTTTTAGTTTTGATGAAGTCTAATATATTGATTTTTTTTCCTTTTATGAATAGTGCTTTTGGCATCATATTTAAGAAATCTTTGTCTAACTCAAGATCACAAAAATTTTATATGATTTCTTCCAGAAGTTTCACAGTAGTAGGTTTATTTTCATATAGTTTTAGGTGTATGAACCATTATTGTACATAGTGTGAAGTATGGACTAAAGTTCTTCCTCTTCCTCCTCCTTCTTCTCTTCCTCCTCCTCATATAGTAATTTAATAATTCCAGTGCCCTTTGTTGAAAAGACTATTCTTTCTCTACCAAATTGCCTTTGCCCATTAAAAAATCCACATATTTATGGGTCAATTTCTGTATTCTTTATTCTGTTCCATTAATCTATTTGTCTATCTTTACACCAATAGCAGAGTGTTTTGATTACTAGCTTAGGGTAAACCTTGAAAATAGGTGCTGTTAGTCCTCCAACTTTGTTCTTTTTTTGTCAGATTGTTTTGGCTATTCTGTCCCTTGCACTTTCATATGAATTTTAGTTTGCTAATTTCTGGAATTTTGATAGGAATTGCATTGACTCTAGATCATTTGGAGAGAATTAGCACCCTAACATTACTGAGTCTTCCAACTCATGGATATGTTTTTTATTTGGATCTTTTAAAATTAGCCTAGCAATGTTTTATCATTTTCAGTGCAGGCCTTGCAGAATCTTTTGTCAGAATTATCCTCAAGTATTTCATTTGTTTGGATGGTTTACAAATGATAATTTTTTTTCAATTTGTGATTTTTTGTTGCCAGCATATAGAAATATAGTTTATTTTTG